>NC_000009.12:125720552-126345552 GCF_000001405.40 Homo sapiens
CAAACAAAGCACCAGGCGCAGTGGCTCACATCTGTAATCCTAACACTTTGGGAAGCCAGCCGAGGTGGGAAGATCACTTGAGTCCAGGAGTTCTAGACCTGCCTGGGCAACATAGTGAGACCATGTCTCTACAGAATAATTTTAAAATTAGCTGGGTATAGTGGTGCACACCTGTTGTCCCAGCTACTTAGGAGCCTGAGGTAGGAGAATCGCTTAGGCCTGAAAGATTGAGGTTGCAGTGAGCTGTGATGGCACCACTGCACTCCAGCCCGGGCAACAGAGCAAGATTCTGTCTCAAAAAATAACTACAAACAAACAACATAAATATAAAGCTGAAGTCCTCCTTGAGTGTTCCTGTATACCTGCAGTTCCTCCCTGGGGTTAATCTCTGGAGTTGTTTGTGAATGTCCGCAGGCAAGCCTGGCTAATTTTTTTGTAGAGATGGGGGTCTTACTATGTTGCCCAAGCTGGTCTCCAATTCCTGGACTCAAGTGATCCTCTTGCCTCAGCCTCCTAAAGTTTTGGGTTTACAGGCATGAGCCAAAGTGCCTGGCTATGAAATATTTTTTGAAAAATATTTCAGGCTGGGTGTGGTGGCTCATGCCTGTAATCCCAGCACTTTGGGAGGCTGAGGCGGGAAGATTGCTTCAGGCCAGGAGTTCGAGACCATCCTAGCCAACATGGTGAAACCCCATCTCTAATAAAAATACAATAATTAGCCAGGTGTGGTGGCAGGCGTCTGTACTCTCAGCTGCTCAGGAGGCTGAGGCATGAGAATCGCTTGAACCCGGGAGGTAGAGGTTGCAGTGAGTCAAGATCATGCCACTGCATTCCAGTCTGGGTGACAGAGTGAGACTCTGTCTTGAGAAAAAAAAAATAATGAAATTGGCCAGGCATGATGGCTCAAGCCTGTAATCCCAGCGCTTTGGGAGGCCGAGGCGGGCAGATCACGAGGTCAGAAGTTTGACATCAGCCTGGCCAGCATGGTAAAACCCCATCTCTACTAAAAACACAAAAAATTAGCTGGGCCTGGTGGCACGCGCCTGTAGTCCCAGCTACTCAGGAGGCTGAGGCAGGAGACTTGCTTGAACCCAGGAAGCAGTGAGAATTGTTTGAACTCCAGCCTGGGTGACAGAGCAAGACTCTGTCTCAAAAATAATAATAATAATAATGAAATTTTAAAATATAATAAAAAATAAAAAATATTTCAAAGAGAACATAATCAATATTGTTTGTATAATCAGAAAAATAGATAAGAAAATAAACAAATATTTAAAATGAAAATCCATTGCTCCCTATCAGTCACAGAAACATTAATTGTAACAAATGTACCCCCCACTGACCAAGACCCCAGACTTTGAGCCCTGAGCTCCCCTTCCCAGGGCCAGCAGTATAGCCTGTTCCCTTCTTTTGGTTGGGTCTCAGCTGGTCATGGCTTTGCTCCTTCCTCTTCATCCGTTGCCCTAAAGACGTCTCTCAGGATGCTCTTCATGGGTGATGTGAAGGACAAGATATGGAAGCTTCATTCAGGACCCGATAAAAATTTACAATTAGCTACCCCAATTTTTTTTGAGACGGTCAAGCCTCACCCATCCCCATTTTATTATATTTTATTTTTATTTATTTATTTATTTTTGAGACAGGGTCTCGCTCTGTCATCCAGGCTAGAGCACAGTGGTGTGATCTGGGCTTACTGCAACTTCCACTTCCTGGGTTCAAGCGATTCTCTGCCTCAGCCTCCCAAGTAGCTGGAACTACAGGCACGAGCCACCACGCCCGGCTAATTTTTGTGGTTTTAGTAGAGACGGGGTTTCACCATGTTGGCCAGGCTAGTCTCAAACTCCTGATCTCAGGTGATCCACCCTCCTCGGCCTCCCAAAGTTCTGGGATTACAGGCGTGAACCACTGTGCCCAGCCGCTACCCCAATTTTTAAAATATTTACCTTCCCCTACTTTCCTGTCCCAAGGGGTTGTCAAGCATTTCTGACCCGGAATGGTGATGATAATGTTGGCCATTGTTTATTTATTCAACAACTCGGTTTTTTTTTGTTTTTTTTTTTTTTTTTTTTTTTTTTTGAGACGGAGTCTCGCTCTGTCGCCCAGGCTGGAGTGCAGTGGCAAGATCTCTGCTCACTGCAAGCTCTGCCTCCCGGGTTCACGCCATTCTCCTGCCTCAGCCTCCTGAGTAGCTGGGCCTACAGGCACCCACCACCACGCCCGGCTAATTTTTTTTTTGTATTTTTAGTAGAGACGGGATTTCACCATGTTCACCAGGTTGGTCTCGATCTCCTGACCTCGTGATCCACCCACCTCAGCCCCACAAAGTACTGGGATTACAGGCGTGAGCCACCGCGCCCGGCTTCTCAACAACTCGATTTATTGAGCACCTGCCCAGGCACTGTGTCAAGATGCTAGGGATAGAATCAGTGAACAAAACAGACAAAAGATTCTCCCTTCAAGGAGTTTAAATTCTAATGGAAGGAGAATGACAATATTGAAAATATTTATAAGTAATCCCTCAGATCGCATAAGAGTGATATTTAGCTATGGAGAAAATAAAGCAGAGAAGAGGGACAAGAAGTGCTGGGTTGAGATTCAATTTTAAGTAGATGGGATGATGGGGGTGGCTCACTGACTGGTAGTGTTTGAGCAGAAATGTAGTTATTTGAAGAATTATAAGACCTTAGTGAAGTACTTTGTAAGTATGATGTCTTTAAAACTACCCTACCAGCATAGGCAACATAGGGAGATAGTCTTTATACACACACACACACACAACCTAGCTGGGCATGGTGGCACGCGCGTGTGGTCCTAGCTACTTGAGAGACTAAGGTAGGAGGATTGCTTGGGCCTGGGAGGTCGGGGTTGCAACCATGATTACACCACTGTACTCCAGCCTGGGTGACAGAGCAAGACCCTGTCTCAGAAATAAATAAATAAACAAAAATTAAATAATTTTAAAATCGCCCTAAGACATAAATATTCTAATTTTATGGTAGTCCCATTTCACAGATGAGAAAACTGAACTTTGCAGTAGAGCAGCAATCTGCCCAAATTCGCAAATGGGAAGGGCCCAGCTGGGTTTGAACCCTTTGAGGGTGGGATCTTAACCACAACTCTGTTCTATAATAGTTTAACCTATTTTCCAATCTCTGATGTGCTGTCGGTTTGGATCCTGTGGCCCCACTCTTTTAGGCACTTGAGGCAGACTGGTCTTTTCCTGCTATAGGCTCTTCTCCGTGTTTTCCTCCTGCCTTCTGACAAGCTCCTTCGAATGACAGCTTCCCATGTTGGACTTACTCTTGTGGCTTCCCCCCTGCCCTCCAAAGTCACACATAAAAAATCCTGCCGTGGACTGATCCTCATAATAGCCTGTTCTTCTCCTTCTCCCTGGTGGGGATGAGAGTGGGAGAACCAGACAATTCAGCTGTGACAACCCAGGAACAATTCCGTTTAATTTTTTGACCCGCATTGGGAAAAAGCCAGTTGATTCTCTTAACGGGCAAGGTCATTGAAAACTAAAAAAGCCCTAACTCGTTTAATGTTCATTTTTCCATGTTATCAATTCTGGGTAAAACAATAGTCATGCTGTCCATTGCAAATTACCTTTCAGGAGCCAGAAGTCCGCATGGAAGGAGCATGCTGCTTAGAGGACAAAGGAAACAATGCCTGCAGAGGACATTCTGGAAGGGAGAGGGAAATAAAGAATTAGAACTTCACGGCCAGGCGTGGTGGCTCACACCTGTAATCCCAGCACTTTGGGAAGCCAAGGTGAGCAGATCACTTGAGGTCGCGAGTTTGAGACCAGCCTGGCAAACATGGTGAAACCCTGTCTCTACTAAAAATACCAAAATAAGCTGGGCGTGGTGGCAGGCCCCTGTAATCCCAGCCACTCAGAAGACTGAGGCACGAGAATCACTTGAACCCAGGCGGCAGTGGTTGCAGTGAGCAGAGATCGCACCATTGGACTCCAGCCTGGGCGACGGAGTGAGACTCTCTCAAACAACAACAACAGACCCTTCACAACCACCAAGGAAAAGGTGTGGTTTGGATTTGCTGCATACAATGTGCCATAAAATCAGAAAAGAACTTTACTACCCGACTTAGAATTTCTCCCTTATGTTTATGGAACACATGTTTTGCACACGCCACCTCTTTTAATGCTAACACTAAGAAACAGTTACTGTCATGGCACCCACTTCAGAGATGAAGAACTGAGGCTTAGGGAAGTGAAGGGTATTTTTAGGCCAGTCACAGTGGCTCACGCCTGTAATACCAGCACTTTGGGAGGCCAAGGCAGGTGGATCACCTGAAGTCAAGAGTTCGAGACCAGCCTGACAGACATAGCAAAACCCTGTCTCTACTAAAAATACAAAATTAGCCGGGCATGGTGGTGCACACCTGTAATCCCAGCTACTCAGGAGGCTGAGGCAGGAGAATCACTTCAACCTGGGAGGAGGAAGTTGCGGTGAGCTGAAATCATGCCATTGCACTCCAGCCTGGGTGATAGAACAAGACTCCATCTCAAAAAAAAAAAAAAAAAAAGAGAAGTTAAGGATATTATTGAAGATCACTTGCAGAGTGGACATGTAAACTCAGGTCTGACCAAAGCTCTGACTTTTAATCAAGATGCCCTGTCTGTCCCATAAGAAGACCTTGAAAACACACTGGTGAGTAAGAAGGTTAAACAGCAAAAAGTTGTGCTAATCACTGCATATATTAAACATTCCCTGGAAATACCAACTTTCCTGAGTGGAAATATTCACCTTGCCCCTCCCACTTTTAGGGTATTTTAAAAAATACTCAGAGATCACCTGAGGTCAGGAATTTGAGACCAGCCTGGCCAACATGGTGAAACCCTGTCTCTCTACTAAAAATACAAAAATTAGCCAGGCATGGTGGTGCATGCCTGTAATCCCAGCTACTTGGGAGGCTGAGGCAGGAGAATCACTTGAATACCCAGGAGGCGGAGGTTGCAGTGGGCCGAGATTGTGCCACTGCTCTCCAGCGTAGGCAACAGAGTGAGACCCTGTCTCAAAAAAAAAAAAAAGTCTGGGCATGGTGGCTCACGCCTGTAATCCCAGCACTTTGGGAGGCCGAGACAGGTGGATCATTTGAGGTCAGGGGTTTGAGAACAGCTTGACCTACATAGTGAAACCCCTTCTCTACTAAAATACAAAAATTAGCCAGGCATGGTGGTGGGCACCTGTAATCCCAGCTACTCAGGAGGCTGAGGCAGAAGAATCTCTTGAACCCAGGAGGCGGAGGTTGCACTGAGCCAAGATCGTGCTACTGCACTCCAGCCTGGGCGACAGAGCAAGATTCCCTCAAAAAAAAAAAAGAATACTCAGAGAGTAGGATGCTTTCTAAGTAGAAAAGGTTGATGTTCAACCACAAAACATTTAGACATTATCAACAAGTTTTCCTATGCTATATTTTATTATGTTTTAATTTTTCTCATTTGATGTAGATTATTATTTTATTTCTACATTGAATTTTTCTTTTTCTCTGAGTAATGGTGTACAGAGATTAAAGGTAAAATAATACTACAAAACTTGTAACACAAAGCTCTTATGTTTTATTTTCTATTACTTTCTTCTCTCTGATTCTGGTCCTTAGAGGATATAATTTGCCTGCTAAGCTGTGAGGTTTTTATTAAATGCCCAGTTTAGTCTTTTTCTATTTGTGTATGTGTATATTGTTGCTTTGCTTTTTGCAAAAATGATGATAATTCATTCTACAATATTTCTTTAAGATGAACAATACTGCCAGAGAACCACGAAAATACATCTCTTTTTTTATGATTAATATTCAAGCCTGCATCTTCCTTTTTTATAATTAAAATTTTATTTTTTTATCAAAGTCATACATAAGATTTGTTGAATAAGCCAAATAGTTCTAGCTGAAAGTCTGGTGCTTGCTACATCAAAGCAGATCTGTCCTCAATAAATGAGGGAAAATCGCAACCATTTTGCACTGACGTGAAGTTCCCCACGGTGCAAGATTTCTCGGCAGCATCTGCTGCCTCCCCTCTTGGATACAAAGCGGGCAGAGTCAACTTTATAAATCCTGTTACAAAAATGGGCATCTTTCCCCAAAGTGTGCATAAGAATGCACGCTTTCTTAGAACATCTGAATTGAGTGATGAAATACCAAATGAAGCAAATGAAGCACATTTTTTATTTCTTGCAATTTGAATAGGGTATGAGAATGCATTTCCTTTTTTAGCTGGGTCCTAAGACAGGGCCGAATATCTATGGAAATGCTCACACATCCCGCAATGTGAGTTGACATGAAAGACTTTGTTTTCTCCTGAACAGAAAACCCCCAAAGCCTTTCGTTGCATGATTGAAGGTGCCAGGCCTCTTC
The DNA here is from genome assembly GCF_000001405.40 of Homo sapiens. Taxonomy (NCBI): domain Eukaryota; kingdom Metazoa; phylum Chordata; class Mammalia; order Primates; family Hominidae; genus Homo; species Homo sapiens. The sequence goes on from NC_000009.12 coordinate 125,726,922, forward strand.
AGTCACTGGATAATATGTAGTGTTTTTCATTGTGAGGGCTGTATGGAGTACACATGTGCACTTCACAGTACGAAATCACCGCAGCTACCCAGGAGGATGCTCCTAATGTGGATGCGTTTGAACCGACAGTGGCACCATTTTCAGTGATTGGGCTATTGTTCTAACAAAAATGCTAAAGGTCTTTAAGGTGATTTTTGTTCCTCTGATTTCATGTCCTGAATATTCATTTTTAGTTTTCATTATCTAAGTATACAAGATATGGTATAGGATCTGAACCTTTTTTAAATTAATTGCGTTGTAAATCAAACATATTTCCGTAGAATGCACTTACTCATCATTAGCATGCGAGAGTTTCCAGTAAAATATCTTCAGTATTATTTTTATTATTAACATATTTACACTGTCACTCCAGCCCTGCGCCCTTTGTGAATCTGTTTTAAAAATAAATATGACCTGATACCAGAGTGATTGGTGCAATAAAAATGCGTGATGTGAAATTAATCAAATACGGTTGGGTTCAATTTATAAGGGACACATTAAGAAAAATTATTTCTTATTCGGGTATGCCACTCTAGTGAATCAAACAGAGCTGTGTATATTTCAGCAAGATACATGAAAAATCCATTCATTCAACAAACATTTATTATGCATTTACTGTGTGCATCACGGGGGATAAAATCAAGCTGAGCAAACCAGAAATTCACACATGCAACAACAAAAGAGTATAAGCAACTGCATAATTGTGAGATATACGTTAAATAGCCAAGGATTCCAGAAACAAAAGCTCAGGTAGCAGCAGTGTGGTGCACTGGTTAATGGTACGGATCTGTGGATTTATTTCAGTTTTTTTCAGGAAGTGGCCATTAATTTTTGTGTGAAAAAACAAGAGCAGAGAGGCATAATTCATTGTGAAGATAGGCTTTATATTCTGTATATGCTAAGGAAATAAACTTCTAATGCAATAAAATAAAGAGAATGGGAGGAAAAAAACGGCTTGGACTTTAAAGTCAGACAGACAGGGGTTCAAATCCCAGCTCTGCTACTCTCTGGCTGGGTGACCTTGGGCAAGTTCTTCATTTTGCTGATCTTTTTAAAAATAATCTATAATATAGAGCCGATAATATCTTCCTCATAGGACTGTCATGAGGATTAAATGAGATAATGTCCCTAGTAAGCATCCATTAGGTGTGTTGTCATCCTGCAACTGGGGACAAAGCACTGTCTTGGGAGCCACTATTGTCAAAGTTGGTGGCGAGTTTGAATGACTGGAGACACATTCCACATGGAGGAGACAGCACGGCCAAAGGCAGGAAGGTAGTTCTGGAAACTGAATATCCATTCCCCTCTAGGAAAGGGCTCTGCTTTCTTCCTCCTAGAACTAGTTGGGTAGAGACAAGCCAAGTACTTGGCCTATGAGCAGATGCAAGGGCTCAATGATGACATCTCCACCCTTCAGGGGGCATTCTAATGATAAAGAATTTCTAGACAGGCCAGGCACGATGGCTCACGCCTGTAATCCCAGCACTTTGGGAGCCCAAAGCGGGAGGATTGCCTGAGGTCAGGAGTTCAAGATCAGCCTGGCCAACATGGTGAAACCCTGTCTCTACTAAAAATACAAAAAAATTAACTGGGCATGGTGGTGTGAGCCTGTAATCCCAGCTACTCGGGAGGCTGAGGCAGAAGAATCACTTGAACCCGGGAGGCAGAGGTTGTAGTGAGCAGAGATTGCGCCATTGCACTCCAGCCTGGGTGGCAGAGCAAGACTTCGCCTAAAAAAAAAAAAAGATTTTCTAGACAGATTAGCAGGAAAAATCCATGGAGAACACTTGCAATCCCCAAGCCTCAGCAATGGAACTCGGAACTGGACACTGTGAGCATCTCAAGGGCTGGGTTTCCTGTTTTAATTGATACTGTGCCTTATTGCCTAGTGTAGGGTCTTGTCCCATGCAAGCAATCAATAACCACTTGGTGAACAAAAGAATAAACTCTGTGTCATGTAAAAAGTGAATAATTGTGCACTTATTAGCTATGCAACCTCATACTCTGTGCCTCCATTTTCTCAACTGTAGCATAGGATAAAAATACCCATCAACTTCAGGGGCTGTTACCAAGATCAAATGCATTAATATTTGTGAGGGGTTAAGAACAGTGCCTGGAGTAAGGGCAGTTCTACATCAGTGTTTACTGAAGAAAAGATACATACTGATATTAATGGACTGCTGTGAGGATTAAATGAGAAAATGATTGAAGAGAAGTATTTGTGGAGCAAAGGGGAGAAGGAAGAAACTGCCATCCCGAGTCATGAAACCCTACCCCAAGTAGGCTCAGAAGGACCTAGCCCCAGAATCCACAGGACCTGCTGAATCTAAGATGTGTCTTCTCCTTGAGCTCAGCATGCAGTGGGCCTCGGGGAGCCCTGGACCTGCCTGTTCTTCTGCCGTCACTTCCCCTCTCCAACCGTTCTAGTACCAGATGATGCCTTTTGCCCAGGACTCTGACAAGGGCCCTACACTCTGCTATCTGTGGACTACTCCAGGGCCCTGTGCAGCTGTAACCTATCCTTGTACTCATGGCCAACAGCTGAAGTCTCATTTCCACTAAGATAGAATATTTTTCCATTCCTCTCTTACCCCCTTTCTCTTCCTTCTTTGAAAATGCAGCCAGGTGCCATGGCATACCTGTAATCCCAGCACTTTGGGAGGCCGACCCAGATAGATCTCTTGAGCCCAGGAGTTTGTGACCAGCCTGGGCAACATGGTGAAATCCTGTCTCTACTAAAAATACAAATGTCAGCTGGGTGTGTGGGCATGTGCCTGTAGTCCCAGGTACTCTGTAGGCTGAGGTGGGAGACCACTGAAACTTGAGAGGTGGAGGCTGCAGTGAACCATGATTGCACCACTGCATTCCAGCCTGGACAACAGAGTGAGATCCTGTTGAAAGAAAAAAAAGAAAGAGAGCAAGAGAGAGAGAAAGGAAAAAAAAAGGAAAGAGAGAGAGAGAAAGAAAGGAAAGAGAGAGAGAGAGAAAAGGAAGGAAGGAAAGAGAGAGAAAGAAAGGAAGAAAGAAAGAAAGAGAAAGGAAGGAAGGGAAGGCGGGTGGGAAGGAGAAAGAAAGAAAGAAAGAAAGAAAGAAAGAAAGAAAGAAATAAAGAAGGAAAATGTTTCCTCTTCTTATGAATCACTGCTTCCCAGAAATCCTATTGCTCCCACTTACCAGAGAGGACCCCTTGGCTATCAATGCAAGATGGGTTGGACTGGGGCTCACATGCCCATTGGACATTATTTTTCAGCCAGCTGCCATCCCTCCTTGAGACCAGCCTCCAGACTAGTCAGCCCACTGAGCCTCAGCTCTGCCCACTCTTTCATTCATTCATCTATTCATTAATTTATTCACATATTCATTTAACCAATGGTAGCCCAGTTCCGAGCACATAGGGCTGGAAGCATCAACATTCACAGAATGTTCCTGTAATCAGAGCTCACAGCCTGGCTGGGAAGAGACAACTGACAACATAGGCTACTTAAGCACAAAAATTTAAATGTATACAAGGTAGGAGAGACAAGGGAGAGAGTCACTATTCTCTGGGAGATTCAGCGAAGGGTTTCCAGAAACAGCTGCCTCTGAGATGGATTTTGAAGCAGGAATAGGATAAGACCAGGATCATTTAAGACAGAGGGATGAGAAGGCACAGAGGGACAAACAGTGAGGAGTGAGGCTTTCTTATAAGGTGGGAGAGAAGGCTGGTGTGATGGGCAGAGGCCAGATGGTGGAGGGAATTGAACACAGGGCCAAAAAGCTTAAATGTCATTATCTTGGTAGAGGATAGGAATGTGGCAGGCTCCATGTTGTGCCATCTGGACCTGCTTCAGTGAAGGACTCATTGTCCTGGGTGTATATTGCACTGTCTGGAGGCAGTGTTCAGCTCCCAAGCCTCTTTAGAGATTGCCTTAGCATCAGAGAGCCACCTTGTCCAAGGTCATGCTCTTCCCTGTCTGGGCAGCCCATGTCCTCTCACCGACGGACGCAAGAGTTTAAAGGCCCAGACAGCGGGTGCAGTGGCTCACACCTGTAATCCCAGCACTTTGGGAGGCCGAGCTGGGCAGATTTCTTGAGGCCAGGAGTTCGAGACCAGCCTGGCCAACACAGTGAAACCCTGTCTCTACCAAAAAATACAAAATTTACCCTGGTGTGATAGTGTGCACCTATAGTTCCAGCTGCTCAGGAGGCTGAGGCAGGAGAATTGCTTGAACCCCGGAGGCAGAGGTTGCAGTGAGCCAAGATCATGTCACTGCACTACAGCCTGGGTGACAGAGTGAGACCCTGTCTTAAAGAAACAATAAAATAAAATAAAAATAAAGGCCCAGCCGTCTTGGCTTAACTCAGGACAACTTGGAAAGGTCATTATAGTTCTAAAGCTCCACATGGGGTTGGCTGAGGCTGTCACTGGGTCTGCATTGAAGCTCAGTCTCCCCCTCCTGCTTCCTTTTCCTCTCTCTCATAGGTATTGCTGCCAAGGGCAGCATCACCCAGGCCATAGACCCCATCCCCTCTACTTCCCCAGGGATTCACTCATGGGGGACTTTTATCCCCCTCCATCTCTCCTGCTACAGACTCCTTCCTGTGAGCCATTTAAACATTCTTAGCTCTCTCTCAGATCCCCCAAAAGTACCTAACTCCACATTGCCTTCCAGCTCCTCCCTCTTTCTCTCCTCTGCTTTCTAGCCAAATTCCTCTAAAGGGCTGCCTACGCCTGTCTGTGGTCCTCCCTACCATTCATTCCTTTGTCGGTGCCATCAAGCTTCTGCCACACCCCTGGGGTTCTCACTGGGCCTCCAATCTCACCACATCATTAAATCCAGTGGACAGGCAGGGAGTGGTGGTTCACACCTGTAATCCCAGCACTTTGGGAGGCCAAGGTGGGCGGATCACCTGAGGTTAGGAGTTCAAGACTAGCCTGGCCAACATGATGAAAACCCATCTCTAGGAAAATACAAAAATTAGCCAGGTGTGGTGGCAGGCACCTGTAATCCCAGCTGCTCGGGAGGCTGAGGCATGAGAATCACTGAACCCGGGAGGCAGAGGTTGCAGTGAGCCGAGATCGTGCCATTGCACTCCAGGCTGGGTGACAGAGCGAGACTCCATCTCAAAATAAATAATAAATAAATAAATCCAGTGGACACCTTAGACCATAACTCAGTTCAACTCTTGATCTCTCTTTTTTCTGTAAAACACTCTTGGTTTCCATGCTATTGTGCTTTCCTAGTCCTTGTCTTTCTGCCAACCTAAAGACTCCTCTTTGCTTCCTTTTTTCTTTATCTGTCCCTTAATTATTAGTGCTTTGTCATGGACTCTCATTTTTCTCAGCTCTCACACTCTCCCTGTGTGATCTCATTCACTGTCATGACTGCTAATACCACCAAGACGTTAATAACGCCTATGTCTTTTTCTTTCTAGTTCAGATCTCTCTTGAACTTAGATCTCCCCTGGTCATGATGCAGGCTCCCCAGCCTCGACATGTGCACAAGAAATGTGCCACCCTCTCCTCAAACCTTCAGCTCCCTCCTCCGTGCCTCTGCCTCACTCCTCCCAGTTCTTGCCACCCAGACTGCCCAAGACCTCCCTGAGTGCCCACCTGGCTGCATCCTCCAGCTTAACTCTTCCCTCTCTCCTATTTCAGGCAATATCTGACTCAAAATTAAGTAATCTGCCAGGAACCAGGTTGTGGTGGCCAAGTCAAGAGTGTTGGGTACTTGAATGACTCCCAGGCATCATGGGAAGCAGAAATTGGAAAGCCTTCAGAACTGGGAGCTGTCCAGCTGTCTGCCCATCCCCCACCACCACACTCCTACTCCCCTCCAGGCATGGAAGTTTCTTCTTTCTGTAAGTGTTCTGTTTACAAGTGGCTTTCTCTGCTTCTTCCTGGGCAGTTGGCTAAACATGACTATCCCAGAGGTCTGGGATTATACATCCTTAACTCAAGCAGTCAGTAAACAAATCAGTGTGTTTCAGGTGCAAGGGCGAGTCTCCGAAAGATGGATTGGGTTAGTCCTGGTGAAGTGCCCATTCCTGGTCCAGTGAGCTAAGGCTCGGAGGGTTAGGCCATGGGGTAGGAAATGTAGCTATGGGGACTTATGGGGGAGGTGTGAAGATCAAGAGGAAGTAGGGTCTTGGGCTGGGGAACTATTTAAGATGTGATTTTTCCAGCCTTGAATATTCACAGAGAACAAAACTCCCAAAGGTTATAAAATTAAAGTTTATACAAATATCAAATATTTTGCCTACCTACCTATGTCATGGTTTTGTGAAGCATCATTTACTTATTTATTTCACCTTCTCTCTTTTTTCTACCTTGTTATGGTAATTAGTGGTAACACAGTAGGAAGAACGTTATAAGGAAAATATCTCATAAGCCTGTTCCTAAAAAATAAAATTTTAAAATTTTATTTTATATGTACTTGAATTGATACTTTTCTCTGTAACACAAAGTTATTAATTATAATAATGAATTAAAAGGCCTTTTGAGTCAATTTTCTTTCTGCATTTATATCTGTCCTAGAAATTCAGGGAGGAAGAGATAATCAAAAGTGTTATCCAGTTGCTCTGACAGAAGGAAGTTTATAACCTGTGCATAAGTTCTTAGGAAATAATATCACCAGGAATCTTTGATGGCCCCCTTATGGGTAAAAAAAAATAATTTTAGAAAATTTATTTTCAGATCAACATATTGTAGCATAATTCTTAAAGAAACTTTTACTTTAAATCACTTTTATTGTAAGCCTAGAAAAGAAACAGGACCAGGAGATGAACCTAGTGTTGACAAGAAGCTGGTGAGATGAAAAGAAATATACTGTGGGACCACTTGTTTTTAAGAAATGAAACTCTGGATTTATGTACCAGCTTAAAAAAAATCTCTCTAGGCACACTGTTCAGCAGCTATTTGGTCTTCTCTGAAGTTTTTAGTATGTTTCAAATAAAAGCAGATTTCTTTGTTTCAAGATAGTGATTTCTGATACCTTAGTTATTCATTTATTTAACAAATATTTTCTAGGCATCAATTATAGTAAGTGTTGTTCAGGATATAAAGTTGAATGTCAACAGACCTTTTCTTCAAGGAGCACAGTACATCGGATACATCCATGGAAGCTCCATTAAAAGGTATACATTTACACGTGTGCTCTGCTGGTGGGAATGAAAAATGGTATAGCCACTATGGAAAACAGTGTGGTAGGCAGGTCCTCAAAAAATTAAAAATAGGGCTGGGCGTGGTGGCTCACGCCTGTAATCTCAATACTTTGGAAGGCTGAGGTGGAGGATTGCTTAAGACCAGGAGTTCGAGACCAGCCTGGGCAACATTGTGAGACCTCATCTATACAAAAATAAAAAACAATTAGCTGGGCATGATGGCTTGTACCTGTAGTCCCAGCTAGTCAGGAGGCTGAGGCAGGAGGATTGCTTGATCCCAGCAGATCAAGGGTGAAGTGAGCCATGATTGCAACACTGCACTCCAGCCTGGGTGACAGAGCAAAACCCTGTCTCTCTTTTTTTTTTTTTTTTTTTTTTTTGTGAGACAGAGTTTCACTCTTGTTGCCTAGGTTGGAGTGCAATGGCATGATCTCTGCTCATTGCAACCTCCACCTCCCGGGTTCAAGAGATTCTCCTGCCTCAGCCTTCTGAGTAGCTGAGATTACAGGCGCCCACCACCATGCCCGATTGATTTTTTGTATTTTTAGTAGAGATGGGGTTTCACCATGTTGGCCAGACTGGTCTTGACCTCTTGACCTCAAGTGATCCACCCGCTTGGCCTCCCAAAATGCTGGGATTACAGGCATAAGCCACCACGCCTGGCCAAGACCCTGTCTCTTAAAAAATAAATAAATAAAAAATAAAGTTACCATATGACCCAGCAATTCTACTTCTGGGTATATACCCAAAAGAATTGAAAATAAAAACTCAAACACTCGAACATTCATGTTTGTATTAGTTTGTTCTCTCATTGCTATAAAGAAATACCTGAGACTGTGTAATTTATAAAGAAAGGAGGTTTAATTGGCTCACAGTTCTGCAGGATGTACAGGAAGCATGGCAGCGTCTGCTTCTGGGGAGGCCTCAGAGAGCTATTACCCATGGTGGAGGGCAAAGTGGGAGCAAGACCAAGAGAGAGACGGGGGAGGTGCCACATACTTTTAAAGAACCAGATCTTATGAGAACTCTATTACAAGAACAGCACCAAAGGAATGGTGCCAAACCATTCCTGAAGGACCCATCCCATGATCCAATCCCCTCCCACCAGGTCTCTCTTCCAACATTGAGGATTACAATTCAACATGAGATTTGGGTGGGGACACAGATCCAAACCATATCAATGTTCATAGCAGCATTATTCACAATAGCCAAAAGGTGGAAGCAACCCAAGTGTCCATCGACAGATGAATGGATCAACAAAATGTGCTATACACATTCAACGGAAAATTTTTTTTTTTTTGAGACAGGTTCTCGCTCTGTCACCAGGTTTGAGTGCAGTGGCGCCATCTCGGCTAAACTGCAACCTCCTTTTCCTGGGTTCAAGTGATTCTCTTGCTTCACCCTCCTGAGTAGCTGGGACTACAGATGCACGTCACTACGCTCAGCCATTTTTTTTGTATTTTTAGTAGAGATGGAGTTTCACTGTGTTGGCCAGGATGGTCTTGATCTCTCTCTCTCTTTCTCTCTCTCTCTCTCTTTTTTTTTTTAGACGGAGTTTCACTCTTGTGGCACAGGTTGGAGTGAAATGGCACGATCTCAGCTCACGGCAACCTCCGCCTCCTGGCTTCAAGTGATTCTCCAGCCTCAGCCCCCACAGTAGCTGGGATTACAGGCATGCGCCACCACACCCGGCAGATTTTTTGTATTTTTGGTAGAGATGGGGTTTCTCCATGGTAGTCAGGCTGGTCTCGATCTCCTGACCTCAGGTGATCTATCTGCCTCGGCCTCTCAAAGTGCTGGAATTACAGGCATGAGCCACCTCGCCTGGCCAATAGAATATCATTCAGTCTCAAAAAGGAAATAAATTCTGACACATGCTACTATATGGATGAAAGTTGAAGTGAAATAAGCTAATCACGAAAGGACAAATACTTCGTGATTTCACTTCTAAGAGTTATCTACAGTAGTGAAATTCATAGAGACAGAAAGTAGAATGGAGGTTGCCAGGGGCTGTGGGGAAGAGGGATTGGAGAGTTAGTGTTTAATGGGTACAGGTTTTCAGCTTGGAATGATGAAAAAGCTTTGGAGAAAGATAGTGGTGATGGTTGCACAACAATGTGAATGTTCCTAATGGCACTGAACTATACCTCACAATATTTAAAATGGTAAATTTTATGTTATGTATATTTTACCACAATTTAAAAAAAGATACACATTTATAAGGAACCAAGTGGTGTTGCGGACTTAAAAAGGGAATACTTAGTTCCTTAGGGGGCTAAGAAAGGCTTTCTCAAGGAGACACTTGAGCAGGGAGAGAACTTGTATGGTGGAAAGGGTCAGAAGTACTGATCTCAGTTCCACTCTGTCACTTAGTAGCAGACCTTGTACATGTAACCTTGGACAAGTGACATAACTCCTCAAGAGGCAGTGTAGAATGGGTGTTTGTCACAAGGATGCTGAACCAGATGACATTTTTAGTTTTTTTGAGACGGAGTCTTGCTCTGTCACCCAGGCTGGAGTGCAATGGCGCGATCTCGGCTCACTGCAACCTCCGCGTCTCCTAGGTTCAAGTGATTCTCCTGCCTCAGCCTCCTGAGTAGCTGGGATTACAGGCACATGCCACCACGCCTGGCTAATTTTTGTATTTTTAATAGAGACGGGGTTTCACCATGTTGGCCAGGGTGGTCTCGAACTCCTGACCTCAGGTGATCCACCCACCTTGACCTCCCAAAATGCTGGGATTACAGGCGTGAGCCACTGTGCCCAGCCTCAGATGACTTTTTTGTTTTTGTTTTCACTTTTTTTTTTTTTGAGACAAGGTCTCACTCTGTTGCCCAGGCTGGAGTGCAGTGGCGTGATCTCGGCTCACTGCAACCTCCTGGGTTCAGGCGATTCTCCCACCTCTGTCTCCTGAGTATCTGGGGCTGCAGGCATGCACCATCATGCCTGGCTAATTTTTGTATTTTTTGGCAGAGATGGAGTTTCATCATTTTGGCCAAGCTGGTCTTCAACTTCTGATCTCAAGTGATCTGCCCCCCTCAGACTCCCAAAGTGCTGGGATTACAGGTGTGAGCCACCGTACCTGGCCAGATGAGGTAGATGAAGTTTTTGAATCACAGTTCATTTACCAGCCATGTGACCTTGGTCAAATTAAAAAGTGGACACCTTTTTTCTTTCTTCCTCATATCTATAGGCTGTACAAAAAGTAGACGTCTTTAAGTCTTCCTTTCTTCAACTATAGATGGGGAGGTTAAAGCCCATCTCATAGGGTTGTTGTGAAGGTGTCATTAGATGTTATATGAGAAACCACTAGCACAGTGCCTGCCACAAACTAAGCACTCAGTGTCAGCAGCTTTTATTTCCACAACTGTAGCTGTACAATAGGGTTAACATTACTTGTCTTCAAAGTTTTTTTTTTTTTCTGAGATGAAATTTCACTCTTGTTGCCCAGGCTGGAGTGTAATGGCACGATCTCGGCTCACTGCAACCTCCGCCTCCCGGGTTCAAGTGATTCTCCTGCCTCAGCCTCGCAAGTAGCTGGGATTACAGGCATGTGCCACCACGGCTGGCTAAGTTTGTATTTTTAGTAGAGATGGGGTTTCACCAGGTTGGCCAGGCTGGTCTCAAACTCCTGACCTCAGGTGATCCACCCACCTTGGCCTCCCAAAGCGCTGGGATTACAGGTGTGAACCACCGCGCCCGGCCGGGTGTTTATTATTTTAAGCCAAGAAGTTTTGGGATAATTTGTTTCACAGCAATAGGTGATGAATATAGAGGAGAATCGGAGTTTGAAGCACTGGCAGGCCAGATGAGTGAGGTCTGGTTGTTAGGAGAGGTGTTGGAATTCTCAAAATGAAGCAAGAGGTGGAATTACAGGTGCAGGGCTGGCTGTGGGGTGAACTAACTAGATTGTAGAGGGTGAAAGGGTAGGAAGAGAAGAGAAAAGAAAAGGAAGAGAAAAGGAATAGGAAGATGAGGGAAGCAGATAAAGAGAAAGGAAAAGGAAGAGAAGGAGAAAGAAGAAAGGGGAAGAGAGAAAAGAAGAGGAGGAAGAGGAGGGCAGAGAACTGAGGATGAATCTTGGGATGTGGAGGACCGGGAAGCAAATGTTAGAGATTTACCTTTTACAATGGACTCTCATATTCATTGTAATGATAGTTTTTACTATACCTCAGTGTGTTAAGTCTTTTTTTTTTTCAGATGGAGTCTCGCTCTGTTGCCAGGCTGGAGTGCAGTGGCGCGATCTCGGCTCGCTGCAACCTCTACGTCACGGGTTCAAGCGATTCTCCTGCCTCAGCCTCCGAAGTAGCTGGGACTACAGGCGTGTGCCACCACACCCAGCTATTTTTTGTACATTTTTAGTAGAGACGGGGTTTTACCATGTTGGCCAGGATGGTCTCCATCTCTTGACCTCGTGATCCGCCCGCCTCAGTCTTCCAAAGTGCTGGGATTACAGGCATGAACCACTATGCCTGGCTGGTAGGTTATTACTATTATTACTGTCATTGACAGATGAGAAAGCTGAGAGGCTAAATAACCTGACCGAGGCCAAGTAGCCATTTAGTGGTGGAGCTAGGATTCAGATCCAAGTTTGCCTGATCCCAGATGCAGAGCTCTTAACTACAGGGCTACAGTGCCTACAACTGTACTCTTTCTATGTTAGACCCTGGCTTCCTTATTAATTAGGATTAAGTTTGGCTGCCTGTACTGGAAATAAGTATATGGCAGTGGATTTAATAAGACAGAAGTTTATTCCTTCTTCTGTAAGAGCCGTGTGGAAGAAGCAATCAAGGGTTGGTGTTATCCCTTAGATGGTGGCTTCATGGTGCCACCCGTGCCCCAGGTTCTTAAGTTTCTGCTTCACTATCCTAGTGCCTGACCTCCACTCTCAAGATCATTTCATGGGCCAAGATGACTCCTGGAGCTCCAGACATCAACTACAGGCTGGGAAAAGGAGGTGGGGAAAAGGCAAAAGGAATTTGTCTCAATTAAATTAGGTTCCTTTAAGTAGGCCTCTTAGAAATGACAGTCAATTAATCCCAGTTAAAGGCATGGTGCCCAACTAGACTGCTTTCACTTCAGATGCCAGCCACAAGTTCTGAGGTCCCCTGGCCACCTGTACTTCTAACCAACTGGCTGAAAATGTGGGTGTTCCTGTGACCCCTTTAGGTTCTATAATTTGCTAGAATGACACAGAACTTAGGAAAGCACTATACTCAGCATTATAGTTTAATTATAAGGGATATAAACCAGGGCCAGTCAAGTAGAGAGGTCAAGGGCAAGAGCTGGGAGGGTCCTGAATGCAGAGCTTCCATGCTTTTCCCCATGGTGTCAGGGTGTATCACCCTCCTGGCACATCAATGTATTCACCAACCAGGAAGCTTTTCTGGGCTTGGGTGTCCAGAGTTTTTATCGGAGTTTCATTATATAGACATGATTGATTGAATCATTGGCCTTATGACTGAACTCAATCTCCAGCTCCCTCAAAGCCCCAACACTCTAATCACATGGTTGGTCTTTCTGGTGACCAGCCACCATCCTGAGTCATCACTTTAGCATAAAATTAGATGTGATCTAAGGGCCTCATGAATAATAAAAACACTCTTATAGCTTGGGAGATTTCAAGGGTTTTAGATGTTACCTCCCAGGAATCCAATACAAAGACGAGAGGAATTTTTTTTTTTATCATACATCATCTCCCCCACTCTAGGAGCTCCTACTATGTGTCGGGCATTGTGCTAGGCTATTCCATCCATCCATCCATCAGTCCATCCATCCATCCATCCATCCATCCATCCATCCATCCACACATACATCTGTCATATAAGTGTTTATAGTGCTATATCAGCTTTTCTGCAAGATACAGAAAACCCAGCCAATAGGATTTTAAAACAGGAGATGAATTTACTCACAAAACTAGAAATCCAAGGGAAAGCAGTTGCTTCTTTGGCTCAGATGTTGGACCATGTCTGCAGACACCTAGGCTCTCCTTATCTTTCTACCCCACTTACCATGTTTATTTTTGTTTTGAATGAATGTTTTATTTTATTTACTTATTTTTTTTTTTTTTGAGACAGAGTCTCGCTCTGTCACCCAGGCTGGAGTGCAGTGGCTCAGTCTCGGCTCACTGCAAGCTCCACCTCCCAGGTCGACGTCATTCTCCTGCCTCAGCCTCCCGAGTAGCTGGGACTACAGCCGGCTGCCACCATGCCTGGCTAATTTTTTTGTATTTTTAGTAGAGACGGGGTTTCACCGTGTTAGCCAGGATGGTCTCGATCTCCTGACCTCGTGATTCACCCGCCTCAGCCTCCCAAAGTGCTGGGATTACAGGCGTGAGCCACCGCTCCTGGCCCTGAATGTTTTTTTTTAAAGTATTTACAGATAAAAATTAGAAGGTGGTGGGGCCGGATGCGGTGGCTCATGCCTGTAATCCCAGCACTTTGGGAGGCCGAGGTGGGTGGATCATGAGGTCAGGAGATCGAGACCATCCTGGCTAACACGGTGAAACCCTACCTCTACTGAAAATACAAAAAATTAGCCAGGCGTGGTGGTGGGTGCCTGTAGTCCCAGCTACTCCGGAGGCTGAGGCAGGAGAATGGCGTGGATCCAGGAGGTGGAGCTTGCAGTGAGCCGAGATTGCGCCACTGCACTCCAGCCTGGGCGACAGAGCGAGACTCCGTCTCAAAAAAAAAAAAAAAAGAAAAAAAAATTTAGAAGGTGGTACAGAGAGTTCCCTAATATCCCATACACTATTTCCTCTATTATTAACATCTCACATTAATATGGTACTTTTTGAAATTAATGAACCAATGTGAAATGTTATCACTAACTGAAGTGTATACTTTATTCAAATTTCCATAGTTTTTTTTTTTTTTCTTGAGACGGAGTCTCGCTCTGTTGCCCAGGCTGGAGTGCAGCGGCGCCATCTGGGCTCACTGCAAGCTCTGCCTTCTGGGTTCACGCCATTCTCCTGCCTCAGCCTCCCGAGTAGCTGGGACTACAGGCGCCAGCCACCACGCCCGGCTAATTTTTTTAAAAAATTTTTTTAGTAGAGACGGGGTTTCACTGTATTAGCCAGGATGGTCTCGATCTCCTGACCTCATGATCCGCCTGTCTCGGCCTCCCAAAGTGCTGAGATTACAGGCGTGAGCCACCGCGCCTGGCCAAATTTCCATAGTTTTTACCTAATATCCCTTTTCTGTTCCAGGATCCCATCCAGAATGCTAGATTACATCCAGTCCTCATTTCTCCTTAGGCTCTTCTTGGTTGTGACAGTTTTTCAACTTTTCTTACTCTTTATGACCTTGACAGTTACAAGGAGTACAAAGACCAGAGAAATTACTGGCCAGGTATTTTGTAGAATGTCCTTCAATTAGTATTTGTGTAATATTTTTCTAATTATTGGTCTGGGATTACAAGCTTTGGGAGGAAGACCACAGATATAAACCACCAAACCATGTTGATTTTGTCTTCATATTTTCATTTCACTATCACAGGTGGCTGCTATGAGCACTCCAGATTCAGGACTACTTTCAAAGATGGAAAGAGCCAGGAAAATGAAGGAGAGAAGAGCCATGTCTGTCCCCTTTTTTTTCTTTTTCTGAGACAGGGTCTCGTTCTTTGCCCAGGCTGGAGTGCAGTGGCCAAATTGCTGGGATTACAGGCATGAGCCAGCACGCCTGGCCTATCTGTCCCTTTTTTAAAAAATTAGCAAGGTCACCCCTCCTCCTGACAGGCTCAGAAGGCAGGGGACAGGATGCTCATACTTGTTTTAGACCTTGATTGGGACTGAGCACATTGTCTTCAGAATAAAATCAGGCTTCTATTGGTGTAGAAGGAAGTAAGCCAATGGATGGCAGGCCAACAACTGGTCATGTCGGCCCCAACTGTCTATTCTGTATGAAACTGCACCGTACTGGGTGCTATGAAGGGACATAAGAGAGGGAGCATTCTACCAAATTTTTCTAGAAATTATACATTCTGATAAATATTCTCTTTTAAAGGCATCACTTTAGAAGGATGGACTGTTATCCCACTAAATCTTTGGTAACTCAATCAAATCCATCCTTAGAAGATAAACGTTGGTCATATGTCACATGTGCTATCAACTGTAAAGACCAATTCTAAAGAGTCATTCCTGTCTGGGTGCAGTGGCTCATGCCTGTAATCCCAGTACTTCGAGATGCTGAGGTGGGATGATCCCTTGAGGCCAGGAGTTTGAACGCAGCCTGAGCACCATAGCGAGACCTCATCCATACAAAAAAAATACAAAAAATTAGCTGGGTGTAGTGGTGTGCACCTGCAGTCTCAGCTACTCAGGAGCCCTGAGGCAGGAGGATTGCCCAGGAATTCAAAGTTACAGTGAGCTATGATCGCGCCACTGTACTCCAGCCTGGGTGACAGAGCAAGTCCCACTCTCTAGAGAAACAAATCAATGAACAAACAAATAAACAAATAGATAGTCATTCCTAAAGCAATGGAGCAATGATACATTTTGAAAAGAAGCATTTAGTCAGTTTCCCCAAAGTGACAAGTTGGAGAGTGTTACCTTTTCTTAGATGTCTATGATTTAAAAAAAAATCAAATCTGTCATATTATAGTCACATCTTACGACACCTTGCCCTTGACATTTTTATGACCTAGATGAGGAAACTAACAGAGGTGGATGGAGAACAAACAGTGCAAGACTATCTAGTATGGTAGTAGGTTATGTATTACAGGCAACATATACTGAGGGAGTTTATTTATTTATTTATTTATTTATTTATTTATTTATGAGACAGAGTCTCACTCTGTTGCCCAGGCTGGAGTGTAATGAGGCGATCTCACTGCAATCTTCTGAGGGAGTTTAGAGGAGACAAAGATCAGAGAAGACAGGCATCACAGAAAAGCTTCGGAGAGGTGGGACCCAATGTGGCTTTGAAGAATGGTCTGACTGTCCTTAATTTCCCTCCTCCCCTGCCTTGAGACCTGGATTCCTCTAATATAGCTGTTTATTCTCTCTTTATTAAGCACCTAGTTACTTATTTTCATTAATTTTTCAGTTTATCTGTTAAGGTCTTGTGATTTTTACTTCATAATCTTAAATAACTTTTAAAAAAATTTTAGGAGAAATGGTAGCACTACTTTGCTCAAGCTAGAGTGCAGTGGCTATTCACAAGTGTGATCATAGCATACTGCAGCCTCAAACTACTGCACTCAAGTGATTCTCCTGTTTCTGCCTCTAAAGTAGCTGGAACTACAGTTGCATGTCACCAGCCTGGCTAAATTACTTTTTTGCACAGTGTTTTATACGGTAGTCTTTGCAGCCACATAGATCAATATTTGAATTCAAGCTCTAGTACTTACTGGCTTTGTGGTCTTGTGGAAATTTCTTACTCTCTCTCATTCTATTTCTTATTTAATAACAATCCCAAGCAGGCTGTTGTGAGACTGTAATAAGATGAAGCAAGGGAACACAGAGGATAGTGTACCCCCAAAGAAAGTGCTCAATAATGGCATCTGCTGTGATAGTCACCCTATTGATGACAGAGGCAATGGTGATGTTAATATAAACTCATGGAAAGGGATGGCCATGAAGGAACATCTGCTTGGTTTTCACCACTTTGTCACTGTTAACTTTACATGAATGTCTGCTCACCAAAAGTCAATTTCATTTCCCTTGACATTTTAATAATCACTACCTTAGAAACAGCAAAGACAGACTCGGGTACTCAGGGAACTTCTGTTCTGTCATCTGTGAAGGCATCAACCTTGTGACTCAGATTCTTGAGCAGAGATCACGCAACATTCTACATGAGACACTGGCACGAGCACCAAGAGATCCTGGAACATCTGCAATTAGTTGACAGTTATATTGAGGCTTGGAAACCAGTCTAAAAAAGTTATGCTTTAAATCAACGGCAGTTGTCAATGAGCCTGTGAAGGAATCCTTGCTAGGGTCCTCAGGCTTCTACTGCAACTCATACTGATAACAACAAAAAGAGAAGCCTCCCAAGCAGAAGGTCAGTCTAATTCAATCACTTAAGGCAGAATTATGGTATCAAGTTTCCACATCACTGAATGACCATGGGTGTAGAGGAGTGTACCATAAAATAACTGTGGGTGTTAGACATTTAACAAGTTGTTTTATTCCTAATTGCTGGCATTTGCCTAACTGTTTTCTTAATTCTAATTTATGTTTTTATGTTCCAGTGTGTTTACACAGCCCATAGTTCCCAATTGCCTTTATTTGCTTAAGTGTTTCTTTATTTACTTTTTTTTTTTTTTTTTGAAAAGAAGTCTCACTCTGTCGCCCAGGCTGGAGGGGAGTGGCACAATCTCAGTTCACCGCAACCTCCACCTCCTGGGTACAAGTGATTCTCCTGCCTCAGCCTCCTGAGTAGCTGGGATTACAGGCGCCTGCCACCAAGCCCAGCTAATTTTTTGTATTTTTAGTAGAGATGGGGTTTCACCATGTTGGCCAGGCTGGTCTCAACTCCTGACCTTGTGATCCACCTGCCTCGGCCTCCCAAAGTTCTGAGATTACAGGCATGAGCCACCGGCCTATTTACATTTTTATATATGTTGCTTTGCTTACATAACTCATTGTTCGGAGTGGGCTAGAAATAACCATAAATCCCCATTGCTAATTAGCCTCATCCTCATGACTGATTAGTCAAGATTATGAGTCTAGAAGGAGGGCAGAGAGGAGTCCTAATAGTGAGTCACAGGATTATTGAATTTTACAGCTGGAAGGAATCTTAGAATTTAAGGCATCTTTCAGTTAGAATTCTGTGGTTTTGCATCCTCAGCGTTGGAGAATTATGAAAGGTTGACCGCTTGCTCCTGCGCCTTTTGGCAAAAATGCTTAAGAATTTGGTGACAGCTTTAAAAAACAAATTAAGAATAAAGAAAAAACCCAATCAATGACGATTATAAGTAACCCATAATGGGGGCTTCAAAGAAGAATTGGAAACTTGACATATCAATGGGGTATAGAAGAGCAGAGAATATTAATGAACATGAAGGGGGTTCTTCTTTGGAGGTAAGTAAGCAGAGTGGATTTTTTGGAACTCCCTCCTCAGCAGCTGTGCAGTTTGTAAGGATTTTAGCTTGCCTAACTGTAAGCTTAGCTATTAGCTTTGCAGTGGGGAGTATTTAAAAGTACACACAACATATGAAGGAAAGAACCTGGAACCGAGTAGCCTGCTTCATTCCAAGAATCCATCTGGCATTTAAAGAACTGCTTGTCCTACATTAAACCCTGCAGAGTAAGAGCCATTTTTCATATCCTCATACCCCTATTTTTGGTTTCAGGTAAGACAGCTTACTGAGTTTGGAGAAGGAACAAAGAGACTTTTCCGAACCACCGAACCAAAGGACTCATCTAGGGTGAGCTCAATGAATCTAAAATCGGGAACACACATTGCAGCCCCTGTTTGGGAAATCAGCTTAAGAGCAATCTCAAGTCTCCACAAGAGGCGGAGGTCCATATTCCAAAATAATGTGAGCCTTCAGTTATTTGTAGGTAGAATTCAATGGAAGAAGGGGTGTTATAGATACGAAAAATCGTGGCTGGCGTTACCAACATTAAATGACTCGTGGTGATGGGGTAAGTTGACAAGTGAAATCCAGTCTCTTCCTAAACAAACGTATCTTTGTAATGAAGAGCTCGTTTTTGCAGCTTCAGTACATCTGGAGGCATCGAATAGCAAACGCTGCCAAAGGAGTAGTCCCTGGATTATCAGGAGTTGCAGAGTGTGTAAAGTGTTGTAAACCTTGAAATTAGTCCTGGACTGAAGGCACTTTCCCTCCTCCCAGACTCGCTTCTCTCTGACACATTTCCCCTTTCAATGGAAAGTCTATGGCAGTCAGGTCCACTCAGCTCAGACTTCAAGTATGTGAGACCACAGGTTCCCACCTTAACTGGTCACCCATTGAGGGACAGCACAAGACCCCGGTGCTGGCGCCAACGCTGAGCTGCGCCCTCTCGGTTACCATGGCGACCGCAGGCGGGGCGAGGCCCCCACTCGCCGCTTCCCCGCCTCTGCCCAGAACCTTTCGAACGCTCCAATTGGGACGACCCTTTCTTGCCTCTGTCCCGCCCCATTCGGCTCTAAGCGCTTTGCGATTGGCCCGGGACGAGCGGCCTGGTACCCAGAGGGCACCACCTCCTGACAGGAAGAGCGGGAAAGTGCACCAGGAGCTGTCCGAGGCGTGAAGCTCACGGGCGCGGCGGGGGAGCACACGGTTGGCTTTGCAGCGAGTTGCCCACTGTCCCATACACAACCCCCCGCTCCCATGACTGCCAAAAGCATGGAGCAGGAGTCGGGGTGCGGGCACACCGTTTGTGGGCCGGCCCGGTCTATCCCGGGGGGCTAGGACGCGACGAGGTTGGAGCGAGGATCCGGCGGCACACTCCGGAGCGCGGAGTATCAGAGGCCAGAGGGAACGGGCCGGGCCCCGGGGGCGGTGCCGGCGGCGGCGGCGGGAGGCGCAGAGCCCAATGAGCGCGCGCACCGCCCCGGGGGCGGGGTCTGAGGAGCGCTCCCCCGCCCTTGCCAGCCCCCGTCCCTCCCCCCGGCGCGGGGCCGCAGTGAGTGAGTGGCACTGGCAGCCTGTCAATCCCTCGGCCCAGCGGCCTTCCAGCCCGGTCCGCGGCGGCTGCTGGCTGGGTGCGCGGCTCCGGCGGCGGCGGCGGCGACTTCTCCCGCCCTATCCATCGGCTGTCCGCCCGGCGCGCGGCCCGCCGGGGCCCTCCTCCGGGCTCAGCGCCCCCGCCGCCTCTGCCCGCCCGCTCCCAAACTTTCCTCCTCCGCCCCCCCTCGCTCCCCGCGGCCCGCCCGCAGGCCTCCTCCTCCGCCGCCGCCCGCCGCCGCCGCCGCTGCCTCCCCCGGGGCCGCCGGGGCTCGGATCCCGCCTGGCCGAGGCGGCGGCGGCGGCCGAGGAGGGCAGTGCGCAGGCTGGCGCGGGGGGCGGCGGGCGTCCCGGCAACTCGGCGGGCGCTGAGGAGCAAGTTGCGCGGGGCCGCCCGGCGGGGCGCGCGGCGGCGAGGAGGCGGCGCGGCGGCCGCGTGAGGGCAGCGGGCGCCGCCGCCTCCGCCTCCGCCACCGCCGCGGAGCCCGGCGCTTCCGCCCGCCGCTTCTCCTCAGCCTCGGCGGCGGCGGAAGCCGGAGCCGGGCGCCCGTCCTCATCGCCTCAGCCGCGGGCCCTGCCGGCCGGGCCGCCCCCTCCCCGCGCGGGCGGGGAGCGCGCGGCCGCCTCCCCCTCCCCCTCCCCCTCTTTCTTCTCCTCCCTCGTCGCCGCCGCCGCCGCCGCCGCCTCAGCCTTCGCCTCAGCCGCCGCCCGCTCCCGCCCGCGCGCGGCGGGATGGACGATCAATCCAGGATGCTGCAGACTCTGGCCGGGGTGAACCTGGCTGGCCACTCGGTGCAGGGGGGCATGGCCCTGCCGCCTCCCCCGCACGGCCACGAAGGGGCGGACGGCGACGGCAGGAAGCAGGACATCGGCGACATCCTCCACCAGATCATGACCATCACCGACCAGAGCTTGGACGAGGCGCAAGCAAAGTTGGTGTCGTCTCATTAAGCATCTTTTGTGTGTGTGCGGGAGCCGGGCCCGCGGCCGAGTCGAGGCCCGGGGTGGCGCCCGGGGCTAGGGCCGCAGCCCCCGGCGGGGAACTTTCTCCGAAAGCCGGCCGCCCGCCCCGGCCTCGGGGGGACTTGCCCGCGCCCCCCGAAGCGGGCGGGAGTCGGCAAAGTTGCTCTGGGGGGCTCGGGACGGACTCGGTGCGGCGCGGATTCCGTGGCGTCCTTTCCCCCGTCCTGCCCCTCGCAGCCCGGCCCCCTCCCAGGGATTTAAACCTCCCGCCCCGACCCCGTGCGGGCCGCGCCGCCGGGAAGTGTAACTTTCTCCTCCGGCGGGGAGTCCCGGCGCCGGCTCCCGCGGCCGCGGGACGACCTCGCGATGCGGGCGGCCACCCGGGCCCGGCGCGGGGCGATGGGCGGTTCCCTGGCGGGTCCGGGTGCGGACGGCCAAGTTCTCGGAGAGGGAGGGCCGCCTTGCAAACTTTGCCGAGCTGTCACCCTCCCGCTGGCCGCAGTCGGCCGGCCTCCTCTGCACAGGAGCGGACGCGGGAGCCCCTCCGCACCCGTCCCCTCCCCCGGGTCGCCTTCGCCTGCCCCCGGGGCGAGGCTCCCCGCGCGGGTTCGCGTCGCGTCTGCAGTGGCCGAGGCTGCTGCCTGCCGGGCAGATGGGTCCGCCTTGTTCCGGCTGCAGCTTTCGCCGCCGGGGCTTGCTGGCTGTCGGGAACTAGTCAACTGGAGTTTTTGTTGACTTCCCACGGTTCAAAAGGGCCTTCCAGAATGGGGGGCTGGAATTAAATCTTGGGTCTAACTTAAAGGAAGGCGCCATATTATTCCATAGGTGATGCTAATACCTTTGTGTTTCGTTATTTGTTTTTTAGGAAACATGCCCTGAACTGTCACAGAATGAAACCAGCGCTCTTCAGCGTCCTGTGTGAGATCAAAGAGAAAACAGGTAAGACGCTGCGCCCCGCAGTGGGCCTGGAGACCCCCGAGGTGGGGGTCGGAGCTACTCCTTCGACTCTCCAGTTGAGAGCTGCTGCTTTTGGGCACCGCCATCTTTGATCATTCTCTCCTTCCCACGTCCTGATCTTGAGAAAAAACTGCAATAAATCTGGAGTCAATTTCTCAGTTCTGCTCCTGGTGTAAAATGAAGTGTAGGTGCGGACCGGGCTGGATCGCCGTCCCTCGGCGGCCGCCCCTGGCTGCAGGCGGGGAGGGGGCCCGGAGCGCCAGCCGCCCTCTTCCCTCTCCTTTCGCCTTGTTTGTGTGTCAGTTTTTAAAAGGAGCAACGGGAGACTGGATGCCAGGACCGAGTCCCCGGGAGAAGCATCGCCCGAACTTTGTTTTACTTAGACAGTCTTAAGCTTCAGCTGCACGGATAGAAGAATAGATGCAATTGAACAGACCCCAGTAGCATGCTTGAATTAGTGTTTTAGGTGGGAAGGCTACTTTAGAGAATCGAGGAAGGGTAATGATGTGTAGACACATACGATGTATTACATCTGTTAATACTTGTATTATTTTGTATTCTGAAGTCATTACACTTGTAACTGTGCTTAATATATAAAGTATAAAAAGGTCTACAGATGCAGGTTAAACAATTTTGAAGTGTCCAAGTCAGGGAATATATAAGAAGATAGGTTTTGCAGAAGTGCTGGAATGAAAACTACAGGTACATATTTGGCAAATTTTTGGCAATTCGTTTCAGTTTAACTTTCTTGTCAGACTTTATTAATTGAAGGTCTTTCAGTCTTGACGTGAGGTAACTGCTCAAACTGAAGCAGAGATTTGGATGTTTTAGTTTGTATTTGGCATTATCTTCCCTGTATGTGGCAAACAAGTACATTAAACAAGCTCTACTGTTTATTTTTTTCCTGTTCTTTTCTTTCTTTTTTTTTTTTTTTTTGGTGTGTGTTGGATGTATGGTATTTTAAAGTTGCCATTTTGAAAGTTGAGGCAAAGGAGAAAAAGTTGAAGTCCAGGATATAGCACTATCCAAGGGAGGCTATTTAGAAGGTTACATGTGATTGTGTTTAAATTGAGTGTACAAATAGCACAGTGCAAATAATTGTTAGGTTGATAGGCGAGTCAGCCTTCTTTGAAACAGGTTTTTCGCTTTGCAATACTATTCTGATCCTAAAAGTAATCAAGAAAAGATGATGAGTTATTGCTGTCTATTAAATATATATGCTAAACCATAATAAGCAGCAAATAATAAGGGAGGCCAAAGAGTACTTTTCCTGGTTTTCATTCACATATTATGGCTGGTTTCTTAATGCTCAGTGATCCTTTCTTGAATTACTAACTTTTATTTTGTGTTGATTTTTAGCTACCTTTAGAAAGCGTTTTGATTTAAAGCAGTAGATAATTTTTATCTGACTGTAAAATAAGACATCTAGCATTCAGTCTTGAAGATTCTTAGTTTAGAAGCTTAAAAGTATGCAATTCTCAGTAAATTCTGATGCTTAGTGTCCAAGGGTTTTCCTGCTATCAGGGCTCCACTTCAGTTTCTGCTGACAGCCAAGCACTGGGGTATTGACTATGTTGTGAATATTAAGATTGATTCGACTTTATACAGCCTTATATTACTAGGGAGAGGGGATGGATACTTATCGCTTCTCATCCCCTTCTCATTATTTGTATTTATTTATTTATTTTTGCCTTTTTAAAGTTTTGGCCTAGCTAGCTTGAGAACTAAACCCAGCAAACTGCTTTTCATGTTGAGACATTTAGCAGCAGGCAGAATTCAATTAGGAAGCATAAGTCCTTTAGTTGCTTATTTGCACAGGACTTAGTTACACCATTCTGAAAGGAAAGTATAGTCAACCACATGTCAAAGGTGAGTTACGAAAAAGAAACAAATCTTTTCAAAGTCTGGGATTACTGGCAGAGAGAGCTTTGGTAGGGCTATTGCTATTTAAAAACCAAGAGGCAGCTGACAAAAGAAATTTTTGTGTTTTAAAATTGTTTCTGGGGCTTTCAGTGATAACTTGTAAATTAGATTCTCTTTTTGTGCTTTGGCCAGTGGATCCACATTTGCACGTTATCTCTTTTGTAAAAAGCCAACAGCCGACAAAGAGTAAAGGCGGCTGTCTGGGTAGAGGCATCTTCCTGCTAGCCTCTCTAAGCTCGAGAGGGATGGGATTTAAGTACTGAGTGATTGATGGGGGTGAAGCTCTTTCTCTTCTTTCCATTCTCCCCTACTACCCATAGCTTCACCTCACTCTCCAAAACTAGTCTTAGAATGAGACAGGGACTCAGAATCCTCAATTCGAAATAAAACAGCTGTGTAGACATTAGTGTTACCAAAGCAAAGAAAGCGGGGCTGCAAATTCCAAGCCCCCCCACTCCTGCTTCCATAGTCGGTCATGCTTTAGAAACATGAACTTATAAAAGAAACATTGTAGAATATATGTATATTGCATAAATATTTTTTAAAAATCATTTTATTTAATCTAATAATACCTAAAAATTAATTCTTTGTAATTTAGAGAAAGTTTACCTAGTCATTTATGAATAGAAACCAGAAACATTATGTTGATGACTCTATTCTGCTTAATGAAGGGGGTTGAGGGTGAACTGTCATTTCAGTGGATAATGTCATTTCAGTTGTGCTTTTCTTCTAAAACAAAACAAAATCATTTTAAAAAAAATCTGTTTATTTGTAGCTCTGCCAGTGGATTTTGAGGTTTCTGATCAGGCAGTGAACACTGCCAGTTCTTATGCACATGGGGGATTTAGTTTAGAAAACATCTGTTTCCCCCTCTACCATATATGAAAAGGTATTTTTCCCTTCTGACAGATAAATGGGTAATCTACTACAATTATATTATTTTCTTGTTGAGAGGTAAGGAAAGTATACTTCTACTATAAGATGCTGCTTTTTCTTGAGAATATATTCTTTCGTAAAATTGATCATACCATTATTTTTGGGCAGAAATGTCTCTCATTGTTGAATTGTGATATTTGTGCATTTTGAGAGCACCCAAAAAGTTGTAGGCTTTAAAATAAAAATAGTTGTTTATTTTAAACCAAGTAACCAGTGAGATTATTGTTGATATGTTAAGATTTTTCTCCTGATTTTTAAAGCCATATTTTATCATCTGTCTCTTATTAAATATCCCTGATGCCACAAGGTCTGCTCACCTGCATACCTCTTTTGGTGTATGCCCCCACCTCTTTTTGGTCATCTTAATCTTAATTGTTGAAGTGCTTTCCTTTGTGAAATATTTCATCCTGAAAAATCTTGTCTTCTTTCCAAAGCCCTTAATTGTGCGAGTTTAAGTGAAGGAAATAGTTCTTTTTCAAGAAAAAAATATTTATTTTTTAAATGAAATCCCACATTTTAGTAGATAATATGAATCACATTATTGTGAAAAATGTTATGCATGAAAAAAAATAAACACAACCTTTTCCTTTTCAAATAATAGGTTAAAATACTCCATGTTGATGGCTGCCAACCAAACTCTGATTTATTGCCACCACAAACCCTAAATAGCGTTCATTTACTAGTAATGTCTAATGGCATACATGATGGTTTGCCAGATTTGTAGCCTTTGTGAGGCTTATAAGTAGGACTGACTTGGGAAGATCATAAAACTTAATGAACTTCTCTACTGCAGGAGGTGTCCGCAGGGGAAGAGAAAGGCCTGCTTGGTTGGTTGGGCTGGTTGAAGTATTTTTTATGTTTAAGGAGAAGAAAATGACTAGTAAAAATGCCTTACTTTTAAAGGAACCCTCCCTAGAAAGAGTCATAAGAATTTTAGATATTAAAACTAGATCAAGAGTATAGTTTACAAGTGAGGTTTTATGTGCATTTAGTATATGATGTGAGATTAAACCTTTTATCTTTATTGCTAGAAGTGTGACTAGCTTTCAAAGAGACAAGGCAGTACTGTCATTCGACACCTCTCTATTTAATTGTGAACCCACAGGTTTAGAGACTCTTTGGAGTCTTTTTTTGGTGTGCTTCTCTTTTTAAGGTTTCAATATAAAAATCTGTTACATTTTTCTTTGTACAGTGCTGTGTGATTCTTTTAATTCTACATATGTAAAAATCAATTTTTTCAAGTGAAAATTTAGCAAGAAAGGTGAAAATTGTTATATATTAGTCTAAATGTTATTATATATTTTGCATATGCTTTTAAGTTGCTCTTGCACTATTTCCAATATAATTATCATCTTTTGTTTCAAGTTTTAAAAACAAATGCACTGTTCCATACATGATTCCTTTTTGTGTTTTCATGAAACACATTTTGTTTTAATGAACTTATTTTCAAGATTTTAACAACTTTTTATTGTGGACACCTTTGAAACATAACATGCAGAGAGCAGAGACTCTTGAACCTCCCATGAACTCAGTGCCCATCTTCAGCAATTAGCAATACTTGGCCAGTCGTGTTTTCTCTGTAATTCCCACCATTCCAAAATTATTTTGAAGCAAATTTTAATGGTTCTTTAATGTTTTAAGTTTCATATCAATTTTAAGCATTAGGTCTGCTTATATTGGAAATATTAAGTGATTAAACAGGAAAAATACAAAGTCAGAGTATCTTGGAAATGTTATAAATTATATTGCTTTATCAATATATTTTTCTTAACTTAATATTTTACCTTTTTTTTTTTCTATTTTTATAGATTTGGTATCTTACTGGAGCTTTTGTAGGAGGTTTTCAGAGAAGTTGTAAAAGAAAGGGATTTTTCTACTTCTTTATTCTTCCATTTCCATCCTAACAAAATAGCACATATAATACATTTGTAGAAAACCTGGAGAAAAATCTCATTGCCAAGCTGGTTTAGAACCTCATGATCTAAAGTATCATGTGGATATTATCTTTAAAATATAGAGACATTTTCCAATCCTGTTCTTTATTTTTTTCTTCCCAATAAAAATGTATTGAACTCTCTTGTCAATACTAACTTGATCTGTGCAAGTAATTCTTTTGTTCCTTAGTTTTAATGACCCTCATTTTATTACAGATTTGAATAGTTTTGGTATTTTATTTGGGACTTTACTATGTTATTTTATTAATTTACATAATTTTATTCTGAATTAGAAGTCTTTTAATACACTAGCAAAGGAGGCCCCGACTTGCCCCAAAGAGCACACTGGTTGATCGGCTTTCATAAAATGTACTTGTCTACATTTTTCATACTATGATGCTTTTCCTTTTAATTAATTTTGCCTGTATATTTCCATCTCAATTTATAAATTTTGTAAAAGGTTACTTCTGAGGCAAATTTAAATTAACGTATTAGTTGGATTATTTATATTTTGATACTTTATAGTGGCATGGTATAGGATGAAGTTACATTATATGAAGTGGGACTATAAGAATTGAAACTGCATTTCGTGAACCACACCCTAAGTCAGTCATCACTTTATTTTGTACTCTACCCTGAGGTATCTATTTAGAATAAATGCTTAACACATCAGCACTAACACATCAAGTTATATAAGGTTTTAGATTATCTTTTCCCTATTCGTGTTTGTGAACATCTTTAGATATTTATTAGTTCAATATTGACATTATGAGAATAATGTTTTGTTTTCTCAGCAGTCTTGTGTTTTAGCCATTTATCAGTGTGATCAGCATGATTTAGGTATTAACTGACTAACAAAGCTTACACATTACCACCACCTCCCCCTCAAGCCCGTGTTGACCTTTTCAAGCATTTGCTCTACTTCAGTAGGCCATTTGAGTCTTCAAGTATGAAGAGAGTAAATAATTTATATCACTATGTAGTATAAATTGGTAAAAGTTTTTCAGAACTAGCTATCTGATTTTTTACAAAGTTATTGAAGTTAATCAGACAAATTGCTATCACATCTAGTTGACAGTGCTATATTTAGCAAATAATAAGTAATTCTTGAATGAGCTACTGAAAAAATAAACCACCTTTTTATGCCTTCAAACTCAGAACATATTAAAAAATAAATTTCATTAATCTTCAACACTTGATTCTAATTATCCCTTTTGTAGGCAGAATTGCAACAAGAATTTCTTCTGTATTATTTTTTCATAGATATATTCCATAGTATAATATGTTTGTAGGTTTTAATGGTAACTAGTTTACTTTGGCACTAAATTTGAGTGTATATCTAGCAAAAAAATTGGTGTGATAGAATGTATCAAACTGAATTGGCGTAACTTTTTTTGTATAACTGTCTACGTAATAGTAACAGGTTAGTATGAAAGCAATTAAAAATATTTATGGATAAAAATAATTGTTAAAAGTTTTCTACTTCTTTCAACTTAAGTGCTTTAAAAATGTTAAGCTGTTTAGACAATAACTCTTTTTTAGTGATCATATTAATGAGGACTTGGTATACAATGTAATCCTTTTAATGCTGATGAGTCCTCACAATGTTTAAACCATTATTTGTGAGACTCAACATGTTATGGCAAAATGATTTTTTGTTTGTTTTGTTTTCTTTTATGTGATACATCAGTTTTCAAAGCATATTTCTTAGGCTTCAGAGTCCAGCAGGTGGCTTTTTACATTAAAAAATTCATAAATTTTAAAATCCCATAAAATTTTATTTCAAATTCAAATTAACTAATTGAGAATGTCAACATTTTCACTGTCTCTATATTAACATTTATAATAGAACAAATGGTTGCATATAGAAATTATCTGCAACAGTCTAAATTAAGATTCTAAACAGGCATTACAGATGCTGGTAACTTTGGCAATTATCATTTTGTTTGGTGAACAGTAGTAAAACAGTGTGCGGTAAAAGTGTTTAGAGAGAGAGGATAAATAAATTGAACAGTTTTGCAATGCAAAGTGGTTTGTGGTGTTTTTGAGGATTTCTTGGCTCTCTCTTAACTGCTATTGTGAGCCTGGAGCAGATTTCCCCATTGCTAATGCCCTAGAAGTATTAATTCACTTTGATATGCTAATTAGAGGGCATTATGCAAGAAATGAGATTAAGTGGCAGCATGAAGCCATTTGCCTGTCAGTAAATTGAGAGCTTTAGCATCAGGAGGAGCTTTGTTTTTTTTTTTTTTTTTTTTTTGAGTTTCTCTTGGTTTTGCATATAAATAAAATTGATTGAAAGGTCTAGAGAAGCTTCCAGAACATTGGTGGATTCTTTTTTCCCCCTCCTATGATTATTTAAATGAAATGTTACAGGATTTTTCTGAATATTAATTGACCTAATTGGAGATACTGAATATAAAGTTTTTATTGTAATGTTTCTGTATAAAAATATACTAAAATTTTTGTGTCACCTAGTCTTTTTTTTCCTAAAACATAATTTCATTAACATGGCTAATGAACTGTTTATCACTTATCTCTTCTCAGAAGTGTAAACTTCTGTGTATGGGCTTGTGCACCAATGTCACTAAATTGAACTTCACAAGGATATTTTCTTCACTAGGGAAGGAAGGAAGAAGTTGAATTGGGCTTCAGAAAACTATATTAAATGAGTATTAACATTCTGACTTGAATCCATAAAAGCTGTAACAATTATAATTCATGGTTAAACTGCCCTTTATACAACCTGTGGAATTTATATTTCAGCATATATCTTATAGGTAAGATTACTGATGACATTTTGTGTGGAAGATGGAATTTCATACTGGATTCAGATTTTGTTGACTTTTGTGGCCTAAGCTAGGCCTCTGAATTTTTCTCTATAAAGCTATTTTGTGATATTTCTTATATTCTGGGGAGAAATACATGAATGAATACTAGGATTGCTGTGGGGAAAGGGAGGAAGACAGACCTTCTGTGCCTACAAGAAGGTTAAGGTTTACTCAAACATGGAACTTCTATCTATAAACCATGCATAGAGGATGGAATTGCAAAATCCTGGCCTAACTGTATTTGCTGGGTATGGTTAGAAGGAAGAGGGTTTGGGTAAGGCATTCCTACTGGGGTTTAGTTCAAGTGTCTGAATTCCACCACTGTAGCTGTGACTCTGGACCCAGTAAACCATATCTTCTCTTCAGAGCCATGTGGATTATTTAGTCACCACAGCTGCCATGCATGCATACTACCAAGGCAGGCATCTCTTCGGTGTGCATGTGTGATGCCTGTTAATGGTAATGTGAGTTACGAATGTGCACAGAAAGGAGGATGAGTTTCTCCTGAGACAAAAGTCCTGATTACATTTCGCTGTGAAGACGACTTTTAGTGTACCTACCACATTAGCTGCTTTTCTAAATGAAACACTTGGTTACTTTAAATTCTCACTCCCTTCTCTGATTCCCTGAACTAGTTAAATCAGTGAATCCTCATTAGTCTCTGATTACTTGCAAAATTTCATTTAAAACATATGAAGTTATTTTTGATTGAAAAGGGAACAAAAAGCTTTTGAAATTGCATGTTATTATTTAAACAAAGGTTTCTACAGGCTTTCAGATGTACTAAGCCCTGCAAATAATTTATAGAGGAATTATTGGGAAGGACTTATGAAATTCTTGAATGGCATTTGATGGGGAGGAAATCATTGCATTAAAAAATATATATATTTGAAATGGCAAGCTTAAATGTGCATCTTACCTTTACTATCCAAGTGTCCTTAAATGAGGAAGAATTGACTTAGGTGGTCTTACAAGTTTCATTTTTCTTTCTTTTCTCCTCCCACCATTGTTTTTTTTTAAAAAAAAAACTACAGGTGAAGGTTGTTGGAATTCATAGTCAGATATATCATTTTCAACTTGGAATAGGAACTAGAGCAGGAAATTGATTTTATATTTATTATGAAAGCAAGAACTCTGCCACCAACTGACAGCCATCCATGTTTTAGTTTTGTGATAATTGTTCACAGACATTACTCTGTAGTTGGTCCAGATTATTTATAATGTTGATTGGGACTGTTGGTCCATTAAAAGATATGTGTGTAATTAATATCTTTAATTAAACCTAGTAATATTGGCATATTTTATTTTTCTTTTACACTGGATCTTGGGTCTAGGATTAACTGTCAGTACTGGTAAGAACAAGTTATAATAGATTGTGCAGTGATTTCTGTGGCTTCATGGATGTATTTATTACCATTTTTGAACAAATTACACTAACATGAAAAGTTGTATTTGAAATGATTGTGTGCTAGATAAGGTGATACATTACAGGAATGGTTGGGTTTATGGAGCTTTATGCAGAGGTTTTCTCAGAAATTATAGCACAGGGCTGTCACTATAAAACCCAGTGATACAGTTGGTAATAACATACAGTGAAGATATTTTTAGATTTTCACTTGTTATTCAAATAAGTGAGAAACCTCCAGTTTTTCTCATCATATTTCTTTGTTAGAATCAGTAGAGAAAAAAATGAAGGAAAATTCTTTTAACTGTGTATGAGGTGTGGGTGTTTGACTTGTCTGAATTTCCTCGTGTTCACCACTTGTTACAGCAGTGATGTGATACTGAGGATGTCCTTAGGAACTTACTGACTTCTTGGTTCTTGACCTTTTGACTGTGATCAAGTAGAGATACTGAATGCCTGAAAATGAAATGATGGACTCTATAAACATAAATTCTGTTCTGTCAATGTATTGCATGAACTAATTTTGATTTGCCTAAATTTATGGCATTTTGTATTCAATAAAGGAAATATTTCTTACTTTCAGTGTAATCAGTATAATGTTATAGTTCTAACATCAAACCAGTTTCCTTTTTTTTTTGACTGATTATCATTGTGGCTGCTTTTTAATTACTGTGATTATTATGTTACTTTTAAATTTCTAATATTTTGCAGAATATTGACATGCCATCTAATAGTGTTTTCTAAAGACTGAACTTTAATCAGTATGAGTGCTTTAACTTGAAAATTAGGAGTTCAAAGTTTTCGTTTAGATGACTGATGTTCAGTGAGTGAATAATTTCAGAAATATAAACATTTTCCAATATAAAAAAGTAGCTGTCAACCATTGTAATGTGAAAAAAAGATAAGATGTTCCCATAAAGTTTTCCCTTTCAGTTTTAAATGTTAGAATTGATGGCCAAGCTGTAGAATTTCTAAACCTCTTCTTCCTTAAGCGATTATAATTTGCTGAACTTTAATGCAGCATGCTGAAAAAATAAGCCTCTCCCCTCCAGAAGATTCCATTCATTTAATAATGATAATAAAAATTACTGCCATTTATTGAGCAATGTCTGTGTGCAGCAATGTCTGCGTGCTGGGTGCTTTACATGCATTTCTTTAAAAAAAATTCATGCTTTAAATCTAAAGTAATATATACTTATTGGGAAAAATAATATAATGCTGATGACATATTATTTCTTAAACTTGTAGCAATGCTCCAAGGTAGGTATTTTAATTCTCAATTTGCATATGAGGAAGGTGACACTGAGAGGTTAAGTAATTTGTCCCTGATCCCATAGTGAGTGACACCCCAGGCTGTCTTTGCTTCAGAGGTGGCAGCAGAACTACTCAACTTAGGCAGAGAAAGTAGTGGAAATGGTTGATTCAAAGATGGCAAAACCTGAGCTTAAAAAAATGTGGTCAGGTCCAGAGTGACACTGAGTGGCAGCAGAGCTGTGGTCAGCACTAGTGTAAATATTTGTAGACAACCATGTTTTACAGACTTCAGTTTAATGGCAAAAATCTGCCCTAAATGCCTCAGTAAATATATGCTGGAGAACAGAAGCCTATTCACTGAAGAAACAATTGACTTTAGCTTTTCTGTTGTTAAAGTGGCCCCTAGTGATAGTGCTGCAGTGACTAGATAGAGCAGAGGAGAATGGCTTCCTCCTGGCTGGTGGGCTGGCAGTTTCACTGGCACTGCCAAATGTACTTCCTATTTGTTGTGCAAGGGAATTGGAACAGTGAGGCATTTATCATATCATCCCCTACTCCTCATGCAAGCAAAAAAGGAGAAGTTGTCAATGAAAGAAAAAGAACTGTAATCGCACATTTACATATGCTTCTAATTGTTGATTTGGGGATTTTCTATGAATATAGCTTCACAAAACAGATGCTGTTTAAGAAAAGGGGGAACATAATTTTGTGGGCAATGAATTAAGTGTTTTTGTGGCCCTCTCATCCGTAGCTAGGAGCAGTTTGTGGACCGCGTCTGTGAACGCGGCTCATAATTGTTTTTCACACATAAGTTATGCAAATGAGCTTTTATGGCAACTGGCATAACAATTAGCATCCTCCAGCAATATTTTAGCAGGTTAATTGCAAAATTTCTAAATTGTACATCTGACTTGTTAATTAGGCATGACAGAGGTGGTAAAATAGTTATCTTCAGGCAGTGGCAGCCAGGAGCTGCTTGAAATGCAAAGAGCAACGATTGATTGGATTTGAGGGTTACAATTGTGGGAGCACTGCTGTTGTCAAGTGCCGCTGAGCAGCTCTGCTCCATCAGTTGCCTCAGAGCAAGAACTCGGTAGTTGCTGCGAGGATCCTGCCATTTACAAATCTGCTTTATTTAACTCTGCAACTCTTCCATTCCAACCTATCTGAGCAGTTTATTTCACGCGGTTTGTTCTGCGTTGGGATCATTAAAACGAGATGGCAACACAAATTATTTTGTGCTCGAATTTCAGGACGCTGAAAGTTTACTTTCTATTTTAAAGTTCATCTCAACATTTTTCTCTTAAAATAGAAAAAAAGTCATAAATTCCCTATTTTAATTAAATTGTAAATTTCAGTTCTCAAGACTTCATATGTGATTATTTGCTTTTTAATGATTTAACTCTTTTAAACAGTGCATCTTTTTGTGCTTCATAGGTTCATTGCAGGAAAATACTGTTTGTGTATTTTAGTCTTAGGTTTTTTTTTTGAGACATAGGAGAAGAAAAGAATCTGATGTAAGGGTTTCATACAGTGGACAAATTCATTTTGCTTGTAGAATTTATAAAATAATATTAGCATGGCATATTGTGATGATATTGTATACCACTATTAGAATTCTATCTACAGTATGTTTTAAAAATTATTTTTTCAAAATTGTATTTAAATTTCTGTGGTCTATTTCATAGTTTTACTTGGATAGTAACAATAATTTGGTAAACATAAACATTAGTGAACACAGCATGATGGCACATTGTGCATCTGATTGTGCCAAAATGAACCATACCTTTTGTGTTTAAATTAGGCTAATTACATTTTTCTGTGCATATAAGTACCTACAAGTACACTGAATATGAAGTTAAGCATGTGTGAAATTTGATGTCACCTTTGAATTCACATATATTTTCTTGATTAAGCCACGTTGTGTGTAATGTTGAAATGTCATATTTTCATTTAAAAAGTAAATGTTCTACATGTGCAGCTGTACCAATATTTTACATTTTCTTATGACATGTGTATATGGAGGAAGTGCCATTTATGATATGTTGTCATCAATAATTTTGTCACTGAGAATAAAAGGCTTTAAACTCATCCACCCACTGGAACGTTTTATCATATTTATTTTAAGAGATATGAAATTAGTGAACAATTGAGCTTTTTATATTTAGGAGATGCAAATGTAACTGGATATTTACCATTAATGAAGTGCAACATAAATATCTCAGTGCCAATAAATTATACATAGCAACAGTGTATTCTATAGACATCTAATAAATAGTTTCTTTTTTCTTTTTTTTTTTGCTAGATCCTTTAGCTACATTCTTTATTATGGTCTAATTTACAGCCAATGGTGATATTTAATATTGGTTAACTTTTTAGAGTGATCTATTGCATTTGAAAATATTGTATTTTGAGTAAGAGTAAAACATTGTTCCATATCATTACATTTACTGATTAAATGCTCACTGATTTTTATCCATCACTATTCCACAATTCAAGCAAGAGTTTACTACAGTAATGCTTCAGTGGATAATATTTGGAATAGAGTAACCATTTTAATGAGGTTCATCGAGAGAGCTTCAGCAGGGAGCATTTCAGGTGTATTATGGCTTTTGTCTTGTCATGATGCATGTCTCCGTAACATTAGAGAAAAAGCTACAGGGCCCCACTCATCTCAGTTAATAATAATAATAATTTTAAAAAGTCAAAACAATAACACAAAACCCCTACCTTTCTAATAAAGTGTGAATAGAAAGATACTAAGAACAGGCAGCACTATGTGTTTTTAGGAAACTTGCTAAGTAAATACCATTTCTGTAGGTTAAATTTCCATCACATTTTTAACTGTCCCAGTATTGATCACCCTATAGAGGAATGAGACTGAAGTCTGGTAGTTATTAGTATAAAGAGGGTCAGCTGCAGAGACTGGTACCGAGTAGAGGCTCTCATGGTAATGATGCTGCTATTTATAGATCCCCATTTCATTAGTTGCAGAGTTTCAAGGAAGAGATTTTCTCTAGGGGAAATGGATACTTGAAGTTCATTTTCTTCCTCATATTAAGGCAAAAATGTGAACAACCTTCAGTATAGGACATATGATTACAGTATTTTTGCAGGGGCAGTTTATATTCTAAATATATTTGCAATAGTGAATGTTGTAAATTTAAAACAATGTAGAGATTCAGAAATGTTAGTTGCTATTCTGGCTGAGTGCTACTTTACGTACATTGTTTTATTACCCTTCTTGTCATTTTTTTTCTTGTAAAAATTACTAAATTTTCAGGAACTGCAAAGCTGAGTACAATCATGACTGTATTCCCTTTCTTTAGAGTGCTGTAAGGCCTTTAAGAGAGTTAACTGATTGCAAGAAGTGTAGTTCCCCAAAAAATATAGTCCACCCACTATGTGTATCTGTATATATTTGTAATATAGGTAATTGTGCTTTCCTTCTCAAATTCTTTACCTTTGAGTTATTTTTTTCCCTTTAAGAGAATATTTACTTAGTTAGTATTCACTTAATTAGAACTGACTGTTTAATGTTTTCTGGGAGGGTATTTATGGTATTTTCTTTGCTATATTTGCATTCCAGAAATTAAGTCCCCCTGCCATTATTCGGTGAGCCTTTCATACATTAGAATGATGAATTGAAAGCAGAAATGGGAAAAAGACTGCAATGCAATGAAAATTTAATCAGCGTCTTCTGCTGCTTTAATAAGGCAAATAATTCTTATTGGCCGCTGTGTTAAGGTTTCTAATATTTAATTCATAACAAACCTTGCATTATTCTGCAGTAGCATCGACAGATCCACTTTGCTGCCTGCCAACAGGCAACCATAAAAACTTAAAAGCAGATGTAAATGTCTAAAACAAGGAGAATGATTCGATCTAAAGCGGTCAAAAAAATCAACAATATTGTGAAAGAGTTTGATGGATCTCTATATTTAGTGATGCAAAAATGATATTAATTAAACTCACTTGAGCAGATTTTTTTTTTGGACTTAGAGGTAACCTTTTACAAAGCATAGCCTTTAGTGCCTAGTCAAAGACTTGGAAAGAAAGCAAATGTCAATACAATGTTGGTAATAAGCCTCTTTAAACTGGACACAAACTGTGCCATTTATATTGGAAGTATCTGGTTTATATTCCTGTGTATATGCAGTCTCTCAGCAAATACAGTGCTGAAATTGAGCCAATGGCATAAAATATTTTATCTTCAATTAGCCCAGTTTGAGAAAAGCAATAGCTTTTGCAGTCTAATTTTTCTTTGAAATGCCCTTTGTGGGGGAAAAAAATTGTCACAGGATTACAAGGCATATATGTTTTTATTTCATAACCTGAATTTAATGATTTTGTAATAATAGCATTAATCTTTCTAGATTACCATCTTTTTGTGTGAGGTTGTGTTGGGCATTAAGTTTGAACCTGCAGAAATGAACAAAAAGATATTGTTACCGATTACATGTAAACAGCCTGAATCATTCAAAGGGATGTGGAGAAGAGTATTTCTATAGTGTGAAGCCAGAGAAAATGGCAACCTGCCAAAGCTAGGTGCAAGCTCTTGTTACATGGAAGGGTTGGGCCTGTTCTCATTTCTTCTTGAAATGGCTTAATTGGTGTCAGCACCCCAGGGATAAAGGCCTCTAACACTGAAATCCACACGATTCACCCTGTCTCTGCTCAGTGTAGGGAAACTGGTAACAACTGGTGGTGAATGAGGAGCGAACGGTGCTGTAACAATACTCGATGATGTTTGGGATGACAGAAATTAATACGCACTTGCTTGAAGAAAGCAATGATTAATGGCAGTGAGCACGGGAACGCTGTCCCTCCTTTTACTCCACTTTGATGGGGATTGAAAAGCAAAAGGCTGTTTTCATTCTCTGTGGAAAGCAGAGGTCACACAGAGTACATTATAGCAATTTTTCCTCTCTGGTTTTTTTATTTCATAAATATTATGATAAGCATAGATTAGATAGATTTTTTTGTGGAAGCTTAAAAGGATATTTTATGTCATTTAAACGTTGTTTATGCATAAAGAAATCACACATTCTTTTCTTCACTTGTTAGATCATTTCCCTTCATGTCAGAATAATTAGTGTAATTAGAAATTTTAAAAGCCTGCAAACATGAAATTGTATTAATGCTGCTTACTATTTTACAACTGGAATCAAAAGAGCTTAGTTTTCTAAAGACTGCAAGGACAGGGCGGGGATAAGAGTGTTGCAGGGGCTTTCACCTTTTTCCTGCCCCTCCCCCTGGTTTTTCTCAGTGAATGTTTGATGTAAATATATTTTGCAAGGTACTTGCACTTGTCAGCAGCTTTCTTAGCCATTTGATAAAGATTCTTTATCCTACAAGAAAGCCTGAAATAACAGAACTGTACTTTGGATAATGAATTCTTCATCTGTGGAGAACTTTAAAACAAAGTACAGTGTTGGCATTTTTTTCTTTTGAGTGAGAAGGCTGATATATCTTTTGGATCCGACAGGAAGACATAAATTAATAGAGTTCTGGAGTTCAGTTTCTCATTAATAATCCATTTTGTCATGGTTCTTGGCATTGTCAGCCTAGTAGCTGGTTCATATTTTGCTAACGGATAAAAGCAGATTATGTCTTAAGGCACAAAGCAAGAATAAAGAGTTTATCGCCTTTTGGGGGAACTACATGCTATAAGAAAAATATTGTTTTGCAAAAAGTTTCAATTTTTAGTTAGCAATACACTACATTTTCTAAGGTAAAGCTGTTATTTTAAGATCCGAAATGGTTCTTGGAACCTTAGGATATTAGAGTTTTAGATCATTGCTTAGAGTTGCCTTTGCTGATTGCAAAGGTTTGCTTTTCAGGGACAGT
Organism: Homo sapiens; assembly: GCF_000001405.40. NCBI lineage: Eukaryota > Metazoa > Chordata > Mammalia > Primates > Hominidae > Homo > Homo sapiens. Next base: position 125,764,775 of record NC_000009.12, read on the forward strand.
TATAGTAGATTTAAGCTTGTTTTTATATTTTATTTTTAGAACTCTATGTATTGGGATATAATTATAGTTCAAAGAGAAATGCAGAAAAATCACTATTCCTCTTCTTTGCACTGGTTTGTCTAGATATTCTGTTACCTCTGCCTAGTTTTGTAGACATGGGGTTCTTGACGGCTACTGTGAAGGCTGCAGAGTCTAGCCATCTAAGAAATCCAATCAATAAAATTAAAATAAAAGCCTTATTTTTAATTTTATAAACTTTGAATTACCTTATTTAATGGAGGCTCCAGAAGCAGATTATATACAGATACTGACCCTGGTAACAGGTTCTTGTAAATGGCATCGTTTAAAGTTGCTTATATTTGTATTTTAAAGAAATTGGTTTTTTTTTTTTTTGAGAGGGTGTCTCACTTTGTTGCCCAGGCTGGAGTGCAGTGGTACAGTCATGGCTCACTGCAACCTCTGCCTCCCGGCTCAAGTGATCCTCGCACCTCAGCCTCCCGAATAGTCAAGACTACAGGCGCGCGCCACTGTGCCCTGCTAATTTTTGTATTTTTTTGTACAGACTGTTGTTCACCATGTTGTCCAGGCTGGTCTTAAACTCCTGAGCTCAAGTGATCTGCCCACCTTGGCCTCCCAGAGTGCTGGGATTACAGGCGTGAGGCACAGCGCCCGACCAAGAAATTAGTTTTTATAAAAATTGAAACAATACACCCTCCTGATATCTGATAATAGGGTTACTGGCCACTTGAGACCCCACATTTAAAGGGCAGAAGACTAGTTGAAGGGATATGAGCACAAATACTACCTGTTTTTTTTCTTCTTTACTTAAAAATATTTGTTTTTAGTGTATTATTTATATTGCAAGTCTTTTACAGACACATTCTTAGAAGTAGACAACTGAAAATATATTTCATCTTTAAAACTTGGGTCTTGTACTACCATTCCCAATTATCACTATTTTTTGTTGTTCATTTTTAAAGCTCCAAAGTAACTCATGCGGGGTGTGCAGTCATAAATCTAGACTTGATTATTGAGGTAACAAGCTATGGGAAAAAAGAAGAGTTTGTGTGGGTATAAGATGAAGTAAGGAGTATTATGATTGAATGGAGAGAATAATGGGAGATTTTATTTTTCTACTTAAAAGGGCTTGTTCTTATTATAATTTATAAATTTGATATTTTCTGAGTCATTAAAGTTCATCATTGGATAAAATTGGCCTAAGTTAATACTGATAGTGGCATCTTACAAAAATTCATTTAGGAATGGGAGGACTAGTTTTATTTTAGTTTTCATTCTCAAAGGGACTGTAGGTTCTTAGAGGGCAGGGACTATCTGTCATCTATTTTTTTTAGCACACAGAATCTGCTCAGTAACATTTTTAAATAAATGCATGCCTTCTCCATGTATTATTAGATATATATCTGCTGAGTACATTAAATCTGATACTATATTCTTCTAATTCTTTACATATAAATTTATTTTAATTACAGTAACTATATACATACAGTATAAGAAAACTGCCATAGCTACCTACCTGGATCCTAAGTAATTTATATGTAAATTATTTGTAAAGTAATTTATATGTATTACTGCTCCATTGCTATCATTAATGATAATATTTTAAAAATAGAAAAATCTGTGGTGAAAACTCCTGGTAACATGCTTAAAGTTGAATATTCACTTTTAAAGTTTTAACTTTAAAACTATGATAATAAGCACTCTGTTTTCTAGTGAGGAAATATTTGTGTGTTTCCAAATTGTAGGGTTGAATTAGGATGATTTAAGACTTGTTTCTCTATAGAGTTGGGAAGGACATTTGTTTTAGTACATTATAATGAAATCTTAAAGAGTAGATTTTGACAAGAGACATTTTGCTGACACAGAATATTTTGTTCATTTTGACTCTCAAATAAGTTCTTCTGTCTTAATGATTGATTTATATTCATTTTAGACTGTACAGTTTCCTAGCTGAGTTTTCTATCTATAAGGTACAGAAATCACTGTTTAAGTTAATGATAAATTAAATAATTATCTTTAAAGGTGACAGATGGGTCACGTCCAAAGATTAACCTAAGAGTAGTTAAGTAAAAAAATACTATGATTATGAGTTATTGAAATGAATGCTAATTTTAAATTTAGCATGATTGGGAACAGAATACAGTAAGGTATCATTTATTTAATTGCTATAGTTTTTTGTTCTTTTAGACTTACTTGACTTCTCTGTGTTACAGTCATTGTTGAACTGTTTACTTCCTATTTTGAATCAACCACTGATGTGTTGCTGTCGCTCATCAGGTGGAAAGACCTGGAAAATTATATTTTATATTCACTTGCTTTTTAACTGTAACCCTTAACAGCATTTTGAAACAGTTAAAAAACAAAACCCCAATTATTTATAATGGAAAGCCATTGGAAGTAATTTTGTCATGGATTCTCTTAGTTGCAGGTGACCGGTGAATTTGGCGAATGCTAAGTGGTGAGTTAGGCTGATATGTATGTCTAAATCTCATCATTAAACCAATGGCATTAAACCAACTGCCAAGTATTTTGCTTCATGAAAACCATTAAGACATGGAAAGCTCATAACTATTTGGCTGGTGAATAGTTTATTCTGATTTTGTCCTTATTCTTAAAAAGTCATGTAATTCAAAAATCTGCCCTTTCTTCCATGTAATAGTTAATATCTGTTCATACCACCATTCACAGGTATCTATGCTTGTGGTACTCCAGAAAGCTGTAGTGCAGGAAATCTGTTTTTAGTGTAGTTTCCTATGTGAAAGTGATAAAAGCAGTGGACCCACTGCTCACTTTCTAGAAAAGTGCACATACTCATACAAGTTTAAATACAGTTTCAGGGAGTTTATAGACACCTTGAATATCATTCATGGATCCCTCATGGATACCATGGACCTTGGGTTAACAATAGCTTTGTAGAGGTAGACTTTTTAAAAAACTACATTTTATCCAAATTTGTAACTGCAATCCACTTTCTTCTGAGAAGCCTAGTGGATCTGCTTTCTACCCAGTGGTTCTACAAACACTCAGACCACCAGTCGTTTCTGAGTGTAGTGAATCTTTGAGTGTATTGAGGGGAAAGAATCAGAAAAATGGAATAGAACAATTACATGAAAGGCAGGAGCAGGCTAGCAATGAGACTCAGGTGCTAGTAGGACTAGAGAAAAAGGCTGGCGGCCGGTGGGACGGGGAGAGGGGAGTTTAGAAGAGGGAAATCTGAAATTAGAGACATGGGTTGTTGAAGGAACTTATTTGGTAATTAGCATATATTACCTTGCAAGAATGATACAAAAAAAAAATTACTGGTTTATGACCTAGATGATATAAGGTCCTTGGGGGTGGTGGGGGGCAAGTTTGTCTTTTTGGTAACTGTTTTGTTATTTCATGTTGCTTTATAGGGATTTAATTTCTGCTATGTGATAGAATTCTTTTAAGATACATGCCATCCTTGTGTATATAAAATAAGTAGATGATTTATTGGGTTAGAATCTGTATTTAATTTGTTAAACTTTCCTATGTAAAGACTTTTGAAGAGAATATCTGTGTCATTTATTCTCAAACTTTTTGATCTTAGGACTCCTTTATACTCCTAAAATAAGTTTTGTTTATGCGGGTTTAATCTCTATTTATTGTATGAACAATCGAAACAAATTCTTAAAACGTTAAGTTAATTTAAAAATTAAAATCATAAATCGATTATGTTAGCATAAATAACATTATTACAATTATCAGCTTGTTATATGTTATCCTAAACAGCATTTTCTGAAACAAAACTAAGCAAAACTAAATGATAAGAAGAATAGTATTGTTTTACACTTTTGCAAATCTTTTAAATGTCAGACTTAATGGAAGACAACTGGATTCTCATATCTGCCTTTGCATTCAGTCTGTCATCATATGGTTGATGTATATGAAGAAATATCTGGCCTCATACAGATACCTAATTGGAAAAGGAAAGAGTATTACCACCAAACTTATCAGGACAGTTTTTTTAAGTGCTGGGAAGATTTCATACTCACAGTGGAGGACACAGTGTTTCAAAATTCTAATTTTTGCTTGAAAGCATGAATTTTATTATTAGCGCCAAAACTGTTTATTGTTTTACTTGAAGTATAGGTTTACTTGGTTTCTTTTTGAAAAAAGGTCTGCCAAAATAAGCTGAAATAACCATAATTTGTTAATTTTTTTTTAAGCAGCTAGTTCAGCTTGCAACTCACAGTTATGCAAGTGCTTTCCTCACACTTGGCATGCAGCCTAAGTGCTTTGTGGAGAATTTGTATTTTGTCACAGAATATTAAAAAGACACAGTGAAGGTGTGATTGAGTTAATAATTTTTACTGTTTCATCAAGGACATTGTGAAGTGAAACTGGCCTTTAAAAAAAAATTTAAGTGCCTAGTGGTAAAGAATACATTGTTAGTATAGTGTGGTGCCGCTGTCTTGCTTTGTGCAATGGCGCCAGCAGTTTTATCCACCTTTGCTTTGTGCACCATCAGTATAAATGTCAACACAGTGAAAAAGACCAATATCTTATTACTGTGAAAATAATTTTAAGTTTGTGGACTCCTGAAAGGGTCTCAGGGACCACCAGGGGTCCACGGACACCATTTCAGAACTACAAGTCTGTGTAAAGTGAAATGCTTATGTAATATAATTTGCTCTGAGAGCATTATTTTATTTTCATCTGTAATATCTATACAGAAAGATTACCTTACCTGGAAAGAAACAGGTTTTTAGTATGCTGATCCTAAAGGCAACAGAATATATCGTGAAGCCATTAGCGTGATCCTCTTAGCGTATTTGTTAAGTGCCTACACAAGTATGGTATTCTGCTGAATATTCTTCAGTGTGGAAACAGCTTTTGCCCTTAGAAGGCAGACCCTGTAGTCAGTCTTGACTGCACACATAAAGGGAAAAAAAGGATAGATCAACAGATCACATTTTGTTGGATCATAGTTTTCCATACAGAACTAGTGTAAGCTTCCTGGGGTTCCTGGGTAAGTCCTAGAGTGATTATTTACAAAATAAGGAAGTAGGACGAGGAGATTTCTAAGGCTTTATTCAGTTTAATATTCTGATTCTTTGACTTTTTTTTAAACTGAGTGAATTGTTTATTAATTAGCTCTTAACCACTTATTAATTTATTTAAGCTCAACTGGTTATGTATAATTTGTATTTGTTGCTATCACATTGGTTAAGCATTAATGTTATTTTGCAGTATTGAAAAACGGAATGTATAGAAGAGGAAATGGAAGGGAATTGTAAATGAAGAAGGCTTCTACAAGCAAGTGAATTTTAAGTGGCAAGGAAGAAGAAATTTGGATGGTGGGGGGGATGTACATTGCAGTGTATTTAACATATTTCTGAATTCAGAGTCTTTATAGCCTATGCTATAATAGCAGAGAAGGAAAATTTGAGTTCAGAAATAACAGTAAAGCCTGTAAGTTAAAGAATCTACCAGTAATATTCTCTGATAGTGACATGTGTAATATGAACTGTTGAAAAAAATCTCCAGAGTAAAAAGTGGTTCAGCACATAAATACATAATGTTGATTCTGAGGTTCCTTTAGCTCCATTAATTTTGACCAGAAAGCTATAATAGTTTTTGAAGGGGAATATAGTACTTAGGCATTAAAATATATTTATTTTTGCTCCTCAATGAAAAAAATCTTGTATTACCTTGAGATCTTTTGATCTTCCTTCTCATACTTTAGAAGGAAGGAATACTATTCAGTAAGGAAAAAATGACCCCCAAACTCAGGTTCTTACTCAGCCCAGCACAGTGTCAAAGTCCGTTAAAAATTTAAAAAGCTAGTGGAAGGGACTGGATGAATCCTGGGAAGGTGCTATTTAGATTCTTAAAAAGGAGAGAGGGCTCCTGGGATGCAGTTTGTGTTCAGGCAAATCAGACTTGGAAGCTGGGAAGCTGCTATTGTGGCAATATTTAAGAAAAAAAGACTTCAGAGATTATGTATTTTGGAAATATTTGACAACATTAGCAACATCAACTACTGACAAAAAAAGAACCACCTCTTTGGCAAATCTTTCACAGTTGTGCCAAGAAAAGCAGCTTCATTGGAACATTTTCATAAACTATCATCAGTTATGCAGCAGCAGCTTCACAAATCAGAAATGATATCTTCAGGCGCTGCTGTCAAGTGTTATTCAAATAATACCAGCCTCACATTTGAATAACAGCAGACATTTTGAATTAATTAATCAGATGAGATAGTCTAGGCCTTTTCTCATTAGTCTCTGGGTCAGGCTTGGGAAGATATATGTGTTGGTGATGATATACTTGTCTTTAATCATGATTTATGAAGATTTAGGATTGTGTGTGATTTGTCAAAGGTTCTGGGAAAAGGCTGGTGCATATTTCATTACTTAATCTGAGATTGATTTTATGATGCTAAGAGATATCACACTATTGTTCAAATGTGTGGGAAGTACAGGTAGACACAACATCCCAGGCTTTTTACTGGCTTATCTTTGCAACTGTCAAACAATGCTGTAAACTTTAACTGCTTGTAGTTAACAATTCCTGTTTTAATTATAGGCAGATTTTTTATTCTGTCCAAAGGGAGAAGTTTCAATGGTTATTTAGCTAAAATGCATAGCAGACATTATAACTATGACCTGGTATGAATCATGGACAAAGTTGGTAAATTTCATGGGTTGGTCATGGTGAAAATATAAAATTTCATGGCTTGTCAAAGATTAATATAAAATTCCCATTAAAATGGTGCAAATAATAGAGGAACAAGAAGTAAGGTTACTCTCCTTGCATGATACCTTCCCTCTCAGGACTAATTTTAGCAAAATTGAGATGTAAAATCATATCTTTTTTCAGTTATTTAAGCAACATTAATGATCTATTAAATGAAATAATTTGTCTGAAAATATCTAGTATAATGCCTGGTTGATAGTAGGTACTGAATATTTGCTATTGATAATTTTATTTTCTCATTTCCTACCTACTTTTCTTCCTTTCCTTTAATGTTTAAGGCTGTGTTAGCATTGTTTAGCCTTTACATTCTTCAGAATTTGAATTTTTAATCCTGTTGGGTCTTAATTTCTTGGGATGTGTTTTATTTTGAGGAGAGTAGTGCAAGGGTGAGAGGTTATCATTTTAGCGTGCTGGGTAACCAGGGGGACCCCAGTGTGACCTGAGTTCTTGTTGTGTCTGCTGGTATAATTTATGTTATGGCAGGCAGTGGGGTGGGAGGTAGGTAGGTGGTAGATATATGAAAAGTAGAATATTAACCTCTTAGTACATTTGAAGCATGTACTGCCTAATTCAAAGTGAATCTTTCTGTATCATGTGCCTCCTGAGGGCAGTTACGTGTCTGGGATAAGTAGAGCGTTTTTCATTCTACTCTCAAGCACACTAAAATGCTTATTATGTGAAGTATTAAGGAATAATAAGGTGATTTTCAACCTTGTTATACAAAACAAAAATTTGCTTTTCTTTCCAATCTTGGATGATTGACAGGTATTGCTTTATTGAGGTGATCGGGCTATTAATAATTACTAGTTCTTTTTCACTTTTATGTTTTGGGAACTGGGTTAGTACTCCTAAAGTAGCTTGGCACATCTTAACATAATTACAGGCAGACAATTCTAATTGATGTTCACTTTGGGGAAGATAGTTTATAAATAACAAGATGTGTTGATATTTGGAGAGATACAGTAAGAGTAGTCTGGGAGGCAGCTTGATGCAGAATAATACTGATTTTGGAAATTAATAGATGAGTCCTACTTCTGAACTGCTGCTTAATTGATTTGTAACTTTGACAAGTCACCTAATTTTTCCTGAGCTTTAGTTTTCTTTTCCTAAAGTAAGGCCACTAATTCGTAGCTTTCAGGATTGTGAGAATTAGAGGTGAATGTATGTACAGGACCTAATGTGATACGTGGTATGTAATAGATGCTTAATAAATTGCAGCTATTGCTGTTATCTTATCTATTCATTTATCTCTTCGAGAAACATACTGGGGCATGTGTTTGCAGGCCCAAGCCTATAATCTCAGCACTTTGAGAGCCAAGATGAGAGGATTGCTTCAGCCCAGGAGTTTGAGACCAGTCTGGGCAACATGGGGTGACACCATCTCTACCTATTCTCCCCAGAAAAAAGAGTGATATATGTGGATAAATACAAGCTGAGTCATTTATAAATACAAGCTGGACCATTAAGTAAGTAGAGGCAGGTGATGAGACAGGCAGGGATGACATCATTGAGGCTTCAGTTCTGTGCGAGGGTAGTATGGTCTTTGTTCTATACTTTGGCTAGCTACTGGTGGGTTCAAACAAGGGATTGATCTGATCAGATTTTTTATATAGTTCACTTTGGAAACTTAGAAGGAATATATTACTTATGAGACTTTCGTAGATCAGTGACGATATGTATTTGTAATGGGGTAATAGTGGGGTTAAAAAAGAGGAAACAATGGTTTTAAACTGAAAAATGAGAAGGAAGGATTAGGCGATTGGTTGGAGAATTTTTGTGTCCCTTCGTTCACTTGGCTGACTCCTATGTATCTTTCAGATCCTAGCCTGGATGTCCTTTCAGAAAGCCTTTTGACCACCTCTGAGTCTGCTGATAACCTACCTAAGTCTGAAAACCTATCTTATGTGCTCCAGTAGTATCCTGTGTTCCCCCTTGTTACTGTGCTCATGACACTGTATTTAATTACATATTTAATTTTCTGTTGCCTCCAGGAAATTGTGAACTCAGGGCAGAGATACTGTGTTTTGTTTACTGTTTTGTCCTCTGGCACATAGTAGGAAGCACTCAATATCTGTTTTTTAAAATGAATTGAATGTAGTATGTGAGGAAGAAGGAGAAAACAAGGGCGTCTGTTTCTAGCATAGGTGACCCCAGGTGAGTGGTCGTTTTCCACCTGAGAGAGAGAGTAGAGTAGAACTGCGGGGTCGTAGCATATGTTCGTTATCAACTTTGCTAGATAATGTTGAATTATTTTCCAAAATGTGTGTGCCAGTTTATATTCAATACAGCAGTGTATATTTGTTCTATTTGCTTGAGGACATTAGTTTTTTTCATATTTAGGTAAAATTTGCATAACCTAAAATTAACTATTTTAAAGTATATAATCAGTGACATTTAGTACATTCACATTGTTGTACAACCACCACTTCTTTCTAGTTCCAAAACATTTTCATCCCCTCTAAAGAAACCCCATACCTATTAGTCTGTTCTGGCACTGCTATAAATAAATAACTGAGACTGGGTAATTTATAAAGAAGAGATGTTTAATTGGCACACAGTTCCACAGGCTGTACAGGAAGCATGGCTGGGGAGGCCTCAGGAAACTTAGAATCATGGCAGAAGGTGAAGGGGAAGCCAGCGTGTCTTACGTGGCCGGAGCAGGAGGAAGAGTGTGGGGAGCTGCTACACACTTTTAACAACCAGATCTTGTGAAAACTCTATCATGAGAACAGCACTAGGGGGATGGTGCTAACCCATTAGAAATCCCATCCATCACCCAGTCACCTCCTGCCAGGCCCCACCTCCAACTTTGGGGATTACAGTTTGACATAAGATTTGGTTGAGGACACAGATCCAAACCATGTCACCTATTAAGCAGTCATTCTCTATTTCTCCTTTCTCCCAGCCCCTGGCAACCACCAATCTGCTTTCTATCTCTACGGATTTACCTAGTCTGGATATTTTATATAAATGGGATCATACAGTATTTGGTTCTTTGTGACTGGCATCTTTCACTTAATGTTTTTAAGGTTCTTCCATGTTGTGGCATATATCAGTACTTCATTTTTTTTAATGGCTGAGTAATATTTCATTGTATGGATATACTACAATTTGTTTATCCATTCATCAGCTAATGGGCAGTTGGGTTTTTTTTTTTACTTTTTGGCTATTGTGAATAGTGCTGTTCAGAATGTTTGTGTACAGGTATTTATTTGATTACCTGTTTTCAATTCTTTTGGTGTACAGCTAGGAGTAGAACTGCTAGATCATGTGTTTAACTTTTTAAGCAAATGCCAAACAATTTTCCATAGTAGGTCTATCATTTTACATCCCCACAGCCATGTACAGGGTTCCAGTTTCTTTTTTTTTTTTTTAAGACAGAGTCTCGCTCTGTCACCCAGACTGGAGTATAGTGGCGCAACCTTACTGCAACCTCTGCTTCCTAGGTTCAAGCGATTCTCCTGCCTCAGCCTCCCAAGTAGCTGGGATTACAGGCATGTGCCACTACACCCAGCTAATTTTTGTATTTTTAATAGAGATGGGGTTTCACCATGTTGGCCAGGCTGGTCTCAAACTCCTGACTTCAGGTGATCCACCCACCTCAGCCTCCCAAAGTGGTGGGATTACAGGCATGAGCCACTGTGCCTGGCCCACAGAGTTCCAATTTCTTATCAACACTTATTATTTTCCATTTTTATTATCACCAGTAGTGAGTGTGAATTGATATCTCACTGTGGTTTTACTTTTCTTTTCTCTAAAGAATGAATAACGATAATCTTTTTGTGTGCTCGTTGGTCATTTGTCCTTGGAAAAATATCTGTTCAAATCTTTTGCCCATTTTTAAAAACTTTTATGGTTTTAGGTCTTATATTTAGGTGGTTAATCCATTTGAGTTAATTTTTGAATATGGTGTGAGGTAGTGGTCCAAATTCATTCTTTTGGATGTAGATATTCAGTTGTCCTAGTACCATTTGTTGAAGATACTATTCTTTCCCTCATTGAATGTTTTTGCACCTTTGTCAAAAATAAATCGATTATAGATATATGTGTTTATTTCTGGATTCGTAGTTCTATTTCATTGATCCATATGTCTATCCTTATTCCATTAGTACACTGTTTTGATTACTGTAGCTTTGCAGTCAGTTTTGAAATCAGAAAGTGATGATGTATTAACTTTGTTCTTTTTCAAGATTGTTTTGGATAGTTGAGGCCCCTTGCAATTCCATATGATTTTGAGGACTGGCTTTTCTATTTCTGCAAAAAATTGTGATAGGAGTTGCATTGAATTTGTACATTGTTTTGGGTGGTATTGCCATCTTAACAATATTAAGTCTTCCAATCCATGAACATTGGATGTCTTTACATGTATTTAAGTCTTTAATTTCTTTCAGCAATGTCTAATAGTTTTCATTGTACCAATCTTTCACCTCCCTGGTTAAATTTATTTGTTTATTGACTCTAGCAGGTTTTTTGGTGTGGATTCTTTGAAATTTTCTATACATAGGGTTGTGACAACTACAGATAAAGACAGTTTTACTTATTCCTTTCCAATTTGGATGCCTTTTATTTCTTCTTCTTTCCTCAATGATCTGACTAGAACTTCCAATACAATGTTGAGTGGCTGTGGTAGAAACAGGCATTCTTGTCTTATTCTTAATATTAGTGGGAAAGCTTTAAGTCTTTCACCATTGAGTATATTGTTACCTGTGGGTTTTCCATAAAAGCTATTTACCATGTTGAGGAAGTTCACTTTTATTTCTAGTTTTCTGAGTGTTTTTATCATGAAAAGGTGTTGGATTTTGTCAAATAGTTTTTTTTTTCATCCTTGATTGGTTTTGTGTGTTGAACCACTCTTGCATTTTTGGACTAAATTCCATTTGGTCATAATGTGAAATCCTTTAAAAATGTTGTTGGATTTGGTTAGATAGGAGTTTGTTGAGGATTTTTGTGTCTATACTTGTAAAATATATTGGTCTATAGTTTTCTTGTGGTAATTTTATCTGGCTTCAGTCTCACAATAGTACTTCTTTTCTTTTTTTAAATGGGCTTTTGCTCTGTTGCCTAGGCTGGAAGGCAGTGATGCAGTCTTGGCTCACTGCAAACTCTGCCCCCCGGGCTCAAGTGGTTCTCCCACCTCAGCTTCCCCTCCTGAGTATCTGGGACTTTAGGCACATGCCACCATGCCTGGCTAATTTTTTTTGTATTTTTTGTAGAGACGGGGTTTTGCCATGTTCCCCAGGCTGGTCTTGAACTCCTGCACTCAAGCAGTCTACCTGTCTCAGCTTCTCAAAGTTCTGGGATTACAGGTGTGAGCCACTGTGCCTGGTCTGCATGATATTAATATTACTTTCATCATGGAATCAGATAGAAGTATTGTGGCTTATTTTTGTTTGTTTTTGAGATTAGTTCCAGTGATCTGCCTGCTTCTGCCTCCCAAAGTGCTGGAATTACAGGCATGAGCCACTGCGCCTGGCTGACACATGATTTTTCTTTTCTTTTCTTTTTTTTTTTTGAGACGGAGTCTCTGTCACCAGGCTGGAGTGCAGTGGTGCGCTCTTGGCTCACTGCAACCTGCAACCTCTGCCTCCCAGGTTCAAGCGATTCTTGTGCCTCAGCCTCCTGAGTAGCTGGGACTACAGATATGTGCCACCATGCCTAGCTAATTTTTTTGTACTTTTAGTAGAGATGGGATTTTGCCACGTTGCCCAGGCTGGTTTGAACTCCTGAGCTCAGGTAATCTGCCTGGCCCAGCCACCCAACGTGCTAGGATTACAAGTGTGAGCCGCTGCTCCCAGCCTCTTCTTTTTAAGAGTTTGAGGAGTGCTGGTTTAATTCTTCTTCTTCTTCTTTTTTTTTTTGAAATGGAGTCTCACCCTGTCACCCAGGCTGGAGTGCAGTGGCGTGATCTGGGCTCACTGCAACCTCCACCCCCTGGGTTCAAGCAATTCTCCTGCCTCAGCCTCCCAAGTAGCTGGGACTACAGGTGCAAGCTGCCGTGCCTGGCTAATTTTTTTTTTTTTTGTATTTTAGTAGAGACGGGGTTTTACCATGTTGCCCAGGCTGGTCGCAAACTCCTGAGCTCAGGCAATCTGCCCGCCTCGGCCTCCCAAAGTGCTGGGATTACAGGCGTGAGCCACCACGCCCAGCCTAATTATTCTTTAAATACTTAGTAGAATTCATCAGAAAAGCCATTTGGTCCTGGGCTTTTTTGGAAGATTTTTTGATTACTTTACTCTCTTTCTTTGTTATAGATCTGTTCAGATTTCTGTTTCTTCTGGAATCTCTTAAGGTAATTTGTGTGTTTCAAGGAATTTGCTCATTTCTTCCAAGTTATCTAATTTGTTGGTATATAATTATTTGTATAATTCTCTCATAATCCATTTTATTTCTGTAAGGTTGGTGGGAACGTCTCCACTTTCATTTCTGATTTTTGTTTTCAAATCTTCTCTTTTTTTTTTTTTTTGAGATGGAGTGTCACTTCGTTGCCCAGGCTGGAGTGCAGTGGTGTGATCTTGGTTCACTGCAACCTCCTCCTCCCAGGTTAAAGCGATTCTCCTGCCTCAGCCTCCCAAGTAGCTGGGACTACAGGTTTGTACCACCACACCTGGCTAATTTTTGTATTTTTTAGTAGAGATGGGGTATCACCATGTTGGCCATGCTGGTCTCAAACTCCAGACCTCAGGTAATCCACTTACCTTGGCCTCCCCAAGTGCTTGGATTACAGGTGTGAGCCACCGTGCCTGGCCCTCTTTTTTTTTTTTGAGACGGAGTCTCACTCTGTCGTTCAGGCTGGAGTGCAGTGGCATGATCTTGGCTCACTGCAACCTCCGTCTCCTGGGTTCAAGCAATTCTCTGCCTCAGCCTCCCGAATAGCTGGGATTACAGGCGCCTGCCACCATACCTGATTAATTTTTTGTATTTTTAGTAGAGACAGAGTTTCACCATCTTGACCAGACTGGTCTTGAACTCCTGACCTCGTGATCCACCCACCTCAGCCTCCCAAAATGCTGGGATTACAGGCGTGAGCCACTGCGCCCGGCCTTTTTTTTCCTTCGTGTAGCTAAAGTTTATCAATTTTGTTGATCTTTTCTTTTTTTTTTTTTTCATATTTTCTATTTCTTTAATAAATTGTCCTAAAGTTTTAACACCTGTGCTAGAAAGGCATGCTCCTTGTGTAGACACAGCCCGTGTCTCCCCCTGCTCTTTGCCCGGTACTGGGCATGCTAGGCTTTGCTGTTTGGAGTACTAGCCTCACCCTGTTTGTATGGCCATAAATTAATTATTACTTTTCTTTGAATTGTCAAGGCTTTATTGGATCTACCTACAGATTTACCAACTTTGCTCACCATTGCTTCTTTAAAAAATGGTTCTTTTTGTAGCAAAAGATATACATCACAAAAATGCCATTTTAACCATTTTAAGTGTATAATTCACATTAATTACATTCACGATGTTGTGCAACCATCACTGATATCTACTTCCAAAACTGGAACTCTTGTGCACTGCAAACTTTTTCACCATCCCAAACAGATAATCTGAACCCATTAAGCAATAACCTCCCATCCCCCACCCCTAGCCCTTGGTAACCTCTAATCTGCTTTGTCTCTATAAATTTGCCTAGTTTAGATCTGGAATCCTACAATATTTGTCCTTTTGTGTCTGGCTTATTCTACTCAGCATAATGTTTTCAAGGTTCATCTCTGTTGTCATGTGTGTCAGAACTTTGTTCCTTTTTTTTTTTTTTTTAATTTTTATTTTTTTTATTGATCATTCTTGGGTGTTTCTCGCAGAGGGGGATTTGGCAGGGTCATAGGACAATAGTGGAGGGAAGGTTGGCAGATAAACAAGTGAACAAAGGTCTCTGGTTTTCCTAGGCAGAGGACCCTGCGGCCTTCCGCAGTGTTTGTGTCCCTGGGTACTTGAGATTAGGGAGTGGTGATGATTCTTAACGAGCATGCTGCCTTTCAAGCATCTGTTTAACAAAGCACATCTTGCACCGCCCTTAATCCATTTAACCCTGAGTGGACACAGCACATGTTTCAGAGAGCACAGGGTTGGGGGTAAGGTCACAGATCAACAGGATCCCAAGGCAGAAGAATTTATCTTAGTACAGAACAAAATGAAAAGTCTCCCATGTCTACTTCTTTCTACACAGACACAGCAACCATCCGATTTCTCAATCTTTTCCCCACCTTTTCCCCCTTTCTATTCCACAAAACCGCCATTGTCATCCCGGCCCGTTCTCAATGAGCTGTTGGGTACACCTCCCAGACGAGGTGGTGGCTGGGCAGAGGGGCTCCTCACTTCCTAGTAGGGGTGGCCGGGCAGAGGCGCCCCTCACCTCCCGGACGGGGCGGCTGGCCGGGCGGGGGGCTGACCCCCCCACCTCCCTCCCGGACGGGGCGTCTGGCCGGGCGGGGGGCTGACCCCCCACCTCCCTCCCGGACGGGGCGGCTGGCCGGGCAGAGGGGCTCCTCACTTCCCAGTAGGGGCAGCCGGGCAGAGGCGCCCCTCACCTCCCGGACGGGGCGGCTGGCCGGGCAGGGGGCTGACCCCCCCACCTCCCTCCCGGACGGGGCGGCTGGCTGGGCAGAGGGGCTCCTCACTTCCCAGTAGGGGCGGCCGGGCAGAGGCGCCCCTCACCTCCCGGACGGGGCGGCTGGCCGGGCGAGGTGCTGATCCCCCCACCTCCCTCCCGGACGGGTCGGCTGGCCGGGCGGGGGGCTGAGCCCCCCACCTCCCTCCCGGATGGGGTGGCTGGCCCGGCAGAGGGGCTCCTCACTTCCCAGTAGGGGCGGCTGGGCAGAGGCGCCCCTCACCTCCCGGACGGGGCGGCTGGCTGGGCGGGGAGCTGACCCCACCTCCCTCCCAGACGGGGCGGCTGGCCGGGCGGGGGGCTGACCCCCCCCCCACCTCCCTCCCAGACGGGGCGGCTGGCCGGGCGGGGGGCTGACCCCCCCCACCTCCCTCCCGGACGGGGCGTCTGGCCGGGTGGGGGGCTAACTCCCCCACCTCCCTCCTGGACGGGGTGGCTGGCGAGGCAGAGGGGCTCCTCACTTCCCAGTAGGGGAGGCTGGGCAGAGGCGCCCCTCACCTCCCGGACGGGGCGGCTGGCCGGGCGGGGGGCTGACCCCCCCACCTCCCTCCCGGATGGGGCGGCTGGCCGGGCGGGGGGCTGACCACCCCCACCTCCCTCCCGGACGGGGGGCTGACCCCCCCCACCTCCCTCCCGGACAGGGCGGCTGGCCGGGCGGGGGGCTGACCCCCCCACCTCCCTCCCGGACGGGGCGGCTGCCGGGCGGAGACGCTCCTCACTTCCCAGACGGGGTGGCTGCCGGGCAGAGGGACTCCTCACTTCTCAGACGGGGCGGATGCTGGGCGGAGGGTCTCCTCACTTCTCAGAGGGGGCAGCTGGGCAGAGACGCTCCTCACCTCCCAGACGGGGTTGCGGCCGGGCAGAGGCGCTCCTCACTTCCTAGATGGGATGGCGGCCGGGCAGAGACGCTCCTCACTTTCCAGACTGGGCAGCCAGGCAGAGGGGCTCCTCACGTCCCAGACGATGGGCAGCCAGGCAGAGACGCTCCTCACTTCCCAGACGGGGTGGTGGCTGGGCAGAGGCTGCAATCTCGGCACTTTTGGAGGCCAAGGCAGGCGGCTGGGAGATGGAGGTTGTAGCGAGCTGAGATCACACCACTGCACTCCAGCCTGGGCACCATTGAGCACTGAGTGAACCAGACTCCGTCTGTAATCCCGGCACCTCGGGAGGCCAAGGCTGGCGGATCACTCGCTGTTAGGAGCTGGAGACCAGCCCGGCCAACACAGCGAAACCCCGTCTCCACCAAAAAAGTACGAAAACCAGTCAGGCGTGGTGGCGCGCGCCTGCAATCGCAGGCACTCGGCCGGCTGAGGCAGGAGAATCAGGCAGGGAGGTTGCAGTGAGCTGAGATGGCAGCAGTACAGTCCAGCTTCGGCTAGGCATCAGAGGGAGACCATGGAAAGAGAGGGAGAGGGTGACCGAGAGGGAGAGGGGAGAGGGGAGAGGGGAGAGGCGAGAGGGGAGAGGGGAGAGGCGAGAGGCGAGAGGGAGAGGCAGAGGCAGAGGCAGAACCTGATCTTTTCAAAGAAACAAATTTTGGTCTTATTGATTCTTTCTATTGTTTTTCTGTTCTGTGTTTTGTTGTTTCCACTCCAACTTTTATTATTTACTTTCTTCTGCTAGATTTGGGCTTAATGTTTTCTTCTTTTTCTAGTTCTTTAAGGTATAAAGTTAGGTTATTGATTTGAGATCTTTTTTTTTTCTTAACGTAGGCATTTATGGCTATAAATTTACTTCTGAGCATTGCTTTTGCTATATAAGTTTTGGTATGTTGTATTTTCCTAAGTATGTCCTATACCTTTTTGTTCCTCATTCCCTCCATTACCTTCTTTTGTGTTTGCGTTTTTAATTGTATATCATTTGATCCCCTTCTAATTTCCTTTTGTGTATAATTTTTGGATATTTTCTTGGTGATTATTATGGGGATTACAATTAATATCCTAAGTTTATAACAATCTGGTGTATTAGTTCATTTTCATGCTCCTGCTAAAGACATACCCAAGAGTGAGCAATTTACAAAATAAAGAGGTTTAATGGACTTACTGTTCCACATGGCTGGGGAGGCCTCATAATCATGGTGGAAGGTGAAGGGGACGTCTCACATGGCAGCAAATAAGAGCTTGTGCAGGGAAACTCCTCTTTTTCAAACCATCAGATCTTGTGAGACTTGTTAACTATCATGAGACCAGCATGGGGAATGACCTGCCCCCCATGATTCAATTACGTCCCACCCCTCCCCTCCCACAACATGTGGGAATTCAAGATGAGATTTGGGTAGGGACACAGCCAAACCATATCATCTGGTTTTGCCCACCTAGTTTCAATAGCACATAAAAACTCTACTCCTTTACAACTCCATTTTTCTCTTTTATATTATTGTTACAAATTACATTTTTATACGTGTGTGCTCATTAAAATAGCCATAATTGTTTTATGCATTTGCCTTTTATTTATATAGGAAACAATAAGGAGCTACATACCAAACATATGTTAATATTGGCTTTTATATTTACCTATGTGGTTATCTTCACTGGAGTTCTTTATTTCTTCATAGTTTCGACTTACTGTTTAGTGTCCTTTTATTTCAGCCCGAAGGACCCTTTTTAGCATTTCTTGTAGCGTAGGTAGGTCTACTAACAGTGAAATTTCTTGGCTTTGGGGTGACTTTTAATGCTTTACTTTTTTCATTTTTGACGGACAATTTTACCAGATAGAGAATTCTTAGTAGGCAGGTTTTTTTTTCTTTCAGCACTTTAAATATGTTGTCCCATTGCTTTTTCACCTTCATAGTTTCTGATAAGAATTTCCCTGTTAATCCTTTTGAAGATTCCTTCTATGTAATGAGCTTGCTTCTCTTGCTGTTTTCAAGATTCTGTTTCTTTCAACAGTTTGATTATAATGTGTCTCAATGTGAATCTCTGTGTGTATCTTTCTTAGAGCTTATTGAACCTTTTGGATGTATAATTTAATGTCTTTTATCAAATTTTGGAAGCTTTCAAAGCCAATATTTTGTCAAATATTATTTCCGTCCCTTTCTGTCTCTCCTTTCTTTTTGGGACTCCCATTATTATATGTTGGTGTGCATGATGTCCCAACATGTGTGATGGTATGCGTGATGTCTCGTTATTATACATTGAGATGCATGATATTCTCTTAGGCTCTTTTCATTTTCCTTCTATTCTTTTTCTTTTTTTGAGGGGAGTTTTACTCATGTTGCCCAGGCTGGACTGCAGTGGCACGATCTCAGCTCACTGCAACCTCTGCCTCCTGGGTTCAAGTGATTCTCCTGCCTCCGCCTCCTGAGTAGCTGGGACTACAGGTGTACGCCACCATGCTTGGCTAATTTTTGTATTTTTAGTAGAGATGGGGTTTCACCACGTTGGCCAGGCTGGTTTCGAACTCCTGACCTCAAGTAATATGCCTGCCTCAGCCCCCAAAGTTCTGGGATTACAGGCATCAGCCACCACGTGGGCCTGATCCCTTTTTGCAGTTTTAATCTCTTTGCTAATACTCTGTTTTTGTTAAAACATCATTCTCCTGGTTTCTTTTAACTCCTTGTTCATGGTTTCCTTTAGCTCTTCAAGCATATTCACAACTTATTTTGGGCCGGGAGCAGCAGCTTCATGCCTGTAATCCCAGCACTTTGAGAGGCTGAGGCGGGCAGATCACCTGAAGTCAGGAGTTCGAGACCAGGCTGGCCAACATGATAAAACCCCTTCTCTAATAAAAATACAAGAAAATTAGCTGGGCATGGTGGCGCACGCCTATAATCCCAGCTACTCTGGACGCTGAGGTGGGAGGATCACTTGAACCCAGGAGGCAGAGGTTGCAGTGAGCCGAGGTCATGCCACCGCACTGCAGCCTGAGTGACAGATGGAGACTTTGTTTCAAAAGAAAAAAACAAACAAAAACCCTTACTTTGTCTAGCAAGTCCAATATCTGTGCTTCCTCAGGGAGTTTCTGTTAATGTCTTCTGTGGATGGGCCATAGTTTTTGTTTCTTGATGGGTTTCATGGTTTTATTTTATTTTATTTTTTGAGACGAAGTCTCTCTTTCTCCCAGGCTGGAGTACAGTGGTGCGATCTTGGCTCACTGCAACCTCTGCCTCCCTGGTTCAAGTGATTCTTGTGCTTCAGCCTCCCGAGTAGCTGGGATTACAGGCGTATGGCACCAACTCTGGCTAATTTTTGTATTTTTAGTACAGACGGGGTTTCGCCATGTTGGCCAGGCTGGTCTTGAACTCCTGACCTCAGGTGATCCGTCTGCCTCAGCCTCTTAAAGTGCTGGGATTAGAGCTGTGAGCCACCGCACCCAGCCAGGTTTTGTGATTTTGTTGTTGTTGTGGTTAAGAATTGGATATTTTAATGTGGTGGTAACTCTGGAAATCAGATTCTTCTCATTCCTCAGAGTTTATTTTTGTTGCTTGCAGTGGACTATGGCTGTTTGTGTTTGGACTTGCAAAAATTATTTTTGTAAAGTTGATGTTTGTCATGTGTGGTTTCTGAAGTCTCTGTTCCATTAGCTTGTGTTCAGCTAGTATTTTGATAGGGATTTCCTTGAATGCCAAGAGCCTAAATAAATAATTAAAATAAAGGAGGAAAAACAAAAAGAAGAAAGGAAAAAAGGGAAAGAAAAAACCCCTTTCTCAGCCTTTGTGGATTGTCTCTGTTTGGGGACATTCCTTCATCACTTGGTAAGGTCATTTACGACTGTGCCTTAGTTTTTACTTTCTGTTTGTATTGAGCCTAGAGGTCAGCCACAGTATTCTTGGGTCTTTGCTGAGCATGTGTCCTGCCCTGAGCATACCCATGACTTTCTGAATTTCATAGTATATATGATGCTTTTAAATGTCCTAATTTCTCTAAGAAACATTCTCCCTTCGCTAGCCTTTTCTTTTAGGCTTTTGTTACTTTACTGTTTGCCTCACCTAAAGTCTTTTGCCCCAGGTGGCTGCACATCTTTTCTTTTACTTATAATGTTTTGGAAGAATATCCCCTGTTTTTCTGCCCTGAGTGAGATCTGAATTAGGTGAAACAGACAAGCGCCTTGTGTCAGTTCTTGGGATGGTTAATATTAGTTGTCAACTTGATTGGGTTGAAGGATGCCTAGATAGCTGGTAGAGTATTGTTTCTGGGTGTGTCTGTGAGGGTGTTGCCAGAGGAGGTTAACATTTGAGTCAGTGGCCTGGGAGAGGAAGATTTACCCTCAGCGTGGGTGGGCACCATTCAATCAGCTGCCAGTGCAGCTAGAACAAAGCAGGAAGAAGGTGGGGTAACCTGGCTTGCTAAATCTTCTGGCTTTCATCTTTCTCCCATGCTGGATGCTTCCTGTCCTTGGACATCAGACTCCAGGTTCTTCGGCCTTTGGACTCTTGGACTTACATCAGTGGTTTCCCAGGGGCTTCTGGGCCTTTGGTCACAGACTGAAGGCTGCACTGTCGTCTTCCCTACTTTTGAGGCTTTTTGACTTGGACTAAGCCACTACTGGCTTCCTTCCTCCTCAGCTTGCAGACGGCCTATTGTGAGACTTCACCTCGTGATCATGTGAGTCAATTCTCCCTAATAAATTCTCTTTCATTTATACATATATCCTGTTAGTTCTGTCCCTCTGGAGAACACTGACTAATACAATTTTTAAGGCTGGCCCCAGAAACAAACATAGTTCTTGAGAATAAGATCTCTTCTGCTTTCTTCAGAACCAGGGACCAGTATCCCACAGTGGAAATTCAGGCGGCTGACTTTGAGCCTGCCACTAAACCAGGTTGGGAGATGATACAAGGGAAAGTAAAAATGTCACAAGACTCTCATTTTAAAGGTGACTGTTTAAAGTCGCTTTTTTTTTTTTTAAGTTCAGTGTTTACATGGTTGCTGTAAACCTTTGACTATTTTCTAGCATACTGAAAAATTTGATTCTGATCGTTTTCTCTTGATTTTTTGATGTTACTGTGGAAGAACTGGCCCTTGGTCTACCTACTCCATTTCCTGCTGATATCACTCCCAAAAGGGGGAAATTAGTTTGAATATGTTGAGTTTGAGGTACTATGAGAAGGCCCAGTGAATATATCTCACAGGTAATTAGGTATAAGAGCTTGAATCTTTCTTTCTAAGAGAGGAGATTTGAGCTACACATATGAACTGAGATGTCACCTGCTTATCATGGAAAATGCAAGGGTGTTTAAGATCATCAGGGAGAGTTCCAGGGCATACCACCATAGATGAGTTCACAGTAGAGGCAGAAAACCAATGGGCACAAAGTACAAGGAAAACCAGGAGCCTGTGGTACAGTGAAAGGTGTTCTTATCATAAGTTATTTTAGTAGAATGGTGACATTTGAATGAAAAGAAAAAGGGAATTAGATAGCGATTAGGAGGTGATATAAGGTGAAAGACTTCTTTTTACTCTTTTATATGGACAGGAGATTTGAGCATTAGGTTTGGAGTTGTGGGAGGACCTGTGGAGAGAATAGAGTAGAACAGGGATGAATGATGGAGCAGAGTCTTAGAGGAGAACAGAGGAATAGAGTTAAGAGCACAAATAGAGTTGGCTTTCAGTAGATGTCGGGACATTTCGATTTTTAAGACTGGAGATAAAGTGAGAGATAGGTAAGTATGTAGAGATTTTTTTTTTTTTTTGAGATGGAGTTTCGCTCTGTCACCCAGACTGGAGTGCGATGGCCCAATCTCAGCTCACTGCAACCTCTGCCTCCTGGGTTCAAGTGATTCTCTCACCTCAGCCTCCTGAGTAGCTGAGATTACAGGTGCACACCACCACACCCAGCTAATTTTTGTATTTTTAGTAGAGTCGGGGTTTCACCATGTTGGCCAGGCTGGTCTCGAACTCCTGACCTCAGGTCATCTGCCCACCTCGGCCTCGCAAAGTGCTGGGATTACAGGCATGAGCCACTGTGTCTAGCCTATTTTTAGTTTTTATTTATTTTTTATTTTTTCGAGACAGGGTCTTGCTCTGTCACCCAGGCTGGAGTGCAGTAGCATGATCATGGCTCACTGCAGCCTCAACCTCCTTAGCTCAAGTGATCCTCCCAACTCAACCTCTTCAGTAGCTTGGACTGCAGGTGTACACCACCACACCTGGCTAATTTATTTATTTACTTGTAGAAATGGGGTCTCGCTGTGTTGCCTAGGCTGATGTAGAGAAGTTTATAAGTGGGAATTGGAAAGCTGAGGGAAAGTGTACTGCATGGATTAACTTTTTTTTTTTGATGAGCAGGAAAGATAATCTCTTCAGTAAGTTGGGCTGTGATGAAGTAGAGTTTGAAGGGAGTGATGAAGTCCTGGAATAGTTACTCCAGATAATGAAAGAGTGAGCTGGCCAAGGATAAGAAAAGTATTGTCAGATTGAAGACTCAGCTGAGGTTGGAGACTGAAATTGAAATGGCACTATCATGACCACTTGTCATTTCTCTAGCAGGTTAACATCGACTACAACTTGAGTATATGCTTGGGGCTTGCTTGGCAAATGAGAGAAAAGGATAGGGTGAAATGGATTATAGGGGTCTGTTGCAAGAATAGTTAAGATGTTCAACCATATAATCCATTTTGCATAGATGGGAAAGGTAAAGGAGTGGCTGATAGATGAGAAAATGGAGGGATTTTAGGATTGTTTGGTTTAATTAAATTGAGGAATAAATAGGTGGAGTGCAAGAAAGGGAAGGTGACTGGCGGAGTAAAAGACTGTTATCATAGGATGAGACATTTGAATTTTATTTCAGAAATGAAGCACTTCTAGGTGATGGATGATAAAGTTCAGGATGTGGCCCTGGGAGCTTGTGTGTCAAAGTGAAATGGAGCTAAAGGTCATTGGTGATTTATTTATTTTTTAAGGAGGTCAGAGAACTGTAAGGCTAGGTTGTTGGTTGAATATCTTATATGCTCCCTGAAGCCAGACTCATGGAATTACTTGGGATAGAGAAGGAGACTGAATCTTGTGCCAACATTTTAAATGAATGTGACAATTATTAATATTAGTTAATAACCAACAGTGGATGCTACCTTGCCAAGTTAATTTTTCTTAGATAATTAGTTGTTTAATGTGGAGATCATGCTATGGTCAGTTTATTTAGAAAAGCAGAATATTAAGTTAGGAAAATGAAACCCATATAAGCACTGTTCATACCATAAATTTATTATGTGAATATTTACTAAATTCTTATTCTGGGACTTGAAGTTGCTTGCAGCCAAGGGGAAGAGACAAATTTCTAAACAGATAATTGATATAGTGTGCTCAATGTTACAGTAAAGCAGTGGTGTCGTGGGAAGGACATATCCCAAAACCCATTGGGATGGGCAAGAAAATATCAGAACTTCTACTTACATTTATCTATTCATTGTCTGTACTTTCGTTATAATTTGTTAATACAAAAGATTTCAGACAATATAAAAGCATAGATAAAATACAAAAACACTAATGTTCCTGGCATTTAAGAAATAAAATATTACAGATGTAACTGAAAGCTTGCTGTGGGCCGGGCATGGTGGCTTACGTCTGTAATCCTAGCACTTTGGGAGGCCGAGCTGGGCAGATTGCCTGAGCTCAGGAGTTCAAGACCAGCCTGGGTAACACAGTGAAACCCCGTCTCTACTAAAAAACACAAAAAATTAGCTGGTTGCGGCAGCATGCGCTTGTACTCCCAGCTACTTGGGAGGCTGTGGCAGGAGAATGGCTTGAACCTGGGAGGTGGAAGTTACAGTGAGCCCAGATTGCGCCACTGCACCCCAGCCTGGGCGACAGAGCGAGACTCCATCTCAAAAAAAAAAAAGGAAAGCTTGCTGTGTAGCCTTCCCTAATCCCATTTCCCTTCCTTTTTCTCTTTCCTCCCCACACTGAATTTATTATTCACCATTCTTATTAGTGTTTACTAATATTGCATGTTTTTGAACCTTTAAGATTGTTTCATACTGTTGTTATCTTTCTATGATTTGCTTTCACTCAACACTTATTTTAAGATTTTCAACATTGACACATTTAGTTCAAGTTAATTCATTTTTCCTGCTGTATCGTATTCTATTGTGATTATTCTGTAATTTCCTTCTTAATTCTTGTGATGATAGATATTGAAATTGCTCCAATTTTTCCTATTATAAAATTTCAGTTGTCAATTGCTGCATAAGGAATAGCCCTAAAATTTAGTGACTGAAAACAGCAAACATTTATCATCTCATGGTTTCTGTGGGTTAGATAGCTAGACATAGTTTAGCAGGGTGCCACTGTGTTTAGTTTCTCACAAGATTTCAGTCAGGTGACAGTGGGCTGCAGTTATCTTGAGAGTCACTTGGGGGAGGGTTTGCCTCTCTGCTCACTCACATGACTATTGACAGTACTCAGTCCTCACTGACTGATGGCCAGAGACATCAGTTCTTCCCTACTTGGGCCCCCCATTTTAGGGCAGCTTACAGCATGGCAGCTGGCTTCCCTCAGAGTGAGTGAGTGAGTGAGACAGGGAACCCAATTTGGAAGTCACAGTGTTTTTGTAACCTAATCTTGGAATCCCATTACTTCTGCCATATTCTGTTTGGTAGGGTGAAGTCATTAAGATCAGTCCATGCTCAAGGGGAGGCTACTACATAGGGTGTGAATAGTAGGCAGTGGGACCATTGGAGCCTTCTTAGAGGCTGCCTACCACTCTGGGTGAAAGGGTATACATCATCCATTTTATTATTTAATAGATATTATGAAATATTCCTATTGTGGCTATTCTAATGTATACTTTCCTAAAAAGTAAGAATTTAAGCTTTACTAGTGTTTAAAATAGGAATCAATATTGGTGGTTTGTGTGTTAGAAGCTTACTTAGAGCATTCAGGATTGAGAAGAAATAGTGGGAGTTCCAGGTTTGTTTTGATAGATTACCACTTTCTGTTCCTGGTTGGGAGTATTTGTATTTTGTAGATGTAACTAAACTGATGCTCATCAAATGGACAAGTTATCTGAAGACATCTGCAAAGAAATACGTGGATTAAAATAAGAGGAATAATGTAAGTGTATAATAAGAAAGTGGGAGAAATGATACTTCTACTCTTGATATAAGCTCTTAGTCAACTGTGTATGAGGGAAAGATAATTTTGATCTCTAATATCTGACAGAAAGCCATCCAAAGCATTAAAATTGCAGAGACTATTTCTTTCTTTCTTTCTTTTTTTTTTTTTTGAGACAGTCTTGCTCTGTCACCCAGGCTGGAGTGTGGTAGCGCGATCTCAGCTCACTGCAACCTCTACCTCCCGGGTTCAAGTGATTCTCGTGCTTCAGCCTCCCTAGCAGCTGGGACTACAGGCATGCACCACCACGCCTGGCTAATTTTTTGTATTTTTAGTAGAGATGGGGTTTCGCCATGTTGTCCAGGCTGGTCTTGAACTCCCGAGCTCAGGCAATCTGCTCGCCTCAGCCTCTCAAAGTGCTGGGATTACAGGTATGAGCCACCGTGCCTGGCCAACTATTTCTTTATAATTTAATTTAATTTTTTTAAAACAGAGTCCTGTTCTGTCACCCAGGCTGGAGTGCAGTGGCACAATAATAGGTTATTGCAGCCTCAAATTCCTGAATTCCAGTGATTCTTTTGCTTCAGCCTCCCCAGTGGCTGGGACTGCAGTTGTGCACCATCATGCCTGGCTAATTTTTATTTTTTGTAGAGATGGGGTCTTACTATGTTGCCCGGACTGGTCTTGAACTTCTGGCCTGGAGTGATCCTCTCAAAGTGTTGGGATTATAGGTGTGAGCCACCGTTCCCTGCTGAATTCAATTGTAGTCTTTATAATTATTACCACCATTGTTAACAATGAACCTTACCCTAATATTTTTTTTTTTTTTTTGAGACAGAGTCTTGCTCTGTTGCCCAGGCTGGAATATAGTGGTGCAACCTTGGCTCACTGCAACTTCTGCCTCCTGGGTTCAAGCAGTTCTCCCTGCCTCAGCCTCCCGAGTAGCTGGGATTACAGGTGCCTGCCACTACGCCTGGCTAATTTTTGTATTTTTTAGTAGAGACGGGGATTTGCCATTTTGGCCAGGCTAGTCTTGAACTCCTGACTTCAGGTGATCCACCCGCCTTGGCCTCCCAAAGTGCTGGGATTACAGGCATGAGACACCATGCCTGGCCACCCTAATTGTATATTAATAGTGCCTTAAGATGTTAGCTAATAATTGTAGTACACATACATTTTTATCTGTCTGTCTGTCTGTCTGTCTATCTATCTATCTATCTATCTATCTATCTATCTATCTATCTATCTCTGTCAATCATCTGTCATCTATCTATCTGTCTAGCTAGGATTTGTATCCCCACTTGAATCTTGTGTCAAATTGTGATCCCCAATGTTGGAGGAGGGGCTTGGTGGCAGGTGATTGCATCATGGGGGGAGATTTCCCTCTTGCTGTTCTTATGGTAGTGAGTGAGTTCTCACGAGATCTGGTTATTTAAAAGTATGTAGCACCTCCCCCTGCCCTCTCTTCCTCCTGTGCTCTCTCTTCCTCCTGTTCTGGTCATGTAAGATGTGCCTGCTTCCCCTTTGCCTTCTGCCATGATTTAAGTTTCCTAGGCCGGGCGCGGTGGCTCACGCCTGTAATCCCAGCACTTTGGGAGGCCAAGGCGGGAGGATCACAAGGTCAGGAGTTCGAGACTATCCTGGCTAACACGGTGAAACCCCGTCTCTACTGAAAATAGAAAAAAATTAGCCGGGCGTGGTGGCAGGCGCCTGTAGTCCCAGCTACTCGGGAGGCTGAGGTAGGAGAATGGCGTGAACCCGGGAGGCAGAGGTTGCAGACTCCGTCTCAAAAAAAAAAAAAAGTTTCCTTAAGCCTCTCCAGCCGTGCTTCCCATACAGCCTGTGGAACTGTGAGTCAGTTAAACCTCTTTGTT
The DNA here is from genome assembly GCF_000001405.40 of Homo sapiens. Lineage (NCBI taxonomy): Eukaryota > Metazoa > Chordata > Mammalia > Primates > Hominidae > Homo > Homo sapiens. Next base: position 125,791,975 of record NC_000009.12, read on the forward strand.
TTTATAAATTATCCAGTCTTAGGTAGTTCCTTATAGCAGTGAGAGAATGGATTAATACTACACACACACACGCACGCACGCACGCACGCACGCACGCACGCATATAAATAAATAAATATTGGAGAGTACATGATCAAATCTGTAGACTCTTATACTAGAATCCTAGATGTAGGAAAAGAATACTGTGGGAGTAAAGAGGAGGGAGCAACTAACTGCCTAAAGGAAGTCAGGAAAGGCTGCACAGAGGAGGTAGATTTTGAGCTGGGTCACAAAGGACAGAAAAAAGACCTTTTTGGTAGAGGAAACAGCATTTTCAAAGGAACAGATCCTTCAGGGTATGGCTCTTTGAAGATTGGTAATAACTTTTGTAGGTGCTTAGTGTCAGAAATATTAGGGGAGGTGAAGGAAAATGAGAATGGAGATGTAGGAGGTAGCCAGAAGGTAGGCTCTGTAGAGCTAGTGGAGATCAATTAAATAGGAAATTGACATGATCCACTAGAACTAAGGAGTCCCTTAGTTCCCTGATTGGAAACTGGCTAGTTTGGCCCATAGTGGTATCCTTTAGGTCAAGACTTCCAGAGCCAGCCTTAGCTTATAGCTCCCAGTGATAGGGAGCAGTGGTTTCCCATTGAGAATTTCAGGGCATTGTTTTAGTTTTTCATAAACAAAAAATTGGATGTGGATAAATTTTATTATTATTTAAATAGCTTTATTGAGGTATACTTAATTTTTTTTTTTTTTTGAGTTGGAGTCTCACTCTGTTGCCCAAGCTGGAGTGCAGTGGCACAATCTCTGCTCACTGCAACCTCCGCCTCCTGGGTTCAAGCAATTCTCCTGCCTCAGCCTCCCGAGTAGCTGGGACTACAGGCGTGTGCCACCACGCCCGGCTAATTTTTGTATTTTTTAGTAGAGACCAGGTTTCACCATATTGGACAGGCTGGTCTTGAACTCCTGACCTTGTGATCCACCTGCTTTGGCCTCCAAAAGTGCTGGGATTATAAGCGTGAGCCACCGCGCCCGGCCGAGGTATACTTAATTTATGATAAATTGTGCTTATTTAAAATGTACAATTTGATAAGTTTTAAAAAAATATATTGGCCAGGTACGGTGGCTCATGCCTGTAATCCCAGCACTTTGGGAGGCCGAGGTGGGCGGATCATGAGGTCAGGAGATCGAGACCATCCTGGCTAACACGGTGGAACCCTGTCTCTACTAAAAATACAAAAAATTAGCCAGGCGTGGTGGTGGGCGCCTGTAGTCCCAGCTACTCGGGATGCTGAGGCGGGAGAATGGCGTGAACCTGGGAGGCAGAGCTTGCAGTGAGGCAAGATTGCGCCACCGCACTCCAGCCTGGGTGACAGAGTGAGACTCCATTTGGGGGGGAAAAAAAAAATATATATATATATATATATATATATTTACTATTAAGTGGAAGTGGATCATCATAAAGGCTTTTTTCCTTTTTTTTTGGTTGACATGGAGTCTGACTCTGTCTGCCAGGTTGGAGTGCAGTGGCACGATCTCAGCTCACTGCATCCTTCGCCTCCTGGGTTCAAGCAATTCTCCTGCATCAGCCTCCCTAGTAGCTGGGATTACAGGTGCTGGCCACCACACGCAGCTAATTTTCATACTTTTAGTAGAGACGGGGTTTCACCATTTTGGCCAGACTGGTCTTGAATTCCTGACCTCAGGTAATCCGCCTGCCTCGTCCTCCCAAAGTGCTGGGATTACAGGCACGAGCCACTGTGCCCTGTCAAAGTTGATAAGTTTTGACATAGGTAAATACCATCATTGCAGTTGGGATAATGAACATATCCATCAGGCCTAAAGTTTCTTTGTACCCTTTGGGTAAATTTTAAAAATGTAATACGTTATATTAAATATATATAAAATAAAGCTATTATTGTAGGGAATTTAGTGAGCGATTGTATTTTAAAAACCTTTCCATTATGAAGATTTAAAAACATACAGAGAGAGTAATGTTATAAACTTCTGTGTACCCAATCACGCAACTTAAATTTGTGTGATAACATTTTTAATCTTATAATGTTTACAATTTTTGTTTTCTTACAAATATGATGTTTTCTTACAAAAGCCTGATAAACTGAATTCTTAATTTTACAAATGAGGAAATTAAAATGTGGATAAATTGAATCGCTTGAAAAAATGTTTAAGTTATGGAAATGCGGGAGTTGATGAGGAGGAAAAAACATATTTTCTGCTTCTGTGTTTACTGGACCCTTGCTACTCAAAAGTGTTCTCTGTGGACTGGCAGCATGGCCATCACCTGGGAGCTTATTAAAACTGAAGATACTCACACCCCACCTCAGAACTACTGAATCAGAAATTGTATTTTAACAAGATTCCCAGGTAATCATATACACATTACAGTTTGAGAAGCTCAGTGTTAAGGCAAATTGCCTCTTTGGGCAACAATGAAATTTTATAATTAAAAATCTTTCTTGAAGTGAGGTTGGTGAATGGGAAAAAAATTGGAAACCTGACTTTAGTTACTGCTCAGTTTCTATTATTGAATGATGCCCTATATGGTACCATGAGAAGTTAATTGGTTAGCTTTCCTATGTCACCATTTTCAATTTATTAAAAAAAAAAGATTCTGAGAACAAAATAACAAAACAATACCCTAAACAATTATAATTACTCATGTATGCCTTTTGTCAGGATTATGTTTGGTCTATGAAGGGAAAGTAGGAGACTCATGGCTGTTTTTTTTTTTTTTTAACAGTCCCATAAGTTAATAAAACAAATAAAAACTCAGAGTCCTCCTCCCACCCACCCACCTCAATTCCAAAGATAACAAGGTTGGGCAACCAGAGGCAGAATTAAGCACTGTTCAGTGTGTACACCAAGAGAAGACTTCATGTTGTGTTCAATCTAGCTGGCTAGGCAACCCTTCCATTAGCCTGTTCCTAATGTTTGCACTGAATGAGCCATTACGTTTTGAAAGCAACTCAAACTGAATTCAGTATTGATGCATTCACTTACCAACTTTTCTGCCTCCGGCAGACCAGCCTTTTACTAATGGTGGTGTACAAATAGCCACTGGCTTCATCCTCACTCTCAATGAAGCCTTGTAATACTACTTCTGTTGCCATATCCCTTACATGTACAGGCTCCATTATAATTCTGTTCTTTGCGTCCATGCTCCAGAAGCATTTTCTAGATGATTGTTATTCATTAATGGAAACCCTTTTGGTAGGGTCCCAGGTAAAAACCTGTGCAGGATTGAAGTGTATTCTGAGGTGCATTGTCTTATAGTAAGATATTAGCATCTTAACAAAGAGGAAGTATCCGTGCTGTTCTTCTGATTTGTAATGTTTTCACATATAGCACCTAGCTGGTATATCTTTTTACCTTTCCAGGGAAATTATTTGGTGGCTGAGAAAACATTTGATTCAGAATTTAGGAAAAGAGGTTCTACCAATTCTTTTTACTGATATTATATTCTTTGTGATGAAAGCATATGCTCTAGAGTTAACCATTAAATAACTTTAATGGTTCCAGTTTTACTAAGTCTTTGGGTTCTCAGGGTCTGGTATGTACTCAGTTCAACAATCATATACAACATGTAAACTGTAATGATTCCAATGATGCCTTATTGCATCTAAAGAAACCCATAAATCAGATTCCACTATTAATATATATTAGCAGAGGGCTTTACCCAGAGGCACTGTTTTGTTTCCTTGGTATTGACACTGTAAGACCATGGGCCATTAACACCAATACAATTTCTATTTTAATGCTAATGGAAATGGAAGATTTAAAAATAAAATTTTAAAAATTTAAAATAAACCTTTAATACACGAGGTCCCACAGCAATTAGAAAATGATTTCTTTAAGTGGTGTCCTTTTTAAGAGTTGCATTGGAACTTATGATATGAAAGATATAAAAACATGGTAGTTGTACATATATTGAGAAGTTGCTCAAAATTTATATTGTCACTATTTTGAGCCATTTTTGGTGTAAGAGACTAAGAGTCCTCTTGCATATTTTGGAGTGTATTTAGTTCATTTGAGTCTTGACTCTTAGGTGTAAAGTCTAGCTTATCCTTTTGCAGTATTCTGCATGTCTATTTTCTTTATTTGCGGTTATACAATTAGTAATGTGCAGTGAAAATATGGTTAGTGTGGGAATAGCTCAGATTAAAATTAGAAACTGGACTTGGCATGTATTCAGTTCACTGCCCAGGGTTAAAGTCCAGCGCCACAGAAAGTGGATCTTCACCTTTCTCTCCTGGTGTTTTAGCTTTACTGATGATTTGAAACCATAGCAGTTAATATGCTTTAGCCTTTGCTTTTACAGATGAGAAATGGATCTTATACTTATATCACCAGGTTTCAAAACTATTTACACTAAGTGGGATGGTTTACTACCTCAGGGGTAGTGCATTAAGCCTATTGCTCTTGAGAATCCATTTTCTCCACCAATTGATGGGACAGATATGACAAGCCTTTAAAGTTGAGTGGAAATTTTCTGTGGGGCGGGCTGTTGTATTAAATTGTTCCTTACCACTATCATGGATGTTGTAAAGACTTGTGAGTGGGTAGCCTATGGCGAGGAAAAGAGATATATTGTCTGCAGTAGGGAGGCTGTAAGGTCTAATATATAGGGAATAATTCTCTTCCTATCTGCTATTTCCCTCTCCTTCTTTAAATCATAGGTTGAGCCCATCCACTCCAAGGAGATTTTCTTGATTAAACATCACTGAAAAGCATTAGTCAAGTTTCTTAATTGTATGTAATGCTGTGGGAGGTCTTTTTAAAAGCAGTTGTATAGAGTCACTTTATATAATATATAAAAATATATAATACACCGTAAGGACTATAGTTAATGAGAGTGTCATATTAACTGTAGTCCTTATGGACGTACACACACACACATATTTCCTAATTTGCACCAATGCCCTCTTATATTTAGATTTATCATATTTAAAAATTTAGATTTAGAATGTTAATGTTGGTTGTTGTTTGCAAGGCCTGAGATTACCTAATTCGTATGGTAACCACCCCCCAATAATTCTTGGTTGAAACACCCAGTTGCCATTATGCTAATGAACGTTTATTTGTCTTATTTTTATTCATTTTAAAAAATCAACAGAATTATAATACTATAGTGACTAAGAAGAATGTTATGAGACATTAATATGTTATATCAAAAGCAGAAATATATTTTAAAAAATGTTTTGAAATGAAATAATCCATAACATAAAGAGCCTAGATTCTATTTTTAGGACATATTTAGAATGAAAAGTATTTGAAATAAGGAAGAAGTTTTCAGTAAAATTTAAATTACTAATCAGTAATGAAGTTTCCTTTATCTGCTGGAATTAGTTACATGCTCTAAATCATACTGTATTCTGGCTCAATTTTTCACTCATTGAACTTACTTTACTTTTCAGAATGTCCTCATTTAAACTTTTTTTTAACAACTCATGGATTTGGTCTCTGAGTTACTTTACCTCTACTCAAGGTGAGTTATTTAATTCTCAGAAAATCAAATCAACACACTTAACCATGTTTGTGAAGATCAGAAGTTCTTTTCATATAAGATAAATTTTATTGTGTGTGTTTAAGGTATACAGTGTGATGTTATGAGATACATATAGTACACAGTAAAATGGTTACTGTAGTGAAACAAATTAACATGTACATCATTTCATATAGTTACCCATTTTCTCCCCTGTGGCAAGAGCAGCTATAATGATTTATTTTGCAAAAATTCTGAATACAGTACACTATTATTAACTATAGTCCTTATATTGTACATTAGGTATTTAGACTTGTTCATTCTACATATCTGGGGTCAGGAAATCTTAAGGAAAATTTAATATGCTTTCTCCTCCAAGTATGTAAGAGACCAGAAGCAAAACATTAACAGTAACAATAGCAAGAAAGTTTGTGAAATCAAAAATAATCCTTGAGAATGCACATCCAGGCATGAAGCAGTTTTTATTTATCATAGACTGTGAGAGAAATAGCAACCGGTTTCATTTTTGTTGGTCCTGCTGCTGTTTCACAGATTTCAATGTGGCTTTTTACAATGCATTTCTGGGGAACAAAGTTCAGTATACTCTAAATGCAAACATACGTTTCTGTATATAAAGCAAGTATTTTAATACATTATTATTACTTGAGCTAATAACAAATAGTCATCTGTCAATGAGCTAAAAAGGTACAAAGTTCACAGTAATTCTCAGATAGCTTAGTAATTACCCAGACAGCTTGTTGTTAGAAAAGCTGTTCAAATCTAGGATTATGAAATATACTGATGGCTATTTTACTCTCATGGAGTTTCAAAAGATTGTTGGTACATTTGTCTATAATTACACACAAGTTCTCAGTCATTATTAATGAAATTTATATTCTAAGCCACAATTGTTACTACTTATACATTTTACTGGCTTTTTCTTGCATCTCCCACCCACCAGCCCCTTGATGTTGATTGTTAAACCCCTACTAAGGATCCTTTTCTTCTCTTCCTCTTATCCCCACCTCCCATTTCTTAAAAAAAGAAAATAATTTTTAGAATAGTATGGTGATTGTTTACATTTGTTTTTCAACAAATGATTACTGAATAAAGGCATTTATTTGAGTTCTGGAAACTTCTAGAGGGAAGAAGTGGGTGATAGAGGTAATTAACTCTACAAAAAATAGAACCTTTAATGTATTTTCTTAATTTTCTAATTATTGTTTCATTATATCATGCCCTTATGTCTTCCTGGTAACACATATATATGAACTTACCATAGCAGCTGTGGTAGGTAATGGACTCTTAAAAGTTATGTTTGGATATAACTAAGCAAATGTATATTTGTTCCCTTCTAATGAAATTACTTTTAACTGCCATCTTACAAAACAAACAAAAAACAGTCCCCAGTTTGTTTAACTACATTATTTAATATACATTGTTAAATAATATATACATATATAAGACTTTAATATTAATTTTAAAAAATAGCTATTAGAATGAATTTTACTCTTAAGGTTTTATTTGCATTCTTAAAAATATGTAATTGGGTATATATACATTTAGCTTTTAAATTTCCTGATGTTTTTGGGGTTGTCTGTTGTTTAGTAATCATAAAACTTTATTACATCTCCATTCTGATATTAAATCACCATTCATCCTGAAGTTAAATGTTTCAGTTATTTTTTTGTTCTTTTCACATTAAGGGAATGTGTTTTATGTTGTGATGCAGTATGGAGATGACCAGAAGTAACAATAATTAAAGAAGCAGGCCGGTTCAGTGGTTCAGGCTTGTAATCCTAGCACTTTGGGGGCCAAGGTGGGCGGATCATGTGAGTCTAGGAGTTTGAGACCAGCCTGGGCAACATGGCGAAACTCCGTCTCTACAAAATGTTATCTGGGTGTGGTGGCGTGCACGCTGTAGTCCCAGCTACTCCGGAGGCTGAGGTGGGACGATTTCTTGAGCCCAGGGGGTCAAGGCTGTAGTGAGCCATGGTTGTGCCACTGCACTCCGGCCTGGGTAACAGAGCAAGACCCTGTCTCAAAACAAACAGACAAAACAAACCTCTTATTTTAGGAAGGGTTTGTTGACTACTTAAGTGTGAACATTTTTTCTTCTCTAAAATATTGCATTATAGTACAATATAAATATAAAATAAGCATTATAGTGTAGACAACATTTTCTTTTCCTGGGCATGGATGTAATTACATGAAGACATGTAGAGCAGATTCAGCATTAGCAGATAATTCTCTATTTTGAAAGGCATATAAGATCCAGTTTAAAGAATAAGATAAAAATGTCATGAGCTAGAATTTAGTGGTAATTTTCTATGTGTTTATAATATCTTTGATCCACAGAACTGAGTTTTCACATCCTTCTAAATCAGGGAAACTGTACTCTTTAAATTCAATTCTGTCTAATTTTTGGCACTTTATTTTCCAGGATATATATATATTCAGTGTATTTTTCTTGATTTCCTCTTGGGAGGTGAAGCCTCACAAATCAAGGGACTGCATTGTTTCAGCAATGCTTATTATTGTAATTATTAATTCAATTATTTTTATGACAGTAATAATAATTGTAGTAATAAATGCTACAAGATATTTGATGTTAAAGCAGTTATAATAAATAGACCATCAGATCTTAACAATTTGATGTTTGGTTTTTGCTTCAACTATGGACTCAGTGGTGCTTACTGATCTGATAGAGAGATGTTCCACTTCAAAGAAACATCACAGATGTCTACTGAAAAGATAAGTAAGGGTGTGATGTCAACAAAAGAGGTTGTATATATCAATAATGAGCAAAAGCCAAATTAAGCCAGTCACAGATTCCTGTCTCAAATTGCTCATGGAATGAAATAGGGTATAAATAATTATTTAGAGTACCTCAGTGGTATATATTCTACTAAGAAACTCTTGGGAGTTCTTACACTGTAATGTTGGTTCAGAAAACAGTACTTTATTAATCTTATAACCCTAAATTCTATGCTTAGCAGTAAATTATTGTGCCAATAAAGAGTTTTTCTATTATTATACCTATTTAGTACCTTACTACATGGAAAACTCTGCTATTCCTCAACATAAACGAGCATTATCCCAACACCTCAGTGAAACAAACTGGTTGGAATGGCTGCTGCTAGTGGAGAGAATTTCTCTATCCAGGAGAAGTTTTTTTTTTATAGCTTCATGGGATATTTACTAACTAAACATTTTAATGTATAAGTTGTATTCTTTCTTTTACTTAAAGGTTTTAGGAGGAACACTAATCTGAGCGCTTGGAATTAATTTTTTTTTTTTTTTTTTTTGAGACAGAGTTTCCTTCTTGTGGCCCGAGCTGGAGTGCAATGGCATGACCTCGGCTCACTGAAACCTCTACCTCCAGGTTCAAGCGATTCTCCTACCTCAGTGTCTCCAGTAACTGGGATTACAGGCGCCTGCCACCATGCCTGGCTAATTTTTGTATTTTTAGTAGAGACGGGATTTCACCATGTTGGCCAGGCTGATCTCGAACTCCTGACGTCAGGTGATCCTCCCTCCTTGGCCCCCCAGTGTTGGGATTACAGGCATGAGCCACCGTGCTTGGCCTGGAATTAATTTTTATTTGAAGTTATTCTGTATCTCCAGTGTTGGCATATGCTAGACATTCAATGAATATTTGTTGATTTAACTCTGTAGCTCCTTCTATTATGAACTAAATAAGATGCATTTGTATATATTAACATTAGATTAATATGAACAATGAAATACCTTGCATATCCTTTTGATTTTGAAGTACTTCTCTGTTTTCATCCTGCCAAATTTTCTGCCGGGCTTCAGGCTGCCGAATTAGGCTGCCTTGTCTTCAGCAAAATTCCATTGGTGTATCTGTCTATATAAGACACAGCACTGTTTATTCTGGCAGATAAACGTGTCATTCTTATATTTTTCTTGCCTACAACTCTGGCTCCTTTTATTTTATGGAGCTTTGGGAATGACTGAGTAAAATTATTTCCTTCAAAAATTAGCATATGATTTCCAAGTATTTTGATATATTTGTTACCATAAATTTTTCCATTATTAACCAAAGACCATAAAATTACAAACACCTTTTCACATAAGAAAATGCTGTTCCTGATAAAGATTTTTTGCAGAAATTTCTCTCCCTTCTCTCATAATAAAATTAGTGATGTATGTTATCGTGTGATATGTTTTTTCACATTCCATCTTTTTGTATTTGAAACTGGTAAATTCTCCAGCATTTCCCGTCATAGCTTGCATGTGTTCTTCACCTAGTTTTGTAAAAAGGTTTTTTCCTCTTAAATGTTTATATGAACATGTATACACATACACACACACACACACACACACACACACACACACATATTCTTAACTTTCTGAATCATTTATAAGTTGCAGACTTGGTATGGTTAAAACTAAAAACTCCAGTGTATATTTCATTTTTTTGAGGTTAAGAAAATTTATTTTCGGCTAGGTGTGGTGGCTCATGCTTGTAATCCCAGCACTTTGGGAGGCTGAGGCAGGAGGATCACTTGAGCCTGGGTGAGTCCTGATTGTGCCACTGCACCCAGCCTAGGTAACAAAAATGAAATCCTATCTCAACAACAACAATAACAGCAAAACTTATTTTTATTCCTAATTTTATAATAATTTTGCATTTCAACTTTTATTTTAGATTCAGAGGGTACACGTGCAGGTTTGTGACACAGGTATATTGCGTGATGCTGAGGTTTGGGGTTGATCTTGTCACCCAGGTAGTGAACACAGTACCCACTAGGTAGTTTTTCAGCCCCTGTCCCCACCCACCCCTCTCTAGTAGTCCCTAGTGTCTGTTGTTCCCATCTTTATGTTCATGTGTATATAATGTTTAGCTTCTACTTGTGAGAACATTAGTGCATTTTTTTTTTTTTTTTTTTTTTTTTAAAGACAGGGTCTCATTCCGTTGCCCAGTGTGGAGTTCAGTAGCATGGTCATGGCTCACTGCAGCCTCCACCTCCCCAGGCTCAGGTAATTCTCCCACCTCAGCCTCCCAAGTAGCTGAGACTACAAGCACACACCACCAGGCCTAGCTAATTTTCGTATTTTTTGTAGAGACAGGGTTTCACTATGTTGTCCAGGCTGGTCTCAAACTCCTGGGTTCAAGCCATCCGCCTGCTCAGGCCTCCCAAAGTGTTGGGATTATAGGCATTAGCAATTGTGCCTGGCCAATACATTTTTTTTTTGTTTGTTTTTTTGAGACAGAGTCTCTCTCCGTTGCCCAGGCTGGGGTGCAGTGGTGCGATCTCGGCTCAGTGCAACCTCCGCCTCCCGGGTTCAAGCAATTCTCCTGCTTCAGCCTCCCGAGTAGCTGGGATTACAGGTGCATGCCACCACACCCGGGTAATTTTTGTACTTTTAGTAGAGACAAGGTTTCCCCATATCGGTCAAACTGGTCTCGAACTCCTGACCTCAGGTGATCTGCCCGCCTCGGCCTCCCAAAGTGCTGGGATTACAGGCGTGAGCCACCGTGCCTGGCTGCATATTTTTTAGAAGATACAATGATACTCTGTTTTATAACCATAACACAATTATTAAAATCAGGAATTTATTATCTATAGACCTTATTTCAGTGATTTTTCCCACTAATGTCTTTTTTTTTTTTTTTTTTTTGAGTCAGAGTCTCGCTGTGTCGCCCAGGCTGGAGTGCAGTGGTGCGATCTCCCCTCACTGCAAACTGCCTCAGGTGATCCTCCCTCCCACCTCAGCTTCCTGAGTAGTTAGGATTATAGGCACGGGCCACCATGCCTGGCTAATTTTTGTATTTTTAGTAGAGACGGGGTTTCATCATGTTGGCCAGGCTGGTCTTGAACTCCTGACCTCAAGTGATCCACCCGCCTCAGCCTCCCAAAGTGCTGGGATTACAGGCATGAGCCACTGTGCCCGGCCCCCACTGATGTCTTTTATAAGAAAAGTAAAAGTAAAAAAAAAAATTATTTTCCAGGATTCAAAGTATGAACATGAACTACATTTAGTTTTTATGCCACTTTTGTCTCCTTTAACTTGGAACAATTCCTTAACCTCTTTGTCATGACCTTGGCATAAAAAAATGGGCCATTTATTTTTTAGAATATGCTTTCAATCCAGGATTTTCTGATGTTTTCTTATAATTAAATTGAAGTTATACTGTTTTGGCAGGAATATCACAAGAATGATGCTTTGTCCTCAGTCATTAGATCAAGAGGCATATGATGTCACTTTGTCATATTACTAGTCATACTAACTTTGATGACTACTCTCGTTTATTTTTTACACGTTTATTGAAGTGTAATAGACATACAATAAACTGTACTCATCTACCTCTAATTTTTAATATAACTGATGAGTAAAGTTAATGACCTTAGAGTGTAGTCTTATGAACTCTCTGTTTGAATTACCAGAACCTTATGAAATGTCAGGGCCATGTGCTAGCCTGGTTTGCTAGCAAAGTCAGTGTAGACTCTACATGTCGTAAAAGGTGAATAACTGGTGTAAAAGAAGAGCAGGCTTTCTGACTTTGGGGTCTTTATCTAGTCTGAGTGTTGAGCATCTTTGTTGTGATTTTATAGCTTCTTCATCTCTTGCTACATTTGCTGTCATGAGTTTTCATGTCAGTAGCCTACTCTCAGATCAGTCTTGGGGATAACAAAAGTTACTAGAAATGGTGAAGACTAAATAGGTTATAGACTATATGTAGGTAATCAGTGGTAGGGTTTATAAATATAGAGTTTATTCAGTGTTAGATAGCTAAGAGTTATAAAGATTCTTAGGTCTATGCATTTCTTGGGAAAATTCATAAAGGAATTTCAAAGTTGGAAGAAATCTTAAGTGTCACAATCCAGAGCTTTTCAAGGTATATGAGCTATTGAGCCTCTTAGCTCTCTGGGCGGCTGGGCTCATCCTGGGATGGCTAAGCCCTTGTGCTGGTCACCTGTGGCTGCAAGCATTCTTGTCTGTTTATCGTAGTGTGCTGTACAAAACCATTTTCTAGGGACACCGTGACATGAAGGGATTATAAGGAGACTGTCTTTGTCCAGCAACCCATTTCATGTTAAAATCTCCTTCTGTCCCATCTCTGCTAAATGATGATTTAGTGTAGCCATTTATTCAACAAATATTTGATACAAATTATGTGCCAGGCACTGTGCTAGACTTAAGGAAAAGCGCAATAAAGAAGACAGGTGGGCGTGGTGGCTCATGCCTGTAATACCAGCACTTTGAGAGGCCGAGGCAGGTGGATCACCTGAGATCAGGAGTTCAAGACCAGCCTGGAGCCTAGCCAACATGGTGAAACCCCATCTTTACTAAAAATGCAAAAAATTAGCTGGGCGGGGTGGCGGGTACCTGTAATCCCAGCTACTCGGGCGGCTGAGGCAGGAGAATTGCTTGAACCTGGGAGACGGAGGTTGCTGTGAGCTGAGATCATGCCACTGCACTCCAGCCTGGGTGACAAGAGCAAGGCTCTGTCTTAAAAAAAAAAAAAAAAAAAGAAGAAGAAGAAGAGGAAGAAGACAGATAAGCTTCTCATTGAGCTTTTATATTTTGTTGGGGGAACATAGACAAAATCCAAGTATATCAACAGACTGATGAAAGAGATACTAAGTGAGGCCACTTTAGATAGGTTGTTAAAAGAAAATATTTTTTTGAGGCGGTATCATTTCACTGAGACTGGTGGATGAGAAGGAGCAGGCTTAAAAAAAAAAACTGGGAGAAGAGCATTCCAGGAAGAGGGACTGCCAAGTGCACAGGCCTGGCTGTGGTAAGGATTTGTTGGACTTGAGGAACAGAGTGGATGCCTTTGGGATTAGAGTGTAGTGTGTGAGGGGAAGAATAGTATGAGATGAGGTTGGGCAGATGAATAGGAGCCATGTGATGCAGGGGGTTCTGGGCAGAGTGAGGAATTTGGATTTTGTTCCATGCAGTGGGAAGCGTGTGAAGGGTTTTTAACAGGGGAGGCACATAGGCTCATTTTTTAAAAAGATGATTTTGACTTTTGAATGAATGGATTTTAGGAGGCCAAAAAATGAAAACAATGTGCCACTTGGAGGCTATGGTAGTCCCAGTGAGAGATGATGGTGGCCTAGACTAGACTGATAGCAGTAAAGACGGAGATAAATGGATGGATTAATGAGATGTTTAGTAATAGAACTTGGAGATGGAACTTGGAAATATGGTTGCTTGGAAGGAAGGAGTCAAGAATGAATCTTGGAGAATTCTGGCATGAACACTTGGTTAAATGATGGTGCCTTTCCCTAAAATAGAAAGTACAGTGGGAATAATAGGTTTTGGGGTGGGAGAGGGAGAAATGATGAATTCCATTTTGAGCATGTTAAGTTTGGATTGCCTGTGGTTCATTAGTTTATTCAAGAAATATTTATTAAGGTTCTGTGGTATGCCAGGCACTATTCTATACCCATAGGAATGAAGGAAACAGATAAAATTTCTTATCCTAATAGAGCTTAGCTTGCAATGGGAGAAATGTAATAAGCCAAATAAGTTTTTATTTCTATATATCTATGTATCTATGTATCCATCTCTATATCTGTGTAAATGTATGATAACTGCTTGGAGAAAAACAAGGAAGTGTCAGAGAGGTGGTGTTGAAATTTTAAAATGTTTAATAGGTGACTAGAGACCAGCCTTACTTGAGAAGATGACTTTTGATCTCATATCTGAAGAAAGTGAAATAGGCATGCATATATCCAGGGAAAGGGCACTTCAGGCAGAAGGAAGAGCAAATGTAAAGGTTCTGTGGTAGGAGCATGCTTGTGAAGTTAGAGGAACAGTGAAGAGACTAGGTGGCTGGAGCAGAGGGAGGGAGGGAGAGTAGGAGGAAATGGGTATTGTCTTAGTCTGTTTGTGCTACTGTAAAAAAATATCTGAGACCGGGTAATTTATAAAGAGTAAATTTCTTTTTCACAGTTCTGGAGGATGGGAGGTTCACGATCAAGATGCTGCCAGGTTCGGTGTCTGGTCAGGGCCAGGCTTCTGCTTCCAGGATGGCACCTTGCATGCTGTCTGTTCACATGGTGGAAGGGCAAAAAGGGGGCCTAGCTTGCTTTCTGCAGGCCTCTTATAAGAGCACTCAACCATTTGTGATGGCAGAGCCTGTGTGGCCTCATCACCTTCCAAAGCCTGTTAATACTGTTGCTTTGTGGATTAGGTTTCAGTATGAATTCTGGAGAGGGCACATGTGTTCAAATCATGGCAGTCATATGGGGGGAAATTGCAGATCATATTAAGCTCAGTGTCTCATAAGTTATTGTGAGCAGTTTGACTTTTATTTAGAATGAGATGAGCATTCATGTAGCATTGAAGTAAAGATGTCAGGTTGATAGTTGGACACAGAGATTTGGAGTGCAGAAGAGATTGCTGTGCAGGAAATAATTCCCAAATCTAAGACCACCCATGGACATGGATGAGATCACTCACAGAAAGTTTTGAATAATTTGAGAGGAGAAGATATAAGACAGACTCCTAGGGGACACCATAAACCTTTAAGTTATTAGAAATGGATTGCTAGTTTAATCAGTGGGGTAAACACATTTTAAGAAAGAAATATTAGCTGGGCACAGTGGCCCATGCCTGTAATCCCAGTACTTTGGGAGGCTGAGGCGATGAGATCACTTGAGGCCAGGAGTTTGAGACCAGCCTGGCCAACATGGCACAACCCCATCTCTAGTAAAAAGTACATAAATTAGTTGGGTGTGGTGGCATGTGCCTGTAGTCCTAGCTACTTGAAAGGCTGAGGCAGGAGAATCACTTGAACCTGGGAGGCAGAGGTTGCAGTGAGCTAAGTGAGCTGAGATTGCACCACTGCATTCCACCCTGGGTGACAGTAAAACTCTGACTCAAAAAAGAAAAAAAAAAAGAAAATATTAACAGAAGGAGTGGTACAACGTAGAATAGGCGGCTATAGAAACTGATGTAGTTAGCTTTCCTAACAGGGAGGAAGCAAGTGTTGAGCATGAGCACTCTGGTAGAGGTTGGGACACTTGGTAAGGGCTCTGAATTCAGATTGTGATTTGATTCTCAACCCTTAATACTTACAAGTGGCATAACCTGCGTAAGATTCCTAACCCCTCTAACTTGTCTAAATTCACATTTCTAATCTAAAAGGCTAGTATGTAACCTACCTCATAGGGCTGTTGAGTAAATTTATGTATCAGTACCTGGTTAGCCCTTAATAGATACTCTAGATTATTATTGTTAGAAACATGTTTTTTTTTTATTGTAGGTACATGATAGTTCATCAAACTTCTCTTATTAAATATCCTTCAAGACCAGTGCTGTACTTGCCAGTCTAGTTTTTATTACTTTGGTTTCCCATGCACCTTGACACCAGGAAAGGAATAAAGTTTCCTGGGCAGGATATATCAGTGTTTATGTTATCAAAAAGAGACATCTCTTTATAAATCAATACATTTTAACTCTAGTGTATACATCAGTTTTTAATTAATTGAGTTATTAAGTCTGTGAAATTTTGCTAATCTCTGGGTGAATGAATTAAGTCCACTTTTCATGTAGATAGATAGATAAACAGATAGATTGGATTATCTAGATTGATAGATAGATAAAGTCCAGATAGGGATAAAGTCTACTTTCTAGACCTTCAAGACAAACTAGGAGATTCTGGATGGTGGTAAAAATCACTACATACATACAATTGTTAAAAATTAAAAAGTTTTCCTAAGGAGTGGTCTATGTGGGGAAACAATTTTTTTGTTGGTTTATGATTATATCATTTTTCTAGTATAAAATAGGACGTATAGTGTGAAAAATGTGGGACTGACAGCATCTAAAAAATTATTACTTGACAGAATCCAAACTGATACCCTTATTTTTCTTTCCGGTACTTTAAAGTTAGAGTTGATTCTCATTATTTATAGCAATTATGTTTCATAAAGTCTCTGTAAGGCTGAGTGCAGTGGCCCACCCCTGTAATCCCAACACGTTGGAAGGCTGAGGTGTGAGGATCACTTGAGCCCAGGAATTTGAGACCACCCTGGGGACTCTGTCTCTACAAAAAATTTAAAAAATTAGCCAGGTGTGGTGGCATGCGTTGGTGGTCTTAGCGAGGCAATAGGCTGAGATGGGAGAATCACTTGAGCCTGGGAGGTCAGGGCTTCAGTGAGTTATGATCATGCTACTGCACTCCAGCCTGAGCTATAGAGTGAGACCCAATCTCAAAATAAAATAAAAAATACAGTCACTGTAAACACTAATTCAGTGTTTACAATGGGGTATTGTTTCTAGAAGAAATACAGGGTTAGGTTCCTGTGAGTCTCTGGTCACAATTTTTGTCAACCAATCATACATGACCTTGTTTTGTGTGTTTCTGTTTAAACACATCTTATTTAATATATATTGTTGATTCATTAACATTGAACTCTCAGCCAACAGCACTGTAACTCATGTCTTAACGAAGTTTATCTAACACATATTTTCTTTGTGGCACATCACAGCCTTCTTGTCCTTAGGAACACCAGACAGCACTTACCGCTGTTCTTGAGTGCCATTTTAAACAGGGACACCAGACAGCACTTACCGCTGTTCTTGAGTGCCATTTTAAACAGGGAAATCACCAACAAAAAGCACAAAATTACAAAAAACCTGGTACTAAATAGACTGCAAGAAGGATACCTGTTAACCATATAAGAGCTGAAACAAGAAAGCTGAGCGTCATTTTGTTCAACTTCAGCTGGGAATGTGGGTGTTGGGCAAATCAAATTTTTCACTGTTCCTTGCATATGCGTGACTGCAGATGACTGCAAAAGTGCCCTGAGGGTTGATTTTGGGGTTACAAATAAATTTTAGTGAGTAGGCAAATTTGTAAATATAGAGTGACTTTATTTTATTCTTGGGAAAAAATCTTTTTTCTTTTTTGGGGAGATGTGATAAGATGAACATTTGATTAGTTATTGTAACATTATTTTCCATCTCAATGCTGATTTTTTTTTTTTTTTGCCAAATAATCCTAAGGCTCCAGGTATTACCTTTGTAATCATTTGGTTATTTTTATAACTCAAATGCAGTTGTACTTCTGAGGATAGTCTAAGTTCTTTAAAAGTGTAAAGACAATTACCATCTCAATTAAACAGAAAACACGGAAGAAAGCAAATAAACTGTAAAACTTAGAAGGCAAAATGGAATATCTGTGACCTCAGGGTGGGCGAAAGATTTCTTAAACAATATAAAAATCACAATCATAAAGGAAATATTCAGCTATATTAAAATTAAGAATTTCTGATCATCAATGTAAACCATAAGGAAGAAATGAAAGTACAAGCCATGACTGGAAGAAGACACTGCAATATAGATCACTGGTCAGGATGTTTAAAGAATTCCTATAAATTATTATGAAAAAGGCAACCTGGTAGAAAAATGAACAAAAAACTTGAATGGGAAAGAAAAGAAAATTGAATGGTTATTTTACCAAACATGAAGTCTAAATAATACAGTAAGTTCTGTTGTAATGCTTGTTTTGAAAATGTGAGGATTGTTCCAACATGATTGGTATATTAGGGAATAGTTTGGGCACAATGTGAATTTCATGTGATTTTGTCCTTAAGAAACACTAGATGAATGCAGAAAACTGCACTTGGCTGAACTGAGCCACATAGGAATATACAAAGTGCACACATCTCAAACATCTATTAGCTACCTGAAGTAGTTGATAATGTTCTACTAAGTCACCCCTCCCTACTCTTTTATAAAAATTTCTGTTTTCTCAGTGTTTGTTTCTCAAAGCAAGCACTCTGTTCTAACTTATTATGACTCATGTTAGGTTAATATTTTATAATTCTCAAGGGGCTTACAATTTAAAGATAATTTTCTTCAAAAGAATGTATTTTATGTTGTAATATTAACCTTCTGGAGCAGGAATGAGTGTGTGTGTGTGTGTGTGTGTGTGTGTGTGTATGGTGGAGCAATGGGTGAGAAGCTTTTTATTGTACCTAGAAAACCATACATGTAAGCTTCTGTTCCCTATAAGGTCTGTCTTTTTACAGAATTTCATTCTGACTCTCCATGATTTCCACTTCTAAATGTCTTCTTGTGTTGAGTGGAACTTTTTGGCCAGTTTTCAGTGATTTCAGAGTCTAGTGGACTTGTGGACATTTTTATCTGGGTAGTTACCCAGCATCTTTTGATTATTTGTCCTATATTGAGGAAAATCTTACCATTGATTCTATATCCCTTGCTAGAAGACAATTTCTTTGTATTCTTTGCAGCCAGAGCTCAGGCATATGACACAGAGCCAGCCAATCAGATGCAGTCACCTGAGTTTGGAAGAAAGAAGTGTGAAGAAGGTGGTGCTGTGTGGAATCTGTCCTGATGAAGGTGGAAGAACTGGCAGAGAGATAGGCTTTTGGGGGTGGCAAATGGTAGAAATCTTAACTATAGCATTCTCTGCTCCCAAGATGCGAGGTGTGGTATCTGTGCCCAGTGGTAGTCTTCCATGAGGATTTGGTTATTATTCCAGGTTACATAGACCTCAGGCACTCCTGGGGATCCTGTAAGCTCCCTAATATCTTTTATAAACTTCTCTTCTGCTAAAAGTAGCTAGCATAGCTCCCATCTCTTCATGGTTCCTTAGCCTCTTTCTTTAAATCCATATTTAGAAGGCAAACATGAGATACAAATCTCAGTTGGCTGATGAAGGAAGGCCTGTCCAATAGCTTCTCCGTTAGCCTGTAAAATATGTATGTTTTATGAATTATTGTTAGCATATGGAAAATCAGTGTCGTAGCTTGGGCAGCTGTAACAATATACCATAGACTGGGTGGCTTAAATAATAAACGTTTGTTTCTCATAGTTCTGAAGGCAGGGAAGTGCAGGATCAGGCTGTGATATGGTTTGGCTCTGTGTCCCTACCCAAATCTCACCTTGAATTGTAATAATCTCCATGTGTCAAGGGCAGGACCAGGTGGAGATAATTGAATCATGGGGGTGGTTCCCCCATCCTGTTCTCATGATAGTGAATGGGTTCTCATGAGATCCGATGGTTTTATAAGGAGTTTCCCCCTTTGCTTGGCTGTCATTCTCTGTCTTGCTTCCCTGTGAAGAGGTTCCTTCTGCCATAATTGTAAGTCTCCTGAGGCCTCCCCAGCCATGTGGAACTGTGAGTCAATTAAACCTCTTTTCTTTATAAATTACCCAGTCTCGGGTATTTCTTCATAGCAGCATGAGAATGGACTAATACAGGCTGCCTACAGATTTAGTGTATGGTGAGTGTTCATTTTCTCATTTGCAGATGTCTACCTTCCTGCTGTATCCTTACATGGTGGAGAGAGAGATAATCTTTCTCATGTCTCTTTTTTTAGACATTTAGATGAATTTCATCATGGGGGCTCTGTCCTCATGACCTATTTATCTCCTGCTGTGGTCTGAATGTTTGTGTCCCCTGCAAATTCATATGTTGAAACCTCGTCACCATTGTGGTAGTATTAAGGGGTGGGATCTTTGGGTGGTGATTAGGTTATGAGGGCTTCACCCTCATGAATTATATTAATACCCTTGTAAAATAGGCCCAAGGGAACTTATTTGTCCTTTCTGCCTTGTGAACACGCAGCAAGAAGGCACCATTTATGAAGTAGATTGAGCTTTCACCAGATACTTAATCCACAGGTGCCTTGATCTTGGGCTTCCTAGCTTCCAGAACTGTGAACGATAAATTTGCGTTGTCCACAAACTACCCAGTCTAACTTATTTTAACAGCCTAAACATACCAAGACACCTCCCAAAGGCCCTGCCTCTAAATATCATATTGGGAATTAGTGCTTCAATATATGAATGGGTTGGGGGGCACAAATATTTCCTCCATAGCAATTAGTGAATAATAAAACCAGCAGCCATGTACTCATACTCAGCTTTACCAAATATATGCATTTAACCATATTTTCTTCAGATTTTTAACAGTCGTTAGATATTATGGATGTAGTCTGCTTATTTGGATATTTTAATTGACTGGATTTGCTTTGTTTCTTTTCCATTTACAGACTTAAGAGTTTAACATTCTGTTACTTTAATTGATATCAGCATGCGTTTTTACTAAGACTCAAAATCTCTTTATTGATCAATACAGGGACCTGAGCGTTTTCAGTTCCCCTTCCTGCTCCTGTTTTACGCTTTTGCGTGGGTTACGAATACAGTCGTGTCACTTAATGGCAGGGTTACATTTTGAGAAACTCATCATCAGGCAATTTTGTCATTGTGAGAACATCATACAGTGTTCTTACACAAGCTTAAATGATATAGCCTTCTGTACACCTAGGCTATATGGGATAGCTCATTATTGTTCCTAGGCTACAAGTCCATACAGCATGTTATGTGCTGAATACTATAGGTAATTTTAACACAGTGGTATTTGTGTATCTAAACATAGAAAAGGTAGAGTAACAATATGGTGTAAGAGATAAAACATGGTATAGCTGTATAGGGCACTTACCATGAATGGAGCTTGTAGGACTGAAAATTGCTCAGTGAGTGAGTGGTGAGTGAATGTTTAGGCCTAGGACATTAGTGCATACTACCGCACACTTTATATATGATGTACACTTAGGCTATACTAAATTTATAAAAATATTTTTATTTCTTCAATAAGTTACCCTTAGCTTACTATAACCTTTTTACTATATAAACTTTAATTTTTAACTTTTTGACTTTTGTAATAACACTTAGCTTAAAACACATTGTACAGCTTTACAGAAATATTTTTTCTTTACACCACAGAGCATTCAGATTTTTTTTTATATCCGTATTCTATAACCTTTTTATTAATTTTTTTTACTTTTTAATTTTTTTTTGTTAAAAACCAAGCCAAACACACATTGGCATAGGCCAATGTGTAAGTAGGGTCATGATCATCAAAATATCAGTAGGTGATAGGAATTTTTTAGCTCCTTTATAATCTTATGAAACCATCATTGTATATGTGGTCCATGGTTGACCAAAACATCATTATGCAGTGTATAACAGTAAATGCAAACCCCAACTGTAGTCATTTAAACGCATCAAGATATCTTTTATGTCATATAACAAGACACCCAGAGGATTACAATTTGATTCAGTAACTCATTAATGTTGGAACCATTGTGTTTGCAATCCTTCTGGCCAATGAGAGCCCTTCAGGCTGTCATCTGTGTCTTTTTGACATGTCACCATTATTCTTCAAGCAGTTCCTTATATTCTGGTATGATAAGATGTTCCCAGCTTATCTTGTCTTTGCCTTGTCCTAGCCCTGGAATCAACCGTTTCTTTAAGTATACTTGGTTCCTTTTAGTGGATAATGACATTGAGAAAACAAGATTTGAGTGTAAGTTATGCTCATTGCTATTAGGTATCACTGCTTCTGAATCTACTCAATGAAAAGATCTAGAGAAATACATACATAAACACGTATGTCGGCCGGGCACGGTGGCTCATACCTGTAATCCCAAAACTTTGGGAGGCCAAAATGGGCAGATAACCTGAGGTCAGGAGTTCAAGACCAGCCTGGCCAACATGGTGAAACCCTGTATCTATTAAAAATAAAAAATTAGTTGGGCATGGTGCGCCCCTGTAGTCCCAGGTTTTCAGGAGGCTGAGGCAGGAGAATCACTTAAACTCGGGAGGTGGAGGTTGCAGTGAGCTTAGAGATCACGCTATTGCACTCCAGCCTGGGCGACAGAGTGAGACTCCATCTCAAAAAAAAAAAAAAAAAGTATCCTAGGATCAAAGCTAGCAGGTTGCATGTTCCCTTCAAAGATGGGTACTTTCATATTTGACCTAGTGTTCTCGCAGTTATTATATTTTTCTATACTTTGAAAAGTTACTACCCTTGTTAACTCTAACTTTGTATAGATTTTAACTTGTTTGTTCCATCTCTTTTTTTTTGGAATGGTACAATGCCAGTAAAACTGTAGAATGAGACAGAATGGATCCAAATTGTTCCAAACTGTACTGTTCTATTTAAGATGAGTGCCGTAAGTGCTGTGAGCTACATATATACATTTAGATCCCAGGATTTTTAGTTCTATAGAGTCATTCTAGAGGATGTGAATAGTGAAAATGTTTCCCATTAACAGATAGATGCAATTCTAACTATCTGAAAATAACCTAGAAAAAGACCTGCTATCTGGAACAGAAATGGAGAGACTACTTTTGACTGCCCAATGAATAACATTCATGATTATTGACCAGTACTGGATCAATTTAGCCTCAAAGACCATTGATCATGCTGTATTCTTAGAGCTGTATTGGCCTTTTACTTCTCCACAGAGGCACAGATTATAGTCAGTTTGGCATTCGTTTTTAATTTTATGAAGAGTGTTTTAAATTAAAACCTATCAGATCACTCTCCCTCCTTTGAGACATTAATGTGGTCCTTATATAATTAAGCCATCCACCATTCAAGCCGATTAACAACTTCCAGAATAGGAATTTGAGGTTGAAAACACTATTCCCAATTGCCATTCTTCAGCCTGAAGGATTAGGGAATTACAGCCTCTCATTTCTAACTCATCTTTTATCAGAATTCTGAAAGATAAAATCTTCCTTATTTCTCAGTTCCATTTCTTTTTCCTTACTTGTATGCTTAGGAAGATAATTTTTCCTCACAACCTGAAGAATTATGTCTATTTTTTTGAAAGACTGAAAGAAATCAGACTAAGTAGTCAGATTTTCTGTCCTTCAGGGTAACTTTCTGGGTCAATCCATTTTGAAAAGAATATTTTTCAACTAGTTAGCAGGTAATTTTAAATTATAAAAGTACTCTCCTTGCACAGTTGAAAAAAATGTTGTAACCTCTTGCTGTTCTTCTCCTTCCTATAGTCCCACTCATCAGAGAAGACCACATTTCATCTTTCTCTTTTTTGTTTTCTTGCTAGTTACCCACCATAAATTTAAATAACTGAAATTGTTGACTGTATATCATTTTTCCATGGTAAGGAATTTGGCTTATTTATATAATCTCCCACATAATTTCCTTCTCTTCCTCTCTGGTTTTGTTGTTGTATTATTTTTTGTTCTGCTGTAGGTTCCTCGTATAACATAAGCAATGTGTTCTCTAGCTTTGATTCCATCAATATCAGACTGTATTACTTTACTTTTATATGAAACAGGAGGAAATTAGTACTCCCTTCTTTAACTGTTGTACTTTTGATATTACCTCTTAATTATTTTTGGAGAATGGTTGTCTGACTTCTCCTTTGGGCAAATGTTCTTTGCAGTGACTGGGTGTGTGTGTGTGTGTGTGTGTGTGGAAAATGTGAGGAGGGACCAAATTTCTCAGGTGTTACTCAGACCTTCTTTTAATTTACTGCCCCATTTCCTGTTGCTGTTCTCTGTCCAAGGTTGGAGCCTCTGTCAGTCTTTGCTGGGAAAACCGGCTCCTACCTCCTTCTCATTGTAGATTTGGGCCTCCTTCACTGTGATGCACTTGTCATTGTGGTGTCTCATTTGTTATCTGTGTTACAGAAATTTATCAAAATCTGGTCTTCTTCAGCCCCACCCCCTACTCTTTCTCTCTGCCTCCCTCCGTCTCTCTCTCTCTCTTTTTGTTTTTTGAGACCGTGTCTTACTATGTCACCTAGACTGCGGTTTAGGGGTGCGATCATGGCTCACTGCAGCCCCGACTGCCCGGGCTCAGGTGATTCTCCCACCTCAGCCTCAGGCGAGGACCACCACGCCTGGCTAATTTTGGTTTTTGTTTTTTGTTTTTTGTAGAGACTGGGTTTTGCCATGTTGCCCAGGCTGGTCTTGAACTCCTGAGCTCAAGTGATCTGTGTGCCTTGGCCTCCCAGAGTGCTGGGAACACAGGTGTGAGCCCCTGCACCCGGCTCTTCCCCCTTCTCAATGGTATACCCTTTACAGTCCTATCAGAGGGAAACTGGAAAGGAAGAATGGAAATTAAACATACATACTCAGTCTGCTCTCTTGAGCCAGAAGATCCAGAGCGATGCTTGCTTTTTAGTTGTCTTCAATTGTTATTGAATATTTCTATGGTGCTTTTACATTGTTCGGAGTGATTTTATCTGCTTAATCTTCATAACAACCTTTGATTTAGGTGGAATGTATATTACTCTTGTTTTACAAATTAGGAAAGTGAGGATTAGAGCGGCTAAGTAAGGGATTTACGGATGGTCACTTGCCTGAGTAAGTTGCAGAACTGGGATAGAGATTAGTGCTCGAATCTTCCAACTCAGGGTTCAGTTCTCTTTATATTATACTCTTTTGACTGGGGAAAGGGTTGTGTCTGTCCTCAAGTTTTAGTCTGTCTCTCTTTTTTGTGTGTGTTTGTGTGTGTGTATATACACAGAACATTTCAACACTGAAATTGCTTGGCAGTTTCATGGTCTTTGTGCCATACCTTCTTTAACATAGAATCCCAGTTTAATCTTTTTATCCTTTACCAGTTCTCTTCTTTTCTTGTAATGTCTCATCATTTAGATTATCAGATGATTGGTCCTTTTTGACTATTTTTGGAGACACCAGAGTTCTTATATGGTTTCATTTTTTTCTGCAGTTAATGTATCTGTGCATGCGTAGCTGATCTTCACCTTGTTAAAAGGTGAAACAATTTTTTTAATCAACATTTTTTGCTTCTTAGTCTTTCCAAAATCAGTCATGAAACTAGAGTGAAGAATTATTCTGTGTTGATAACCTCAATAGAGTAAAGAATTGGTCTGTGTTAGCACTGGTCTGTAAAGGCTACCTATAAGTAGTTTGGTTTTATCAGTGTGACTAGTTTCTTTAAAGTAGATTAGAGATGAAGTTTAGATACAACACATATTGAATCACACAGATTTGTTGTTTACTTCCAATACTTATTTATTAGGTAAAAATAAACCTATAAGAGATCTTCTTCAAGAGTATTTGCATCCCACATTCCAACACTATTCAAAGCCTTATTTTCCTAGAGATCTTGGAGGTGGACTAGAGGTACTTGTGACTTATGTGATGATGTATTTTTTTGCTTATAGATTAATCCACTGGGGTTTGTGCGATAGATACATGTCCCCTATTCTGAAAGAAACACACACACACATTAATTTCATTGAGTCTTTCTTTACATTCATATTTGCTGAGTTGCACAACTCCAGGTTGCATCATTTATAATACACTTTGATAACGGTGCATTCTAGAATTGTGCACAATGGCTACCCCACTAAACTAATCTAACTAAAGAACTCATAGAATGTAATTTAATGAAATAATTTTAAGTTTGGGAATTTTCATTCAGCTTTGATTCTAACTCACTGTAAAGTCTTACATCTTATTTTTTTTGTCCTACAAATCGAAAAAATACCATCTGCTCTAGTACCCACTTACCTCACAGAAAAGATTTGTTAGATTTTTAAAAAATTGCGGTGGAATTCCTTGGAGATAAATTCTTGTGAGTATAGCGTGCACCAGCTGTAGATGATGGACCATTCACAAAGTATATTATAAATGGTGTAGTATTGGCTGGATGCGGTGGCTCACGCCTGTAATCCCAGCACTTTGGGAGGCCGAGGCGGACGGATCACGAGGTCAGGAGATCGAGACCAGACTGGCCAACATGGTGACATCCTGTCTCTACTGAAAATGCAAAATTAGCTAGCATAGTGGCTCACACCTGTAGTCCTAGCAACCTGGGAGGCTGAGGCAGAAGAATAGCTAGAACCCGGGAGGCGGAGGTTGCAGTGAGCTGAGATGGTGCCACTGCACTCCAGCCTGGGTGACAGAGCAAGCCTTTCGTCTCAAAAAAACCAAAAAAAAAACAAAAACCAAAACCAGATATAGTATTACCAGAGAGTTCCTGCTCATAAGTATAAAAACATTTCTTACTTAAGTTATGAAGTTTGAAAATGAGCCTTACATACATAACCATACTTTTTTTTTTTTTAATTTGAGACGGAGTCTCACTCACTCTGTCACCCAGGATGGAGTGCAGTGGCATGATCTCAGCTCACTACAGCCTCTGCCTCCTGGGTTCAATTGATTCTCCTGTCTCAGCCTCCTGAGTAGCTGGGATTGTGGGTCTGTGCCACCACGCCCGGCTAATTTTTATTTTAATTTTTTTTGTATTTTTAGTAGAG
This sequence comes from Homo sapiens, assembly GCF_000001405.40. Lineage (NCBI taxonomy): Eukaryota > Metazoa > Chordata > Mammalia > Primates > Hominidae > Homo > Homo sapiens. Next base: position 125,818,537 of record NC_000009.12, read on the forward strand.
ACAGAGTTTCTCCATGTTGACCAGCTGGTCTCAAACTCCTGACCCCAAGTGATCTGCCTGCCTTGGCCTCCCAAAGTGCTGGGATTACAGGCATGAGCCACCACACCTGGCATGATGAGATTATTTTTTTAAAGATATATAGAAACAGGGTCTTGCTGTGTTGCCCAGGCTGGTCTTGAACTCCTGGGCTCAAAAACCTGCCCGCCTCAGCTTCCCAAAGTGTTAGGATTACAGGCGTGAGCCACTGCACTCAGCCTTGATGAGAATTATTTTTATTATTTTGAAGATGATGATGATGATGATTATTATTATTATTTGAGACGAAGTCTTTCTCTGTTGCCCAGGCTGGAGTGCAGTGGTGTGATCTCGGCTGACTGCAGCCTCCGTCTCCCAGGTTCAAGGAATTCACCTGCCTCAACCTCCCGAGTAGCTGGGACTAGAGGTATGCACCACCAAATCTGGCTAATTTTTGTGTTTTTAGTAGAGATGGGGTCTCACCATGTTGGCCAGGCTAGTCTCGAACTCCTGGCTTCAAGTGATCCACCCACCTCGGCCTCCCAAAGTGCTGGGATTACAGGTATGGGCCACTGTGCCTGGCCTGATAATTATTTTTAATCTCATACTTTCTAATGTATAATTCCAAATCTAAAACTATTTTTTTACTTTTTAATTTTCCAAAGGAACATTAATTTTTATTTTTAAATTTTCAAGGCCAGGCGGGGTGGCTCACACCTGTAATCCCAGCACTTTGGGAGGCCTAGGTGGGCGGATCACCTGAGGTGGGTAGTGAGACCAGCCTGACCAACATGGAGAAACCCTGACTCTACTAAAAATACAAAATTAGCTGGGTGTGGTGGTTCATGCCTGTAATCCCAGCTACTCGGAAGGTTGAGGCAGGAGATCACTTGAACCCGGGAGGCGGAGGTTGTGGTGAGTCAAGATCATGCCATTGCACTCCAGCCTGGGCAACAAGAGTGAAACTCCATCTCAAAAAAAAGAAAAAAAAATTCAATTCTAGCTATAATAGATCAGCTGAACTATATGGAAATGGGAAACGTGCAAATACTACTGATATCTTCCCTGCTTGTAAGAAGAGGGTTTAGATATAGATATGGGCAAAGCTTCATTTATGAATAGATTTATATATCTTCAGTGTACATATATATCCAGTGTTTTATATATATATAAAACTGGTGTTTTATGTATATATACACAATGTAACCCTGTACTCTTCACTTTTAAGTTTATTTTAGTTAGAATCTTTTAATACGAAAACTTAGAATATGAAATAGCAAAATACTACAAAAGTTGAAAACAACTCTGAGCTTTTTTGTGAATATTATCTTTTTTTCTGCCACATTTAATTAGTTATCTTTTTTGTATTTCCCATGTAAATTTTATTTCACATTCTTGGAGGATTAATATGGAATTTGTATAGATTTTGGAAAAGAAATTTTAAAAAACCCCAAAGAAATCTATTCCTATTCATTGTTTCTTTCACCTGGATCTCCTAGTACCTATAAATGGGTGCATGAAAACGTTTGCACTGCACTGAATTGAAGTTTTTACTGTGGGATTGAAAGAAGCACTGTGAAAAAGATGAAGAAACAATTGACCACACTGGATCTGTAGCCCAAGCTATTAGTTTAGTCTTAGTGTAGTCTACTCTGAATTTTGACTTACTGGATATTTAAGGTCTCTGGTTATTCCTAACAGACTGGTTGGCTTTGCTTCACCCAAATAGATTGTGGTGTGAAACAAGACACTTGATACCGAGATTAAGGAATGTCTCATGACAGTGCTTGTTTCTATTCAGCACTCCCCTCCACTTTAAAATTAACTGTTTAGGGCTTAAATGAAATGGGTTTTAAAAGCAAGACAAAACTTTGTTCTCGCTCCCTCACTAATAAACCTGTAGCATCTCACAGTAGAAAAAAGTATAGTGGGACTTACTGGCACCATGGTGCACAGCATTGAAGAATTTCATATTGTGACAACACATCAAAATAAATTGCTGTCAACAGACCAAAACACCAAGTGCTGTGATTCTGTCTGACGTGTGAAGATTCAGACAGGCTGTCTTGACAAGTTGTGGTGGAGCACCTGCATTTGACAGAAGACAGTGATATAAATCTGATTTGCCTGATACGAAGCACCTAGATATAGTTAATGCTGGTGACAGTAAGTCTGCATAAAATTTCCAAGCTGCAAGTCTGACTTTATTTTGCCTCTATTAAGTAGTAGTATTTTTTTGGTCACATTTTGATTCTCACTTATTTTCTATTTGTATTTGTAGTGTGGCCTTGAAATATAATTATGAGTTGTAAACTCTGAAAAATGTGACAAATTAATGTTTTGTTCAGTCTTTTTAAAAGTAGTATTGCAAAAGGCAATACTACTACAGTTGCTCAAAGCAAAAGAAAAGCAATGAAATTTTATTTTATACTAATCATAAATGTAATCATAGTTTAGGTTGTATTAATTTTGTAACTTATAGCCAAAATATTGAAAATAGTGGGTTAAAAGTCATGAGTTCCTATAAATCTCTCAAGCTGCGTTTGCCTTTAAAGCCTCCTGAAGAGGTAAAATCACTGAATTAGGTGGTTAATTTTTTCTTTTCGTTACCAATAAATGATAACTTTTTATAGTACCAGTATATATTACAGCTCATTTAAGAATGTGTAAAACATATCATAGCTCTGGAGTTTAATTATAGAACTTTATACGAGCTTCTCTGTTTCAGTTCTTCATACAACCACAGATACTAGAGACTTCATTCTGACAGTGGTAAGCTAATAAGAAACGCATAGAGGTATAAATTTCAATTACATTTTTCTAATTGTATCTTAAGATTTAAGAGATACTAACAATGGACTTTAGTTGAAAGAAAGAATCTTTTTTAAAGGAAAGGATTAATATAGGGGATTAATTTTTAAAAATGGAAATGAAGACAAGATCATATTAATTGTGTTATTTTTTACTTTTCTGTAGTAACTAACTTGTTGGTAGTATTTCATGGTAAGATTTGTTATTGTCTAAATAAAGAAATCTATTTGGTTTTCCCAGATCTCAAAGATGCTACTATTTCTTACCGAATTTATTGCTTAACTCATTTGAAGATTAGTTTCATTTTATCACCAATTGTTGCTCTGGTGGTTCCCCTGTGAAACACAGTGAAATAATTCAAGGATTCTCAAATTTGAGAAATTTTGAAATTAGCTCTGTCCACTATATAGTTTTAAAAAGTACAAATTATTTGTTTCAAGTTACTATTCATTCTTGACTGTATTGTTGTTTTACCCCTTAAAGGCTGCTAATGAGAAATAGAGCCTCATTATGATTTTAAGGATGAGAGAGGAAGGCTTTTAATTAATGATATGTAAATGGTCTTGAATTGATTATGTTAGAATATCAAGAGAGATGGGTAGAAGCTGTGGTGTAATATATTTTAATTAAGAATTAATTAAAAATGATGGCAATTTCATAAAGCCTCACAGAAAATAGTGGAATTTACTTTCTGTCAGGAGTAAATTAGCCTGTGATTAAATAAAGGGCCTGCATTAATAGTGGAGTTATTTTTAAACTGTGCTATGAAGAATTATGTAATTTTTCCTAAATAAGTAAAATTAAAATTTAATATTTAAAGGTGGGTAGTAAATGGTGGCAGAGAGCTAACTTATTTTTATGACTCAAATATATTGTTTCTTCTTTATAAAATTTTGTGTAAATATTTTTAACCTCAGCATATACAGCATATAGCTTTAAAAGAATGGACTTTGTCTGTTCTATTGCCCATTTGGCATTGGGGATAAGGAATGCTCTTACACGTAGCCATGGCAGTGGTTTTCCTCTTGTACACAAGATCTGGGAAAGATCTTTACTGATGACTGAAAATTATTTTTAAAGGAGGTACTCTTCTTTTTTTCCCTGTTCTCCAGAGTTTAAAAACGTTTCTTCCTTAGATGTGGTTTTTCATTGTAAATAATACTCTTTCTTTAGAAACTCTAAAATGTGTATATTTCTTTACGTTGAAACCTGAAATTTCCCTGAGCATACCGTTTATTCAGACTCAGACTACACTATTTTTATAAACATTTTTTTCCACTAGTTTAGAGAAATGTTTTAAAAGGAAACTTGTCTTTGAGTTCAACTTGGATTGTAATTTGAATGTAGAAGAAAGGCTGCATAATCCAATCAAAGCATATATTTCATTAATGTTTTTTGTACATTAATACAGGGTATCTCAGTATAGTAGCTTATTATATTGAGTTATTATTTAAAACCCCACATAATACATTATGATACCCTCAACCTTAATTCAGTACTTCATACTTGTGAAACACCCCATAATGAGTAGTTGAATTTTGGGATTTTATGGATCATCCATATCAATAGTTATATAACTTGTGGGGTTTTTTAGTTTTTTTGTTTTGTTTGCTAAGTAGCTAAAAAAAAAAAAAAGATGTGAGTTTTACTTTGTCAGAACCTCCCACCATTCATTAATTCTCCTAACTCACCTATGTTTGCCTATTTAGCAAGTATGCCTCTTGTATGTGTAAGTTTGTGGTATGGTCATATTTGATGACGCTTCTGTGGTTCTTGAAACTCCAAAATACAGTTGTGGGAAAAGTGGAGAAACGAACATTCTCTGGTTCCCTCTGCAAATGCTGACCATTGCTGTTGATTATTGACATTTTCAAATTTACTTCAGTCACTGTAATATATAAAAATAAGCATCACAAATAAAAGTTGTCATGACCCTGTGAGGAAATTGTTGTTGATGTGCTATTTAACTTTTATTTACCTGTACATGCTGCTCAGAAAATGGTTTTTATGTACCAGTGTGTGTTATGCTGTTCATTGAAGTATTACCATAGCAACAGTAATATCTCTTGCTTTCATCTTAATGCTGATTTCAAGATACAAAGATAGTTTTTAAAAGACTGAATTTAACATATATAATGTTAATATGGTCCTTTTTAAGGAGGATAAATTACTTTTTTTTTTGGTAATAGTGTTAAATAAAGTTTTAAAGGCTAAATAGTCTGTTAGTGCCTCAATGAAATTTCTGTGTTAGCTACTTTGGATCAGTCTCCTTTTTTAAAAAAAGAAAGAAAGAAAGATTAAAAAAGAATTCTGTATGTTTTTATCTTGGGGTTTAGAAGACAGAAAAGAATGGTTAAGAGAAGGAAGTACAGATCCAATGGGAAACAGTTAAAAGATTTGGAACGTGTTTTGACTAGAGAAAAGTAGGCTAGGCTGGGCGCGGTGGCTCATGTCTGTAATCCCAGCACTTTGGGAGGCTGAGGTGGGTGAATGACTTGAGGTCAGGAGTTCGAGACCAGCTTGGCCAACATGGTGAAACCCCATCTCTACCAAAAATGCAAAAATTAGCCAGGCATGGTGGCCCGCACCTGTAGTCCCAGCCACTCAGGAGGCTGAGGCAGGAGAATTGCTTGAACCTGGGAGTCAGAGGTCGCAGTGAGCTGAGATCGTGCCACTGCACTCCAGCCTGGGTGACAGAGCAAGACTTTGTCTCAAAAAAAAAAAAAAAATGTAGGCTAAAGGGTTAAAGGATTTTTATGAGCTTGATGCCAGGTGTTTGACCTCTGTATACAACTACTATTATTATTTTTAGCTTTATCAATAAAGGATGAAACATAAGGAAGTGTCCTGAAAGTGAAAGTAAGAAAGATTGTGGTTTGATTTGTAGAGGGGCTACGTAACCACTAGAGTGAAAAATGACTGGTCCGTTTGTGAGTCTCTGTACCTGTTGATCTGTCTTGGGTGTGTGCTAGATATGCCTGGAATGAAGAATCTTAACCAGAAGCATGCTCAAGGGCCTGTCCACAGTTCCGTTATTCCATGATGCCTTATTGATCCAGTATTTCAAAGGAAAGTATACCTTTCTTTATTATGAGAATGCATATTTAATTAATTTGTTGTGCACAGGACACTTAGGCTTCTCATTGCTGTTTTCCAGGTGTCTCAAAGGACAAGATAACTCTAGTCTCCAAGGTATATTGTAAGTCTAGTCCTAGGCCTTCCTAGTTTATAAGGAAGTTAACAGGGTCTAGAAAGATACAGTCTTTCAGACTAACAGGTTCTTATTGATTGTATTAGAATTTAAATTAGAATCTATATGATGAATTACATTTGATGAATCAGTTGGCTTTTTTTTTTTTTTAAATACTCATTGCTTACTAGACAGTGGGGGACAACAAAGTCTCCAGAAATGGCTGATCTCAGCATTGCTATCTGTAGCCGCAGCTGTTGTTATGTAACAATAACGATAGCTACCATTGACTGAACGTTGACTGTTTGCCATGCGTTGTGAAAAGTGCTTTACATGCATTAGTTCATTTAATCCTTGTATCAACTCTATGATTTAGGCCACTGATTCTCGGACTTTTTGTTTTCAGGATCTCTTTCCATACCACATTTAAAATTAAAAATAATTGAGAATTGCCAGGCATAGTGGCTCACGCCTGAAATCTCAGCACTTTGGGAGGCTGAGGCAGTGGATCACTTGAGCTCAGGAGTTCGAGACCAGCCTGGATAACATGGCGAAACCTTATCTCTACAAGAAATACAATAATTGGCTGGGCGTGGTGGCATGCACCTATTTTCCTAGCTATTCAGGAGGCTGAGGTGGGAGGATAGCTTGAACCTGGGAGGTGGAGGTTGCAGTGAGCTGAGATTGTGCTACTGCACTCCAGACTGGGCAACAAAGTGAGACTCTGTCCCCCGCAAAAAAAAACAATTATTGAGAACCTAGCAAGCTTTGGCTTATGTGGGTTATATTTATTAGTATTTACTGTATTAGAAATTTAAAAATTTTATTAGTTTATTTTAAAATAACAATAACACGTTAGCATAAGTATCATTTTAAAATAAAAAACAACTTATATTTCCAAAATAAAAAATTAGATGATTGATATTGTTTTACTTTTTTTTTTTTTTAACAAATTCTTTAATGTCTGGCTTCAACAGCTGTTTTCTCATATTTCCTTCTGCATTCTGTTGTGATGCCATGCTTCACGTAGCCTGTTGTCAACTTCATTGTATACTCATGAACAAATTAGAGTTAAAACAGAAAATGTGACATCTTAATGAATTATGAAAACAGTTTTGACCTTGCAGAGCCCTGAGGGTACCTCAGTGACCCCACGGGTACCTGGGCCACAGTTTGAAAACCACTGATTTAGAAAGTATCCTCATTTCATCAGTAAGCATCACTGTGTACTTCTGCTATCCTGTATTGCTAACAAGTGTCCATTTTTCTTTTTTACTCTCAATTTTGGCATTTAGAGGATCAATTCATGATTGTGATATCGCCAAGTTTAATGTAGTAGCTTTGTTTAGTTTAGGAATCTTATTTGGGAACTTGCCTAGAATGTCCTGGAAGGAAGTCTGTTTAATTTTGCATTGGGAGATACTTTATAAATGTTAGCTGTGGGTGGCAGTTTTCAACCAGTTAAATTCTACCATTATCTTTGAGAAAGGCAATAACGTTAATATTTAACTAGTTCCAGAAGTTAGGATAGAACATTTAATTCCAGGAGAAAACAGCTAAAATTGCCTGTAGTGAATAGAGATTCTCGCCTAGTAAATTCCTTTATTTACCACAATCTTACCAGGTTCTTTTGAGGCATGATTTTTACCTGTTTTAACATTTTTCATGGCTCAATTATTTTACATATAGGATTCTTTGAAAAAGAAGTGCTTCCTAACTTTAAATTCAAATAATTTATTTACTATTCTCATATCTTGATTATTTGTCACAAATGATATAGTAATAACCTTCCTTTCTCTTCAAAATGTTTTTATGTGAAGTTCAAACAGAATTGAAAATCAGATAATATAAGTCTTGTCGACTCTAGCTTGTCTGGAATATTCACAAATTAATGAAGGGTCATTGGTGATTATGGGATTTTTTCCTTTGAAAATATATCTAATGAATACATAAGATATATTTCATAAACATAATATGGTAATGTCACTACTAAGTATTTAGACAGTTCAGCTTATTGGGTGATGACACACACTTTTTTTCTTTGAAAATATATGCATAAGATATATTAAATATTTGAAAAATATAATAAAGGTAATGTCAGTACTAAGTATTTAGATGGTTCAACTTATTGTGTGATGACTTTATTCAGAAGAGTGGATTGCTCTGACCCTTAATTATGGACATATTTTTTAATTGACACATAATATTTTCTATATTTATGGTGTACATGTGATATTTTGTTGCATGCATAGAATGTGTAATGATCAAGTCAGAGTATTTAAGGTATCCATCACCTTAAGTATTTATTATTTCTCTGTGTTTGGTAACATTTCAAGTTCTTTCTTCTAGCTACTTTGAAATATACCACACATTCTTGCTAACTGTAGTCACTCTACCCTGCTATCAAACATTAGAAATTATACTTTTAATCTAACTGTATGTTTGTACCCATTAACCAATCCCTCTTTATCCACACCTCCCACCCACACCCCTCCCAGTCTGTGGTGTCTGTCACTCTATTCTCTACCTCTGTGTGATCAACTTTTTTGGCTCCCACATATAAATGAGAACGTGAAATTGGGACATAACTTTTAACCCAATAAAATTATGCAGTATATCAATGAATGTATTTGAATGAATTATTAGTGGTAATTCTGAAGTAAAGACCCATGTAGGGTATATGGACTTTTTGCATTTTGATTTTTGCTTATGAAATATTTCAAACACATAGCCTTTTATTTCTTCCTGTTAAGTTTAATAAATGTTAACATTTTGCCATCTCTGCTTTAGACATTTATTTTTAAAAAATATCCATTTACATATGTTTGAAGTTTCCCCATCCGTTCAGCTCACTAACTTCCCCACCCCAAATTAGTACCTATTTATCTTATGGTTGGTACATATTCTTCTCATGTGAAAAATGCTTTTACTACACATACGTGTATTTACAAATAATGTTAGTATTTTTAGTATTGACAAATATAATGTGTATATATACACATATGTAATACCTATGTGTCGTATATACACACTGTACATCTTTTTGTAGCTTGATTTTTTGCTCACCAGTTTTCAACATGTACTGCATTGATTTTGATATCCGTGAATTGATTTTATTAGTTTTACCTGCTTTGTAGTATTCTACCGTGCAGATGAACTTCACATTCATTTCACTACTGATGGATGCTTACATTTCATCTGAAATTTTGGTATTATAAACATGCTTGTACACATATTTTTGTCCATATGCAAGAATTCCTCTGAGGTATATAACTAGGAATAGAGTTGTTGGGTTTATAGAGTATGTGTATATCCAACTTTATCTGATGTTGCCAAATTGCTTTCCAAAGTGGTTGTACCAATTTATATTGCTACCAGTAATAAGACTGATACAGAGGTTTGTTCTGGAACTACGCATTTTGGAAGGATCAGAAACTAAATTCATCTAGGACCTTAGTCTTCTGTGTCCTTATTTGCTGGATACAGATATTAGTAGTCCTTAGGTTTGGACTTTTGCTGGATATAATGATGTGTATTTTGTATTTTTAGGAGTACTAGTTTGCTGTCCAGAGGATTTACTTTGAATTATTAGTAAACCAACAAGATAAACACAGAAGTCATTCAGTTAAATACATTTTCATCACATTTTCATTGGGTAATAATTTTGCTTTTGACCTATCAGATCTGAGATATATATACTCAGAGATACTGAGATATATGTACTGCCTAGACAAATTTTCCATAGTTTACAGCAACAAATGGTTTATATAGAAATGCTATATTAAAGTATATTTTTATTTGTTAAACATAATTTATTAGGAATAGAACAAAAACCAAGTCACAATAATGATTTATCAAAACAGAGCCCTATAAGAAGGGAGATGGGAATGAATACAGCTCTTCTGCTATCTTGAAACATTCTGTATTCTAAGCCAATTAGAACTGGTAATACAATTTTACCAGTTGGTCATTTAAGAAAATGCAAGATTAGAAAAACATTTGATGATCCATCTGGAAAAAATAAGATTGGTCAGTTTTTTAAACTACTTTCTACCCTCAATTAGCATATCATGTCATATCAGACCAAACATAGTAACTTTGAGCTATAGTTAAACAATTTACTTATGATAGGAAGTTATTGACCACAAGGTCTTCTCACAGATTAAAAGTTTGGTAATATGTTTAGAATGTTCAGTTTATTCAATTTGTTAGAAAATCAAAAGGAACGTTGAGTCTAAACGTCGTTTGACAGATTTGTTTGCCTTTATTCCTATTAAAAGTATTTCAAAACCTTTGATTTGATTCTGAACATCAGTAATGTAAGTCGCCTTCTTTGTTCTAGGATAAACAGAACACATGCTTCTGCAGCTCCCTTGATCAATGAGAAAATGCCTTATATCAAAACCACATGGCGAGAATGTAGCTGTAGGTGATCCCCTGAGAGGTTTTTTGATTGGAGCTGGGAGTCTGGTATTGAAAGAAGAGGGAGACAGACAGGTTGTTTGAAAAAACTCCCATCAGACCAAATGCTTGTGTTGGAGCCATGCTACAACATTTTTCATGTAGAAAGTGCAACTTTATCAATTTTAAATGTTAAAGACGATTCGTTGCATGATTGTAATAACATATTTTCACTTTGGAATTTCTGTATACATCTCTCTGTATTTCATTAGCTAGTGGCCCAGAAATTCATTTATTCACATGCTGCTTGTCAGTCTTCCATTTCTAGAATTTTATTCTCAAACTACATCATTACAAGATTCATTATTTAATTTTTAAAGTCAAATGCAACCGAGGTACATTTTCTTTAGCTAATATACACTTGTCACGTTTCTGGACAGCAAGAGAAAATAAGCTTGCTGATTTGGTTTATAATTATATGTATCATATTTATGATGATATTCTTAAGAATTCTAATATTAGGTGAGTAATCTCAACATTTAATTTGCTAGTCAGGGGTTGCTTTAAACTTTTGTACATACGTAAGTTTTGGTGCAATTTAGTTAAAAAACTCATTATAGGAGATGAGTATGTGCTTCATTTTTAATATTTCCTCCATTCACTTTGAAGTTTCCTTTGAAAGCCAAACTATTAGGCTTGTTATGTCAGCTCTTTCCTTAAATTAAAAAAAATGAGCAACAAAGCAGTAATATTTTAGTGTTTTTCTGAAAGAAGAGAAGCAAAATAATTGTTTTAAGAAGATTCTAATTGAAGAGTTAGAGTGCCATGGTCTTTTCAAGACTGGTTTGGTCCTGGTGCTGCTCCGTGGCAGTGGAGCTCTAGATGCCTGGCCAAGCATCCCTTACCGACATCTGGAACCAGTTGCAATACATCACTGTCAAAACTGCTTTCTATACGTATCTGCATTTACACATTAGTTACCCACGCAGCACTCATCAAAAAAGCTGAACAATCTTGACATGGTGTCCCTTGTGGAACTGCAAAGGTGAACTGAAGTTGGGAGGCAGTGTCTCGCGTCACTGTCTGCTGAGCTCTTACAACAGGAAGCTTGATTAAAAGTGAAAGGAAAAATTTATCAGTTGTCTCAGCACTGTAGAGTTCAGTATAATTTTTTATTTACAAAAGCGTTATTTTTTGCTATCTAAAGCATACGTAATATGAGCATTCAACTGATTTTGTTTAGAAATAAGAATATTTTTATTTTTTAGTTGAAAAATATTGCCTTGCATGTTTCTTAGATTTGCTATTAGTTATATAATCTATTTTATTGTTCATGTTAAGGAAAATGTAAATTTAACAATAGAACTATGAAGAATTATAGATACAATATTGATAGCACTGTGTCAGTTAAATTTAACTGAAGTATAGCATAAAATTTCAAACAAACAAACTTCTTTAATGTTACATTGGTGATAGTAATGTTTGTGTTTATTAATTTTCAAAAAGCTGAGTAATAGAAAAGTACTTATTTATAGGTGTTTTATATTTGTGTATCATATGTGTTTTTGAAAATGAAATAAGAGTTTTGAACCCCCCAAATTGGCTACTTACATAAAGAACTATACAGAAGCCTTTGCTATCATATCCTCTATAATAGTAATAATAATAATAACATTAATACTAATGATGACAGTGGTTAACATTTACTGGGCTCTTTATGTACTAGACACATTTTGTCTATTATCTCATTCAAACTTAATAAATGGAGGTAATATTTTTCCCATTTTATAGAAGGAGAACCATGTTTAAAGAAGCTAAGTAACTTGTCCACATTCACAGTAAGTGTAGAGCTGCGATTCAAACTCTAGCTGTTTGATTCTAAGTCATTGTGGTTTTTTTGTTGTTGTTGTTCATTGGTGTGTATGTCTTACTTTTTATTATAAAATTTCCCCCAAATTCACAAAAGTAGAGGGTACAATGAACTCCTGTATAACCACCAGTCAGCTTTAACCACTAATATGTTATACTTGTTTTGTATCTCCGTGCAGATTCACATTCCTTCCTCCTGCCCCCCACCTGTCCTTTTTCATATACCATTGACTTGCTGAAAAAATCAGAATGTTTTTCCTGTAGAATGCCCCAATTCTAGATTTGGCTGATATTTCCTTGTGGCAGTATTTAATTTACGCTTCTATTTGCTGAATTTCTTCTAGACTAGAATTAGATCTAAAAGCTTGATTAGATTCATCATGCATCACATCAGCCATAACGTTTAGTCATCTTACTTTTTGCAATGCTAAGACTGATTGATCAGTGGATTAGGTAGTGCCAGCCTGATTTCTTCATTGTAAAGTTCCCCTTCTTTCACCTAATGGTTTTACCATCTATGGATGACCCAGTGCCTGGATTACTGAATTTCTTAGGCCTTGAAAATGGTCCACTTGTTATTCTTTCTGTATTTATTAGCCAGAATGTTTTTTTTTTTTTGAGATGGAGTCTCGCTCTGTTGCCCAGGCTGAGTGGTGCGATCTCGATTAGCCAGAGTGTTTTAAAAGAGCTTTATCCATTCACTAGGGCTATTTGGTTACCCAGAAATACAATTCATACTGGAAAGGCAGTATAAAATATTTAATTCTTTCCCTTTAATTATCAATTTCCAGAGTAATGAGGTAGTGCCTTAGTATCCTCCAGTGGTGTATAACTTTTGATTTTTTTTAGTAGTTATTATGAAGTGTTGGCTTTTTGTATATGTAGTGTGTTTTAATCAGTTTCAGACATTATACTTTTTGATGCTGAAATTGTACCACATTTGTCCAGTGGGAACCCCTTCAAGTTGGCTCCTGTGTCCTTCTGATAAGACTCCATTTTTAGCTTTTTTAGCTTCTTACTTTCTGGCCCACCAAAACGTGCCAGGCTCATCTTGTACATTTCCTCCACCAGATGTAGAATCTGCCATTTCTCCAAAGAGCCATGGTTCTTTTTATTGAGGAGTGATATACAAAGGCCAAAATTTGAGCCTTAAGGGTACTTATTGCTACTGGGTTGTTTGCTTTCAGGAAAAGAGAGGAGATAAGTGAGCTCACATTGATAATTCTAACTCAAATGTAAGATTACAGGGTTTCACTTAAGTTCTTAGATTTTATATTTATATATCTTTTATGACAAAAAATTTATTCTTAACAAAATTAAGATAATTACTTGATTTATTCTATATATTGTTATAAATATATACTGGTTTTCTTTTCTTTCTTTTTTTTTTTGAGACGGAGTCTCGCTCTGTTGCCCAGGCTGGAGTGCAGTGGCGCGATCTCGGCTGACTGCAAGCTCTGCCTCCCGGGTTCATGCCATTCTCCTGCCTCAGCCTCCCGAGTAGCTGGGACTACAGGCGCCCGCCACCACGCCTGTCTAATTTTTTGAACTTTTAGTAGAGATGGGGTTTCACCATTTTAGCCAGGATGGTCTCGATCTCCTTACCTCGTGATCCACCCGCCTCGGCCTCCCAAAGTGCTGGGATTACAGGCGTGAGCCCCTGCGCCCAGCCTAATGGTTTTCAGATAACAATTGACTACTGACTGAAGTTAAAACTTTCTGTGCAGTTTTTTGGGAGAGGGTCCTCAAATTATATTTCACTGAAGAGATAGACAGTTATGTCATTTAATTAGTTTTTCTATTCTTAGGATTGTTTTCCCTCATGACTTAGAGCCTGAATGGCAAGTGACTGTCCTCAGATTCACTTGCTTAGATTCTCAGATATGATAGTATTGATCTTTTTCCCTTTGCAGGTATTTATTTGTTGGTGAGTTCTGGGTTTCATGGCTTTTAGGACCCTTTTGTATTTCTCTTTACCACCACTGCTTCATATAGCTGCTGATCACAGGTCTTGCTGCTGTTGGGTGTTTTTGGCCACACCTATCTATAATTCCAGGGTTTAGGAGGGATTCCTTGTCACCTGCTTTTGTAGGAAATGTCATCTGTGGTTTATTATTTCCTGATGGCTCTGTCTGGTTTTGTGAGGGAGTTTGGTGAGACTTAAAAGTACCTACATTGTTATGTCATTTCGGGAAGTTCCAGCATCTGTGTAATCTTAACCGCTGTAGCATGCAACTTGGTTTAAGGAAAATTTCTTTGAGCTTTATTCTTGGGTGCTAATTATTGAAGTACAATTAGGAAGGGGAGCAAATAGGGAGAAGAAATTTGTGTTTACTGAGTTCCTGCAATATGCTAAGAATGTACTGGTAATGAAAAAAATTGGCCAGGCGTGGTGACTCATGCCTGTAATCCCAGCACTTTGGGAGGACGAGAGAGGTAGATTGCCTCAGCTCAGGAGTTTGAGACCAGCCTGGGCAACATGAGAAACCCATCTCTACTAAAAATAGAAAAATTAGCTGGGCGTGGTGGTGCACACCTGTAGTCCCAGCTACTTGGGAGGCTGAGGCAGGAGGATCACCTGAGCCTGGGATGTGGAGGTTGCAGTGAGCCTTGATTGCACCATGCCACTGCACTCCAGCCTGGGCCACAGAGGGAGACGCTGTCTCAAAAAAAAAAAAATTGTTTTATTGCTGAATCCTTATAATACCACCGTAAATTTTATATCCTAATTTTATAGATTAGAAAACTTGAAGATTAGTAAAACTTGAGGATTAACCTAATGTTGTATGGCTAATAAGTGACAGAGGTGGATTCAAACTGAAATGTATTCAAATTCTGTGTTTTTCCCTATTTAGACTAAATTTACTTTCTAGGAACTTTTTGTAATATGATTTCGTTCAAAGGAGGCTTGCAGAGTACTTGAAGCTAAAAAGTTTTAGGTGGTCTAAAACTTTTGGCTATTTTGAATAATGCTGCTATGAATATTTGTGTATAAGTTTTTGTGTAGACATATATTTTCATTTTTCTTTGGTATATACCTTGGAATGGGATTGCTAGGTCATAGATAACTATGTTTAACTTTTGAGGAACTGCCAGCCTGTTTTCCAAAGTGGCTGTACCATTTTGTATTTCTACCTGCACTCCAAGAGGGTTCCAATTTCAGTTTAACTTTAAACAGTATCATTAATTGGATAAACACTGCTTGCTTTCTCTGAGCCAGAGATTTTTCTAGATGTTGGGAATACAGCAATGACTATGGCTGACAAATATGCTGCCCTGAAAGACCATACAATTAAGTGCAGGGAGACAGATAATAAATAAGTCAATAAATAGAATAATTTCGAAGCATGATAAACATTATGAAGTATTGACTGAAGTAGGGGGAGACTTTAGAAAAAGTAGTTTGGGAAGGTTTCTGTAAGAGAAGGAAAAATATGAGCTGAGACAGAGAAGTATAGCTGAGGAGGGAACAGGGAAGAAAAACTCTAAAGATGTCACCTTTCAACAAGTTTTTAAGGTGATACATTGATGTGATAGTGGCTAAAACTAAGAATGGATCAATTATTTTTACTTGTTTTTTTTATTTTTATTTTTTTGAGACCGAGTCTCACTCTGTCCAGGCTGGAGTGCAATGGCTTGATCTCGGCTCACTGCAACCTCCACCTCCCAGGCTCAAGGGATTCTCCTGCCTCAGCCTCCCGAGCAGCTGGGATTACAGGCACCACCACTGCGACCGGCTAATTTTTGTATTTTTAGTAGAGACGGGGGTTGCGCCAAGTTGACTAAGCCGGTCTTGAACTCCTGACCTCAGGTGATCCGCCCACCTCTGCCTCCCAAAGTGCTGGGATTACAGGCATGAGCCACCTCACCCGACCAATTATTTTTACTTGTTTGTGAAATATTTAAATCTCAGCTGGGCATGGTGGCTCATGCCTGTAATCGCAGCACTTTGGGAGGCTGAGGTGGGTGGATCACCTGAGGTCAGGAGTTTGAGACCAGCCTGCCCAACATGGCGAAACCCCGTCTCTACCAAAAATACAAAAAATGAGCCAAGTGTGGTGGCAGGCGCCTGTAATCCCAGCTATTCAGGAGGCTGAGGCAGGAGAATCGCTTGAATCTGGGAGGCAGAAGTTGCAGTGAGCCAAGTTCATGCCACTGCACTCCAGCCTCGGTGACGAGCAAAACTCTGTCTCAAAAAAAAAAAAAAAAAAAAAAAAAAAAAAAAAAAAGGGCAAAAGATATGAAAAGACAAGTAACAGAAAAGACAATACAGATAACTCTTAAATGTTGGAAAAAGTCCATCCTCACTCAAAATAGGATAAAAAATAACAATTACTACTTATTGAGTGTTTACTATGTGCCAGGCACAGTTCTAGGCATCTCATATGTATTATATTAACTTGTTTTATTTTCACAAGAATGTTTGAAATTGCAGTATTAATATCCTTGTTTGATGTAGGAGGAAGAGGAGACACAGAGGTTAAGTGACCTGCCCAGGGATGCACAGCTCCAAGTGAGTGGCAGAGCTGGGAGATGGCCCTAGAGTCTATACTCTTAACCGTTATATTCTACTGACTTGCAAGAGTCAAAACAAAAACAAAGAGACCACCTACAGAATGGGAGAAAGTATTTGCAAGCTATTTAATTGACAAGGGATTAATAACTAAAATATGTAAGGAACTCAAACAACTCTATAGCAGAAAAAAAAAATCTGATTTTAAAATGGGCAAAAGATCTAAATAGACATTTCTCAAAAGAAGACATATGAATGGTCAACAGGTGTATGAAAATGCCCAGCATCACTAATTGTCAGAGAAATGCAAATCAAACCCACAATATAATAGCATCTCATCCCAGTTAAAACAGCTTTTATCAAAAAGACAAAACATAACATGCTGGCAAGGATGTAGAGACAGGGGAACGTTCATACACTGTAGTTAGTGCATTCACTATGGAAAACAGTATGGAGCTTCCTCAAAAAACTGAAAATAGAACTATGATATGATCTGGTAATCACCCTGCTGGGCATATATCCAAAAAAAAGGAAATCAGTATATCAAGACAATCTGCACTCCCTTGTTTATTGCAGCACTATTCAAATAGCAAGATATAGAATCAGCCTTAGTGTCTATCAGTGGATGAATGGATAAAGAAAATGTGATACATATATTAATACATAGTGGAATGTTATTTAGCCATGAAAAAGAAAGAATGGAATCTTGTCATTTGTAACAACATGGATGGAACGAGAGGACATTATGTTAAGTGAATTAAGTGAGGCACAGAAACACAAATATCCCATGTTCTCACTGATAAGTGGAAGCTAAAAAAAATTGATCTTGGCTGGGCGCGGTGGCTCACGCCTGTAATCCAAGCACTTTGGGAGGCCGAGGCAGGTGGATCATGAGGTCAAGAGATCGAGACCATCCTGGCCAACATGGTGAAATCCCATCTCTACTAAAAATACAAAAAATTAGCCGGGCGTGGTAGCGGGTGCCTGTAGTCCCAGCTACTTGGGAGCCTGAGGCAGGAGAATGGCATGAACCCGGGAAGCGGAGCTTGCAGTGAGCCGAGATTGCATCACTGCACTCCAGCCTGGGCGACAGAGCGAGACTCTGTCTCAAAAAAAAAAATTGATCTTGTGGAGTTAGAGTAGAATGATGGTTGCCACAGGGTGGGAAGCGTAGGTAGTCAGGGAAGGGGTGCTAAAAGGGGTTGGTTAATGGGTACAAAAATATGGTTAGAAGGAATAAGATCTAGTGTTTGGTAGCTCAGTAGGGTGACCTATAGTTAACAGTAATTTATTGTATATTTCAAAGTAGCTATAAGAGTGACATTGGAATGTTCCCAACATAAACTGATGATAAATGTTTAAGATGATGGATATTCTAGTCACCCTGATTTGATTATTACACATTTTATGCTTGTATTGAAATATCCTACCATAAATATGTAAAACTACTATGTATCCATAACATTTTTTTAAGAGTCAAAACAAGTAAAACTTCCCTGAGCTACTATTTTTTATCTGTCAGATTAGCAAAGATCAAAAAGTATGATAACAGTGTGATAGAGAACTAGTATAGAGACTCTTAGAAATTGCTAGTGGGAACATAAATTGGTACAACCTTTCTTTGAGGGCAGTTTGGAAGTATCTATCAAAATTTAAATATCACCATGCTTTGTCCTAGCAATTGCAATTCTTGGCATTTAGCCTTCATACATATTTGCATGTAAGAAATATATGTGTTCAGAGATACTTGTAGTATTGATTAGAATAGTAAAAGCTTGGAAACCACCTAAATGTTTAACAGTAGAGGGCTGGTTAAATTATGTTACTCCTATTCAGTCTAGTACTATGCAGCCTGTCAAAGAGAATGATGAAGCTCTGTATGCACTAATACAGAACCAGTTTACAAGCTATGTTGTTAAGTCAGAAAGCTAAGTACATGATGGTACATATATGTATTATATACATGTATATCTGATATAGGAAAAATAATAGAAATGTATACTTATTTTGTGTGTGTATATATATTACACAAATATGTATACATGTGTATAAATATATATAATTTATTTTATATATATAAAATATTTCCAGAAGAATACACAAGAAACATGATGCTATTTGCCTCTGGAGGAAAACTAGGTGTTTGGGGTCAAGAATAGGAAAGAGACTTAAAAATGTACTTTTTGCATTTTGAACTATGTAACCCTATATTTAAAATGTTAAAATGAAAATATACTTTAAGAGGAATCTAAATGATAATACTTAAGGTTAATAAAGAGCCACTTTGAATTGTTCTGCAGTTTATTTTCCTAAACAGCAAAGGTCTCAAGACTTTTTTTTTTCTCCCTGGGTTCATGCCATTCTTCCGCCTCAGCCACCCGAGCAGCTGGGACTACAGGCACCTGCCACCATGCCCGGCTAATTTTTTGTATTTTTAGTAGAGACAGGGTTTCACCGTGTTAGCCAGGATGGTCTCAATCTCCTGACCTTGTGATCCGCCCACTTCGGCCTTCCAAAGTGTTGGGATTACAGGCGTGAGCCACCACGCCCGGCCTAGACTTTCTATAGTCTTTGTTTTGTTGGTCTTTTTTCAAAAGATAGCAACCAAAGAGTGCATTCTAGGTTTGTACTACCCTGTTGAAATGGTAGATAGAAACATTTTAATAGCAAAGCCAATGCCATGTATTTGATACCATATGGAAAAAAAAGGTTGTACCATCTTTTCTTTCTTTTGTTTTTGAGACAGGGTTTTGTTCTATCATCCAGACTGAAATGCAGTGGCATGATCACAGCTCACTGCAGCCTGCTGGGCTCAAGGGATTCTCCTGCCTCAGACCCCTGTGTAGCTAGGACTGCAGGTGTGCGCCACAATGCCTGGCTAATTGTTAAAATTTTTGGTAGAGACAGGGTCTTACTGTGTTGGCCGGGGCCTAATGTTGGCCTAGCTCAAGCGATCCTCCAGTGTAGGTCTCCCAAAGTGCTAAGATAACAGTGATGAGCCGCTGCACCTGGCGTCTTCTAAGTCTACTTTGGACAATGGGCCCTTGCTCTCACAATTTTCAAGAGACCTCTATAATTTGTATGAGTGATTGCTACATCACACTACAAACTGCTTTCCATTTGTAATTACTCAGCTTTTAGCTCCTTGGTATCCACAAGAACGTTAGGTGTATTTTGGTAGACAAGAAGATTTGGACTGTAAATGGGAAATGATAGGAAGATATACTTTGCAGGATATGAAAAATCTGTCAAATCACATTCTTAAGATATAACCAGTTTACCTACATAAATGTAATTGTTGATTGCTAGTTGTGCAACTTACTGTTATTTGTTATTTACAAGATTAAATTGGTTTCTGCTAATGTCAAGTGACAAAAATATAGATAGATAACACTAGCTCTTTGTACCAAAGTACGAAACATTAGAGAGAACAAAGGCCAGGAGTCGTGGCTGGTACTAACTAGGTCTAGGTTAGAAATGTATGGCACTAATCTGGGAAGGTTTTATAAAATGAAAATAATAAAGTAGAATTTTGAAGGCTGAAAGGAGTGGATTTTTGGAAGGATTTGTTAGATTTTCCAGGAAAGTGATAGAAGTTTTTGCCAAGGTAGAGGAAAAAGTGAAGGCAGCAAGTTAGGATGGGGATTTTTGGTAGAGCTTAACACACGGAGGGGAATGGTTCAGAATATGGGATTTGGAGTCATTCAGACCTGGATTTGGGCTTCAGTTTCACTATTTCCCAGTTAGGTTGCCTTGAGGAAGTAACTGAAAATAATCTTTCTGTGTTTTACTTCTAAAATTTCTAAAATGGAGATAATTATAGTGGTTACCTCATAGAGTAGCTGTGAGAATTAAATGAAATTGTACATGAAAACATATAGTCAAGCGCTTTACCCACAGAAGATACTCAATAGATATGTTACTACTATTAACAATAATTTTTGAGGTGAACCAGTTAAATCTCATTCATTGTTGTAGATTTGAGGAATCAAGAGGCAACATGGTGATGAATAAAGAGGACTATACTCAGATTCAGAAGATCTCTCACTTGTTCAGATCTATAGATTGAGTAAATGAATGTCTTTTTCACAGCAATTCAATTAGAATGAGGTTCCAAAGAAAGAGGAAGGAAACAGAAATAACCCTATAACAGAAATATTTCCAATCTTTGTAAGCTCCTGTTGTGCCGGATGAACTGATGTAACTTCTTCACAATAAAAGTTAGCAAGATTTAATGTAGGTAGAAGGAGAGGGAAAAGCCAAAGATTTATGGGGAGTTTAAAAGCCTGGAAACGAGAGTCTTTTGGTTCTCTTGTCTCTGTTAGGAAAGTTAGGGAAGATGTTTTGGATATGTATAGTTTTGGATTACTGGATCACATCCAAGTATATATATTGTATGGACAAGAAGACATGAAAGGCCGAGGAAAGCAAAAGAGAAAAGGGATACTGTTGGGATATGATTCTTAAACATTCCAAGACTGTCTTTTCAGTGACCTCCCTGTTTATGGAATTGAGATAATTTACTCCTGACATCTGATATATGTATACTCTATTTTGAAGTATTTTGCTCTCTTAAATTCTTAGTATAAAGCAAAAGCTTTCAGAAACCTGTACAGTGTTCTATTATCTGTCAGTCTTGTGGTACTCATTTCTGGGCTTTGAGGAGCACTATGGACAGTGGGCCATTCAGATGCCTCTTTGTAAATATGGGTATCAGCAGAGAGATTTTTAAAAATGTTTTTCATGTTCACAGACCTGTCTTCTTTTTTTTAAATATCTTAAATAGTAAATAGTGAAGATTAATAATTGTGACTTGTCTAGCATTATGGTGATATTTAAACTGTTTTCCAGAAGATTTTTCTGTAGATGGAAACAACTTTGGAATAAAGGAGGAATTTTTTTCAGGATGGAGTTTTTTATTTTTCATTTTTTAGCACACTGGAAATGTGTCCATTGTGTTTTAGATGCCACTTACAATGAATTTATTTAATAGTGTTCTTCTGGTCAGATGTAAATAATGCTGTCCTGCGTATGCTGGCCTTTTAGCAATTGTTTCTTATGGGCAGTGTGTCACAAAAGGTGTAGTAACATATTTTTTTCTGGCCTTTTCTGCTTGGCTTTTATATTATTACTTATATATGCTTCTAGAAGTTTATTAGTGACTTTTAACACACCTTCCATCCCTTAGCTATAGCTAACCCTCTGAGTGAATTTTTCTCTCTTTCCTTTAAAGAACTGGCCATTTTTCTTTCTTAACTCCTCGATCTCCTTGGTACATTGACTGTAATTTTATAACACTAGTATTCTATATCTTTCTATATCAAGAAAATTTTTACTTGAAAACTGTTAGTTTTAAAATATGCTATATGTCTTTTGGGAAGTCATATATATGAGTAGGGTGAAGGGCAAAGACTGGAAATGTTTATGTTACAGAGTTATTTCTTCTTTCTTCTTCTTTCCTTTGAACCTCATTCTAACTGAATTGCTCAGAAAAGGGCATTGTAAAGAGAGTCCAGGGTAAGGGTTTGAACCCAGAATATTCCTCCTTTGTGAAATTATTTGCTTGTTTGATTTTAAGTCGTTCAGTTTGTTACTTTTAAGTCTCCATAGAGTCTTACAGCTGTTTGATTTCTATTAGTTCAATTATTATATTACCTAGCATCTAACTATATTGTTCTTTAGAAATTCTTAAATTATTATGTACTAACACTAGGGCTAACCATGCGCTAGGGACTATGAATAGCCTCTTTGCATGGAATTTATTATGGTTTGTTTGATTATTCCTATTTTTCACATGAAGAAATTAAGGCCCAGAGAGGTTTAATAAATTGTCTAAGTCACCTAGTTATTAAGTAGTAGAGCTTGGACTTGTTACCAAGTTTTATCTAAATCCTAAAAAGCCTTAGATCTTAAACTATTTGAATAATTGGGTAAATACAGATAATTAAATTTATTCTTACTGTTGAAAATTCAAATAATTTGTGGCAGTGTTTTTAAAATCAGACTTAGCTAATGCTTGGTTCTGTGGGTGTAGGAGAAATGTTGTAGATGATTCTTTTGTTTGTGTTAATCTAGCACACCCTAGGTACTATGTTTTTTGTCTTGAACTTGTGATGTGGTAGGCACCAGAGAAATGCATGGCTAGATTTTTATGTACGTAACTGTTGCAACAGGACATTTATAACCATTCTACTTTTCTTCCTTTTTGCTATTTCATCCCTGGAGTGTTGTCTTACCCCAGTTTATTCAGTGACAGAGAAGACAGGAAAAGAGTGAAGTCTCTGGAGTATAGCTCTGCTGGTGTATGACTTGTTTTGGTCTTGAGCTTGCTTGCAATGCCTCTAGTACATAGACCCAGCTTTTGTTCAGAATGCTGTTGAATGGGCAGTGCTTACTTTACTGTAGCCAGAATTGATTATCTTGGTTAAAGAATCAAGGGAGATTAAGTTGATCTCTTAACTGTTCTGGATGTTGGAGTTAATTTCAGAAACATGTAGTAAACTGCAGTATTGGTTTAGAGTGGAACACTTTAGTTAGGATGTGTAGAGATAGTTTGACCTCAGTGCTTGTGCTTTTCAGTGAAGCTTTTATTGTACTGTTAACAAAAATCTAGATGAAAAATTTGAGTAAAAGACTATATTTTATCTGAAATATGAGATGATTTTATGAGACATTTATAATTCAGAAAGCATGGATTATATTGTCTCTCAACCTCTAATTTTGAAAACTTTCATTTATATCTGTGTATTTTGATCAAGTGTCAATTTGTCTTCTGCCTTCCGATGATGAAGTAACTGACCTCCTTAAGATGGGGTTAGAAATATAAGTCATTTCTTAAAGCAAAAAGTTGCTGTAGCGAGTTTTCCTTGTGCTAGCTCTTCTCTTTCAGGCCATCTTACTGAAACTAAACATCAGTTCACTTGACAACTTTACTCAATTCTAGGCAACAGTGGCTATGCTCTGGCCTGCAGAGACAGTGAATCCATTCTGGCTCTGACACTCAATTTTATTGTAAAACACATTCATGTTGACATCATATCAGTTTTCTGAACTATTACATGCATAAAAGAATTCACCCCTTTCCATTCAGTCTTTTTCAGCCTTCCGGTTAGGAGAAATCTGCACACCCAGTGTTTTCATTTTGCATTTAATGTGGTCTAGTCCAGAAAATAGCAGCTTCAGTTAAAAAAATGTTTTTCTTGAGGCACCTTTCAGAGTGTGTTAGCTTAATGGCATTCATTAGTAGGAGAGGACTAAGGAGAAATGCACAAGGCAGTTTTTAGGAGAGAACAGTTGAAGTTTAGGGTAAAACAAGTCAGTATTGACCCAAGATTATGGGGTTTAGTTGCTCGAGTTCTTTTGCATGCAACTGCTGTTTGAAGGATTCCTTGCTGGGCCTCATCCATGCCCAATTTTGTGGGCTTTGCCTCCTACTTGATCTTTTTGGTTGTGTTGTTTTTGTGAAGTCCTTTGATTGCTGATTTTTTTGTTTACTTGTTTTACTTACATTGGAATTTGCTAGTTTTGCATTTGGAGTTTGTTTCAAATATAATTCAAATCTTCATCTTTAGTTTATGGGGGAAATGTTTTTTCTTTACAAAATTAAGCTCTTTTATTTTTATGTCAGTTCTAGCTTTGTACTGAGTTTTGCTGAGGCTATCCTTGGTTTTCACGATAAAGAAATTTCACCTTTTCACTTTTTACAGGGCTTGATTGACTTACTTGGTTTCCTGATCCTAAATATTAAGATGTTTTATTTTCCTTCTTCTCTGTGAATACAGGTCTCCCTAAAATATCCACAAACCTATTTGGGGAATTTAATAAGGTTTTCCTTGTTATTTGGTTCTACTGTTCTGAGACTGCCCATTGGGAATTTCATTTACCCATAAGAGACTGACATTCTTACATGGAGTGATTGCAAATTTTGTTTTTAAACTAATATCATAAATATCTTCAATTGATTTTACTTAAATGTGAGTATAATTTACATAAAATTTAAAAAGGGATGGTTCTCAACCCTACGGATGTAGATGTTAACTAATTCTTATTTATATAATTTGGGGCCTGGTATGGTCATATGGGGTATACGGAGAATTTTTAAAAAGGCTTTTTCCTATTGTCTGTATTTCCTAAATATTATGGGCAGAATAAGGTTGTATTAGAGAGAGAAAATTGCAAACATACCCTCACTTTCCACCGGCTGGATGCACATTATCTTTATCTTTATTTATTAATAAAAGACGGAATGCCTTGGAAAACAAAAGGTTTTAATGGCCGGTGCTTGGTATCCTTGACAACAGTCCCGAAAGAATATTACATTAGGGCACCAGAGAACTTTTAAAAATAAGTAATGGAATTCCGTCTCTGTTATGCTTTTAGTAGTCATTTCGGCCATGGTGCAGCGAGGTCATAAGCTGAGCTCAGTGAAGGGAGCCAGAACATGAAATGATGCTGAGAGAACGTCTGGGAGATGAGAGGTACAGAATTACAAGCGAAAGTGCAGGCCTGCTGAGGCAATTACAGCTTAATGGGGTCATTTGGAAGGCAATTGCCAGGGGTTAATGTAGTATGGAGAGATGAGGTGAGATTGAAGTGAAATTTGGGGCTGGAAATGTGTTAAGATGAAAGATCAGAGAGCAGCAAAATCTGCAGTGGTGAAGGTTTATAAAATGCAAAGATTTGAGAAAATGTAAAAAATAGTGCCCAGATGTTTAAAAAAATTATAAAATGAAAGTGACATAAATTCTAGAAAATGCAATTTCTACATAAAAATATCTTTTTCTAAAATAGGTTTTCTGTTAGGAAAAAGTAAAGAATCTGTTTTTAAGGAAGTTTTCTATTATAATTTAGATTTTTATTTAATTTTTTTGCCTGCATATTTTAGGTCACATTGAACTTGAAGAGAGTTAACGCTGGCAACAAGCTCCATAAGTGACTGTTTAACAGAATGCCACCTTTTTTTTTTTTTTTTAAACTTTAGGATTTAAAAACAAAAAAAATCAAGAAAAAGTCCTAGGTATATATATTTTGATATATTTATAATGGATTCATCACATTATCTTTTCAGGCATTAAAATATACTATATAAAATGTCAAAATATTACCATAATGTAAGCTAGCATTCTTTGAGTGGGTATTTTGGTTCTGAAAAGTATGCTTAAATATTACAGGTGTTTAAATTAAAAATGTCAAACCATGAAGGCATAATGGAAGTAATCATTTTTACATAGTTTTAAGCAGTACAGGGTTGAAAAAGCTTTGCATGCCAGACTATTGTGAATGAGTGGAGTTCATAAGAATTCAAAGGACAAAAGAGATCATTATGCTTTGTTACCTCAGCTAGTTCATTACCTTAATTGCTGAGTGTAATCCAGTCTTGGAAGAAAACTCTGGGGCTTTAAGAAGATCAACACCAGCACCTTATGGCACAGAAAATGGAAACCCTTTCCTGTACCATTGCTACTCCAGGAACACTAAACCTTGATCAAAGGCTGAACTTTTCTTAAGGTCGGCCATGTGAACATCCCCTGGAGCTGTACCATTCGCTGAACCATAATGAAGTTTAGTAGGTTCAGCACCATTTCTCTCTGACTGTGACCGTCCTGGATCACTGGCTAGCAATAGCATATTATCAGCCTTTCAGATAGGTGAGGTTTAAACATAATTATGGTTAGTAGTATAATATGCTTTTTTAAAAATACTGCTTTCATATTATGGAAACTGAACAAACTACTGTCACTATTTAACTACGTTAGTCAGGAAGCATTAATTTTTTTCCTTCCTTTTGAAGGGATTGCTATGTCTCCGTACCTAAATCTTTCGGAAAACCTTGGAAATTCCCTAACCGGTATACTTTTCCCGAAAAGTCCTTTACTATGCAGTGTGGATGCAACTGTGAAATGGTTGACTCATCTGAAGCATTTTTATGTATATATTTTTCTCACCTGTGCAGCAATTTAGCTTGGCTTTGAAGATAGTTTTCTTTTTAGGATGCATACAGTTGCATACATTACGCTTTGAAAAAATTACGCTAAAACAAAAAATATGACCTTTAAAAGCATGGTTGAGTTGCATTCATTTTATAACCATCAAAGCAACTCTGTACTGTTGTAAGGTAGAAAAATCAATGATGCAATCTTTTTCCTTTTGCCTCGTGCAATCCGTAATTGAAATGGAAAATCAAATGAACGGCTAACAGATAATTGTTTTATCAATATTCCCTGCCTGCCCTACAAGGGTCAGCATAGAATGATCATGAGCCAGGGATATGATGAGGACAAAATGTGAAATTGAACAGCAAGGAGGCAATAAATCAGCCTTGACAAGAAAGAGTGACCAGCATGTAGCTGTTGTAGGCAGCTTTGGGGACAGTTTTTGTCTCAGGTGTCTGCCCTGATTTAAAAATGTGAGTTTATAATATTTGAAGCTTTGCCACCACTAAGCTTGGCTATTTTGGGGTTATATATGCTACTAAAGAAAATCTGAGTAGTAATCTGACTGTAATTTATCTTAAAAGACAAATGTTGAAATAAATAAATTTCCACAAATTCAGATATTCTATATGGTATGATTAAGAAAGTAAATGTATAAAAATATTTTATTGTATTGTTGCATTTATGCAATAGGCCTTGACTCTAAAGTGAAAATGATTCACTGAATTAGTTTTTAAAAAATATATTCTGTAAAGTTTGTAAAAAATAAAGTGAATATTAGTTTCTCTTGCCTAAATTATGAGATTTATGTGGGTTGAAGATGTCATTTGAGGAAGGAGGATCCAAACAAAAATTAAGACTCATCTACTCATGTTTTAATTTTCTTTATTTTCCTATTAGCTAGAAATTATTATATAAATGACAGAAAAACACAGTTATAAATGCTCAGTAGTAGTACCATGTAATGTGTAGGATTGTGGGATAAGTGTTATTGTTCATGTCCACATTAAAATGAAATAACTTCAGACATTGCCAAAATATGGTTGCTGGGAGTTAAGTTTATTCACATAAGACATAAAATTATGTTGGTGAATGTATAGGGAAATTTTCAGGTCATTTTAGAAAAATATTTTGAGAGCTTAAAAAGATTTATTTTCAAATAATTTACCTAATTAGGAATTCATACTGAGGAAATAGAGACATTTGTAAAGATAAACACATGAAGATGGTTACCACTGCAATATTCTCCCCACCTCCTTCTCTCTTAAATTTTTATTAGGGTGAATTTTGAGTCACATCACAGAAGACAGAATATTACAGCACCAAACAGCAAACACAGCCAACTTATGGCCAATCCTGCCCCATTGTCACCTCCATCAGCTTTCTCCTTCTACATTTTAAAAAGTAAATCCAAGACATATTATTTCACCTGTAAATATTTCATCATGTACCCCTAAGAAATCTTTAAAAAACCATAAAATTTCACTGTATCATTATTACACCAAAATATGAACCATAATTCCTTGATATCATATATCCAAATTGTTTGTTTGAACAGAATGCAGGTAAGGTCTACTCATTGCAGTTGGTTGATATATCTTTTACGTCTTTTTAAATTTAAAGCTTCTTTTCCATTTTTTTTTTAACCCTTTGTACTTTTTTGTTGAAAAAATTGGGTTGCTTGTCCTGTAAGTTCCCAGTCTGTATTTTGCTGATTGCATCCCCATGGTATAGTTTAACATGTTCTTCTGTTCTTTGTATTTCCTACAAGTTGAGAGTTGGATCTGTAGGCTTAGTAAAATTCAGGTTTAATTATTTATTTTCCTGGAAGAATTGCTTCATAGGTTGTGTTATATTCTTATATTAGGTGGCTCATATTGTCTGCTTTTCTCTTTATTGGTAATGTTGGCGGCTATTGGTGATCAATGCTTACATCTATTAGTTTATTTGGGGTAGCAAAATAGAAATATTCTATTATTTCTTTTCAATTTATTTCTTATACTAATTTGTGAAGAGAAAATTTCCTATATCTACTACTTAGTTACTGAGGGGTCTAGTTTGCAGCATTATTCCTAAAAGGACAAATTGGAAACAGTTGAAATGTCCAACAATAGGTGAATTGATTAAATTATGTTATAGCTGTGTGATAGAATTCTACATAATTATTTTGAATCATGTTTTAGAAGAATACCCAATGATATGGAAAAAGTCCAATGTATTAAATTTATAAAGCAGCAATAAATAGTAAAATAGTAGTAGTAAATAGTAAAATAGTGGTATGCTCATAATTGTTTTCCCAAGTACTTTTAAATAGGACAAAAATACTGAAAGAATAAAGACCAAATATTTATATTATATAATGGTTACCTTTCAGTAGTGGCATTAGGATTTTTAACATTTTTTTCTTTATCCTTTTCTTTATTTTCCTTATGCTTTGCTGTAGTTTCCAACTTTTTTTTTTTTTTTAACTGTGTTTCAAATGAGCAAAATATGGTCTAGGGACTGAATCTTCTATAGTAGGCTATCTTGTCCCATCTTTCAACCTGTAAATTTAACCTGTAGAATGGTTGTAATTGTAGAGGCACAAATAGATCACTGCAATCTAAATTAAGTGCTATCTCCCCTAATAGCTTTTTGTGATAGGTGTGTTTCTTATTATCTTTGTACACCCAGATGCCTCATACAGGGTCTGGCACAGAGCAACATTAGTAAATATGGTGAATTGAGTAAGTGCTAGGGTAGGCTGACCTAGAGTCATTGCTAGGTCTAATGCGTTGATGGTTCACATCCAGCTCATTGGTGCTCCTTTATCCTGCGTGACTTACTTTGTGTGAAATATTTCCATCTCTGCTTTAGAGAACAGATCTCTCTGGAGAACCAGTTTAGAGAACAAATCTCTAGTTTGGCATCTGTAGGGCAGAACATTTCAAATATCCACACTATCTCATGAACAATGATCAGTTCTCTGGATTAGTACATCTCTCACCTAAAATCACCTCAAGGTATAGTCTCTTGATTCCAGCAGTCTTCCACATTTTAGTTTTTAATCTTGTTCTACATTATTTTTATTTTTAGTTATTTAGGGGTAAAAACATTGTGGTTTATTTTGAAAGTTGATCACATCTAGTTTCATGCATGTCATTATTTTGCCTTCCCAGGAGTACAATAGTTGTGTCTTATACTACTTCCTTTTTTCTCCCTCAATATCTAGTACTGTGGTAGATGCATAGTAAGTATTGTTGAATTAATTAGATTGGTGCTATTGCATTATTGCTATAAAGGTAACATTGTTATGGTCAGTAGCATTTAGAATAGAAGACAAATAGTCTTACTACATTGTCCTCATTGACTTGCTATCAAGTTAAAATTTAGTGTGGGATCAGAAATTAAGTTTATTGAAATTCTAATTCGTTCAAAAAGGTTTACTGAGTGCCTAATATTTTCTGGGTATTGTTCTAGACGGTAGAGATACAGTATTGAATAAAAGAAAAACAAATACCTGCCCTTATGGAACTTACATTCTTGTGGATCTGTTCATACATAACTTGCTACCATGTACATTCTGTGATAGTGCATAATAATTTTCAGGGAGTCATCAGCAACAGGCTAGATAAGCTTGATCTAGAGTCAAGTATCTATTAGCTTTTATATGGTTTTGTGCAATAGCTTGGTAAAGAACAGAAACACTTATTGAACACTTATAATGTGCCAGGTACTCTATTAAGAATTTTGATATACCTTTTCTTATTTAACTCTCACAGTACTTTTAGGAAGTTGGTAGAATTTCTGTTTTCTTTAGTGAAAAAAATGGAAGCTCCAAGATGTTAATCAGCTTGCTCCGGATCACATGGCTAATAAGTGAGTGGCAGAACCTTATTCAAACACAAGTCCTTCTGATTCCAAAGGGCTTTTTCTATAAGCATTGTTGTAAGAGAATGTTCCATAAATTCTCAGTTGTTGAATTTTTCAGAATGATTTATTTGCAGATATAACAGATAGGCTGTGATGTCCTCATGTGTGCTTTATTTATTGTGCTATCCTTTATGTAGCAGCATATCCATAAGGAATGAAAGGATATCAGGGTGCACATGGTGGATTTAAAAAAAAAAAAGGAAGGATAATGTAGGAGTCAGTTTGTTAGGCAGAAGAAGGTCATGTTAATGTTCCAAAGTGACTTGAAGTGCTATGTCACAGTATTTAACATGCACATTTTAAAATGGTACACATAATGAACCAAGAGTAGATGTTATTCTAGTTTATCATTACCATGTTTCATTGATTCTAAGATGTTCATTCTTCCCTCCTCATTTTAGCATTTCTGAAATCAAGATGCCTCTTATAATCAATATCATGTCATAGTTTAATTGACATAAGTTTTTCCTTCTTTACAGTAGCACATAAAATCATGATGAGTCTTAGATTTGATGAAATATAATTATTTATATTTTGGCAACACCCTAAATATCAATATACATTTTATTTCCTGAAGGCTGCATAGAAGTTATTTCAATCATCAGATTATTAATTTGTGTTTTCAGTGCTTTAGATGCATTAGATAAATGCTTATACTTAACAATTACCATGCAGCTTTAACGTTTTTACTTAATCAACAGTGTAACTGTTTGGGTGTTTTCAGAACATCTGTTAATATGCCAGCAAACCATAGGTATATTGGATTATTAATATATTTTGAAGAATTACGTATTATGTACTTTGTGCAGTAATGTATCATGGTTCCAAAGAAACCATCAGGCTTTTCAAGTCATTAACTCACTTTTTAAAAAGTCCTTAAATATATATTTAGATGAACCACTTAACTGTGATTTTGACGTCTTAGTCTATTTCTTTTGATAATTAATGCTACAGGAGGCAACCTAGTAGATTAATATTAAATTGTAGCGTTAAATTTTACTAACAGAAATAGAGTGAAAATGCCTTGTTCTTTTAATTTTTGTTCTTATACCATCTATTTCCACGAGAGTCTGCAGAATTTTCTGAATGATGGGAGGTTTGGCACGATTTGGAACATATGTGTCTTTGATTTTCACATGTTGTTCTAACTGATGTCAAAAGGAGTTTTTGCATTGGCAGCCTGAAGCCAGTCCATGGCATTTAGTATCTAGGTACACTGGAAGTTCAGATTTAAAGTTGAGCAAAATGCTGACTTGTGCTTTTTTGACATGCTTTGCCTTTTGAAAACATAGTAATTATGATGTTATATATATTAATTTTCAGTGTTTCCTACATATTATTTAAATATCCAAACCACAGAAAACATTATTTTTAAGTAGTAGTCTTTAAGTAAGGTAGGATGCAATTGGTATAAGTATGAATTTACATTAAGAAATTAGAAATTTTAAAGATTTAGTAAGAATAAAGTCAGTATTGTACTGAAAAATTATAATTTGTAAAGCTTCTCCCCTTGTTTTATGCAGAAGTCTAAATAAGCACATGAATTAAGTTTGTAAGCCTTATAAAAACTAAAGATAAAACTGTTTGAGAAAATCAACATTTTAAATCATGCTAAATCTCTTCCTATTTTTACTCATCCTCTTGCAGAGCATTGACAAAAATATGAAATTGATTTGGTTGAAGGGTGTTAAAGAGCCGACAGCCAAATGTCACAAACAATGAATGGCTGCAGTGTTGAAAAAATCAATAGGAAGGTTAAGCTGGTCTTGTGAAAGACTTGGCAGACTGCTCTGTTCCAGGAAGATATCTGTCTTCTGGCCTTGGTTGCATGATCAAAAGGAAAACTTGATAGGTTTAATGAAGGAAGATACTGTAAAACTGACAGTAGAAATATAGACACTGTGGTAAACCATAGTGCACATCAGTGAGTGGAGCTATTAGATATATTTTTCAGCCTGAAAAAATACTTATGGGTAGAGATGTCAAAAATATTAACATTCTTTTACTTTTTCATCAGTTCCTCTATCAGCTAATAAATTTGCCTTAAGTAAACAAAGGTTTGCATCTTAAAGTGCGAGACACAATAATTGCTGTGTTAATTAGTAAAAGAATTTCCCAAATCTGTTGATTATGTTTAAAATCTAAATCAACATTATATCTTTGCCATTCGCAGATTGTGTCCAAGGTATTAAGAAAGATCGACAGCCTAGGTAAAAAAGACAGCCATTGACTTATCAATGAAAATAGAAAGTCCGTCATTGAAAACCAAGGTGGGATTTATGATTCATTAGTACACCCCACAGGCCATTAGGAGATATTTTATAGAAGCATCTTTTTTAACACGTTTGTTGATAAACACTATGTTGGCCTAAAAAATACTTCACTGTGATTGTTTTGATCAGAGCTATATATTATGAAGCCTGACATTTTAACACATATCAAATAAGATTAAGATCATTTATAGATATGTTTCTTTGCAGTTTACTGTAGTTTGTTGTTTATCAGCTGTATACTAAGTAATGTTTTGTCTGCATTATTTTTTCACCTGAATTTCTTAAGAACTTTTATTATACTATGAAATCAATTATTTCTTGGGTGCTCACTGTGTATTAGTCATTGGGGTGCTGATACATGCTCCTTAATTAAAAGCATTTGTTTAGAAGTTTAGAGAATTCAAAAAATTTTTGCTGCTTTTTTTTTTTTTTTTTTTACAAAGAGGCAGCTCCATTTTATTTTATTAGCCTCCCTTAGATGTGGCAGTCTTTTTGTGTATGTCTCTGAGTGGATTTAAGAAAAAGGCACCATTAGTTTAAAATTCCCAAATGTGGTATTCAGTTTGGAGAAGATGATAACCTGTTTAAAAACAAATAAATAAAAAGAGCAGAAAAAAAGGGAAAGATGTCTGGCAGATTTTCTGCAAGTGGACGCTGTAATAAAAATGCCCCCTACTTTGTCAGGATGGTATTTGGAGGGCTGCTGCCATATGTTACTTTCCTTTTTAGCTGGGATTATGCCATCATTATTGCTGATAAAAGCTGTTTACTGCCTTGGCAAAGGAATGATGCTTGGAGCAGTTTTGGAAACCGCCATTCAGTTTACAAAAAAGTTCATTTAGTGCCAGATGCTAGAATCCTAGGTCTTTGTTATCTTTTCCCATTATTAGATCCAGCCATTGTCTTATTTCTTTTTTTCCCTTTATAGTAAAATGTTGCTTCTTACTACCTGTTTTAATTCAAGCCGTTAATGTGGGAGGTTATCTAAATTATTACATTCTTCATGTTAACTGATCAGTACTAAAGCTGGGCAATTTGGCTTTCGGAACAATTGACCAGATTTGGAATAAGCACTGTAGTGTGCAATGAGGTTCCAGTTTCTAAACAGCCTGAATGTGTACTCTCTTTAGTACCATTGCACATCAAGGAGAGCTTGGTTCTGTGTTTGAATAAACTGTTGGCCAATAGGCAATCTCTGGAAACATTGAAGGTGGAATTGTTTTGGGTCAAGTTATAACATTGTTTTTATTCTGTTATGAAACATTTCCCAGGAAATGTTAAATTCATAGTTGTTATAACTTTTTCTGAGAATATTACCTTTCCAGTTATTTTTCTGAGACATTTCTTCTGCTTTTAAACACAACAGTTAGTAGTGACTGCATGATTGGATTGCACTGCCCTAGGAACTTGTAAATGCAAATAGTAATAGACTTTTTTGTTGTTAATTAGCATACAATACTAAGTAGGCCTTTGATGCATACTTAATACTCCAGCTTTGTATAAGGCAAGTAGATTGTTTTATTTTTAGTGTTTTGTCAACATTTTATTAAAATCCATTTCTCTCTCAGTGTCTAAAAACATTCTTTTTCTCAACTTGCAGGACTGTCCAGTGGAGTCAGTATCTGTATAAAATGTGATGTGTTGGCCCACCCAGAGATTATACTGTTGGCCATGTTAGTATTATGCTTCAACCATCTTTTTCCACACCTCAGAATTTAAATTGTACTCCTTACCTGAATTAAGAATTACTTTAAGTGCAAAACTAACTCTTAAAAATAATGCTGACAAATTAAGGTCTCACTGATTTACCTCAAAATATAGCCATGATTTCCTCAAGTATTGTATACTTTTACTCTGATGCTTTTTCTAGGAACGGTTGCCAAGAGGACAGAGTCCAAAAATTAGTGTAAAAAACACATTTTTTTACTGGACTTCTCTGAGACTTGATTTTCTCTTTATAAAAAATGTAGATAATACCTGTTTGTAAGGGTGTTATGAAAAGAGCCTGGGAGATCATTTTTACAAAAAGAAGAATATCAGTCATCTGTTAGAATACTGTAGAATACATCAAAATGTAGCTGACCCGGGATGCCACAAATGGCCCCCTAACAATTGAGACTTTTGGATGACTTTAGGTGGGAAAAGAAAGGAAAATCCATCTTCGAATGTATCCAAGTGCAAAGTTTAATGATACGAAATTTCAATGTCAGATTGAAGTTGAAAATTTAGAATCACCTGGGTGAAAGGGTTAAGTTTCCTTATTAAAGATTGCAACTATTTGAGTTTATGTGTACCTGCTGTTTTTCAGAAATAATTTTTGATGGTTATGAGTGAATACTTATTAGTTTCTTGAATTAACATGAACACAATTTAAAAATAATTCTTAAAATAAAACCCAAGTAAAAAGTTTTTAAGCTGAAGCTATATTTTAGGGAGTAAATACTTTAGCTATGCCCAATATGAGTTAATAAATGGACACTGACATGAAAAATATGCATTTATTTAAACAAGAAACATTAATTGGCTGCTGTATACACACACACACACACATACATATATACAAACACGCAAATACACATACACATGCACAACATGGCACTGTAATCGGAATCTCTGGAGAGCACCAAGCTTTGCACCAATATAGACCTGCTATTTTAATTAACTAATTAATTTTTGTTTTGTTTTTGTTTTTGTTTTGAGACAGGGTCTCACGCTGTTGCCCAGGCTGGAGTGCAGTGGTGTCATCTTGGCTCACTGCACCCCCAACCTCCTAGGCTCAAGTGATCCTCCCACCTCAGCCTCCCTAGTAGCTGGGGCTACAGGTGAACCTCACCATGTCCAGCTGATTTTTGTGTTTTTTTTTGTAGAGACAGGGTTTTGCTATGTTTCCCAGGCTGGTCTTGAACTCCTGAGCTCAAGCGATCTTCCTGCCTCTGCCTCTCGAATTGCTGGGATTACAAGGTGTGTGCCATCATGCGCAGCCCTAATTTATTTTTAATATTAAAAAATTTAATCTATTGGACACCCCCTGCTTCCCAAATAATTGCCCTTCAAATTGTATTTGCAGAATTGTTAGTGAAAAGGCCATTAATTGTACAAATTAACATTTCTTCTCTAGTTATCTAAATACACCTTTGTAATTTTTAGTGAATGAATGTGTTTCATTCATCTTACTCAGATAGCTTTAGCTAATTCAGTTGTCTCAGATTTTCCAAGAGACTAAAATGTCATTGCTTTCTTTCCCCATTTTCATAGTCATATTCATTTGTACTTAAGACTTATAAGCATTGCAATCATTGTCATTTAGGACAATTGAAAGGGAACTTGGGTTGAAAGAGTTTGTGTTTTGGTTATCAAGTTGCCATGGGTTCCAAACTCCCAGTTTTGCTATTTATTACAGTTATGGCTTTAAACTAGTTACTGGACTTTTCTGAGATTTGGTTTTCTCATTATAAAAAATGTAGATAATATCTGTTTGTAAGGGTGTTATGAAAAGAGCTTGGGAAAAAGTGAGTACTCTGTAAATAGTAGATATTTTTATCATCAGTAAGCAAGATTGTATCAGCATGAGATGACTAAGTCAAATTAAGTCAGTTTAGTTTTATCTTTCTGGCTTATCTGCATGGAGTGCTCTTGACATGAATTCTGTCTTTCAATGGTTGATTCACTTCAGCCATACTGCATTATTTGCAGATCAGGAAAAGTTAGAGATCTCATCTGCAAGAACTTAAAACAAAACTAAGCAGAATGGAATCAACTTCAGTTTCATTTTAGTTGAGAATCAGTCCAAGAATGAATAACTGTAATATATTTAATTTTATAGATTGAGTTTAGGATA
Organism: Homo sapiens; assembly: GCF_000001405.40. Lineage (NCBI taxonomy): Eukaryota > Metazoa > Chordata > Mammalia > Primates > Hominidae > Homo > Homo sapiens. The sequence continues at coordinate 125,855,291 of NC_000009.12, forward strand.
TTTTTATTAACTTTTTTTTACAGTGACCTAGTTTTTCAGTTTCCTTATACCAAATAATTTAAAAATTATTTGTAAGTTATTTATAAATCTAGTAACATATTTACAGAATTTATACAGTACTTTAATATATTCCTATAAACTTCTTCTAATATGTAGTATTAGTGCTTCCTATTGGTATATGTTTTATTCTAATTGATCTTGACTTACTTTCTTCAAGGTAAAGATTTTTTTCTTTTTAAAAAAATTCCTTCAAATGATAAATATCCCTTCATCAAATTTTAGATGTCATGTTGACAGTATATCAAAACTATGCTTTTGCTAGGGCACATTATTACTTTTGGTTAAGTGTGTGGGTTTTGTTGTGATTTTGCTTTCATTCTAATTCTATAGGGAGAATGTGACTTTTTCCCCTGTTTGGATAGATGCATCTAGAACCAAATGAGGGCAATAAAGTCTAATAGAAAGCTTTACAGATGAAAGTTTTGTTTCTGTTTGTGCAATACCTTGTTCCCCCTTCACGTATCCTGGGAAATCATACTGATCAATAGTTCCCATTTCAGTACAACTGCAGCAAGCATTACAACTGTATAAAATTTACAACATTGTCTGCTGTAAATTTTAATTGGAAAAACCTTATAGCTTTGCACTCTATCTTTGGAGGTTTAAATCTATATGATTTTTTTAAATAAAAAAATTTACAACATAATATCATGTCATACAATTTTTATGGACATATAATATAAATAGGCCCAAACCATAGCCTTATTGGAAAAAAATAACTATAAAAATATATTTTAATGCTTAGTGCATTAAACATTTTTGCTATAGAAACAATGGACTTGGTAAAGTAATTTAATGAATGTCATAAATACGAACAATCTCAGATGAGAGATATTAACAAATAAATATATTAATAAAAGATATATTATCTGGTTTCTCTGTGTCCCAAGTGGGGCCTCTTTTTGAATCAATGTAAAATACTCTGTATAGAGCTAGTGTTCTGAACTGGAAGAGTATGAGAAAAATGTTGCTTTCTGCGCTGCTTTATTTCTGTCACAGGTCAGGCTTAAAATGCTGTGTGATACAGTTATTGACTCTAATCTGGGCATAAACACAAGTCCTCAAGCACCAGCCCAATTAATAATTTGCATAATTAACACGCATATTAAATAGGGACTGGCCTTGCATCTGTATTTGCAGTGATCGGGGTAATGAGGGCTAACGGAGCGGCGCCTCGGGCCTGGGTTAGCAGACGTGTGGCAGTAGTAATTTTTGCTTGGATTGACAACTGCTAGACAAGCAGTCCCAGCATAAAACTAAACCCCGTTTGGCAGTATTAATCGTTGACAAACTGCTCTTAAAGCTGTAACATTGTTTCTGTCAGTTGTTTGGTTTGATGTCACTGTTAGACATAATAAATCAATAGTGTCAGAATTTGGGAATGTTTGTAGCTAGCAATGTTTATTATTTCATATGACTGTCATGTACAAATAGTGGTTATCATGGTTGCCTCTAAATTATCAAAGACAGAATATTGCTTTGAATATACTTCTGTAATTCTTGTTTCAATGAATTCTTTGCCATCTGGAAATGCTTTTGGTTGGTATGCCTGCCCAATTCTATTGTAATATTCATTGTAATATTGGTGCCATATGTCCTGTTCCATGATTTTTAAAGGAATATACAGTTTAATTTCTTGAAAGTTCATTTAGCTATAAATGAAGAAGATATACCTAGCTTATTCAGCTTTATCTTCATTCAGAAATTGATATTAAATATGTGTGATAGAGTGCAAGCATACTGTGTTTCTTCACAATAGGATTTGAATTTCAGGGGATTTAAACTATATATAGGAAGGAAATATATCGTTGGCACTTATTGTTTATAGAGAAAGTACAGGCTGAGTATCCCTTATACAAAGTGCTTGGGACCAGAAGTATTTTTGGAGTTTGAATTTCTTCAGATATTGGAATATTTGTGTTACTGGTTCAGAATCCCTAATCTAAAAATCTGAAACCCAAAATGCTCCAGTGAGCATTTTGTTTGAGGGTCATGTCAATACACAAGAAGTTTTGGATTTTGGAGCATTTCGAATTTCAGATTTTTGGATTAGGGATTCTCAACTTGTATTCAGGATGCAGATAAGTCCCTTCTCTCCCCATTCTTCCCTTCTACTCTCTCATTTCTCCAAAAGCTTTAGGTAACCATTTACATATAATCCCTCTCTCCCATCTGACCCCCAGTACTACATATTTTAAGACTTTTCTTCATTTAGACTTCAAAAACATTTCTTTAAAACTTACCTCAAGAAGTGATATTATCTTTATTGTTATTCCATTAAAAGCCACTCCTATTTACAGTATTTTTGGTGGAACAGAATTTTACATGTGAAATTACTAGCTATACATGAAAATGTTTATTATATAGCTATAACATGTTCATGATAAACTGTAGTAAAATAATAAAGCCTATTTTCAATTACTTAGGAAGAATTTTGGATCTTTCTGCATAGCATTTTGATGTTTCAAGTAAAAGTGTATGTAAACACATTATATGTGAATCAGGGGATTTTATGACCTGCCAAAATCTTTTCTTTAGCAAACAAGTAGGCACTTTTAAATTATGAGCATAAGAAGTGCATTAGTTTTAAAAAGATGTAGTCAATTGGAGTAAGGCTGCCCTTAGCTTGTCATAAGAATATTTTCACCTAAAAGAGGCCATGCATAAATTCAGAAAATTATTAGAGTCCATAGGTAGAAAAACATGAAATTATGAGCATTAACAGCATTAAGGCTGGGTGTGGTGGCTCACTCCTATAATCCCAGCACTTTGGGAGGCCAAAGCGGGAGGATCACATGAGCCTAGGAGTTCAAGACCAGCCTGGGCAATATAGGGAGACCCCATCACTAGAAAAAAATTAAAAAATTATCTGAGCGTAGTGTTGCATGCTTGTAGTCCTAGCTACTTGGGAGGCTGAAGAGCATTTAGTAAGGCATTTGATGAAAAGCAAGTGTGGTCTGCTCATTATACCTCTCGTTTGTATATTGTTATGCTATAATTTTAAAGCTTATTTCCCATTTATTGTATATCTGTACATGTGCATATCGTATACATATGATAGCATAATGCTAAATGGCAGCCATATGTAAAAGGTAACAAGGGGATTTTCAGGATATAAATGAAATGTCGTAAGTAATATGACTGTTTCTTAAAAATCAATACACTGGAATCAGTGAATTTAAATGAATGGGGTTCCATTCAAAAGTGGTATTTCCAGAAAGTAAATGCATATTTCACTTTTGGGGACCCTACTTTTGAAAGACTTTGGTCCATTTTTTTTTTTTTTTTTTTCAAGATGAAGTTTCACTCTTGTTGCCCAGGCTGGAGTGCAATGGCACGATCTCGGCTCACTGCAACCTCCGCCTCCTGGGTTCAAGCTATTCTCCTGCCTCAGCCTCCCGAGTAGCTGAGATTACAGGCACCTGCCACCATGCCCGGCTAATTTTTGTATTTTTAGTAGAGACAGGGTTTCACCACGTTAGCCAGGCTGGTCTTGAACTCCGGATGTCAGGCAATCCACCATCCTTTGCCTTGCAAAGTGCTAGGATTACAGGCATGAGCCACCGCGCCTGGCCAACTTTGGCCCATTCTTTTAATTATCTTTAATAGTGGTAAATATAAAATGAATAGCTAGAGATAGTAGTAAGTTAAATGAGGTTGCGTGACTACAGCTTCTGCCCATAGACAAGTCTAAGGCCTGTGCATGTTTACAGGGAGAGGTCAGGTGGCCCACAGAGGGTGATGGAGATTTCTAGAGTAGGAGAAACGATAGTATAGGCCAGGATCAGGGAGGTGATGAGATAAGAGAAAATAGTTAGATTGCTTTTCATCTTTCAGGTCTCAGCTTAAATGTCACCTCTTTGAAAGGACTTTTTTAATTGATTTTGCTAAAGTCGGTCTTCCCTGTTATTTTTGGGCTCTGTCCTTCATAGCATTTATCATAACTTGTTTATTATTGTTTTTTGTCAAGGCCCATGAAAGTAGGGACCTTATCCCTTCTTTTGCCATTGATATGCTTCAGAGGGAAGGCAATGAAGAACATTGCTACTGCAAGGCCTCCAATGGGTGGGACTGCAAACTTGAGGAAGGGACTTCATATTTCTTTAACATGGACTTTATGCTTATGTTTGGTGCTTTTTGTTCTCTTGTCTTCTTAGAATAGCCTTATCAGGCAGTTATTAATGTTTCCATTTTATAGATGAGAAAACTGAGGCTCAGAGAAGTGACGTGACACAGCCAGTAAGCAGCTGAGCTGACATTTGAATTTGGAGCTTTGTAATTTCAAAACCCACAGGATACCACATGATCCATGCTCTGTGGAATTTGTTGGTGTGGTCAGTGTAAAAGGTGATCAATAGATATGTAATGGAATTCCTAGACAGTATTGGGTATTTGGTTACAATTGTATGACATGCATTTATAGCAGATCTGGTCTTCAAGGTTTTGCTAATTTCTCTATCGGTGTTTCCTAATATAAGCATAAAGACAATGAAAATGTGTGTTATCAGTAAAGATAGGGTTGGTGAGCTCTTCTTATATAGGGTTGGCCTATTGCCTCTCCGGTGCTCAAATGGAAGTAGCTATGTACTGTCCTTGAGGGAACTGAAAAAACACTCACTCAAATAATTTTCTGTTGGGCTTAAATCTCCTATGGGACCCCAGCTGAGAAAGGCTGAGTTAGTTTATGCCACTGTAACAAACAACCTCCAAATCTTTATGGCATTAAAACAGCAGTTTATTTCTCATACCATATTCATTGTGGATCTGTATGTGGCTCCGCTCATTGTAGTCACACAGGAATCCAGGCTAATGAATTAGCCACCATCTCTCAAACATTGCCAGTTGTCCTCCCATAAGTAAAGCAACTTCTGGATGTTTTATCTGGTCAGCATTTAAAGGATATGGCTTACAAGTAACAAATGTTCATAATTCTTGCTCACAAGTCTTTCTCTCAAAGTCATGTGGCCAACCCCAAGGGGACAGGTAGTATATATGAACTTAGCATGTGCCCAGAGGGAGAGGAGAGTTGGATATCAGTAAATGGTATGAATGACAATCACAATTAGCACAGTAGAAAACTAAAGAACTCTAGGTAGCCAGTGAAGGGTAGTGCTGCAGTGATTGTATTTGGATAGTTGTAAAATCTAATGGCCAACCAAATATGTGTTAGTGTAATGGGGAAATTGGGTAAGAAATTCCAGTGAATAAAGATTATTGTTCACATATTCTGGTGAGCACATTTAAAGATGTTCACCATTGGCCAGGTGCGGTGGCTCATGCTTATAATCCCAGCACTTTGAGAGGCTGAGGCAGGCAGATCACCTGAGGTTAGGAGTTCAAGACCAGCCTGGCCAACATGGTGAAACCCTGTCTCTACTAAAAATGCAAAAATTAGGCATGTTGGCAGGCACCTGTAGTCGTAGCTACTTGGGAGGCTGAGGCAGGAGAATCACGTGAACCCAGGAGGCAGAGGTTGCAGTGAGCTGAGATCGTGCAACTGTGCTCCAGCCTGGGTGACAGAATAAGACTCTGTCAAAAAAAAAAAAAAAAAAAAAGATATTCAACATTATTAGTCATCAGGAAAATGCAAATTAAAAGTTCAACAAGTTACCACTTTACACTTACTAGGATGATTATAATGAAAAAGGCAGGCCAGGCATGGTGGCTCATCATGCCTATAATCCCAGCACTTTGGGAGGCAGAGGCAGGAGGATCACTTGAACCCAGAAGTCTGAGCCCAGCCTGGGCAACATGGTGAAACCTGGTCTCTACTCCCCTCCCTCCCACAAAAAAAATTAATCCAGTGTAATGGCACATGTCTGTGGTCCTAGCTACCCGGGAGGTTGAGGTGGGAGAATCACTTGACCCCAGGAGGTTGAGGCTGCAAGCAGTGAGCCGTGATTGAGCCACTGTACTCCAGCCTGGGTGATAAAGTGAGACCCTGTCTCCAAATAATAATAATAATAATAATAATGATAAAAGAGCAGATAATAACAAGTGTTGGTGAAGATGTGTAGAATTTGAAATCCTCCTACACAGCTGGTGGGAAAGGAAAATGGAAAATAGTCTGTCAGTTCTTCCAAAGGCTAACTGTATAATTACCATATGACCCAGCAATTTTATGCCTAGGTATATACCCAAGAGAAATGAAAATATATCTGCAGAAAAAAAATCACAGATGTTCATAGCAGCATTACTCATAATAGCCAAGAAATAAAACAACCCAAACTGATTAATGGATAAACAAATTATGGTATATCCATACAATGGAATATTATTCAGCCATAGCAAGGAATGAAGTATTGATACATGCTACAACATGTATGAACCTTGCCAACATTTTGTCAAGTGAGAGAAACCATTTATCAAGGACCACATATTGTAAGATTACATTTATATGAAATGTCCTGAAAAGGCAAATCTAATAGAGAAAGAAAGTAGATTAGTGGTTGCCAGGGACTGAAGCAAGGGACATAGGGTGATGAGGAGTGACTAATGGGGAATTTTGAGAGAGGGTGATGAAAATGTTGGAAAATGATTGTGATTGTTGCACAACTCTGTGAATATACTGAAAACTATTGAATTGTATACTTTAGGTATATTGTATAATAAGTGAATTGTATCTCAACAAAGTTTTTATAAAAAATAGCCTGGGGGAATATAAGGAGACATATCATTTCATTGATACTAAAATGCACTTTAAATAAACATTTTCACATTTCTGAAATCAGGATGCCTTTTACAGACAATGGTGTCTTAACAGTTGCTGCCAGCCAGTTGGTAGTCTTGTTGTGGTTGCATTGCCTGTGTATACAAGAACTTGGTGTTTTTCCTGGTGGCGTTACTAGGTATATGTAGCCTCTTGATGTTTCAGTCAACAAACCATTTGATGACTGTTGCCTGGTTGTGCTTGAAAACCTTCTTGTGACATATGGTAAGAGCAACCAGCATCAAAATTTCTTACATATGGTAAGAACACCAGCATCAAAATTTATGGAATGAGTATCAGTGGCTTGGAAGAAAATTAATAGTGGAGTACTTTTTTTTGTTTGTTTGAGACGGAGTTTCACTGTGTTGCCAGGCTGGAGTGCAGTGGCACAATCTCGGCTCACTACAATCTCCACCTCCTAGGTTCAAGCAATTCTCCTGCCTCAGCCTCCTAAGTAGCTAGGATTGCAGGAGTGTGCCACCACACCCAGCTAATTTTTGTATTTTTAGTAGAGACGGGGTTTCACCATGTTGGCCAGGATGATCTCGATCTCCTGACCTCGTGATCAGCCCGCCTTGGACTCCCAAAGTGCTGGGATTACAGGTGTGAGCCACTGCCCCTGGCCAGTGGTGGAGTACTTTTTAAGAAATGCTGTATCACCAACATTCTTGATTACACAAAGGATGATATTGTATGGAAACATGGACATTGAGAACTCTGAGTCAATAAATGTTTCAGAAGAGTCAGATTTGAATGTGAATTACTTTTAGGACTGTATTAAATTTATTTTGTATGTATTTTTCTTTTCATGTGTGTACAAGAGTGATGTATGATTTTTATTTTATTTTATTTTGAGACATGGCCTCACTCTGTCGCCCAGGCTGGAGTGCAGTGGCGTGATCTTGGCTCACTGCTGCAACCTCTGCCTCCTGGGCTTTAGTGATCCTCCCACCTCAGCCTCCTGAGTAGCTGGGACTACAGGCACATGCCACTACACCTAGCTAATTTTTGTATTTTTTGTAGAGATGAGGTCTTGCTTTGTTGGCCAGGCTGGTCTTGAACTCCTGGGTTCCAGTGATCTGCTTGCTTCTGCCTCCCAAAGTGCTGGAATTACAGGCATGAGCCACTGTGCCTGGCTGACACATGACATGATTTTTTTTTTTTTTTGAGACGGAGTCTCTGTCACCAAGCTGGAGTGCAGTGGTGTGATCTCAGATCACTGTAACCTCTGCCTCCCAGGTTCAAGCGATTCTCCTGCTTCAGCCTCCTGAGTAGCTGGGACTACAGGTGCTTGCCACCACACTCAGCTATTTCTTTGTTTTTTGTATTTTTAGTAGAGATGGGGTTTCACCATGTTGGCCAGGATTGTCTCGATCTCTTGACCTTGTGATCTGCCCACCTTGGCCTCCCAAAGTGCTGGGATTACAGGCGTGAGCCACCATGTCTGGCCCTGACATATGATTTTTAAAATTGGTGTTTAAAAAGTCTAAAAGGCCTTTTCAGTAAGTATAGTAGATACTTTCTAAGAGTTAAGAAACATTGTACCCTAGTGTAATTGACAGAGTTTAGATTCTATGAAATGCTATAGTAACAGGTTAATACATTGTGGGAAGATTAGATGAAGTGATGAAGAAACACCTAAGAAACCAGCATTTCTTATCACTGGTTACTAGATGTTTCTTCATCACTCTTTTTTTCTATCTCACACAATTTTCCCTGTTCTTAATACTTAGCTTTGCCCCGTGTTTTTATTTCCTTCTCTTTTTACTAATCATACCTGAGCAATTTTTTTTCTAATTATGTAATTCCCCAGTTAAGAACCTTTTAGTTCCAAAGTGGGTGTTATTCTTGAAATTTGAGAAGCCCCTGTCTCCTTAGAGAAGCCCCTGTCTCCTTAGAGAAGCAGGCAACGATGGGGAGAATGGCTTATAAGCCAGTAGAGGGTGTTCCAAAGTGTGTTCCATGGAACAATTGAAGGATAATGAGGAAGGAGAATAAACTGTCCAGGGTCAGAGTGAACTTGAGAAATGCTAGACTAAACAGAATATTGCAGAACTTCTCAGAGCATTTAAAATGATGATATACTTTGGGATTCCCCATGAGAGTAATATAATAGGCAGCATTTCTTAAAATTTTGTGACTTGGAACCATTAAAAGAAAATCTGATTAGTATCCTGAGGGACCAGCATCAAGATAACACACTCTTTTTGAGAAGAATTTTGGGAGTCAATTATTAGAGTGTACTGCCTGGCTGTCCAGCATCTCCTAGATCAGCACTCCCCAACGTTTTTGGCACTAGGGAGTGGTTTCATGGAAGACAATTTTTCCATGAATGGGGGTGGGGGAGGATGGTTTCAGGATGATTCAAGTGCATTACATTTATTGTGCACTTTATTTCTATTATTATTACATTGTAATATATAATGAAATAATTACACAACTTACCATAATGTAGAATCAGTGGGAGCCCTGACTTTGTTTTCCTTCAACTAGACGGTCCTATCTGGGGATGATGGGAAACAGGGACAGATTATCAGGCATTAGATTCTTGTAAGGAGCGTGCAACTTGGATCCCTTGCATGCACAGATCACAATAGGGTTCATGGTCCTGTGAGAATCTAATGCCTCTGCTGATCTGACAGGAAGCGGAACTCAGGTGGTAATGCGATGGGGAGTGGCTATAAATACAGATAAAGCTTTGCTTGCTTGCCCGTCGCTCACCTCTTGCCATAGGGCCTGGTTTCCAACAGGCCGTGAACCAGCACCGGTCCGTGACTTGGGGATTGGGGACTGCTGTCCTAGATTATAGAAGACACAGATAGGAAAGGCATGAGGTGTTGTCTGGTATAAACATCTTGTTTAGAAATGGGAAAATTGAGTCTCAGAGAAATAGGCGACTTGTCTGTGCTCATATAGCTCATTTTGTCTTTTATTTTTATCAGTTGTGCATGCATAACATAAAGACTAACATTTATTGTGCCTGGCGCTGTTCGGATTACTTCCTATGTATTCATCCACATGACAAGCTGGGTAACTTGTGGCCATGCCACATCAGTATTTAAATCTACACTTTCTAGAAAGCTCTGGAATCTTCATGGAGAGAACTCCTTTGGATTGGTTGATTTCATAATTGTGAGGAAAAATGATTTTCTATATGGCCAGAGGGCTCAAGGAAACTTCAGTACTTTTTTCTACGAAGAGGTCTTATTTCTTGTTTCCTGGAGAATAAGTCAGGAGCAATTACATGTGAGTATGTTCTTATATTAGGCCTAAATCATGTGTCTTTGTGAAAAGAAATTCAGTAATCTGAGAGAAAATAATTGTGTTTCTTAGGGAATTTCTGTAGTATCTTTTTGACTATATTTGTTCTAAATTATAGATTGTGGCCTTATCTGCAGTGCTTCATTAGATAGATGAAAATATAAGTTTCTTTCCATAATAATTTCTGTTTAGTATGATTTATAAAATTATTATTACTATGTTTTAACAGTAATCTGGATGTTTCTGGTCTCTCTAAATGAGCATGGACTCCATTCCTATAGCCCCAATGGGAATTTCAGTAATAAGGAAGAACAGATCTGATTGTTTTTGCATAACATTTCCCTTTTCAAAAGACCCCAAAGCTCCTTATAAATGGAAGGATGGTGTCACCTGTCTGGAGCACTAAACTCATTTAAGTCAAACCTATTATAAAAAAGCTAAGGATTAGAAGAGACAAAGATTATGTAGTTTTACCTGTAGAAGAATATGAAATTGTCATTAGCCTATAGCCTGTTTTCATAAGTGGTTGATGTGAGAAGACCTCTGAGAATCATGTAATTAAGTTAGGCTGGGTAATGTGTCAGGACAAAGTGTGTTATATGTAGCTTACCTGCTTGCGTGCCTTCCCTGTTTTTCCCCCAATTTTTTTCCCCCCACAAAAGAAAATAGCTTTTTTTTTTTTTGGATTATAAAAGAGTCTTTGCTAGCTGTTAAAATATTTAAAAAACATTGAAAAGTGTTTGAAAAAAGCAACGGTCACATAAATCCCATTGCTCAGAGATTACCACTCTTCTAAATAGTGCTAAACACATATATATTAATTTTCAAAAGTGAGTTAACTATGCTGTTGTGTAGCTGGCATCTTTCACTGAATAGTATATTGTGGATATCTTTCCATGTTAGCAAGTCATTCTATGTCATCATCTTTACTTGGCTGCATAATATTCCATGTTGCCTTTTTTGTCAGTTTTGTCACATACTGTGTATTTGCTTGAATCACAATTAAATATCTGTATAGTTATTTTATACTTTTATGGGGGGTTAGTTTAAAATATGGCATTATTCTAACTAGAAGTGAAATCATTAATTATTTACTGGTGCTTATTGTGTGTTAATCTCATTCTTTGCACTTAACTATCTGCTGCCCTTGTGGGGTTTACATTCTAGTGGAAAGAGAGGTAACATTATAGAACAGGTTAAAAAAGATGAACAAAGACATCTCTCTGCCTAGATTGTAAGAGGGAAACAAAGAAACAATCATCATGGCTATTTTATTAGAGGAATGAGAAAGGACCAGAGGCCTCTGTATGTGTCCGGGGAGGTTTACAGATTCATGGTTTTTCAGCTTCTATATCTCGTTTCTAGCTAACAGGGCTATCCTTTGTTCTAAAATGGCAGATGTTATTTGTAACTTTGTTTTAAAATAGCATAATATTTCTGCTTAAAAAATTTCAAAAATGTCAACAATGATTTTTCTTGAAAGTGTTAATATTCCTTCTTGACAGTATCCAAAGCTATACTTTGGTGATTTCCATGGTACCTCAATACTGAATTTGATTACTCTTTGATTAGGCAACTAAATTTTTTGTCTTACTTGCTTTTTTCACCCCTAAGTCATCCATAAAGACGTGATTTTCATGGTTGTGTTAGGTAAACATAAGTTGTACTACATATGTGTAATTACAAAGCAATTGTAATGGCAAATCTAGGGTCTTGTGACATCTGTTAGTAGGGATCTTCTTATCATATCCCTCAGTGATCATTTGACAAAAATAATACCATGAAGGGATTTCAAAGGAAGCTTGAGAAGTGTAGTTTAACAAGCACACAAATGATGCATTTCACCCTACATTGATGTCGTTAGGACCATTCACCATAGATGTGTCCCCGGTCCTCCCTGAAGTATTAAAAAAAAAAAATCAATTATTTGAATAAAAGAATAGAAGCCATGGGTAATACATTTTTAGATGTTTGAATTTTTAAATGTTGCTGGAGGAATAACTATTCAAGTGTAAAACCATGACTCTAAAAAACAAAATTGTTGGGTGTGGTGGCCCACACCTGTAATCCCAGCACTTTGGGAGGCCAAGGCGGGTGGATCATGAGGTCAGGAGTTCGAGACCAGCCTGGCCAACATAGTGAAACCCCATCTGTACTAAAAATACAAAAATTAGCTGGGCATGGAGGTGCGCACCTGTAATGCCAGCTACTCAGGAGGCTGAGGCAGGAGAATCACTTGAATGCGGGAGGTGGAGGTTGCAGTGAGCCGAGATGGCACCACTGCACTCCAATCTGGGCAACAAGAGCAAGACTCCATCTCAAAAAAAAAAAAAAAAACCACAAAAACAAACAAAACAAAATTTAGTAGATTATAATATTGCACCCAAATCAATTATGACAATGATGATTGTCTTTCTGTCTCTCTCTCTCTCTATATATATATACACACACATATATACACACATATACACACACATATATATACACATATATATATACACATACATATATATATACACACACACACATACATATATTTGTTTTGTTTTGCTTTTGTTTTGTTTTTTTGTTTTGAGACAAGGTCTTGTTTTGTTTCCCAGGCTGGAGTGCAGTGACACAGTCATGATTCACTGCAACCCTGACCTCCTGGTCTCAAGCTAGCCTCCCACCTCAGCCTTCCCAGTAGCTGGGACCACAGGTGTATGCCTCCACGCCTGGTAATTTTCATATTTTTTGTAGAGACAGGGTCTCACAATGTTGTCCAGGCTGGTCTCAAACTCCTTAACTCAAGTGATCTGGTCAACTCGGCCTTCCAAAGTGCTGGGATTACAGGTCTGAGCCACTACACCCAGACTGCAGTTTTTTTTTTTTACATGCTTCCTGTGTTCTAGGCACTGTGCCAAGCACTTTGTATGAATTTATTCATGTAGTTTTCATAAGAACCCTATGAGTAGGTACTGTTATACCCATTTTATAAAGAAAACGAAAACCAGAGATGTTACATTGATTTTATTTACATTTGAAAATAGATTGTAGTTCAGTTTCTAGCCATATGGGTAGATTGAATGTGCAGAAAAACCTCACCTGGCATAGAACACTTAAACATGCTGGCTGTACAGTAAAGAACTTCATTTCCAAAGCATGGCTGAGCCAGCGTAGTGAAGTAAGACATAATGTGGGCCAGAAGAAAGGACAGAGAGTGATTCCACAGATATGAGAGCTGGCATTTATTCCAGGGGCGTGGAGTAGGGGGTGTCTGTCAGTGCTGACCTAGAATGTAGGTTTTGAAGGCATATGTGCAGCTTAAGAAACAAAATCAGAGCTCTTCACATAAAGCCAGAACCTCTAAAAGGAGAGTACTCTCACAGAGTGAACTTGCCCATGGCCCCAGGTGAGACAGACCTTAGCGATACCCTACATTCAGTTGATTTGGTAATGGAAATCGTATTTTCCTTATGGCCCAAGAAGGTTCATGATGAAAATTCAGTTTGAAGTGAATTGTTAGTACTCCTAGGCATCTGTAAAATGCCTGTCTTTTCTGGAGGAAAGCACTTAAAACACAGGTGTCTAAAAATTCACACAGATGAATTTTTGAGGGCCACAGGCTCACAATTAAACAATGAAGAAGCAGAAAAAAAGAAAATGCCTGAGTTAAAAAAGCCACCATGACTATGAGATAGCAGCAACATCAAACTGCAGGATCAGGCTGAGAAAGTCTGAAGATATTTGTATCATCAGGTACAGCAAATAAGGTAAGCATATTTTTTAAAAATTCAAGATTGAAAGTATGTTGAACCAAACAGGACACCATTAAAAGTAATAAGACAGATGTAAAAAGCAAAGAAAATTCTTAGAAATGGCTTAAGATGAGAATTAGCGGACAATGGATATGAAGAAATTACCTAGCATACAGTACAACAAAGAGATAGAAATATGAAAAAGATGTTAAGAGGATAGAGTAAGAAAGCCCAACAAACATTTAATTTATGGTTCCAGAAATAAAGAATTAAAAAATTGGAGAAGAAGCAATATTCAAGTAGATATTTAGCTGAGAATATGTCAGAATTGATGAAATATACTGGTATTCAAATAGGTAGCTCGGTGAATTCTAACTGGGATGAATGGGAAGATAACATCACCAAGGAGTATTATAATGAAACTGCAGAACCCAAAAGATTAAAGAAAAAACATTCTCTAAATCAGAGAAAAGAGCAACAATGAATAAACAGACAGCTAACTTCTCAGCAGGAGCAATATGAGCTAGAATCAATGAAATAATTTCAAAGTGCTAAGAGAAATTAGCTAGAATTATCAACCTAGAATTGTCTTTCCATGGAAAATACCTGGAGCATGGGCAAAATAAAGGTATCTTCAGACTCATAATTGAAAGCTTTCACTACCAATAGAATTCCACTAAAATAATTTCTAAAGGATATATTTTAAGAAAAAAACAAAAACCCTCAGAAGGAATGTCTGAGTAGCAACAATAATGAGAAAGGAAAATAGGAAATTTGTGGATGAGTATTGACCATGTAAAAATTTTTGGTAAAATTTGTGGATAAGGGTAAACCATGTGTATTAGTCCCTTTTCACGCTGCTGATAAAGACATACCTGAGACTGAGTAATTTATAAAGAAAAAGAGGTTCAGTGGACTCACAGTTCCACGTGTCTGGAGAGGCTTCACAATCATGGCGAAAGGCACATCTTTTTTTTTTTTTTTTTCTGAGACGGTCTCAGTCTGTTGCCCAGGCTGCACTATCTCAGCTCACTGAGACAGTAGCACTATCTCAGCTCACTGAGACAGTAGCACGATCTCAGCTCCCTGCAACCTCTGTCTCATGGGTTCAAGGGATTCTCCTGCCTCAGCCTTCCAAGTAGCTGGGATTGCAGGTGTGCGCCATCATGCCTGGCTAATTTTTGTGTTTTTAGTAGAGATGGGGTTTCACCATGTTGGCCAGGCTGGTCTCAAACTCCTGACCTCAAGTGATCCACCCGCCTTGGCCTCCCAAAGTGCTGGGATTACAGGTGTGAGCCACCACGCCCAGCTGAAAGACTCATCTTACATGGTGGCAGACGAGAGAATTTGTGGAAGGAAACACCCCCTTATAAAACCATCATATCAGGCTGGGTGATCTGACAGAGCTAGACACTGTCAAACAAACAAACAAACAAACAAAAAAACCCCATCACATCTCATGAGACTTATTTACTATCATGAGAGCAGCTCAGGAAACACCCACTCCCGTGATTCAGTTACATCCCACTGGGTCTGTCCCACAAATTGTGGGAGCTACAATTCAAGATGAGGTTTGGGTGGGGACACAGCCAAACCCTATCACCATGTAAAATAATATCTAATTTGTAGAGATTAAAGAACAAGATAACTTAAATCTTGGATGTAAGTTAAGAGAGTGGTGGTCAGAGTTAAATCATTTTAAGGTTCATTTATTGTCTGGACAAGAATAAAATTTTGATTATCAGGAAATACAAGTAAAACCACAGGGAGACATTGTTTATATACCAAATTGTCAAAAATTACAAAGTCTTATAATACCAAGTTTTGCTGAGGGTGTGGAGCAACAGAAACTTTTGTTCACTGGTGGGTATATAAATTGAATAATTTCAGCTTGGAACATTACCTAGCAAAATTGAAGGCATGTATACGTACATACCCTACCAATCTAGCAATTCCACTTCTAGATATAAAGTCTTGAAAAACTCACATGTATACCAGAGACGTGTAAAAAGTTGTTTAAATCATTATTGTAAACAATGGCTAAAAACTAGAAAAAATAGGCCGGATGCAGTGGCTCACGCCTGTAATCCCAGCACTTTGGGAGGCCGAGGTGGGCAGATCATGAGGTCAGGAGTTTGAGACCAGCCTGGCCAACATAGTGAAACCCCATCTCTACTAAAAATACAAAAATTAGCCAGGTGTGGTGGTGGGTGCTTGTAGTCCCAGCTATAGGCTGAGGCAGAAGAATCACTTGAACCCGGGAGGTGGAGCTGAAATTGCGCCACTGCACTCCAGTCTGGGTGACAGTGCAAGACTCCGTCTCAAAAAAAAAAAAAAAATCTAAAAAAACCCAGGTGTTCATGAATAATAAAATGGACAACAATAATGAATAGGTCAACAATGGAATATGACACAGCAATGAGTAGGAATGAACTCTTCCACATTCAAGAACATAATAGCACATGTAGAATGTTGAATGAAAGAGCAAGGTATAACAGAAAACATTATATAATTCCATTTATATAAAATTCAAACAAAGTAAGAATGAAGCTATAGTGTTAGGGCTGCATAGATGGTAATGTTATTAAAAGGACTGAAATATCTTACTGATAAATCTTTGTATTGATTATAGGTTACAATGATAATATTTCCAATATATTGGGTTAATTAAATATATTACAATTAGTTTTACTTTAAAAAAGCTTTAAAATGTGACTGCTAGAGAATTTAAAATTACATATGGGGTTCTCATTACATTTCTATGGGACAGAGCTCTAGAGGCAAAAATAGAATTGATATTGAGATAGGGCACAAAGGTGCTTCTAGGAAGGTGACAAAGTTGTATTTCTAGACCTAGGTAGTGGTTACATGGATGATGCTCTGTGGTCTTTTTCTATGTATGTGTGTAAAAATGCATCTTTCTGTGTATATATCTTATAATTTAAAAACTTGCTTTGAAATACTGATATTGAAGAAGTTTATGGGGTAACCATTAAAAAAATTAGATTGAATAGATTGTATAGCTTCCAGACTAGTAAAGTAAGAAAAATGAAATGGTAGGGGCAGAAAAAATTAGAGTAACTGATTCAATCCAAAAGAAGGCAAGAAAGGAGAAGAATAGAAGAAACAAAAGCAGGGCAAATAGAAAGTATAAAATGATTTGGGAGAAATAAATCTACATATATCTTACCACAGCACATGTTAAAGGATTTTAAAAGATTGCAAGAGAAAAAGTAAAGATTGTCAGAGGGTACTAAACAAACAAATAGGTACCAAACAAATAACAACATAAACCTGACAACACACTTATTTACAAGAGACATCCCTTATATGAAAGGGTACAGAAAAGTTGATGGTAAGATGATGGGGAAAGGTATACCAACCACTAGCAGAAGGAAAGGAATAGCTATGTGATATCAGATAAAGTAAACTTGAAAGTGAAGGCAAAAAGCATTTCTAGGTTGGGCATAGTGGTTCATGCCTGTCCAGCTGGGAATTCCAGACCAGCCTGGGCAACATAGCGAGACCCCCATCTCACAAAAAAATTTTAAAAATAGCCAGATGTGGTGGCACACACCTGTACTCCTAGCTACTCTGGAGGCTGAGGCAGGAGGATCGCTTGAGCCCAGGAATTTGAGGTTGCAGTGACCTATGATCATGCCACTGCACTCCAGCCTAGGTGAAAGAGTGAGATCTCGTCTCAAAAAAAGAAATAAAAATATAATAATAAACATTTCTAGAGATAAAGAGGGACACTATATCTTGATAAATGGTCCAATTAGACAGGAGAAGTGTAACAATACTAGATACGTAGGCTTAAAAACAGCTTCAAACTATAAAGCAAAAATTGACAGAATTTCGGCTGGGCGCGGTGGCTCACGTCTGTAATCCCAGCACTTTGGGAGACCGAGGCGGGTGGATCATGAGGTCAGGAGTTCAAGACCAGCCTGTCCAACACTGTGAAACCCCGTCTCTACTAAAAAAAATACAAAAATTAGCCAGGCGTGGTGGCAGGCACCTGTAATCCCAGCTACTCAGCAGGCTGAGGCAGGAGAAGGCGGAGGTTGCAGTGAGCCAAGATTGCGCCACTGCACTCCAGCCTGGGCGACAGAGCGAGACTCTGTCTCAAAAAAACAAAACAAAACAAAACAAAACAAAAATTGACAGAATTTCAAGGAGAAATAGATTCCTAATTGTGGGGAGATTTATCATATCCCTGTTGGCAACTGATAGAATAATCAGACAAAAATCTGTAAATATACGGAAAAATTTAATAATACAATTAACAAACTTGACTCAGTGGACATGTGGAGAATATATCACCAGCAACTATAGAATATGCATTTTTTCCTCAAGAATATGTAGGAACACTGAAAAAAACTTAACTATGAGTCAAACTTTAACAAATTGGAAAGAATCAGCATGACACATACCATATTCTCTTATGACAAAACAAGTGGTTATAAATGAACAAATGTAACTAAAAAATAAGTAATTCCTACAACATTTGGAAGTTTAAAATGTTTTCTAAATCATTCTCAAGTCAAAGAAATTGTGGAGAAATTGTCAAATTCTTTAACTGATTAAAAATGATAAAAGTATAGTTTACACCAACACTTAGGAAATATGACTAAAGCTTTATATTATTTTTAGCTTCAAATGTTTACATTATAAAGATTTTTAAAGTCTTCAAGTTAATTAGCTAAAATCCAATAGAACCTAAAAGAACAGCTAGATAAACCCAAAGGAAAATAGAAAAAAGGGAATAATAAAAACTTGAAGATGAGTTAAAGAAAAAGAAAACAAAGATACAATGGAAAGCATCAACAAAGCAAAAGTTTGTGCTTTGAAAATTTATGAAATTGACAAACCTCTGGTAAAGATTTATCAAATGCAAACAAAAAAGAAGGAAAGAAGGAAAAGATGCAGAGAAGAAGCACAAATAAATACCACTGGATCTGAAAGAAGATAAAGCATGTACAGCAGAAATTAAAAAGAAGGAATATCCTGAACACTTTGTCAATACATTTGACATCTTAGGTGAAATGAAATATTGGTAGAAATACAGAAATGAGTAAATCCTGTCTCAAGAAGATACAGAAAATGTTCGTAATCTTATAATCTTTGAATAAAACCAGTAGTTTAAAATATTGCCATAAAGAGAACATCAGGACCAGAGGATTTTTCTATGGAATTCTAAACATTCAATGAATTGATAATTTCAATTTTACACAAATTATATACCGTTGTAAACAAAAGTGTACTCTAAAACTAATTATATAACATTAATATAACCGTGATATTGAAATAGGTAACAATACAAGAAAGGAAAATGACAGGCTAGTCTTATTCACGATATAGATGGAAAAACTCAAAACAAAATGTTGCCAAAGTGAGTCCAGCAATGCATAGACATATAATATGGTTCAGCTTATGTCATTAATGTAATCTTGGGCTATCATTGGAAACATTAGTAAAGATAGAAGACTTGAACAATACTATCAATCAGCTTGACCTAATTGACAATTTAACTCTACCCAATAAGAGCAGAATATGCATTCTTTTGAAGTGCACGTGGATTATTCACTAAGATAGAATACATTAAATGAATCTGTATTAACTTAAAATTCTAAGTGTTGGCAAGAATGAGGAGCAACAGAAACTCTCATGTATTGCCAGTGGGAATATAAATTGGTACAACTATTGGAAAATAATTTGGCAAAAGCTATCAAAGTCAAAGATTGGCATACCCTATAAACTTGGAGCTCTTCTCTTAGGTAGATACCCTAGAGAAAAGTTTGCACATGTCTTTCTATAAATGTATTTGAATGTCCATAGCAGCTTTGTTTAACATAGCAAAAAAGGGCAAAACCCTGCCCAAAAGTCCATTAATTGTTCAATGAATACATAAAATGTTTTACTTTCATTCAGTTGAATACTGCACAGTCATGAAGTAATAATATGGATGGATGCTGATTTCAAAAAGCAAACACCAGGAAACTTCTGCTTCTGGCTATGACTAAAACTCCGTATCTATCTCCCTGGCCCATGCACTAGAGTTTCTTTGGGGATACATGGAACTCCTAGTGTACACACATTTTCATTTATAATAGATACTGCTAAATTGCCCTTTAGAAAAAGTAACTTACCAATTCGCATTATTCTGATTCTTCTCATTTCTTTATACATGTTTTGTTTTGTAATTGAAATAACTTTACAATTTTTTGAGCTTTTCTCATTAGTACTATAATGTAAGCACTTTCCATGTTAGCAATTTTTATGAATAATTTTATTGACTATACTGTTTGAGTGACTGTATTTTGACCTCCTTAATCATTTCCATCTTCTGGGACATTTCAGTTGTCTTTTGGTTTTCATTATTATAAATAATATAATGAACAACTTTGCAAAAAAGTATGTCTTTTGAAGGCTCATTAAGGCTAACTAGGTAGGGAAGGGAAGGACGTTCTACTTTAAGAGAACGAGTGCAGAGATTTGAAAAAATTGGCATTTGGGTGGCACTCAGTAAATGATTATTCTGATAACCTACCAACTAGAATTCTTGGTTCTAGTTCTTGGTTCAATCTTCCTGACCTTCTGCCGCCACCTCGCTTTTCTAATATAACTTCCTACGATACTGCTTATATCATGCTACTCAAACATTTAATTATTCCCCCCCACCTGTAGGATGAAGTTCAAACTCTCTAGTCTGGAATTTTTTGCTATTTATAAATTGGCTTTTTATTCTTTTGTTCATTCAACCACCATTTATTGTGTACTAACTATATGCCAGATGCTGGTGATAGTTACAAATTAGAAACAAGAAGATGCATGCTTATAGGATTTTGAAGAAAAGCATCTAAGAAGACCTCAACCCAGTTTCAAGATTCAGAGAAGGCATAGCTTCTCACACTCCCTTATGTCCTTTTGTCCTTGTCAGACTGGTCTACTTTCTTTCCTTAAGGACAATTCATTTCTGCCTTACAGTTCAATAATAATACAAAAAAATTCCTCATATCATTTTCTGTAGTATGCTTTAAATGTATATCATGTTTTATGGCTCCCCTTTAACTAATATGCTGTGTGCTTCCTTTAGGATGCCTTCCTCCTCTAAATCATAAAACTTATTTTTTGTATCACTCATTTGGCTTTTACTTATTTCCCACTTATACTGTTTAATGACAGTTATTTAAGAATGGAATTAAAGAATATAACAATATTATTTTCTAGTTTGTATTACAAATAGTTTTAATAATTGGCCCCTGAACAACACAGGTTTGAATTGTGTGGGTCCACTTATACTCTGATTTCCTTCCACCTCTGCCACTCTTGAGACAGCAGGACCAACCCCTTTCCTCTTCCTCCTCCTCCCCTTCAGCCTACTCAATGCGGAGATGAGGATGAAGACCTTTGTGATGATCTACTTCCACTAAATGAACAGTAAATATATTTTCTCTTCCTTGATATTTTCTTAATAACATTTTATTTTCTGTAACTTTATTGGGAGAACTCAGTATATAATATATATAACATCCAAAATAGGTGTTAATCGACTGTTTCTGTTATCAGTAAGGCTTCCAGTCAACAGTAGGCTATTAGAAGTAAAGTTTTTGGGGAGTCAAAGTTATATTCAGATTTTCAACTGTGTAGGGGCTGGTGCCTCTAACCCCTGCGTTAAGGGTCAGCTGTATTTAAATCTTGTGTTGTTATCTTACTTTTTATATGTGTATGTCTTTCTTTCTTTCTTTTTTTTTTTTTTTTTTGAGACGAAGGCTGGAGTGCAGTGGAGTGATCTCAGCTGACTGCAACCTCTACCTCCCAGGTTCAAGCAGTTCTCCTGCCTCAGCCTCCCAGGTAGCTGGCATGCCACCACACCCAGCTAATTTTTGTCTTTTTAGTAGAGACGGGGTTTCACCATATTGGCCAGGCTGGTCTCGAACTCCTGACCTTGTGATCTGCCTGCCTTGGCCTCCCAAAGTGTTGGGATTACAGGCGTGAGCCACCGTGCCGGGCACATGTATGTCTTTCTAGTGAGATTATAAACAGCTTGAGGACAGGAACAGTGTCATGCACAATTTCTCTCTCCCCTAGAGGCACACACAGATCCTTTGGGATTGGCATATAGAAGGTTTTAAATAAACATTTGTTGAATGAATGCACATTGACTTCATAAACCAAAAAATCAGAATACCGTAATAATAAAACCTTCCCTACTTAACCATGAAAGAGTCTTTTCTCATCATAAAATAAGCCTTCTCCGATTTCCATCCTGTACCCCACTTGTTTTAGACAAATCTATTTGGGTTTGCAATTTCAGCTAGATATGGCTTTCTAGTACTTCTAGGACTTGTGGCATTATAAATCATTGTAGTATCTTCTGTCACACCAGATGGCATTAGCTCTTTGTTGTGTATATCAAAGAGCTACGTAAGTGTGTAAAAACAGAGAAATTAAGAGATATGCTTAACCCATAAAATCTCTCCTTTTCTCAGTTTTCTCTTTACTAATATATTCTATTTTTTATACCGCTATATAATCTTTTTTTATCCCCCTTTTCCCAAGTTATCAATATAGTCTTTTATTCTCATCTTACTTCCACTTTACGTATCATGCTCCATAACATTTTCAGAATCTGAACCTGTCTTCAGTTCCACATTACAGTCCTACTTCTGGCCCTTGTTACTTTAGATTTGGGCATCTGTATCATCGTTAATATCATCATCAACAACATCAACAATTACTGAGTACCTATCACGTGCTGGGCACTGGGGCAGTTTGTTGTCTTACCAGATTCATCCTCAATTTGATGAGATATGAGAATTACTCTTAATCTTTTGCCTTCTTCCCAACCCCACCAGTCCTTTGGTTATTAAATTGTTTTGCTTAGAGTTCACCATCATATACCGACTGCACCTGACTAGTTAGCAGCTTTATATTCCATTCAGTGTTGTTGGTGTTTCTTGGTAGTGGAATGAGAAAAAAACACAAGGGAAAGTGCACAACCATAGTACTCTTTACTGATTTTGCCACCATTATGGTAAATTGTGATTTGTGGAAATGGAATCTCTTTTATCAAAGGTTGACTATCAGTTCCTTTTTCTGGAGAGAAGTCATTAGTTAACGCAGCTCAAGGATTTGTCTGAGAAGAGCTGCACATCAGTTAGAATGCTAATTCACTCAACTGGCAGCAAGCACAGTGAAATGACAGCTTGGAGGGGGGTAAGAGGAGTGTCTGAAAATGGCAGCAGATTGGTATTTCGAAAGGGGAGGGAAATTTCATAATGATGAATAAGAAAGATGACATTTGGTGCTCACATTTAACTTGCATTGGATGTCCATATAAGGGTCAGTATGCATAACCTCTCCTGATTAGGCCTCCGGCTGCCCAGCAGCTGACTGGGTGTATACCCTTCAGACTGTAACCAAAAGAAAGGCCTAGATAATTAGGCCAAGTTGAACTGCAGGAGGTAGCCAGCCTCTCTGCTGCCTTTTGTATATTCATGACCCAGCTTGATTGATGGAAGGACAGTGTTTGGTGACACTGTCATTTGCAAGTTGAAAGGTAGACTACAGGCTGGAGCCAAGATCAGATGTGCTTTAAAGAGTACTACAATAAACTCATTTGGATGCTGATGATGTTCACATATGCATTTCTTTGTTTCTTACTGTTTCTCAGGGACATCTGTTAATTTGTAGGAATTAGCTTGGTTTTCAGTTAAAACCTCACACTAAGTTACAGGATAGTTTTGTTTAAAAAGTTGTACAAAGTCGTTAGTGATATAAGAGGTGATGTGGGTCTCAGATGTTGTTATGTGATATTTTCACCTTCTTATGTAGGAACTTGAAGTATTTTTTTGTGTATATCTTTTAAGTGACAACATCACTAAAAGTGAGTGATTTTTTTTTTCCCATGGAAGGAGTTAAATGAAATTATTTGTGTATTTTACATATTTCAGAAATCTTAAGCACTGCTGTCAAAACTTTTCCAGTGAATGTTGCTTTTACAAAGACATGCTATTCTTTTTTTTTTTTTTTTTTGAGATGGAGTCTCACTCTGTCGCCCAGGCTGGAGTGCAGTGGTGCAATCTTAGCTCACTGCAACCTCTGCCTCCTGGGTTCAAGTGATTCTCCTGCCTCAGCCTCCTGAGTAGCTGGGACTACAGGTGCACTCCACCACGCCCGGCTAATTTTTGTATTTTGTAGTAGAGATGGGATTTCACCATATTGGCCAACCTGATCTCGATCGAACTCCTGACCTCGTGATCAGCGCACCTCGGCCTCCCAAAGTTCTGGGATTACAGGCGTGAGCCACCGTGCCCGGCCAAAGACATGCTATTCTTTATTAGAAGGTATATGAACACATAAGTTTGCTTTTAATATGATAGCCCATAGGAAAGGTCTTTTTTCATTCCAAAATCTTTTCTGTTTACTGAAAAAGTTGATTAATTTCAAACTTGTGGCAAGTGGGTTGAAAGTACTAAAAGAAGTTAGAATCATAAAACAGAAATATAGGGCTGACTTCAGGACAATCTTTAAATTGTAGAACCTAAGTTATCACAAATTATTAGAAGAATAAATGCCATATTTTGTTGATTAAAAGGACATTAAGAAAGGGAAGGGAAGATTGAGGATTATTGATGTACCAGTTTCACCAATATTAAGCTATTACTTCAATAGATCCTTTGAGGAACACCACATAGATGTGAACACTAGTTATTTTTATTTTTAATACCTTTTATTATTTAATACCTTTTATTATTTCCAAATATGCTTTTGGAAGATAGAGTTTTTCTGGTATAGCTAAATGATTATCAGTCTGAAAATGGTTTGAATACTTTCTCTGGGAAAGTCCTTAGATGTTTTATATGTTACCTAACTTCTGTTAGTTACCAGACTTCAGGTAATATACATAAAAGCTCTTTGTAAGCTATAAAGAACTATAAAAATGTAAATAGTAATAATAGTAGCTGTTGTTGACATTGTTGTCATTATTATTCTTATTATTGAGACAGAGTCTCACTCTGTTGCCCAGGCGGGAGTACAGTGGTGCAATCTCGGCTCACTGCACCCTCCGCCTCCCGGGTTCAAGCAGTTCTCCTGCCTCAGCCTCTTGAGTAGCTGGGATTACAGGTGTGCACCACCACGCCCAACTAATTTTTGTATTTTCAGTAGAGACAGGGTTTCACCATGTTGGCCAGGCTGGTCTTGAACTCCTGACCTCGTGATCCGCCTGCCTCGGCCTCCCAAAGTGTTGGGATTACAGGCGTGAGCCACTGTTCTCAACCGTCATTATTATTAACTAATTTCAGGTCGCTATAACAGACATAGCAGTGCAACAGACAAAGTACTCCTCTCATTACACTTAAGCAAAATGGCAAAGGGAGGCTTGATCAGCACTTCCAGTTATTTTCAATATTAATTATCTGACTTTTCTCTTCATCACCTGGTGCTGCAAATAGCAGTGTCTCCAGCTGACAGTAATGTTCTTGTAAAGAAAGTTCTGGAGGGTGTTGGAAACACTCTGATTACTACAGAAATCATGCTTTTTCTAAATTAATTTCAGTCTTAACTGACATTAAAGATAGGCATCTGAAATCTAGTATTCTAAGTCTGTATATTCAAAAAATCTTTTGCTGTAATTTGTGGTAATCATTTAAAAATCAAACGGTTATCTTTTAGAAAAAATTTTAATATATCCAAAATGTTAATGAAAATGTCATTTTTCTCACTTAAATCGTGTCATGATTTTCAAATGCTGGATTTTCTTTTAGAGTTTCCTTACTAAAAATTAAAAGCAAGGTGTACATTTTTTGTGCAATAAAGTAGAAATAAAAAACTGTCTTATTGAATAGAACTAGTTTTTTAAAAACAGAGTTATGCTTTCTTGAACTGCATTTAGGTGTATTGTGCATTTTACTGCTATAGAGCAATGTTCTCAATGTGTTAGTTAATGTTTTTCTCATTAAGTCTTTTCAAAACTTAAGGGTTTCACTTTGACAGGAAATTCTGGATCTTTCCCAGTGATAAAATAAACTTGACACTTGTTCCATGAAGGCATCTCTTCCTTGCTTATCAGCTCTTCAATTTATGGCTGTGCTTTGAAATTTGTGCCTGTGACTCTCATCTTTGTATTTACTCCAATTAACACATAAACCCTAATTAGCCAGATCAAGGGACTTGGGAGTCCATAAATGGAAAGTGACATGGCAGAGCTTGGCAGCTGGCATCAAGGCAAGGTGACAAAAATAGGGAAGTATCAATTAGATGACATTGATTGTAAAGCTGTGTGTTGGGATGGTAGATTTTAACAGCTCTCTGTGTCACTGGCTGCTGACTCTAGGATAGGAGTATAGGAATTAGTTGGTAAATTGACAGCTAAGTTAAAGTACTGAACTTCTGGCAGAATTTAAAAACAATAATAACTCATCACCAATTTAATTCAATTTTACATCATTATCACTGGCAATATAATTATACATTTCTACCAGAATCAATTTTTGTGAATCTCCCTGTTGATTTAGTTTCCAAATTTTTATTTTTTTACTATTTTATTATTATTATTTTTAATTATTAAAAATAGAGACAGGGTCTTGCTCTGTGTCCAAGGCTAGGGTGTAGCAGTAGGACAATAGTAGCTCCTGCATCTTGGAACTCCAGGCCTCAAGTGATGCTCCTGTCTTGGCCTCCCAAAGCCAAATTTTAAAATTATTACTTAGATGTATAGAAATCCTTGAGTCTAGACTTACAAATCCTTAAGAGCCTTAATAATTTCCTGCTCTAATGTTTTTTTGGGGAGGAGTAGTCCAATTGGGTGGATTTGGGAGGATCCATTATCATTAAGTATTTACTAAGGGCTGGGTGCAGTGGTTTATGCCTATAGTCTCTGCAATCCCAGCACTTAGGGAGGCTGAGACAGGAGGATCATTTGAGGCCAGGAGTTCGAGACCAGGCTGGGCAACATAATGAGACTTCATCTCTGCAAAATAAATAAATAAATAATAAAATAAAAATAAAAATAAAAAAATAGCCAGGTGTGGTGGCACATGCTTGTAATCCTAGCTACTATGGAGGATGAGGTGGGAGGGTTGCTTGAACCCAGGAGCTTGAGGCTGCAGTGAGCTGTGATCACTGCATTGCAGCATGGGGGACAGGGAGACCCTGTCTCACAATTTTTTTTTTTTACTAAATTCCAGACTACAGTTTTTGGATTACAGATGTAATTCAGCAATGAAAAAGTTTAGAACTTTGTAAACATTATTTCAGTTTTAGAAATCTAATGTTACAGAGAAAGACTTGTGTCTCAAATGAAGAGTTTTATCAGGCTTTGTGTA
Source organism: Homo sapiens (assembly GCF_000001405.40). NCBI lineage: Eukaryota > Metazoa > Chordata > Mammalia > Primates > Hominidae > Homo > Homo sapiens. The sequence continues at coordinate 125,882,389 of NC_000009.12, forward strand.
TCTCTCATTACTTGAGACGGCAGTAGACGTTAAATATATAAAAGCTGAGCTGCTTCTCTGGTTTTGTAGTTTCAGCTGCCTGGTATTTAACATTGGTTCTATTTTTTAAGTGGGTGGTTGGGTATTTGTAAAGAAGGCGCTATAGGTTATTGGAAACACGCTCTCTTATCACTACAGAAATCATGCATACTTCAACAGATTTAGAATTGAATTTAGAACCAAAGAATGAAGGAGTTTATTCTTTCCTCTTAAGACTTGGTTGAAATTGTGTTGTAAATACATGTTGTCAATTGGATATTAGATGGTAGAAGTTATATATTGAGTTTCTTCATTTTGGATAGCCAATGGCTCTGTAAGCCTAGTTGGTATTTTGCCTGCATGTAGATATGGTCTGTAGTTATTCAAGCAGTGTATTTTAAACTTAGGTTTTAAACTGAAATTATTTTAGTCGCTATATACCCCCCGTTTCAAATACTGCAGAAAATGGGGAAAAGAACTCTGAAATGATGTATTTGAAAAGTTGTTGTTTTAGAGAAGTATTTGCAACATTAGAAATCTGACAGAAGGTCCATTTACATAAATGTTTAACTGAAGACACACAAACATGTAACAAAATGAAAATGTTTCATACATTAATTTGCTGCAGAAGGAACTAACATAACAATTAGAATAACATTCTGCCTACTTAGATTTAAATTTCCTAGGGCAGCGATAATACATAGTGTTGATGTAGTTTAAGTCTTTTAATATATACAATCATTTATTCTGTTGTTAAAATGAATTCTAGTGTTTTAAAACATTCAAACACGGTAAACTTAGATAACTAGAAAAAGGTGTTAGGCTTACAATTTTTAGAGATTTGTAAGTTCTCTCATCAGCTCAGAGTCTATCAGAAATACTTAAACAGTTTCTTTTCTAGCTTGGCAAAGAAATGATGTCTGTATTTTGTGATTGTGAAAATACCAGATACTGTCATGAAAACAGTGAACCTAAGTAATACAAAAGTAATCTATACGAGGCTATTTTGTTTTCTTGCCATTTTCAATCATTCTTGTCAGTGGTACTTTTTTTCATGGCCAAGTTGGTAACCTTCTTTATAAGGAACACCCTAGCAACAACTAAATATGTGCTATGACTTTTTTACACCAAGGACAGAAATTGTGAATTAAAATCAAATGGTTTCCATCCTAGTTGCGTAGCCAATCTCTTGACTTTTTTTTTTTTTCTGGGCACGCTGATCCCAGTTGCATGGTCATATGTTGTAAACCACATGGAACTATTTCAAACTGTGATGGGGAAAGTAGCAACTGCAAACATTCCTCCTTGAAGCAAGTGGTTGTCCTAAACTGAGCACTGTAGAATAAAAATGGAAACATAAAAATAGCAGTTGGAAAGATAAAACAGCATTTATAGTACTAATAAAACCATGTGGCTTCCACAGGAAAACATGCTTTGTAACCTAATGCTTACCTGAAAGGACTGTCGAGTTTCTGAGAGTTATAGCTGTTTTTGTAAGAGAAGCACAGAGATTTGCTTGAGGGCTGAGTGATAGATTCGCCTGCCTGAAGCATCCCAGTGTGTTTATACATGGCTTGTATGGCAGCTTTCATAAGACATTTACCCCATGATTTGCGATGAGCTTATGTGTGAATAATTAATGGCAATTAATCCTTAATTACAGTAATTAGGCAAGTCACAGGAAATTAAGCTGCAGCTGGAGAAGACCATGCCTGGAAAGAGAGGATTGGGGGCTGTGTGAATGTGCCATTTACTGACAGCATTACTAGGATGCGCAGTATTCAGCAGCTTTGGCATTTCTATTGGCAGCCTTGGGTAGGACAAGAGTGCTCTGCATTAGAAGCAATCTATAGTTGTCTACAAGAGTTTTAAGTTCAAGTGCCAAAATGTTGTGTTGCATATGGTGATTATCTAAGTTTATTGGTTGCCATAACTCAAATGAGTATAATTGTTTTTGGCTTGATAACAGTGACATTAGAAACAGGAGCTTTTATGCATTCATAGGTTCTGTTGGCATGAGCCATGATGCAACTTTTAGAAACAATTCATCCAGGTTTGCAATTATGAAGCAGATAATGTGATTGTCTAGAAACTGAGAGAATTTCAATCAAGAACAACAAAACCTATACTCTCTTGGTTGAGGAGTTAATTACTTTATTACTAGTTGCCTTTCCCAGTTAAGCAATGGGTAGTACACATTATACAGGAAATATTCATTGACTACATTCTCCAAATGTAGGAAAGACTGAGACTGTAAAAATTTTAAATCATTCACACTAAATGCCAACAAACACTAGTGTTGAAGAATCTAAAAAGAGTGTTTTATAAACAAGCAAAGCAACCACTCCATAGAGAGCAGCACTTCCCTGTAAGTACCTTGTAAGAGATGTTTATCCTTTATTTGGGGATGCATAACTTCTTTCATCATCTATGGGGAATTAAAAACATCATATGGCTATTGTATACCTAGATAAAAGCATGTAGAGAGAAGTATCATTATGACTTTCAATGTATTTTCATAATTAATTACAAATTTGAGCATGAGAAATATCTTCATTTGCCCATTGAATGATAATGTTTATCATTCATTTTTCTCTTTGAACTTCAGGGCACAACAAGAAGTTGGGCACACAAATTCAGCTTAGGTCAACTGTTAAAGTAACCCAGATTATGAATCTGTTACAGTCATACAGCTATTATAATAAGTAGGGTGCTCCTTGATACCAGCACAACTCTTGGGAAAAGGATGCATTTGTCAGATAAAGTAGATAAAAATACATACATAGTATTGTTTTTATAAAGGTCTGTCATATAGTTGGAGATATTTGTAATGACTTCACCTTTTGTCCTAGAAAGGAAATTTAGTTTTTCTTTCCTTTATGGTTTGTGATCATAAATATTTAGGGCAATAGGCTATTTAGGTTATTAAATGCTAAATATGCAAAGCCTCTTTTTTCAAGAATATCTTTTCTTGTAAGACCAAATTGGTAGAGAGTGAAGTTATATGTACATATATAGATTATTCCCGTCTGTACTTCTGGTTCACTTTAAAGAGGAAGTAAGTCACAATATCCTAATAATGGTCTTGATTTTATAAATGATTTTTCCCCTTGAAATAAGCAACACATTCATTTTAATATGTAGAATCAGTTTGCTAGCAGGGCGACAGTTTAAAAAGGCTTCCAACTGTGACACAAGTGCAACCATATTGCTTCCTATTACTCGCGAAGGTAGTTGTTTAGAAGAGAGAATGTTCTCCCTGGAAATGTTTAAAGTGCTGTAATTTTATTTAGGATAATGAGGATTTATAACCATTTTGCCATATGAAAACCTGCCTTTAGACAGAGTGAAATAGGCTGTTTTGGTTATTGAACGTTCTTAACTGTAGGGGATGTGTGTGTGTGTGTGTGTGTTAGTTTTACAGCAATAAGTGTTTACATTGGGGATTGTGCTGGTTTATTCTATATGTTGGCCTGTGTTAAATATTAAAATATTAAATGATACCATTTAGGTTTGGCCCATGTAAATGTTTACATTTCTTTGTACATGGGATTTCTCTGTATTGAAATGTAACTAAACAGAAAGTCTTTGTTCTTGTTTATAAAAATAATGTTAATAGTGACTGCTAGGTATCCCTGGGGCCCTGAGTCTTTGCAACTTTGCTCATGTAAGTTGTACTGGAGGAAGTTATTTTGAGTGATGGGTAGATAGTGCATGGGGAAACAGTTGTGATTAAAAAGTGTATAGCAGGATCTATGTTTTTAATATTAAGTGTGACATTAATGTAGTGTATATTATCATTAAAAACTATTCTAGAAAATGTAAATTTGACTTATTTTGTTAATGCTATATTCTATAGCACTGTCTCAAAACCCACTGTGGAATAGTTTATATAGGCCTCTGCCTCTGATATGGGAGGGGGAAGAAAGGAACACAACAGTTAAGAGATTTTTATCAGGTTTTTATCTCCTCACTGAAAATCTTAGTTCTCAAAACATTTCTAATTTCCCTCATTTGAAGGTTCAAACAGTTTCAAATTACTGCCCATGGATTGTTCTTGACATCCCGAATGGTAAATTTGAGCTGTGGAAATGCTGGAATGTGTTTTTGTGCTTTTCCTGAACAAGGGAATTCAACGGGTAAATTACAGTCATTTACTGGGAGTGTAATTTACTGAGAGCCTTTAGGCAAATGCAGGAGAAAGGACAGCAGCAGAACGGAAAAAACCAGCATAAAAACTGTTTTGTGTATTTTTTCCCTTTTCTCATTAAGTATTTATTCACATAAGAGTTTTATGAATTAATGGATGGTCCTACAATTAAGACAGATAACCTTTATTCATTTTTACCACTGATAGATCAAGTATTGAGATAGTGACTGCTGTGTGAAAATTACAACTTGAACAACATTTCTGAAAAATTTTTTTATTTTGCATTTAAATCCATGTTTGCCTTATTGAAGATTTTAAAGAGACATTACTCTGTCTTCAGAATGATTATAGACTTCACTAATTTAGATTTTCACTATACAGCAGTTCATATAATAAAAGTTTTTAATTTTTTTGGTGGACAAATTAGTAAAAAGGCTTTTCATACTTTGGTCTTGGAAAAATACTATTCTACTTTTGTCACATATCATGGAAGAATCTCATTTTAAGAAGAAGACAACCCAGACCATTTTGGTTGTATGCACAGCTTTCAACCAACACAAGATAAATAACCCAGCCATTTTATTAAATTGTTGAAGAGAAATTTTATGAAATTGTCAACTAATTCTTTATAATATAAATATATAAACATTTGTGGCAATTCTTATAAACAGTTCTGACCAATTCCTTTCATGAAAAGCAGTGTGCTCTGTAGTAATTGCTAAGCAAACAGAAAGCTGTGTTGCAAAGTGGTTTTGTATAGCATATTGTAATTTGACACTTAAGTTGTGCCCTGCATTACCCTGTGTCATAATTGATGGCTAAAGAAAAGCACACGCTATGCTAATCATTTGTTAGAATAGCTTGTTAAATTGTGGTTGCCAATTTAAAATAAACTATGGAATGCTGACTGTATTTTAAGGTTTTGTAGCCTACAGTTTTAAACAGACATTTTGAAGCTGTTTTTTAACTTTATGTTGCGTATGCACAATTCTGCCTTTGCACACAAGGTCAGCATGTTTGCCAGTTTAACAACATATTATCAAGAACAGAATCAGTGAGCTGCAGGTTTCACATCAGTATCTCAAGGGACTTTTCTGTGTATTTTTGTTTTTTGTGTATTGATCCTAAATTTGGTATCTTTTTAAAAACAGTAAAATTGATATACATGAGATTTTAAGTTCTTAAAAGTAAAAAGTTCCAGAATTAGAAAGCTAATTTAGTTGTTATTAGAAAGTAAGGGTAAATTTATCTCATGTTTATCAAGCATAGTGTCTGGACATAAAGCAGCATTTGTTAATATAGAAGTTATTAACTACAAAATGCCAATAAGAATTTTACTGCAGTAAAATGAGATTCAGGAGATAGATTACTGTGCATAATCAGCTTGTGAATTCTCATTTCTTAAGTGCAAATGTGTGATGAATCAGTTATATCATGTAAAGAGAGAGGAATCCAAACTTGGTGTGAATGTTGACTTACATGATAAGTGTAATAGATAGACTTCTACTACTAGTAAAAGAACTGAAGCATGGTGAGGAATATGTGCATTTAGACGTAAAAGAAATGTTACCTCTGTGGAGAAAAATGATTTAATGTGGGTTATTCATTTTTAAGAGATTAAAAATGACTTGAATATAATACCTTTAATTTGTAATAATGGTCTGACGGGCTGCTTCCTGTCTAAAGTAAACCTTTTGATCGGCATGTCCATTTTGATCTCTTCTGTCGTGTAGTGTACTGAATTATTTTCAGTTATTGTACCTATATTTAATTAAGCCAGTAAAGACATGCAGATGGATTTAGCTCTCAATCATTTAGTAGACAAATACGTGTAAGGTTATTCTGTAGCATACAATTGACCCTTTGTATGGAGGAATTCCTTGAGAACATTCAGGATTAAGTCACTCTGCTGTAGGAGAGGAGAGGCGGCATACATGCTTTACCAGAAACAGATGCTCTCACTTGATGGCATTTTTTTGGGAGGGATACGATTTGATATTTCTTTTTTTTTTTTTGGCCGTTTGTTTTCTAATGTATTTCCTCTCCTAGATTGGGTACAAACTTAGTAAAGTTTTGGACTTGATTACTTACTCATTATAAAAACAGCATTAATGAAACTGGTAATTAATTTGTTCATAAATTTATAATGCCCTGTTTCAGTCTAAATGAATTCTAGTAACTGTTTATATTTGAGATATAAATTCTTAATTTTTAAAATAATTTTTATGGCAGGCCAATATAGTAGTCTGGACTGGAAAGTGTAAGCAGGATTGGGTGCTAATTTAGGTCAGGCTGCATTCAGATTTGGGAAGTCACCTTTTCAGCTCCTTTGGAAAAGAGGACACATCCAATATGGAATATTCTGGATGATTATGAGTATGAAGTGAAAATGTTTTTCCAAAAATGTACATTTTTGGGTGTAAAATATGCTTTGGGAATTTACTCTTTTGACTTTTAGGTATTCTCACCCACAGCAGGTTATGAAAGGGAAAAGTCAGTGACCACGTATTACAATAAAATGGCCTTAACGTAATTTGGAAGTGGATAACAGCCCTATACACCAGACACCTTATTGCAAGGCTCTTAGCATCCCCAGGAACGTAGGCCTTAATTTCAGTTAAGTGTGGGTTCGCCCACATCCCCGTGGTTTCTTGGAATAACTCACTGACCCGTGGAGAGCTGTCTCCTGGTCCGGGCCTTTCCCTCTCTGGCTGTGGGCTGTTGAAGGGCGTCTGCACACGTGGGGAGCAGGGGCGCTTGCACACGCACGGGCCGAGCCACGGCTCGCTTGGCAGTGCACACACGCAGCGGCCTCGCCCCTTTCCTCCGGTCCCGAGTTCTGCATAAAGATGTGTTAGAAATCTCGTTCCTAAAGGATCTAGAACGATAAATAATGGATGTATGGGAGCTCGGTTTAAGCTCGAATTTTCTTTCCTCAGTAGTTTTTGTTCTCAGTCACCTTGATGAAACAATCTTGAAGCCGCTCCGCTCTCAGTGGCATTTGCAATGAGTCCCTGACAGGCTGATTTTCCACCCCTGTTGTGATGCTGCTTTCTCTAGTTAATATTCCTGTGTAAGTGTCGCACAAAAGTAAACCCAAAGAGCCCGCACATGACACGGAGGCTGCTCCATTTACATTAATTATGCAGTCAGGGCGGTGAGAATTCGCTGTCAGCCAGCAGGGCGGGGGCGCGCCGCGGCGGGGAGCGGGGCCGGGCCGCGGGGCCTCCCGGCGCGAACGCGGGAGGGGGAGCCGGATCGCCGTCCGCCGCTCCGCGGCTCCGCGCTGCGAGAACAATGGGCGCGCCCGACGCCCGCCCGCGCTCGCGCTGCCCGGCGCGCCCCGAAAGCCGCGGGGCAGAGCGCCCTGAGCGGTCCCCCGCGCCGGCGGCCCCGGCTGCGCCCCGCTGTAGCAGCTGACCTTAGCCGGCTGCGGCCGAGAGAACGCGCGTTGCCCGCCGACCTTGTGCCCTGGGGTCAGCACCCACTGCAAGTCAGAACCTCTCCGTGGTCCCAAAGTTAGTGCTTTTCCAATCCAAACCAGAAACTTGATTTGAGGCCTGGCGATGGTAGAGGATGCATTTTCTTGATTTCAAACATCTGGGCTGCTGCCGACTCCGGTTTCTCAGAGGAGGACTGCATAACCACCATGTGAACATTTTCAACAGATAGGAAAAAATTCCCAACCAGCTTCAAAACAATGGTGGTTGAGAAAAAAATAACTAAGCCTTCACCATAAGTATGAAACATCATCTGGGAGGTTTTCCCACGGTAATTGGCTCTGAAGTATCCTAACTTAATGGTTGTGTTTTTCAACGGGAGACTGAATTCCAAAGGGAATTCCACAGGGAATTTAAATGTACAAACATTTTTTGAGTACCTACTATGTCCTAGGTGATGGGAAATTATTACCTCATTATTACTGGTTGGAAAACATTCCAGAAAACCAAAATTATTGCTCTTTCCAGGATTTAAATACGGACACCATAGAAAGATTGCTGTTGTCACCACTGCCTTCCCCCATCCCACCCCCAGTGACTTGGCTCTAGTCAAGAAATATTGGGGATGGTGGGGAGGATAAATGTGCTTTCTCTATTCTTTTTATACTTTTAAAGAATATCAGCAAAGATTATTGTGCAGTATTTCTACAATGTAGTGTATGCATCTAATTGTGTGGGAGTAGAATTGTATGTTTGCAAGGAATGACTAGCCAAATATCAGAGCCAGCAGAACAACAGAGCACTGAGATTTGAAAAGATTAAAAAAAGAAGCCTTGCCCCTTTTTAGATTAACAAAACAGTTCCATGGTAATATTTTGTGCTTTTCTTTAAAATAAAGGATTGTGTGCACAGCATTTAATGAGTAAATCCTGTCAAATTTGGCCAGGAGCAATCACACTGAAAATTTTTCCAAAAGGAACTAGGCCATCCTTTCAAGGCCATGTGTAGTTGCCAACCATGATAACATTTAGCTCTGTCCTAGCCAAAGTCATAATTTCTGAAGAAACCAGTCTAGTACCTTTATCTTTTTCTTTCTTTCTATGTATGAAATAGATAACATGTATTACTTTAAAAATGTTTACTCTTTTCTGACGTTTGTACTATGCACTGGTTCCAAAAATGAACTATTTTCAAAAACAAATGACATTTGCTTCCTTGGCCTATAAGGAAAACATTGATCTTTCCCATATAATACATATTTTAGAAGTCACTTTTAAGTACTTACAATTTATTATTATAGATAACCGTTTATTTTCTCAAGTGAAATATATAAAGATGCAACTATCTAAAATGAATGCCAAATCATTAGAAGTTGATATCTGACCATTTGTGACTTAGAAAATGGCAGTTCCGTGAGGTTCAGTCAAATGGACAGTATTGGTAACAGGAAAATGAAATGAAAAAGCAGAGAGGAAAGTACTTAGGTACTTACAGCCATTGTGTAAAAATGTATGGATGTACAAAAGATTGCAATGTGATGTTACACAAATAGAATAAAATGTTTATAGAGTTAATTTTTTCTCCTACTACGTTGCTTGAACTCACAATGAAAGAAAAATTCAAAAGTTTGTTTTCTTTTAAGCCTTAGGAAAAACATCTCTATTCTTTAAAAATGACAAAGTTAAAAACATATACCAAATTTAGCCATTTAACCATGAGCCCTTGGAATTTTAACCATGTGTATCTATGTATCATTATCTGTACATATCCTAAGTATGTAGTCCCAGAATTTTGTATTTTGACTCTGTTTCTATTCTATTTAAGAGTTAAGGGACTACTATTATGTGCATTTCATCTTTAATTTTACCCGTATGTAAAGGGAGCTTCCGAAATTAGGCCTACCTGTTCAATCAGCATTTTATTTTATTTTATTAATTTTTTTGAGACGGAGTCTCACTCTGTCCCCAAGGCTGGATGCATTGGCGTGATCTCGGCTCACTGCAACCTCTGTCTCCCAGATTCAAGCAATTCTCCTGCCCCGGCCTCCCGAGTAGCTGGGATTACAGGCACTTACCACCATGCCCGGCTAATTTTTGTATTTTTTTTAGTAGAGATGAGGTTTCACTATGTTGGTCAGGCTGATCTCCAACTCCTGACTTCAAGTGATTTGCCCACCAAGGCCTCCCAAAGTGCTGGGATTAGAGGCATGAGCCACCACTCCTGGCCTCAATCAGCATTTTAATTGGAACTGTATTTACAACTATGGCTCAACTTTTTTTCTACCCATTCAGAACAGTTTGTATCGTAATATCATTTACATAATGGTTTGCTTTTGATGCTATCATCTGTGAGATTTTTATCTCTGAGATAAATTTCCAAAATAAGTTAATTTTTAAAATCAGAAAGCAGAAGTGATAAATTATGAATATATTTATTTTAAAAATATTTAAATAAGATACCCACCAAAAAAATCATATTCTTACATGGTATCATTAGCTTTGACATCACTGTATGGTGCCAGATTATAGTGATATGAAGCTTATGATACTATTTCACATTTTTATGCACTAAATAAAACCTGCCCTGTGTTTTATTACAAAGTAGGTGGCCTGAAGGAAAAATATATGTATTCTTTCCTTTTGGTATAAAATATGCATTTGGGCTTCTCATTTCATCCCCAATCTGTGTTATTCCTTAAAAATGCAGAACTGCCTGAAGTCCTCTTTAATATTTAATTCAACAACTTTTTAATCTGTCATTATGCTGTGATGAAGTAAGCATCAAGTGTCGCTGAAAGAGATTAAATTATACTTGGAAATAGGAATTGAAATGATTTAGGTTTGGAGGCTGAATATTTGCTTTGCACAAGTAATAATAATAGTAGCTTGGGTGAAGAAGGGCTTTGGTTTGGCTTTAATGTCTTTGCCTCGCTGTGCTCCCCTGTGGCTCCCCCTGATTTACGCTAGCATTACAGAGCTTTATTTTATTTAAATGGAGGTAGAAAGTGGAAATTACTACACTACAATACATTAATTACTCCATACTATTTCTTTGTACTGATTTCCCTTTTTTCTGTAAACATCATAAACAATGGTGCAACCTACCCAATGGATAGCAGCTGTAAGCAATCCTGTAGTTCTTGTTAACAAGCTTATTTTAGAGAGGAAAAGCAGTAATAATTAATATCAGTCTATACCAATAGTGAGAAGCAAAGAACATTTATGCTTTCCCTTTCATAGGGAATGATGTCCTACATAAGAATAAGTTGTGACAGTATATGTTAATATTTTAACTGTTGCATTTTACTTCTTGCTTTTAAAATCGAGACTTTAATCTGTGGACTCTTTTGCACTTAGAGACAAAGGTATAAACTTTCAGACTTCTTAGGGGTTCTTGAGTTGCTCAACAGGTGATGAATAAAGGCTAAACTCTTTGGAGTACTACTGGGCTGTGCATATCTTCAGATCTTCTGTCATCTGGAAATCTATCCAGTGGCTTCTGGCTGCCCAGGCTACACGAGGCCAAAGCAATCAGTGTTTAGTGGAGAAAACTAATTGAGAAATTATTTGATCAAATACACAGAAGAGCCCCATGTGATTGTTTGAAAGAATGCTGTATTTCATTTTTATTGTAATGCATGTGCATTGGTGGCTTATATGTATACTCTGGCTCTGTCTGTAATGAATGTCTTCAAAACATACCTTCATTTGTCATGATTTGGCATGTTGATGGTCCTTTTCAGAATAAGCCTGAAAATAGATGAAAATCTTGATGTGCAGCACACCTGTTAGAACATTCACGCTTAGGAATCCAGTGTATCTGTATTTCAGATGTGCACTTCCCTAGCATTATGGCTTATCATAGAACAATAATAAAGAGAAAGGGCCTCCTCCTTACTTTTTCAAAACATTCTAAGTGAGATACAAACTTACTGCAGTAGGTTCAGAGTGATCTATTAACTCCTCAGATTAAAAAAAAAAAGTAAAGCTGGCAAAATGTTTTTAAGCTCACAGTTTTTGTTACCTGTTTCTATTATATATCACCATGGCTACATATAGTTGCACAAAGCATAAAACACTTGAAAAAGTACAAAAGGCATTTTGTAAATAGTATATTTTTTACAGAAACTATTTTTTGTTGGCAGCTTGAATTAATTTTATACCCTGCATGATTGGATATCCTGAATATTCACTTATTTACTTTGTCAGTGAATACCCAAGCCATAGAAGGTGGGACAACTGTGTGAGCAGCATTCATTAAATACTCACTTCCATTAAATATTTGAAAATAAAGTTCTGTTGTTTTCGACAGTAAATTACTTTGTTGTAGTTTATAAATATATACTTAGAGAACTGAGTCCATAGATTTATGATTTAATGTTTTGATCTAGGATAACCTTTTAAAATAAATCCATTTTTTAACAGTTGGTCTCTGTTTGCCCACATAATGTTATTCCTATTAAGATATGCATTTGTTAACATGTGCCTGTTTTTTTTGCTCTAGCACAAGACTAGTTGCTTTTCTGAAACCTAGTGTGCTTGTAGGGTAAAGTAAATGCATGTCTTTGTAGAAGAATAAATAAAAAGAGCAACCTGAGTCAATAAGTGGGTTCAATTCATGCCTACAGCCATGGCGGACAGCTCATTTTGTAGATGTGGGTGTTTTGTTTACATTTATAATGCAGCTTTATTTAATGCTGACAGATATAGCTTGTGGCAAATGATAGTCAGAATGTATGAGCAGTCATAATGCTTCTGTCTTCTTATAGTGTGCTGCTGAAAATAAGCAGTTCACCTCTGTTTTTATTGAGGAAAGGATATGAGACAGCTATAGCTTCGTGAGGCTATTTATTGAGTTGTTTTACTAGCTGTGAACATGCCGCTTTATAGCAGTTGTGAAAATGGACTTTGCTAGTGTGTGGGAAAGGAAATAACATTGCAGTATACAAGGGTAGTAAAAAATCTCTATAAATAATTTTTCAGACTGAGGAATATTCTCATTTAAACAGGCAGAATGGGTCGTGATTTTGGGTAGGTGTCAGTCTCCTCAAAAAAGTCACTGGGTTGGGATTCATCATATAATTCAGAGAAAATTTTGATTCTCTAAGATTTAATTGTGTTAGAACTTAAGAAGTTTGTGTTTATACATCCACCTAGATTTGGCACAGCATTGTGACCTTTGGGGCTTACAGATTTGTGTTAACTGGCTTAAGGATATAAATGATAAAATGTGCAGTAGCCTGCATGTATGTGTGATAAGACATACCTGTAAGCTAATTAATACTATGTTATTTAAGAATGTACACATGATAGAGAAACCTATTTTCACATACTGTTTATGTATACAGTTTACAGAATTCAGATGTGTAAGTAGCACACAATTGATATACAAATTTTGAAGTATTGGTGTTTTGACCCTAAGGATTTATTATTCCAAATAACCCAAAGGAAGTGACAAACTACCACAGAATTTAAACTTGCATTTTCTTTCACCCCTTGGAAATTATAGGTACTCAGTACACCTGGAGCTTTTAGCGCTACAACGAACTTTTGGTTTTTATACTAGTTTCCTTTTTCATCCACTAAATCTGTCCAGGTCTACTAAAGCTTTTTGATGTAAGTTATTTATTGGCTACCATAATTGTGATAGATATAATACTTTTTATTCTTAAACATAAAAAGAAGAGCATTAGAGCTGTACTTATTTGAAATTTTATTACTTTTCTATTTTATTCAAATGTTCATCATACAGCAGTAAGAAGGTACGCAAATAATATTTTCATGCATACAAAATAATTTAGAAAGCAGTGTGAATCTCAGCAGGTGTTTCTTCCATGTCTGTGTTCAAATTTCTAGGGAACACTGAATATTAAATTGAAATAACCTTCCCTTGATATTATGCAGTTAAAGTTCAGTTTAATTCTCAGATAAGGTTTTCCTGGACACATATCATTTTCCTCTCATGTAAATAAAAATCACACTACTTAGATTTTAATACTTGCTACTTTACAAAGTAAATCAAACTGCTGCAAAATACTCACTTATTCCCTTTCTTAGTGCTTTTATTAAGGCATTTCTGTTACCACTAAATATATGGATTATAGAGATGCTGTAAAAATGTTCTTATTTCCTTCTCCACTGGCTGATGAAATGGGTTAATCTCTCAATAGAGCTATTTCCTTAATTCACCACCTGTTTTCAAATCCCTAGTAACCGACAAGGTAAGCAGAGAGATTCCTCTGTGTGTGCCTTATGTACCTATTTCACAGAGAGAAACCTAGAATAAAAAAAACTAAGACAAAAATCTTCCTTGAATTTTTTTAAGGGAAAGTTCTTGCACATTTCAAAAAAACTGCCATATTTAAATTATCCTTCAGCAGCCCAATTATGTTGCCTACCAGGCATCCTTACAGTGGAAATTTCCAACTCAAAGGGCATACCTCTACATAAAGTATATTTATTGCCTTTTTAAAAATGCCCATTTTCTTTCCCGCATATTGTGATAATGTGATAGGGTTGTAACTAATGCAATTTTTATATTTTTGATTTAGAAACAAAGGAACTGATTTGATACTCGTAAAACTAAATGTGTGCTTGGCTGTTATGGTTAGGATGTCTCAACTGTATATAAGTAATCATTTATTGTTTAAATACAGAAGAGGCTGTAACAAAATGCTGTCAAGAGCCATCACACTCATTAACCTGCAAGCTAATTAGCCTCCTCCTGCCTGATTGCTGACAAGTTCTTCAATCTGAACCCATTGCTGTTGTGTCAGCAGAGAAGCAGAGTGAGGTAGAGGAGGTCTCCATTAGATGTTTGTGAACAAAGTCTCTGCATTAAAGGTTTGTTTTTTACACTCTAACAAATGTTAGAACATTCATATCCCCAGCTATAATTAAATTGGCAACTCTTAATTACTGTAATTAGTATATTAACTGTTTCCTTTCCTGTTCATCTATAATTGATTTCAAGAAATTACATGTAATTTAATGTGATTTTAAAAATTTAATCATTGTTTAAAAGGTTTCAATAGTTAAATATATATCTAAATGCTATTGACTTTTGGAAATAATATGCATAGTAAAATCACTTAAATACAGTGTCTTGTCAAAGCCATTTCATGTGGGCTTTATATTCATTTGTGGTTTTTTTTTTTTTTTTTTTTTCCTGTGCAAACATGACATTCATTCGCATTAGAATTTTTTTCCTGTTAGGCTAACATTTCTTAACTAGGTTGCAGATTAGCATTGGAATGATAGGACATTTTGCAAATGTATCTTAAAATATGAATTCATTAATTTGTGGAAGACTAATTCATTTAGAATAGCTTCTTGAGGGCAAAAAACATTCGTAAGACAGTTTGCTTGTTATGCCATCCAATCAAACTGAAGAACTTATTAAGAGTACCAGAAAGAATAGAGTACATTTTGGATTGGCAAATGATCTGAGTGTGAAGTGATGAAGCCTTTTCTGGATTCTCAAAATTATCACTATTATCTCATTCTGGCCAATGTTAATTACAATTTTTCTTTAAAATATTTGCATCATTCTCAACAAATTAGTTAGAAGACTAAACCATTCTAAAATGTCACACACACCAGCAAAATGTATTCACATGTCTAAAAAACCACATACTAAAATTTATTGTACTTCTAGTTTATATAGGGAAAACTGCTATTTGAGGGCATCTGATTTAAAAGTATTGGATTGCAGTAAGAAACAGCATTAAAGTTTATGGGAGCTTTCCATAGAAGTGCATGTTTGCTCTGTATTAGACATGGCCAGAATTATCATTCTCATAGCGTCCTGTAACTACATGAATATATATTTACCACTAGCCGACTTAACTAAGCCCTAATTAAGGACTGAGTGTTTTAATAAAATTTAAAGTATACTTATTTCACTTAGTCATTCTTAAAATAATTAAGATACTAATGCGACTTAC
Organism: Homo sapiens; assembly: GCF_000001405.40. NCBI lineage: Eukaryota > Metazoa > Chordata > Mammalia > Primates > Hominidae > Homo > Homo sapiens. Next base: position 125,897,942 of record NC_000009.12, read on the forward strand.
TTTAATTGAAGAATTACCCAATATACTACAAAATACATCCTTCTTTAACGGATATGGCCATTTAAATATAGTAATCTACACATAAGAATTCTAACTTGAGCCTCAAGTCAACAGTAAATAATTATGATGGAATTGATAAATAATGAGGTCCCTGCTTGCCCTTTAGTTCTTTGGACCTGTGGTCTCTTAGCTAGAAAAAACAGATTTGAGCTCATGAAGCAGTGGTTTTGCATTTTTAGAATAAAATTTATCAGTTGGAAGCTACTATTCTCACCAGTAAGGTTGCCATTTCTCAACCTCTCCCGACCTCTACCTCTCTTCCCTAGCACAGCCTGATTCTGATAAAAGAGCAAACTTTTCCCAGAAATTTTCACAGTCTCCTTTGGATTGTGATGCACCCTATGTTTTAGGGAATTTAGTATAATAATGATTCCCATTTGCTTTAGATAGTAAATGAAATACATTTTTTGTGTTCAGCCTGGGCAGTGTAGCAGGACCCCATCTTCTGAAAAAAAAAAATAAAAAAAAGGGCCTTTTGAATTTTAGGGCCCATTTCAGAATCATTAGGCCTCTTATTATAGTTTGTGGTTATAATGTCAGAGATTCCTGACTAAATTCTGAACTGGTTCAGGAACGTATGGAACATCTAGCTCAGCCCTCTCATTTGATAGATGAGGGAAATTAAACTCAGGGGAGGCATGACTTGCCCAAGGCCATACAACCAAATAACAGAGCAGATATGAAGTGAAGATACAGAATGCTGAACCTCTAGTCTAGTCCTCTGTTTTATAAATTCGAGTTGTAGCAGATTGATTTAGTACATTCTTTTGGATATTCATGATTGTTTTTATTACAGTTATTTCACATTGAATGTTAAAGTTGTTTAAACATATGAGTACAATTTTTTAAATGAGTACAAATTTATTGTTTAAAGTAGATGGCTAAATTCATGTAAAACATTAAATCTTTTGGAAGAACACACAAGTAATGAAATAGAAATGGTTGAATTTGGAACTGATGGGTATGAAAACAAAAACAAAAACAACTCTCAGAAACCCATTTTGACATCAGGAGGTGTTTTTCTCCAATAAGTCGTTTGGTAAAAGAAACATCTGTGGTGTTGAAAGGAATGCTGCTGCTGTGCTTCTAAGGAAGCTAAATTGTTTTCCAAAAAACTTATGAGATGATAGTCTTTTATGTCATATGCTAGTTTGTTTTCTCCCTTATTGTGTACTTCACATTCTTTAGATGATATATATATTTATAAATATACATATGTATATATATTTATATATAAATATACATATGTATATATATTTATATATAAATATACATATGTATATATATTTATATATAAATATACATATATGTATATATTTTTATATAAATATATACATATATGTATATATTTTTATATAAATATATACATATATGTATATATTTTTATATAAATATACAAATATATGTATGTATATATATGTATGTCTATATATATGTGTGTATATATATATATAGAGAGAGAGAGAGAGAGAGAGAGAGAGAGAGAGCTCACCCACAGGCAGGGGAGGTTATTGTCAGAGGGTAGGTACATGAAGAGAGGGGAGTAGAGCACAAATCAAACAGCTTCAAAATGCAGTTGATAGTCTTACAGCATTTTGGTCAGCTGGTGAAGATTTCAGTACCTCAGTTGGCAGAACATCATATAGACTCTCCTTCACTCTGCGGTTTCTGCAAAGTTAGGATTAGAGCAAGGAGACTTCATTTTAAAAAGAAAAGATAATTTGTCCAAACACTTCATGTGAAAATAAATTATTTGAATTTTGGTACATCTTAAGTGACAAAGGTAATATTTCCTATTAAATTTATATGTGCTTGTCTAGAAGTAATTGAGAATTGGAGGCATTATTTTTTGTAAAACTGTGTTGATATTGGTTTAGCAACTCTGTATATGTAACGAATAAAGAAAAGAGCCCCCCAAAAGTATTTCATTTATAAACCAGAGTAATTCTGAATGTTTATAGTAATGGGAGATAACCCAAGGCAAATTTAATTTTAGATTGGGCTTTTGCTTAATGTATTATTCATAGTATTGTATCATCAGTTAAGCATATCTCTGACAATAAACTTAAAACTTAACTTTAATAGTAATATCCACCCTAATTTGGGTGAGTCAAATAGTGACCCGACATGATTTATTTTGCCTCTTTATTGTAGATAATTTTTTAATAATGATAGGATGGAGTTATTTGGTATGCCTTTCTCATTCTTAAACACCCCTCCCCCCACATCCCGCCCTTTTTTTTTTTTTTTTAACACTTTACCATTTTTGCTGCATGACCTGGTTTTGCATTTTTCTGATTCTCTGTTCATCTAATTAGTATGTTCTAAAAAGACCTGGACCACTTATTGTACAGAGATGTAGCCTGTGGGTATTTAATAAGGAGCTTTCAGTGCTACATTTGCATCTTTTGCTTGGGGTCTGAATAGTGAATTACCTTTAAGATCATTAGAAGCACTGCTGTATTGTTAAAATCAGGCCGCAATATTCTAATGACAGTTTAAAACTTCAGGCTTCCTATATAACCCAGGTGACCCCAGCATAATTGTATGTAGTGCAGATGACCCTAGGATAAACTGCTGACGTTCAGCTCATTCACAGTGTAGCCTCTACAGGCAGGTGGCTTTACACCTAAACAAACCACAAAGAGATGTAGCGAAAGCAAATGAGTTTTGTCCTAGTTGCGTACACTCATGGTATTATTTATATCATAATACTAATTCCCCAAATATAACTTGATACCTTTTAAACAGAGACACATCCACTAAGCAATGTGCTGAATGTGGAATTTATTTTATCAGATAACTGACCATTGTTTTCAGTGTAATACCTGGAAACCAAAAGCTTAAATGTGGGGGTCTTCTTCTTTCAGGTTCATCCCATAGGCCAAAGTATAGGGAGATACTTTGTTGTTCAATGATTAAATTATAATTTATTCTCTAACAAAATATAAGAAAACTGTTAGTATTGTAGATGCCAAGTGAGAATCCTCAAATCATTTCTAAAAAATGGCTTCAAATACCTTTTAGAAGCTTATTTAGTTTTTAAAGGTTATTTGACACTATCCCAGAATTATAGAATTTGAAAACTGAAAGAAAATTTAATTTAGCACCCTTTTTGTAAGTTACTATTTCAATTAGTTTTCTTATCTCAAGTTGATGTGATATCTACCCGCTTCCGTCAGTAATGCCAGGGAGCTCAAAGGTGGCTGGTAACAAAAGTGGTTTAAGTAAAGATAATGATAAATTTCATGTTTTAAAATAAATGCTTTTCACTTATAGGCCATTTATAGATTATTATCTAGCATTCAACTGTGTATCTGAGTTTCTTGGCTATATGAAAAACTGAATGAGTATAGGTATTTTTATACAATAATCTTAGTAGATAATATATTAGTTGATTGAAAATATATAGCAGTTCTACTTCAAAATTGTATTTCTGAAATAACTTTCTTAATGAAGCCTGAAGTTACTAAGACTTTGTTATGATCAATAGTTTCTGCTGAACGGCTATATATGTATAGGTTTTAGTATAGTACTGTGCATATAGTGGGTACTCAGTAAAGGTTTGTTGACTGAGAGCATAAATAAAAGGAGATTGAGCTGAAAAGAATGTAAAGGAAGATAATTTGGCTTGAAACATAGTGTGTGTCCTGTAGTTAATTGAACCAACTAACCAGTTACATGTTTTCTAGAGGGTCTTACTTCCAGTAACAGTTTCAAAGAATGTTACCAAACAACAACAACAAACAACAACAGCAACAACAAAAACCAGGTAGTAATCAATTTGAATCCACCTGGTGGACTGTTTATAATGTGTTTATTTTAGTTGTCTCATCCTTCTACATTCTTTTCTTGTCAGTTTACTACTCAGAGTTCTCCAGATCAAGTGTGAAAAGTAGCTACCTGATCTGACAGGACCTTGCCTAGACCGTGACGCACAATGTTGTCTTTTCTTTGCCTTTCTTTAATTGTGTCACCTTCTTTGTTAGAGAAACCCAAATCTTCTGTTTCTTGAAGAAGCTGCTTTTTTTAAAAATGTATCTTTTAGATACCTATTGTGGAAATAAAACAACTTGTGGTTTTTTTTTTAAGAGAAATGATGGTTTCTTATATGGAGAGAGGCTAGTAGCGAGGCAAATATTTATGCAAAGATGTTTGCTCCAAGAACCTAAACTGAAAATAAAATTAGACTGAATTTTTAGTTAAAGCTGCACCTGGATTGCATGCATATTTGAAAACATTATATAAGGTTTAACAAATGTATGATTAGAGCATTGACCAGTGTTATTCTGTTAAGTAGTTTTGCAGGATTTTCTCTTGCAAGAAGAATTTGTTGTACTCGCATTATTGTTTCCTTTGGGATCGTAGACAATGACTCTGTAGTGTGATTCATTAATATTGGTTGTCTTCAGCAGAGAGTATCCAGATTTGACCTGCCAAGTATTAAATTTTTAATGTATTACTAGTTCTTTCACAGAGTAAGGCTTGTCTTTGTTCTTTGTATTTTTGTACCAGTATAGCTTGAATCAGATACAGATTTAATTTGTAGTATCACTAAATATGCCTCATTTAAAACACGCACAATACACATATAAAAATGTTTATTGATGAAAATATTTCAATATGAATAGCTACCTTTTTAAATATTTGAAAGTATGCACTTCCAAATTTATTTTGAAAAGTGCCAGGGGGTGCTGTGTGCTATGTGCAATAAGTTAATTATTATGCTATTAACATTGATGATGGTGAATGTATATTAGTTAATGTGTTAACGACGTGTTAATTACTGTACATGTTGTGAAGACCCTTCAGGCTTGTTCTATGATGCAGCATGTCAACTTGAACTAGACCAAGTAATCTGCAAAGCAGACTGTAACTCTTAAAAATAACACTTGTAAACATAAATTATAAATTAAATTATGCTTTTTATTATTCTTTTTCTTTCTGGTAGAATGAATAAGTAATTCTTCTGCTATCTGCACCTGTTAGAACCCAATACTGTCAGACTCTGTTTTCCCCAAGAGGATTGAAAGAGATTTGTTATGCAATAACTTCCGCTTTGTTTACGCTCTGGCATTTAGTGTATATTTTATATAGATTCATTTGTTTTGCAGCCTGAAAGATCTTTCTTTTTTTGTTTACCAGCTTGATTTGAAATGAAAGACACTCACACTTAGTCTTTGTGTAAGCAGGTGAAAAGTGGCCTTGTTTGATTAGGACTACTAGTTGATACTAAACTAATCTGTATATACACATGTGATTCAGTTATAGCTCTTCAAGTTTAGTTGGCCAAATAGTTGAAATCTCAAGGGACCAGACATAAAAACAAAAAACTCAATGACAGTTTCAAATCATTTACAACAGAGGCCAGAATTTGTTGCTGTTTGTGAGAACATGGCATTATATATTTGTTGTCCTTTTCATCAGTATATCTTGATGCCTTGAAAATGTCAAATATTTGAATTTTATTACTTTAACTTTTGAATTAGTGGTTGCCCATTTCTTTCTAATTGTCAGTATTTTTGAAAAATACACCTGATGATAATCCTCAAGAGACTAATTTGGAGAAATACAAAATTATAGAATTCGATGTTATTCATACAATGGTATTTCTTATTTTTATGTCTTCAAAATCTTTGTTTCATATTAAACAAAAGAAGTAAGTTAACAAATGAGAGTTCCCAAATTTACTGAGGGTCTTGTGAGGATGTTTTTTAAATGACCCAAAACCAACTCTTGAAAATACAAAAATAAAATAGAAATGAGTGTTTCTGTAAGGCATTTACTCTGTCTTTTAGATTCTTCTAACATAATATGTATAAGAGGTGGTAAAGAGTTAGTTCAGACTGTAAAGCCAGACTGTCCTGCATCCAGTTCTAGCTTTTTCACCTTCCAGCTGTGTGACTATGAGCAATGGATCTAACTGTGGTGTGCCTCAGTTTCATGATAATTAAAATGGGCTTAATAATAGTACCTGCCTTACTTAGGGGTGATTAGTTAATACAGGTAAAGTACTTTGAGTAGTGCCTAGCACACAGAAAGCTCTCAAAAAATGTGAGGTCTTATTATTAACCTGCCTTTGATATTATACTAAAAATTATTTGGAAGCATTTAATTTTCACAAACTCTTTGATTTCCCTAGGACCCATTTTGAATGTGAGTTTTTGGTTTCCAGTCATTATAGTCTCGTACTTCATCATAGAAAAACACCTTATTTTTAATGATGGTTTTATTACTCCAGTGTTGTTTACATCCACCTGGAGTCATCCCAGATTTTTCCATTCGTCTAACCTTGCTTGATTTCCTATAGCACAGCTCTTGTTGAAGATTTATATTGGTGTGGAAGGATATTCTGACCAGGATTTTGGTTTCTCTTGCAAATATTTGTGTATCTCTTGTTTACAGCCCCAGTGTCCTCTTGTAAAACCCATGCAAAATGGGATTCTAATAAATCTTGTGCTCAGCATTACACATTGTTTGTTTTAGCTGCCTTCCACTTCATGCTTCCTCCTTTAAGAGCGAGCCATTATGAAAGGTTAGATTCACAGTTAGCAGGCTTTAGCTCTCCCTTTTGAATCAGTGAGGTTGCCGTTTTATTGCTCTCCGACTTCCACTTCAGTGATGAGAGTAAACTAGCATCAGATTAAAGGTCAGCAAATCCCATCAAAGAGAGGAATATTAGGGGCAGAGATAGTTGGAGAGGCAGCACACCACTGGGTATTGACAGGGTGATTCCAGGGTATCAGTCAGCAGAATTATAGCTGCCCAGAGAGTCAGTACAGCTTTAATGAGCCTGTGTGAAGAGGAAGAGGGTGGATTTATGTAGTTCCTCATAATTTTCTGTAGAGACTGTTATTGCAGACATTCTGTGGAGTGTTCTGGTCTTTCATTTAATTCAAAGGTCCTGGAGCTTATCCATCCTCTAAATTCCTTTTTGTTAGCTCAAATCAAAGTTGACATTTCCATGGTTTACCACTAAAACACCCAGTTCAAAATCAGGTCTCTTTAGGTAATTTTGAAATCTGTATATTGTTAATATAAATCTATAATCATATTTATCTTAATGCATGCATATTTCCTCTTCAGAGAAGTGGGTTGAATAATGAGCATTTCTTTTCATAACTAAGCAACAAGGGAAGATGTAAATTTACACATTGCCCTCTAAGTAACTGGGAAAAAAACTGATTATGTTATGGTGATTTTCAGCAATCTTAATGTTCATCCTCCTTAAATTGACTTTCCTAATTAATTGTTTATCTGCCCATTTGTGTGTACCCCATCTCACCCTTTATGCCGCCAATATCCATCCTCCTAACTGGAAAACTATTCTTTTAATCCCTGGAGGGAAAATGTTTTTAATTGTTCTAATGAGGAATACTGCATTTAATTGCTGTTATTTTCAGTTCCACCTTGATTTTGATGTCTTTATAGTGAATTTGACTCACATTCATTTCTTATCAAAGGGAGATTAAATCTATGTAGTTTTGAGATCTGGACTATGCTTTGAGAAGTCAGATGTTTGTGAAAAATGTCTTTGGATTTTTTTTTCTTTTTTCTTTTGATTTCTTTGCTGTAGATTAGTTTCCTAAAGGGTTAATGAAAGATATATTGACTTTTTTAGTTATGCTTTTATTTATTCATCACCATGAAAATTTATCAGTACACTTGTGAAAATTTATCAATTATCAATTGTGGAAAATTGTGAATACACTTGCACTAGAATGTTTCATTTTATTACCTAGTTAAACCAGCCACTTTTTGTAATTTGTACTTAAGAATATGCTGTTTTGATTATATTTCTAAGTAAATAAATTTTTCCATTATTAACATAGAAGTCTTGTTTGTGTTATTTGCTGCTGGGAAGATGCTCTGAAGCTTCTGCCATTGTCCTTTGCATGTCATGTGGGTGGTTATGCTTTTTAGACACTTACATGGTTTTTAATGGAAGAGAGTGATGGATATACTACCATGAGAAGCACTAATATCCTTTTTGAAGTTCACCATTGACTGAAACATCTATAGTACTTACAGCAAAGTATAAACTTAAGAGAGATGCATACAGACGAATGTTACATAGGAATATAGAAGCCATTTTTAGTCATTAATTAGATGCTGTATTTATATTAAAGAGTCAGCACACTTTAAAATCATGTGGAAAGTCTAGTAAAGTTCATGTTTCCTATAATCATGCCATGCTTCACAAAGCCTTTTCAATAAAACTGAGTCTGTGTCCTTTATAATAATACAGATAAAACTTTATGCTGTGCTGTTACATTGGAATGTACTGAGAATGCCAATGACCCTCATGCCGTATTTACTAGCATGCTATTTTGAGCAGTGCCTGTGCATCAGGGTAATTTGGCATTGCAAAAACAATAAAATGGACATTCCTTCCTGCAAGAGGAAAAAGAAAACCAGTGGGTATCTGCTATTCATAATGAAGTCAAGTGACTGTAATTTATATATTCACTTTTGAACATTTTAGAGAAAAGGGAAAGAAGATGGCTACAGGAAAGGAAATGAATACAAAGATAAGCATGAGATTAATTATCTGATAGGGGCAGGGTTCTTGCTCCCATGAGGGACATATGAATGACATTTACTGATCACCTTAAACTACAAAGTAAGTATATATGGTATTTTAATTCAAGTGGGGTCTAGTATTTTCATTTGAGAAAAATTATGAATAAAAATTTCTCCCCATTGGTTGTTTCTGACCAAAAATTTTGTATTATGTGTGTATGGTACTATAGATATATATCATCATATCTGTATGGTTTTTAAAATACCATTCATTTCAGCTGTGGATTATTTGAATAAAGTTTTCTGAAATACTAATTGAGAGGATGCATAGCTTTGGTGAAAATTTAACCAATTTTAACCAGAACACTGTGTAGCCAGTTACAACATCTTAATGAGTACATTTGCAGGAAGAAGAGTCCTTATTTCAGAACAAATCAACAGCACCATTTACTTTCTATGTGTTTTTCTACACATGGCTATTCTTTACATTTCTGTGCTTATTTGAAATGTGTGACCAGAGACCACTAATAATGAGCAACTATCATGAGTGTTTCATCATCAGCACACATCAAAATGGCATTCTATTTCTGGAAGTGATAAGAGAGTAAAAGTAACACAAAAGAGCAAAAGAAGGAACCAGAAACTTAGGTCATAATAATTGAGATGGCTAAAAGCAATAAAACTATATACCATTAAAATATGTTGCAAAATAATGTCAACACAACGTATGGTAAATAAATTTTGATATATAAAAATGCCAGAATTTTTAAAAAGATCAGATTTGACCATTTAATGAATATTATGAGAAATTAGATAAACATTTTGATTGTAGGACAGACATGTTTCAGATTATACTTCAAGATTATAATGTTCCATTTTCACCAATGATATGAAGTAACTACTTATTTGACTTTAGAAAATGTAGTATTTTAATTAAAAAAAGACTTTAATTCATATGATTTAAAGTGAATACCACTGTTATTTTTTAAAGTGACAATTGTATGTCAGGAACTATTTTAGGCATTTTATGTCTTTGAACTTCATAGTGATTCTTGAGTTCGTGGTATCCCTATTTACAGACAATGAACCAGGGGACCTTCTACAGTCACATGGTTAATAAGTGATAGTTAGAATTTGAGTCTAGGCTACTCTGACTCCAAAGCCATGTTCTCCAGTATTGTAATTTATTTGTGTTATAGTTGCAAAGTGAATTTAAAATCCAGTATTATAACTTATTTCTCTAGGTATCTGAGGTGTAGTGGAATTAATCCTGGACTTAAAGAGAGACCCGTGTTTAAATCATTATTTTCCCATTTACTCACCATGTGATCTTGGGCTCTAAAGTCACTTAACCTGTTTGAAATTTGGTTTTCTCATCTACAAATGAGGCCAATGACATCCACCCTGTAAGGTTATTTTAAAAATCAAATGAGAGAGATCATGTGAAAGATACAGTTGCTGCTTGGCATGTAGTATGTATGCTCAATGTGTTTGAATTTGAACATAGAGGATTTTTAGGCTAAGTAATAGAATGATTCCAAGTACTAACAGTGTCAGATTATCATATTAACAAATGTAAGGTAAGAAAGTTAAAGCCACCTATGTGAGAAACACAAAGACAGAAAACATTTGCTTTTTGGCAGAAACATCTTGTATTGTGAACTGGGTCTGGGAGGAACTTATTGAAGTCTGGAAGATCGGTCTTCCAGAAAATAGAGCAGTGAGGGAAGCAGCTGTGTGGAGAGGCACACACGATGCCCTCAGTGTTAGAGGGAGCAGGCGCACAGTGTAGTGTTATCCCATTCACAGCATGGCAGTGATCTTAACTGACAAGACAGGAAATGGAAGTGCTATGGCGATCTCATTCTTCAGGGAGAAAAGGCAAGGGAGCAGAATGTGGGAATGGGGGAACACAAGGATTGCATGGTTTGTGTAAACAAATGCTGAAGAGTCCTGGAGATGCACTCTTAATAATATGAGTATTAATAATAGAAGAGGAGTCATTGGTTTCTATGGAAGTCCAGATGTAGACTTCTAGCATTTTCTGGTGAGATCCCAGGCATGTGGTAAAATTTAAAGAATATCATCAGCACCATTAGATCATTAGGTCACTGATAAACACATAGAGTAGCTGGGGTCACAAAGACCCATAGGGATTAAAGCCAGGGTTTTAATTCTTTCCCCCGACTTAGATTCTGAAGCTCATTGCTTTCCCTTTAAATAGTGCTGTTTTTTTTCTTTTCAAATTTAGTTGTCATATTTACCAGTCCTAAAAATTTCTTCAATAGAGCGTTTTGTTTGAACATCTATCCCTTTGGATAAAAAGAAAATGGCCGTTTCCTTTTTTCCCACTACTTGTAATAATTTCCTTTAGGAGCAGAGCACAGGTAACCCTTTGTGCTAATATGTGTGAGAAACATGGCCCGTTTTTTCCTTCATCCTTTTTTCACTGTCTCATGCAAGCATAGCATACTTCATATCTTGCCCTAGCCCTGTTCTCTTCTTGTGTAGCTGACAGTGCTTATATATCAAGCGCTCCAACAAGATGCAGCTCCATTTAACAAAAAAGTGCCTTAAAAATGTAACTCTTCTTTCCGCATTTTTATTGCACAGTCCATCTGCTCCTTCATCTTGGCTGCTCTTCACTTCACAGTGACAAGGCTCACTCCTTTTTCTTGTCTCTTGAGGCAGGATCTAATTGGCAAGTGGAAAGTCTTCAAAATTTGCCTTTGCCAGCCAACAGTACTTTCAGATTTTTCTGTAAACAGTTGGCTAAAATAGGTTTGAAGAGCAAAGAGAAAATATAATGAAACTGAAGGATTTTTAAGAAGTCTTTTCCCACAGAATGAACACACCTTCCTGTGGTAGCAAGGAATGTAATAAATGTTTTCAAATAAATGAACTACTGGGTAAATACAGTAAGTATAATCAATACTTTTTTGATGGCTCCAAGCAGCAAATGTTTAGCTTGAATCATTATTTCAGGCTTGGCTCTTCTGCGTAAAGTATTCTACTATTTCTGGTAAAATAAATCATGTGAACTTGTGATATTGCTGGGGTTGGCAGTGTAGCAGGGAGAAGAAGTGATCCATAAGTGTTCTCTATGTTGCCATTTGCATTGCTAGGAACGTGAAGAAACGTCAGAGTCATAGCCTAGGGAATTACACTGTCATAGAAAAACACTGGTGATTCAAGAAATGCCTTTAAATGGTTTTCCTCTTCTCATTTAAAGTACATCTGTGGGACTGCAAGAAAATAACTCGGTCCTGCCCAGGAGTCTAGTACCTGTACAGACCAAGATACTAATAATGTCATTATAGCATCTAGCTGCTTTCCATCGAACCCCTAATAAAGGTCATTAGCTGCCTGCCTTCTTGAGTGAGAAGGTTTTGCAGCAAGTGCTTGGAGAAAAGTTATCAGTGCTGTATGTTAGAAATAGGCATTCTGCCAACAGCTTTATAATGAAGGTGAAATGTAATAAAGCGATGGATTGACAGTTTATGTGTTGAAAGTGAAGGAAATGGAGGTGTGGAGAAGCATTATGGGGAATCTTTCTAGTCATATCTTCAATTTAACCATCAGGGGAAATGCTTCAAAATCTTAGATTTATGAATTTCTAGTAAGCAGTTTCACAGCATGTAAACAAATCTCAGTGGGCTGTTTTAGGAAGGTAGATTTGGGCAGTGAAGTAATCATTTTTATTCCTCTGATTTTCCAAATAGAAATGGACATATATGATAAAAATGTCAGCCACCCTCTCCACGTCAGGGCCCTAACAGGATTACATGTCAGTTCTTAATGTCTCGCTCTGTTTTTCTTTGCCATGAATGGCTGCATTATTGCTCACAGGAACTTCACTGTAATATATGGTAAGAGACAAGTAGCTCTTTATGGCCAGTGATTATTCGGTTTGAATGAAACCTGTGATTTATGTCCATTTAACTGAAAAGCCTTGTAAATTCCCAGTGCTGCATTTTTCCTCAATAGAGAATGAGTCAAGCGAAAGTGACAACTAGGTTGGCGTGGAAATGTGCAGTGCATTGCCGTGTTATATTTAATATACCTGACATGAAAAACGTGCACACACCACACAGTCACCTTAAATAGGAGTGAAAGTGACATTAGCTTGTAATATGACTGCCATATTCAGTGGATTAGACACTAACATTGGCTTAAAAGGAGATTTGGAGCTGGAGTGGGATGGGCTTTGGGGCCATGAGTTGTGATGGGCAACTAGATCACCTGCCATTTCCTCATAATCTTTTAAAAATTGGTTATTTTACAGTTGTTTTCTATTGATGTCTACAAAATAACATGACTATTTCTTTCATTACAAGCTTCATCTTTAGACCTAAGGAGGAGAGTGTGAAATTCAGGTGCAAATATTCCAGATCTTTCTCTGGAAGTGTTGATATCATTCTGTTGGCCTTTTTTTCATTTTCAGTCAGTCCTTACTTAAGGGTCTGCCTTTCCTGGACTTGGCTTCTTAGCCCACTCTCTAGTCCACCCACTGTTTAACTGAGAACCTTACCCTCCCAACCCCAAATACTTTAGTTTAGACAGTGATGCCTTGAGGGTTTTTCAGTGTCTTTCACCACTGTTTCCAAATTATATCCCAGTTTTCACAACCAAAAGTAATTGTTTCAAATGAGATCTCATGACCATGGGGCTTGTGACCTTCATTTCATTTCCAGATGTCCTGCCTCCTATTTTGACTGCATCTTACTTAAGGATTTCAGATAGAAAATTATTTTACCTTTTTTATGTTTGGGGAGAAAAGTAGCAACACGTCTGTCTTAATCTTTCTTCTTCATCTATAGTTTGGGTTACACTTCTCAAACTGTGGCTGACTTGATTTTTAAATGAAGAAAGCACAGAAAATAAAGTAGGTATTTTTACTAATTAGCTTTGTGACTTCTGACCACTATCCTGCATGTTACTTTAAAATAACAGACACAAAAGAAAAGCTATGAAAAATTATAAGAATAACAGAAAACATTAATATTAAAATTGTCGCTTATTTCAAAGCAGTCAAGAATTCAGGGCCTGCTGAAAATATCTCATCTGGCCTTGTTTTACATGGCACTCTGCTAAAACATTTTTCTCTGAGCTAAGACTGTGGTGTGGTAGTTGAATGAATCAAAAAACAAGTCCATCAGAAAACAAAATTACAGCGACGTCGTAGGCCTAAGCTTATGAATAATTTGGGGCCTAAATTTATGGTATGCTCATTAGGAGAAAAAAAAATCAAACAACTCAAGTTTCCATAATAGCTTTTTGTTTCTCAGCAGGTCTGAATAATGTACTCTTTACTAAGTAAAAGTGATGTGATGACAACTTTTATCATTATTATGGATATTATCTATCTTCCCTGATTATGGAAATATTGTAGGGCTAGATCTTAGTTACGTCTAATTCAGGACCACGTGTAGAACATATTTGAAATAGCTATGGTCTGAAGCCATACTCTTCAGTGCTGGATGAACAGAGGTTAGTCATGGTCCAGTGGGCTTGGTCCTTGAAATGAGGGAGCCACAAAGCTTAGTTAGTGCACTGTGTTGTTTGCACCTCATTCACTCAGGTCAAGCCTTCATTGTGTTACAGTGTTCTTCTGTTAGAAAGGCTCCTACTGTACAATCTAGCCAATGCAGATTTCTAATCTGCTTATTTATAATTCAAAAGCTTGCCTATATATTAATGAACCCTTAATGAGCTGTTGAAAATGCCTGAATTACAGTCAGATTATTAAACTCAAACAGCCCCGTAATCATACCATTTGAGTGGGCTTTAGGTACTTTTCACATCTGCAGCTTAGAATTGTGAAGGGTATGCGTTTATTCGGAGAAAGCTTTGTAATAATTTTGACCCGTAATTTATTTATTGCCCTCCAAATGCAGTCGTCTATGCAGATGCTCTCTCCCATTATCTGTGGGGCAGGTGCACAGCATGTTGAAAGACAGCTAATTAGGATTTGCTGAAAGATATGCAAAAACTGTAGGCTTATAACAAAGCCAAGTTCATTGTTAAACAATGTTTTACTGTGTTTGTATGATTTGTCTAAATCTTAGGGATACGGAAATGAATGTTGTGATTATAAGTAGATTGCAAATAGGGTTTATTTTTTAAACTTTATAATGTTGTGATGACCAAAGAACCTAGATGTAAACCTTTATAAACCTCTGTATGTTTCATTATACATACATTTTGGATTAAAAACAAGTACAATCAAATTTTAAATGATTGTTTTACCATGTTTCAATTTGAAGATATCAAGATATTTTGATAACCACACAGTCTGATTCATTCTGGCCCTTGCAAATTTAGACCCATTAAAATGTTTATAGGTGCCCAGAGGAGTAGGTATTATGACTAAAAGCCAGTGTAACTCTAGAAAGTTAGTAAACTAAGTAATAGTGAGTGGCTAGGTAGGTAGGATGAGGAATAAAATGGTAACTAAATGTTTTTAAGTAAGAAAATAAATAGAAATATTCAAATTGAAAGTAATTTTGGAAACCAGGTATTAGTATTTAAAGATCCCATAATCATTACTTTGCTTAATAAAGAAAAGAAACCGATTCACTTTTCAGACTAGTTATGAAAATTCCTTTATTATTGATAGTCTTCTTCTTGTTGCCTATTTGCAAAGTACTTTAGTACTTTTCATCTAAAGAACTATGAGTTTTCCGTCAGGAAATGATTTTTCTGATGAAATTTGATGCACATAATTTATAAAGTAAATACAAAGGATTGCATTAAAACATATTTTCCTGTTCTTGAGGCAAGCACTTAGTGTTGATTTACTGATAATTTTAGAAATAAGATATTTTTTCATTATAAGAGTAAAACGTTATAGTAATTGATACTGTATACTTATAATTGTTTTTATTTGTGTCCACGGCTTTTGAGCTTATGGATTGCTTCTTATTGGTACAATAATGATGGTTTATATACGTATTTATATACATATGTATAAAAGTATCATAGATGGCTAATTAGTTTTGTGCCTTTTGCATTTGTTCCTAATGAATTTCCTTCTGTCTCTCTTATGGTGTACTTCCTTGTATGTTTGTCATTGAGCTTCTTCTCTTGTTTGCCGTACATGTGCAGGGAAGTGTAATCATTTTGGGTATGGAAGTTAATCTGCTATTAAAGTACTTCACCACATGTCCATAGGGAAAAGATTAATGTGTTTAACTACAAGGGGAAAACTAGAAACCCGGAGGAAACTTGAAGGTAGATTAAAAAAACACATTTCAGGAGAGGCACCAGTGTCTATGTAAATACAAAAATCAACAAACACACAAAACTGTGGGCAAAAATTCAGTTGAAAATGGAGAAACTTGAGAAGTCCTCAAACAAGAATAAAAAATTAAACAATTCAAAGTGCAGCATAAGAGATTGCTCAGTAAGCTCTCATTGCATGCCAAATGCACAAAAAACTTGCTATGTGAACTACAAGCATGTACAGGTCGTGAGATTTTTAACATTTAACACAGTGAATTAAAAGAGAGGAAAATTAAAGATTTAAATTAAAAATGCAAACTTAACCAATACATGGCAGTTCTAGAACAATATTAGGCAGTCCCTTTTAGTTATAGAAGAAACAGCAAATACGTTTGCCTATTTTTAATTATCAGCAGTGTGTTGGTACGCATTTTATGAGTTATCTTTTTGCTCTCCTAAATGAATATATTGTCTTAGTATATTATAGTTTTCAAACCTTATTTGCCTCTGAATAGACAACAGATAAAATTTTAAATTATGGTGAGTTAGTTTTATTATCCAGTTGAAATTATTCTGAAGTATAATTTTAAATGAAAGTGACAGCTTTAAAGTGTTTTGGGGAAGAAATTAAAGTTTTGCATTTGTGTTAAGGCAACCAAGAGCTCTGTCATGCCATGGATGTAATTCAGGGCATCTAGGAATGAAATCTGTTCTTAAAAGAATTGACGGTAGCTTTAGGTTAGCATATAAAATCAGAGTTGGTGATCAGTTGAGTACTTGGCAGCTTATAGATGTTATGTCATGTAAGTTACACTAGACACAAAGTGTGTACCACTGTGGATAAACAACAACAGGCACAGACTCAAAAGAGAATCCAAATACAAACAAGCAAGGTGCCAACTTCCTTTTCCCCTCTTCCCCAAGAAGCCTTGTAACTAGTGTAGGGAACCTGCTTTGAAGCAGATTTACAGAGGTTAATTGGGCTGGGATGTTTTAGATTATGTTACACATTAATGAAAATGCTGATTTTGAGCTGTCATGACTCCAATGCTTTTTATACCATGATAATTATTTTAAAACTTTGTCTTCTGTGTTGTTGAAAACATTTTGGCAGAAAGCCTGTGTGACCTGATTAAACCTATGAATTGTCAGCTATGATCTATAGTACTCAGAAGAGGTTGCTGACTGGGCATCACTTAGGAAGTTCTTGATTTAAAAGCAAAATTAGATTGAGACTACTGTGCCCAGCACTGTATTGCCATGTCAATGGCACATTTTTAATACTGTATTTAGTATCCTCGTTTTATAGTTTGCTGGCAATTGCTTAACAATATTCATTTAATAATATATATATATTTAAGTATAGCCAGTTACCTCATAATGTGTGTATTCCTCTTCTGAAATCACACGATGGAAAAGCTCATCTAATGTTGTTTATTTTTCAATTTTTGATTACAGCTTGTGAATTAACTATTTTATGGGAATTTTAATTCTGTTTCTCCAACTGTACAGAGAGAGACAGAATAACCACCTTTGGATGAGTTGTTTTATATCCCTGTAATTATTTTCTTTCTTTCTTAAAACATTCAATTTTTTACCCTCTTCCCATTTTATGCTTAAATTATCTAAATCTGGGAAGCTTGAATGATTAAAATATTCCAGGAAGCCAGGGTTACCTTTTTCTAAGGATCTAGTCTGTGGTAAATTGAGGCGGTGGGGGGGTATTTAAAATTCTAGGGTGCATGTAAACACTATCTTAAAAATAATTTTCATACTTATTCAAACTTACCGATCAAATGTGAACAATGAAGTTCTCAGCATGAATTGTAGTACACTGATGTTGTTTGATCATTTTCTCGAATAAACAAAATACTCACACTATTTGTCCTCTGTTTCTCGCTTCTTCTCTCTCTGTCTCTCTCTCTCTTTCCTTGAAGGTCTCAGCATCAGAGGAGCCCAGGAGGAGGACCCTCCCGATCCCCAGCTAATGAGACTGGACAATATGCTTTTGGCAGAAGGGGTTTCAGGTCCTGAGAAAGGTGGGGGATCGGCGGCAGCAGCTGCAGCCGCGGCAGCCTCTGGAGGTTCTTCAGATAACTCTATTGAACACTCAGATTACAGAGCCAAATTGACCCAGATCAGACAAATCTATCACACAGAACTGGAGAAATATGAACAGGTCAGCAGCCGCCACTCTCATAGTCCTACACAAACCCTCTGTTGCTCTTCTATTAGACCATGCTAACCAATTCTGAGGGCTGTGAGGGGTAGGTGTTAACACAAATTACAAAATAAATAAGGTCAGTGCAAAAATCCAAGTGAATTGTTGGATTCATGAAAGGAAGACCCTTTGAGATTTTGGAGGAGGAGCGCTACCTATTTTATCCCATCTACTTGTTTTAGTTTTATTCATTCCGCACATTCACGTGCCCTTATTACCACACCTGCAGTCATTCTTCCCTCTCACCTCACCACTTGGTGCTCTTCAAAGCTCTGTATAATTAACATTTATGCACTAGCCTTGTTCATAAGCTTTAATCACTTTTGAAGGGAAGCATTGCACAGTGAGCTTTTCCCTCCTATGCTGTGAGCTCCAGAATCCTCCTGGGAATTAATTCTTATGGATTGTGCCAGACTATAGGGAACTTCACCAAGTAAGCAGGTTCCGGCCTGTTTCTCTGAGTATGAGACCTCCCAAGATAATTATGGGTACCCCAGGACAGGGAATGCTAGGCAAGGCATTATGTGCTAAATTCCTTATTAGAAAGAGAATATGGGTTAAAAATCTGGTTCTCAGCAATTATATTAACCATACTGAATCTCAGATAACTTTAAGTTGCATCTTTATGTAACACCAAGAAAAAATTAATACTGCTAGTTTAACTATAAAATATTACTGATTATAAAATGCTTTCACATTTCAGAGATGTTAAAATGTGGAGAAAAACAAGAGAGTCTTAGATTTAATGTAATAAAGTAAAATATTGGTGGGTCTTTTTACATATATTTTAGTTGTTAGTTTAATGCTGAAAAGCTGCCAAGTTTGAGGAATTCTCATTTGATAAGATTTGTCATTTGGAAGGTAATTTTAAAAACGTATTATGAAACATTTTATAATACATGTACACAAAAATAATGAGAATAGTATTAGATTGAACCCTATGAAATTGCTAAGTTTTGAGGCCAAAAACAGTTGAATATGGTAATTTCATAGAGTTCAACCCCAAATAAGGAATCAGAATCAGCTAGATACTTTTTACCCAGATAAACAGTTATCAACATTTTGCCACTCTTATTTTGTGTACCCAGCCCCAATTTGGTAAGAGTATTTTAAAGCAAGTCTTAGACATCCTATAATTTCACCCATGAGTATTTCACTATGTAGGCAAGTACTTTTTAAAGTCCACACACTTTAGTGTGAAATGGGAGTCCTGGTGAGTTTTGTGTGTGTTTGTGTGTATTTTAAAGACTCTTTTAAAGAGGAGTTTTAAGTTCACAGACCAATTTGAGAGGAAAGAAGAGAGATATCACATATACCTCCTGTCCCCACACATGCATAGTCTCTCCCATTATCAGCATCCCCCACCAGAGGGGTTCATTTGTTAAAATTGATTAACCTACATTGACACATCATTATCACCCAAAATCCATAGTTTACATTAGGGTTCACTCTTGGTATTGTGCACTCTATGGATTTGGATAAATTTATGATGGCATGTACCCATCATTATAGGGTCATGCAGAGTATTTTCACTGCCCTAAAGATCCTCTGTGCTATTCATCCCTCTCTTCTTTTATTCTTTCCTTCCCACTGATCCCTGGCAACCCCTGATCAGTTTTAATACTGATTTTTTCCCCTCTACATTCCCTGTATAGTTTCAATTATATATATCGTTGTTTTTTCACATTGCCTTTTCTAATATTCTGGATACAATGGTATTAAGCAAATGCTGAATCCTATCCCAGAGGTGAGTGTGTTTTGAGGAAGAGTAGAAAAATTTGTATAGCTTTAAGTTAAAAAGTAGTGTAAATTAATATTATAAGGTGTTTTCTATTTTTGGAATAGGATTTTCTGAGATCTAAAATTGTATGTCTAGTCTCATTTGTAAGAATAACTTCTTGTGGAAAATGTACAAATAAGAATTTTGGAAAAATTATCGTGTGTATGTATGTAAAAATCCCACTTTCTGATTTGACATATGAATAATTGAGAGTAAACAAAATAAGTCATGGTTGAAAAGGTTGCCCCTGAGCATAAACAGTAGAAAATGACTCTTATTTGTAGTATAATCCTAATTGTATAACTTTATGCTAAAATAACTATAACTACTTACTAGATAAACACTACCAGTCACCTTGCATGGAAAGAGATATAATATTAGAGGCCAAATGGCCTGAGTTTTTTGGCTGAGGAATTAAGGTGATTCCTTACTACCTCTTGCCATGTGTCTTTACACCTGCCTCCTTACTTTCTCCATACACTCTGGTGGAAGTTGTGTGAAGCTGGTGTCAGTCAATGACAAGGTCCTGAGTCTCACTGTTTTAGAAATATCCTACAAAATTTTCCATGAGATTTTATGTAACTTTAGCCCCAGCTTATACCAGCATCAAATCACCAGGGTTTTTTTTTATTGTTTTGTTTTGTTTTTGGCTTTTAAAATATACATGTATATGCATGTTCTTCATACATTTATCTCTTTTTGTTTGTTTGTTTTTTTAAATTGAAGATCAAATTGGGAAGCACTGAGTTTAAAAATATATTCATGAATTATTTGTGGATATAATCAGTAGCCTAATAACGATCTAAATATATAGTTCCTTTTTCATTTTAATACTTTCAGATGGAAAAATATAGATATATAAAATCTGTACAGTAGGGACAAATGAATAGATGGGGTATGAAGACTAGTTGGCAGATTCAGCAGAATTTTAATTTACACATTTTCTCCTGTAGGTTTGGAATTGTTTTAGAAGTGATGTAGCAGCACTTAATTCTTTTAAGTTGTCTTTGGGGCTGGCTTTTATAGCTCTTGTGACTGTAGTTCTCCAAAGTTATTAGGATCGGTGCATTTTGACCCAAAACAGTCAACTTTTCCTTTCAGTTCTTTAGGGTACAAGGGCTTTATCTGGATGGTCCTTTCAGAGACATGCTTTGGCGTTACAAGAAGGACTAGGCAGAGCTAAGAAGGGATAGGATTTCTGAAATAGATAGTATTGTAATTTCCATTTTATAGAGGAGAAAATGAGACTCAGAGAGGGTAAGTGATTTGTCCAATGTCGCACATCTAGTTAGTGTCAGAATCAGACGTTGAAATCAGTTTCTGAAAATGTCTTCCTTTTTCATTGAATTGTGCTGGTACCCATGTAGAACTGGAAAATAATTCAGGTACGTTCTGGTTTTCTCTGATTTTCCCATGTTGGATTGCATTTGAAATGGGAATAGAGCAGATGGAAAAACAACTTTTTAACTTTTTTTTTTTTTTAAGACAGAATCTCACTCTGTCACGCAGGCTGGAGTGCAGTGGTGCAATCTCGGCTCACTGCGACCTCCGCTTCCCAGGTTCAAGCAATTCTCCTGGGATTACAGGCGTCTGCCATCATGCCCGTCTAATTTTTTTTTTTTTTTTTTTTTTTGTATTTTTGGTAGAGACGGGGTTTCACTATCTTGGCCAGGCTGGTCTTGAACTCCTGACCTCATGATCCACCTGCCTTGGCCTCCCAAAGGGCCGGGATTACAGGTGTGAGCCACCGCGCCTGGCCAAAAACAACTATTTTACACTTTCCAGAAATTATATTTTTCCTCCTAAAAGTGAACATGGGTACTCTGAGTGACAGAAAGCTTAATAGTAAATAGGAAGAACATATATGTTAAGGCAAAGGCTTCAACAGAAAATTGTGTTGAGTCTTTTAGAAATAAACTACATTAGAATCTTAGAGTTATTCACTCTACTGTGTTTCACAATGAAGCTGTAATGAAAGTGTATCTGAAGACTGTTTAGATTTAGATTGCCATAAAACTAACAAACATCACCACTGCAGTAAATTAAAGTACCTTATAAGCACAGCCACATTTACAAAGCTAAGCAGACAGACTAGAGCTACAGTTTGAGCAAAATTAAATCCAAGCTGCAAGGCTCAGTTTTATGTGTATGTTTTAGAGATGGTATTGTCTTTAAAATCCTGTCTTTTTTCCCTCCAGAAAATTGTTCTTTTATCATATGTCTCTATTACATAGGCTCAGATTTAATGATTCTTGATGATAACCATCTAAAAATTCACTTATAAACACTTTTGAAATATTAGGCATGGGATGTATATTAGGGTAAGGTTCTTGAATATTACTGCCACCCAAAAGGAAACAAAACTATTTTATTTTCTTCTTGTTGATTCTGACACCCAGCAGGAATATGATAATTTTCCAAAACTTGCGGCAAACTGTCTTATAGTACTTCGTCTTGGGTACATTGCCTCGCTTTTTAGCTAAGAGACAAATCTAGTTGCTTCTCTGTCTTATTGTTGATTAGCTACAACTTTTGAAAAATGCCTTTACTGTACCTTGCAAATACTTTCTTATGGTTAAAGGACCACTGTTAGAATAGGTGAGTTCCTAGAACTTAAGCCAAGGTTCCTGGGAAGCCTTATTTTTAAGAAGTAAAGGCCTCCTATTGAGCTGGTCTTTCTTGGTTCCTCCACCACCCTACCAAAAGGAAATGGACACATTGGCTTTTGCAAATGAAATTTGACTTCAACATTTGTTCTCAGTTAAAAAGGAAAAGATATATAATGCTCTGTGCAGCTCTCCCACTTTGCTTGTGCCAGAAGAAATGCGTGTACACAGGCAATTCACTCATAATTTACAGCTGCTATAATAGAGATGACATATTGAAAGCTATCTACTATAATTATATTGAAATACATTTTTTGCTGAAGGCAAAAGTGTTGTAAGGGTCCCAACCCTTCCCAAGCATCTGGGAACCTGCTTTCTGAGTTCGCAGATGTCATTTGAACTCACCCCAAATCAGGCAAAGCACTGGAACCAAGGAATACACTGAATGTGCTCAGGACCAATCAGGTAGCGTTTGGCTACCAGAGGACTTACAGATTGCAGGGGGAATGGAGAATGGGTGAAAATTTAAACTACTGTAAAAGCATATCCTTGTGCTTTTTGAGGTCTCTACATTATGTGCTTAGGTTTGCTGGCAAAATAGCTTTTGCTTGTAAAGGATTTTATTTTTATCAGATTAAAAAATGCTGATGTTTTCACATTAGAGATTGTGCAGCCTGTAAACTCCTAATTCCATTTTGCTATTTCTTCTTAATGGTTAAGCAGGACAGACAAAAGGATACTACCTGATTTCATGTTTCAAAGCAAGGATTTGTCATTCATTGTTCCAAGGGAAGAGTTTTATTTCTTGTTGGCTTTCATGCCTGGACTTTTCCTTGCCTGGAAGGAGGGTTTGGTTTGTTCCCTTTTTTTCCTTCGAGTTACTAGTTTATTGGCTCTATGTACCAATTGTATTTATGACCACAAGCTCGATTAATAAAATTATTTGTTTTATTTAATACATTTGAATACTCTTTTTTTTTCAACTTCTTTGGAAGCAGTTTTTGTACTTATTCAGGCAATGAGAAGGCAGAACTATATTAGATAAAGTGTGGACTTGCTTGCAGAGTAATGACATAAAAATAGTATGAATTTCATAAAATTACCATTTTCATTGTCATCAGTAATAACTGTCATTTACTGAGTATTAATTATGCTGCAGACTCTGTGCAAAGAACTTAACATACATTATATAATATAATCCTTATAAAACCCTCATGAGATAGGTCCCTAAACCATGTAATTAGGTAAGAAGTGTTGAGGTACAACAGCTATTTCATCTTTGTGGTTGTTCCTTAGGCATATTGGTCTCATTCTAGTTGGCTTAGAATCTTTAAATGCAGACTTTTATCCCAAAACAAGAAAAATTTGTTGATTTAATAAGCATTCAGTAAATACAAAATCTACCGTATTCGACTAGAGTTACTTGTGAGGCTGGCGAGACATTTGGAAAATAGTTGCAGTACAAATTTGAGGGGCATCTACTTTTTAAAAGATATTTATTCTTTCTTGTCAAAAGTGGGCTTTAGAATATTATGATCTGTTTACAGTTAGCTTTTCTTGATGGTTACAAAAGACCAATTCAGTTTTTAGATCTGATCACTGATCATTATAAAACTTCCCCCAAAATCAGTGCTTGCCCACTGTCTACTTTGCAGTTTTACTTCCACAATATAAACTTAAAGGCAAAAACGAGGTTGAATCTTGAATCCACAATGAAAAAAGCCCCACCACAAAATAAAGAAAACACCGAAAACTTTAATTTTCTGTGTAAACCAAATATGTACAGATATTGAGGAGACAGTTTTGCCAGCCAAAAATATCATTAAAAAGTTATTGAGAATCCAAATATTTTAAATCCTCAATTATTACTTGGTTTGGATTTTTAAGGAGAAAGGAAAAAATGGGAAAGACAAAGACTCATAATAAAAATTGATTGAAAATGGTTTTAACAGATGAAATCTTCCATGCCTTATGTTAACTGTTATTGCAGTGTGTGTTTTAAACACATAAACAAAAATGCATCCTAGGTAGTTTTCAACAGCTGGATTAAAAGAAAAAGGCTTCTGCCAGTACTTCTAATCAGAAAATTCAAGGCATACTTTTATTTCCCAAATATTGCAATTAACCACAGTATATCTGTATTTATATTATGGACATTAACCAGAAAGCTTGTAACTGACAGTTTCACTTGGAAAACACAAGGCAAGGAAAAATTTCTCCAAATGTCTATTTTAATATATCTTATAGACATGAAGTAAGATATGATAAATGTTTGAAGTGAGCATTCTATATTATAAATAGCATCAATGTTAATATGTGGTTGGGTGGCCCTTCCAAACAACTGCAATCATTTGATCATTCTTACTGTGTTTATATGTTTAAAAAATGTATGCCTTTTAAGGAGCTAGGTGATGAGACAGTACTGTGCTCTGCTCTGAACCTGGTACAGATGATGCTGAAATGAGGCTGTAATTTACTTTCACTGGGATAAAGGAAAAAAATCACTTTGCTTTAAGTGTATGCATCTTTCTTAAGGGTGTACCCAGATTTTAATTATCTAAATGTAAATAGTTAACGAATTTTACTTAGAGTAATGAGCTAAAGTGCACACTACATAAATGAGTTGTTCTAATTAATCATGTATGAACTACTGGTTTAAAGAAAAGCTATGTGAATTCTGTGAATGTTGGGCTATTGCCAAATTGCTCATCAGCATTTGCATTCATAGATGGCTTCACTTAATAAGTTGTGAGACATTCAGCAAATGTTTTAGCAAATTATGAGTTTTTAGATGCAGACACTTTTTTGCTTTTAACCCTTTTTTCTTATATAAGTCTTTGGCTGCTCTTTAGAATCCATAGACAAACACTCATTCTGGAGAGGTTAAAACCCAGCTAGACAAAAACTAAGACAGCTAATATCTCAGGTGTCATTCACATAGAAGTCTTGAATTATTTGTTAAGATATATGCCGTGTCATAGATGTATGTTACCATAATGAGTGAGCTAGGTTTGTTGGAATTAACAGTGTTACGTGGCATTAGAAACGCTTCCATACTCTGGTACAGCAGTTTTCAAACTTTTCAGTCTTAGGACTTAGACTCTTAACAATTATTGGAGACTTCGTAAAAGCGTTTGGGTTGGTGGCTTACGTCTATAAATATTTATTATAATAGAAATTAAAACTAGAAAAATTTAAAGTATTTACTAATTATTTTATTTATTTTTTGAGACAGGGTCTTGCTGTGTCACCCAGGCTGGAGTACAGTGGGGCGAACATGGCTCACTGAAGCCTCGACCTCCTGGGCTCAAGTGATTCTCCTACCTCAGCCTCCTGAGTAGCTGGGACCACAGGTGTGCATCATTGTGCCCAGCTAATTTTTAATAATTTCCTGTAGAGATGGGGTCTCACTGTTGCCCAGGCTGGTCTTGTACTCCTGGGCTCAAACATTCCTCCTGCCTCGGCCTCTTGAAGGGCTGGGATTACAGGTGTGAACCACTGCACCCAGCCTATTTTGTTTTATTTTAGAGACAAATTCTCACTCTGTCGCTCAGGCTAGAGTGTAGTGATATGATCATAGCTGACTTCAGCCTTGATCTTCTGGGCTCAAGTGATCCTCCTGCCCCAACCCCCCTAGTAGCTGGGACCACAGGTGTGTGCTACCATGCCCGGCTTAATTTTTAAATTTGTTTATTATAGAGATGAGATCTTGCTGTGTTGCCCAGGCTGGTCTTGAACTCCTGGGCTCAAGCAGTACTCCCACTTCGCCCCCACAAAGTACTAGAATTATAGGCATGAGCCACCATGGCCAGCCCTAATTAATTTAAAAATAACAACAAGCTATTATATGTTAACCTAAATAACTTTTTTTAAAAACAAAAAACCTTAAAATTTAGTGAGAAGAATGGCCTTACTTTTTCATTTTTGCAAACTCACTATGGGCTTGACAGAAGTCAGCTTGAGTCTCATATCTGCTTCTACAGTCAACTGTTGTCATATGGTTGAAATATATGAAAAGCATTTGACCTCACACAGATATGTCATTGCAAAAGAGAAGACGTTAATAGCCTTTTCAGATAATTGTGAATACTATTTTTTGATATTACACCAAAACTTGACAAGTTATAGTTTTGTAAAGGTATGTTGCAATGAGAAGCCTGAAACCGTGTCAGTTAACTTTTTGTACTCTGTTTATTTAAGATCACTGGTCTGGTTTTCACTTTGAATGGCTCTTGTACCTATGTGTGCTTTTGTAACATCATGCGTTGATAATTTGGAAAGTACAGGTTTACTGAATTATGCATATCTTCCAAATTTTGACACATTTCATTATATAATATCAAAATATCGTATTTATGGATATCAACTCTGAACTCATCAGAAAGTCTACTGGGAAACTGTTAAGCTTACAATGGTGGATGCAAGTTTTTCAAAATTCTGATTTTCACTTGAAAACTCAAATTTTTTAATTGGCATAATTCTGTCAGCTGTTTTCCTTGGCATGGAAGGCTTACTTGTTTCATTTCTGAGAGAACATCTGCCAAATACCCAACTCCATATAATCATAATTTATCATATTTGTTTTCAAGTAAAAATGATGTTCCATGAAGAAAGTGACTTCTGCTCATTACTTAACCATAAAAGTGCTCTTTCTCAAGACAGTCCTCCTTCAATGTGCAAATACAAGTGCTTTTTTGTGTGCTTCCCATTTGACACACGCAATATTAAAGACATACTCAAAGGTTGATATGTAATAAGATGAATAATTGATATTGCTTCATCAAGGACATTCCTAAGTCAAATGGGCTTTTATTGTGTTTGTGTGAATGTATGGTGGTGAAAAATTTTAAAATATATCAAAGATTACCTAGCATAGCGTTTCCCGAAGAGTTTTTCCTAGCATATTGGTCCACAAGATGCCGTAGAGCTGTGCTGTTGAATATGGCAGCCACTAGCCACTTGTATCTAATGAGCACTTGAAGTCTGACTAGTCTGAACTGAGATGTGCTGTCAATGTAAAATACACACTAGATTTCAAAGAGTACAAAAAAGGAATGAAATACCTCATTAACAGTTTTTTTGTCTTTCTTTGTTTCTTTCTTTCTTAATTTTCTTTCTTTTCTTTCTCTCACTCTGTCACCCAGGCTGGATGCAGTGGCACAATCTCAGCTCACTGCAGCCTCTGCCTCCTGGGCTCAAGTGATCCTCCTACCTCAGCCTCCCAAGTAGCTGGGACCACAGGCGTGCCACCATGTCCAGCTAATTTTTTATATTTTTGGTAGAGACGGAGTTTCACCATGTTGCCCAGGCCAGGATATTTTTTATATATTGGGTTAAGTGAAATATATTGTTGATTAATTTCACCTAATTCTTTGTATTTTATTTTTTAATATGGCTACTGAGAATTTAAAAATTTAATATGTGGCTCACAATGTATTTCTATTGGACAGGATTACTCTAGAGAGAAATTTTGTGGCCAAATTTATTTGGGAAAAAGTTGGATATGCTATTTCTCCTTGAAGATTTATTACAAATATTAGGATAGGAATACTGAAGAGTCTTACCCACAAAAAGTTTTTAAGATTTTGGTTAACCCAGCAATTCCCAAACATATCATATTGTTGGACTATTAGTTAACATTCTATGGAACTAGCTGTAGAACTATAGAATTTGTTAATCCCAGTTTTGGAATAGTTCTACTTCAATTATCTTTGTTTTACTGATGAGAAAACTGAAGGGTAGAGTTGGTCACATTACATAACTTGGAAATTATATAAACATCTCCTTAGGGAAAGTTCAAGAAAAAGATATATACGTATATTTATTGGTAGGGTGACCACTTGTTTTTAATTTGGCATAAAATCATTTAAATTGATAATATAGGCCAGGTATGGTGGCTCACGCCTGTAATCCCAGCACTTTGGGAGGCCAAGGTGGGCGGATCACTTGAGGTCAGGAGTTCGAGACCAGCCTGGCCAACATGGTAAAACCTTGTCTCTACTAAAAATACAAAAATTAGCTGGGCGCAGTGGCATATGCCTGTAATCCCAGCTACTTGGAAGGCTGAGGCACGGGAATCACTCAAACTCAGAAGGCGGAGGTTGCAGTGAACCAAGATCATGCCACTGCACTCCAGACTGGGCAGCAGAATGAAACTGTCTCAAAATAATAGGCCAGGTGCTATTTATTACAGGCTCATGCCTATAATCCCAGCACTTTGGGAGGCTGAGGCAGGTAGATCACTTGAGGTCAGGAGTTCGAGACCAGCCTGACCAACATGGTGAAACCCCATCTCTACTAAAAATACAAAAAAAATTACCCGGGCATGGTGGCACACGCCTGTAATCCCAGCTACTTGGGAGGCTGAGGCAGGAGAATCGCTTGAACTTGGGAGGCGGAGATTGCAGTGAGCCAAGATCGTGCCATTGCACCACAGCCTGGGTAACAAGAGCTAAACTCCGTCTCAAAAAAAATAGTAATAAGATAAAATAAATTGATAATATAGTGGGGAAGATCTTAAATTTATTTTTTTAAATCTTGGTTTCTGCCTTCAACTTCTGGTTTTAGTCTACAACATTGCTTAATGTTTTACTGTGTCATATCCTGGGACAATGATTATTAACCTTTTAAAATTATAGACTGAGATTCTGAAAAGAAAACAAAAGCTTCACAGATTCTCTCATCAGAATTATTAATATGCACACAACTTGTGTAGGATTTCAGGAGGTCATTGACCTTCTAAACCTATCCATTGACTGCAGATTAAGAATTCTTCTCTTATGATTCAGGGATAATGAATTTATGGCTATTAACCAACATAACTCTCACTCTTGAATTGTAGTATTAAAAAGCCCACCAATCTGTAGATGTTTATTAGGTATGTATATTGCATAATTCTACACTGAAGAATCCCGTAAGTATAATATAGTGTCACCACTCACAAGGAATTTAATATTTCCTATGGCTTAAAACATATTTTTGAAAAAACTTTACATGATAAGACTCATTTTACCTTACCTTAGAAATATTTATGGAAAGCTCTATAAAATTTTAGAGTAAGTGAAATACACAGGGTTCAGGAAAGGTTAGTCCTCTAATGAGCAGTTAGAAAAACCATCATGTGCTATATGTGAGCAATGTTTGGGATATCTCTAGGGAAGTGGACATTATTATAACTTCCAAACATGTCTTGCATTGATCAGTGATTTTTCTGTCTTCTCACTCCATCAGGGACACCCGTGCAGTAAGATGCAGAATTTCCCATCCTGCATTTTTAAGAAAAATGCCAGAAGAGACTCTTTTTCTTCAGGAGTATAAACTGATGCTTTATTTACCAGGCAGTACTGGATTTCAGTGTAGGCCCAGTTATACAGATTTATAAATCAAAGAGAATATAGATGAAGTTGGATGCAGTGGCACACACCTGTAATCCTAGCAGCTCAGGAGGCTGAGGTGGGAGGATCTCTTTAGGCCAAGAGTTTGAGACAAGTCTGGGCAACATAGCAAGACCCTGACTCTAAAAAAGATTTAAAAATTAGCTGGGGGCCAGGCGCAGTGGCTCATGCCTGTAATCCTAGCACTTCGGGAGGCTGAGGCAGGTGGATTGTCTGAACTCAGGAGTTTGAGATCAGCCTGGGCAACATGGTGAAACCCCATCTCTACTAAAATACAAAAGAAATTAGCCGGGCGTGGCGGTGTGTACCTGTAGTCCCAGCTACTCGGGAGGCTGAGGCAGGAGAATTGCTTAAACTCAGGAGGCGGAGGCTGCAGTGAGCCGAGATCACACCACTGCACTCCAACACTCCATCCTGGGCGACAGAGCAAGACTCTGTCTCTACAAAAAAAAATAATAATAATAAAAAATACATAAAAAATTAGCTGGGTATGGTGGCACATGCCTGTCGTCACAGCTACTTGGGAAGCTGAGATGGGAGGATTGCTTGAGCCCAGGGGCTTGAGGCTGCAATGAACTATGATCATACCACTGCACTCTAGCCTGGGTGACACAGTGAGACTCTGAATATTAGGGGAAACAAATGTGTGTGTGTGTGTGTGTGTGTGTGTGTGTTTTTGTGTATGTACTGAAAGAGACAATGTCTGAGGATTTTTTTTTTTTTTTTGAGACAGAATCTTGGAATCTCGCTTTGTTGCCCAGGCTGGAGTGCAGTGGCGCGATCTCGGCTCACTGCAAGCTCCATCGCCTGGGTTCACGCCATTCTCCTGCCTCAGCCTCCCGAGTAGCTGGGACTACAGGCACCCGCCACCACGGTGGGCTAATTTTTTGTATTTTTAGTAGAGATGGGGTTTCACTGTGTTAGCCAGGATGGTCTCGATCTCCTGCCCTCGTGATCCACCCGCCTCAGCCTCCCAATGTGCTGGGATTACAGGCGTGAGCCACCGCGCCCGGCCTGAGGATTGTTAACTAAAAAGTTTGAGACCCAGATCTGATCCTTATTTTCTGTTGGACATCCCTTGAAGAGTTGAGCTGCTTTACAGAGATGGCTTATATCCACTAAAGGCCTGCACTACAGCTAAATTATAATAGGTCATTGGAATGCTTGGCACGCAAGGCCCTTTATGTGCTAATTCAAACCTGAATCCTTTTGCTTCTTTACATATTATCTGTATTCCTATTTGCCATTCTCTGAACTTGCAACATACTGTTATTTCTAGTACCTGGAATTCCTCCTGACTTCCATCTTTATCCACCTTTCAAAGATGCTACCTATTGTTTAAAGCTCAATCCGTGAAGCCTACAGATGAAAATATTCCTTCCTTGGAACTTAATATCTTCCTGTTAGTCTTTGCACTGAATTAGTTTTTTATACATTTTTTCTCACCAAAGGCCAGGCCTGCATCTTGCTCATTTCTGTGTTCCTTATAGCACTGGCAAGAGTTTGAACTTTGTAGTTGTTCAGTAAGCATTTGTTGATTAAATGTAAAACTCCAGAGAAAATAGGTGGTACTTAGTATTAACAATTAACATATATTTTTACTTGTATATGGGAATTGATAGGGAGCATCCTCGAATGGGAAAACATCATTTTGGAACTGGACAGGGGTGGGTGGGAAGAGTAGTTGAATGCTGTCTCCTTGCACGTCTGACCATGCACGGTTTCAGAATTCTTGCTGCCTTAACTACTATTACTACCATTTTACAAGTGTCTTAGTTTTCATTTTACCCTACACACTGTATAATGCTATTGGTGAATGCAAATGAGGTGTAAATTCAGATGAGTGAATGTCTTCGTGTGATAGTAGATAGTTTCCAAAGGAGTGATTTTTTTTTCCCATTACAGGCATGTAATGAATTTACTACACATGTGATGAACCTTCTCCGAGAACAGAGTAGAACACGTCCCATTTCTCCAAAAGAGATTGAAAGAATGGTGGGCATCATCCATCGAAAATTTAGTTCCATTCAGATGCAGCTCAAACAAAGCACTTGTGAAGCAGTTATGATTTTAAGATCAAGGTTCCTTGATGCCAGGTATGTGAAGCCATAAATCTATTGCATGGCTTTCCCCCGTCTGTCACTCCTTGTGTATTATTTTCTGTAAAACTGACCAGTTGGTCTTAGATTCTTTTGGCCATATGAGTCTTTTGTACAATGGACAGGTAATTCAACTCATGGTTCCTGTGCTGTCAAGCTTTCCTGTCTGGGAATGGTAATGTGGGTTAGCTGCCAGTTTAGTGACTCAGGAAATGAATAGGATTAGTGTCTCTGCTAATGACTTTAGGAATATGTAGCCTTTCCATTCTGATGCTAAAAGGTATTTTTAAGGATAGTTTTCTGCATATAACTGTTTTAACAAGGGGTATTTTGTAAGAATTTCTTAATGTTACACGGGTTGTGCATAATATGGGAAAATACTTGGAGATACTGATACTCCTAAGAAGGAAGTGGCATTTCAGTTAATAGCAGTTACCACAAAACTCCAGAATCTGTATTTCCAAATCAAGAAAGAAAGCCTACCATTTTTCCTGTAAGGATGAAAATTTCCCTTTATCTGAAGCTTTCCCCAAGTTTCACAGGAGTTAGGTAATATATTGTATATGGTAATAAATTGTCTACAGTGACCTACTGAGTGACAGAACAGAAGAATTGTCAACGTCATAGTGTACGCTGCCCCTGTAGGGATGCCTCTCGGGGCATTGCTAAAGCTTATGATGAATCTGCAGCTTTGGAAAGAAGTTTCTATTTTGTTTTTCTTTCTTCTCCCATGGAATCTGACAGAGGTGATAATTATCATCCAAATCTCACAGTATTAAAGGAAATAACTAAGATAGCTTCTCAACTGGAAAACAAAGTGTGTGGAGCATTTTCAGTGTTTTTCATTTTAGCTCTTTATTTTCATCTCAGTTCCTGCCCATCCTTTTGTACATGGGCTAGCACAGTACCTACTAGTCTCCCTGTCTCCAGTCCTACTGCCCTCCAGCCCATCCTCCATATCCCTTGTCTGTTTCTATAACATCACCGTGCTACCATGATTGCTTTGCTTGAAAACCACAGTAGCTTTCCAATGCTCGATACATGCATACTTCACATATACACTCCTTAACCTGACATTTAAGGCCTGTTCCTGTCTGCATTACTTCTTTGTTGTTGTGAAGATTTTATTATTCTTTTTTCTATTTTAAAAATGCCAAGCTCACTATGGAAAGTTTGGAAAATATATGGAATAAAAGGATGAAGGATAAAAGTTAACCTCATTTTTATTACCTAAAGAAAAAATCACTATAAATGTTTTACAATATTCTCTCTCTTTTTGTTTGTTTGGGGGCTTTTTAAAAGAAATATTTCTGTGATGGGTCAATATGCATAATTTGGTCTGCTTTTTAAAAAATTTACCATGAATACATGAACATTTTCATGTAGTATAAGCTCTAATTATTAATAGCATTTTAACAATTGAAGTTACCAAATGGATATAAAATAAATAATGTCCTTAGCATTCCCTTATGCATTCCCTATGCACTCCACCCAGGCTGGAGTGCAGTAAATGATGCTATCATGGCTCACTGCAGCCTCGACATCCCATGCTCGAGTGATCTTCCTGCTTCTGCCTCCCGAGTAGCTGGGAGGCATTTGCCACCATGCTCGGATAATTTTTGTATTTTTTGTAGAGATGGTGTTTCACCATGTTGCCCAGCCTGGTCTTGAACTCCTGAACTCAAGCTATCCTGCCTCCCAAAGTGCTGGGATTATAGGCAGGAGCCACCATGCCCAGCCAACTATTAATTTTCATATAATTTCTTCCTTTCTTCCTTCCTTCCACAAATATTTATTGGTACTGAGGATATATTGGTAAACAAGACAGATTAATATACTTGCCCCAATTGAGCTTATATTCTACTTGAGGAAACAGACAGTAAACAGGTGAACAAATATACCATAACATTCTATTTAATAATGTAATTAAATGTAATAGGGTGATAAGTGGTATGCAGAAAAATAAAGCAAGTCAAGGGGAGAGAAAATGGAGAGGGTACTATTTTAGATAGATTTTTATTTAAACTAACATTTTAATGAAAATCTTCATTGATTGAACCTTTTTGGTCTTTAGGATTATTTCCTAAGGATCAATTCTTAGAAATGGAATTATTAGATCTGAGTTTGAACATTTTCAGTGTTCTTATTTATATATCACTAAATTGTTCTTTCCTGTGTTTCTTCCAAAATGAAATGCTTCATGGAATTATGTTTCTACTGCTTAGAATTCCTTCTTTTCCTAAGTCTAACCACTTACTTCCCTGGCTCCCACAACAAACTGTCTCTCTAAGCTGGTTACCAGTAATGAGTCATCATCTGTGAGGGTATCTGGAATGGAGCCCGGAATGGAACCAGTGCTTGTACTTGTTGGATCTAGTGAGATCTTGCTCATCGTTCCGGATCTGGTCTAAATGCTCGCTTTTCAGAAAATCCACCTTAATCACCCTGCTGGACTAGCCCTTCCTTCCCTTGAACACTTATACTATGTTTACGCAACTATTCAGACTGAAAGTCATGTAGGCTCCTTTTTCTTGTAGTTTTTCATGAACATTTCTTCTCTCCCTTAGTAAGCCACAGTGTCATTGAAAGCAACAGCCAAGACTTACACATTTGCATTCCCCACAATTCTAGCAAATGACTTACATGTTAGAGGCTACCAAAAATAATTTATTGACTGGCCAGATGAATGAATAATTCCACTTAATACTTTGTAACAGCTCAAATCAGGGTTAGAGAGGTAGCATCAGACGACAAAAAACATTTTAAAATTATTTGTCTAATTTGAGCATTTTAATAAAAAGCATTATGTAACAAAGATAGTAAAACATGTCTGATAGAAAGAAATATTTTCTAACATAATTGCTATCCTTATTTCTGCTGATACTTTCCCATTCTTGTCAACATGCATGCTTATTTTTTAAATAACTGCATTCATAATGTATACACCTAAATGATTTATTTTTCTTCCATGAAGAGAAAGTGTATTAACAGCCTAAAGTGAGCAGGGCCAGAATGAGAGAGTGGCAGAGCTTGGAGCAGAGTCTCTTCTCCCATAGAGATTGCTGTTAGTAATGTTGTGATGCTGATGGAACACAGGCCTGGACTGATGTGCCACTGCACACTGGCCTGAGGCATAGCCATTTAGAGTGTGGTGAACCCTGGGGGAGTGAAACTGAGGGGAAATGCTTAATGGGCATTTTCTACAGGATGCTTTCTAAAAAATAAATAACGTATAAGACCAAGTTCTCTCCTGTGCCTTCAAGTGAATGCAAATACTGAGCTTTGGTTCCATCTATTCTTGTAGTGCCTCCCAGCAAGCCCTCTGCACTGAGAAGGCAAGGGGCTCTGCTCTAGGCAAACATGCTCAGTCAGATATATGATTCCCTTGCTCACTCTGACTTCCCATGCTCATGTTTGCTTCATAATTGGACAAGACGAAGCATGCACCAATGCAAAACATTTAAGAATAAATTTGTGTAGGTCCGTCTCCTCTTCCAGTAGAAGTGCTGTAGTTTGGACACAGCCAGAATGTCCGGTGAGCTATTCCGTTTGTTCTCTGAGGTGTTTTGAAGTTTGTTAAAAACCACCCCTGGGCAAAAGTGATGTGAGCCAAACTTCTCTTTGCTTTTCTAGATATATTTCTTTTTGATCCTCCTTTCATACGTCGCTATTTCCCAAAGAAATGCACTTGTGTCATCTATTCCCATCTACCCTGGGCCTTGCTCCTGGGCACCAGGAGCTTGCTTACATATAGTGGAATTGAGTGGAGTGGCTGAAGCAGGGATACAGGGAGGGACAAGGAGGGTTGGAGCAGGCAGGTGCATATCTAAGGGGGCAGCTATCACTCAGCTTTAACCTAGAGCTGCCTTCTGAGAACATGGGCCCAGTACTGTTGGTATCCCAATTTTTCATAAGAAGTCAGAAACCTAGATTTTTATGAGCAGGTAATTACTGTGTGGTCTCAATAAATAATGTCTATGGGCCAGATAATGTCCATAAATTTGACATTTTCAGTATCTAGTCTAGACATTACCCATGCACCTACTCATCAGAGTGTACCTCTTCAATGTGCTCTCACCTCGGGACCTTGTCTTTCTTTTCAAGCAACACATGACTCCTGCAAAAATGCTAACTGTTCTTCTTTTTGGTGCATTTGTCTTCGTTCCGTTCCTTCCCTGTCTTCCCTTACCACCTCCCCATCCAGTTCATCATCAAATCCTGTTGATTTTAATCCCCAAATACATCTTGAATCTCATCTTCATCCTCTAGAAAACAATAGTTTAACCCTCCTAAAAATTATTGAAATTAAGACATTTCAGGACTAAAACCTGAGTTGTTTTGATCAGACCTAGATTTCTTGCTCCCTTGACTCTCCCTTAATGTTGAAATGTAGATCACATACTTAACCTGCCATATGAATGACACCATTTTGACTAGAAGAATCTCATAGAGTGCATACCTATACAACAGCCTACTGACTCTGTGTTTTCTGACTGTGGGATATCACAATTGAGAAGAATTAAGATTATTTGGAAGAAAGTATTAAGAAAATTATCTGGGGAAGGTATTTTCTAATTACTGGAGTACTTAATTGAAAGTGAATTCTGACAAATGATAATTTTCAGGCTGGAATTCTTTAAAATCTTAATAACAAAACCCAAATATAAATGACATTTTTGCTACTTGAAATATGTTGTTAATAAATGCTTGATCTTTTGAAAGTCTGTTACCCCCTTCCCAACAAAAACAAAAGATAACTTTTTGTTCTCTCCTCTTTGCTTAGTGAAGGAAATCATACCTCAGTCCAGGAAGTTGCTTAAGCAGAAAAACCTAGAAATCCTTCCCAATGCATTTTTTTTTTCCTAAACTTCCTTCTCTATCTCCCTCACTCACTCCTCCCATTCAATACATCATCAGGTCCTATTGCTTTTACCTTTCAAGTAGATCTTGAGTCTTGTTTTCATTGCTCTCACCTTGTGCCAAGTTACTATCATCTTCATTTTGACCAGTGCAATCATCTCCTAAAATGGGCTTTGCAGTTCCTTTCATGCGCTCCTCCACCTATTCTCAGCAGTCAGAATGATCTTTTAAAAACATAAAACTTAAAACCTTTAATAGTTTCCTATTGCACTCAGCATAAAATCCAAAACTTCTTGTAGCTCCACTGAGCTTCTGTAATCTGCCCCCTGCCCATCCTTCCAGACTCATCTCACACATTCCCTGTCTTTTACGGTGCCCCAACCTGCTCTAACCCTTTAGACAAGATATTTCTGTTTCAGAACTCTTCCTCTGCCCAGTCCTCTTCCCTGTAAGCTCTCTGATAGACCTTGTTTGTTCTCACTGGATCTTCATTGAATATCTAAAATATTAGGTCTTCAAAGAATGAAGCACAATAGTCTGCTTCATAGTCTGGTATTTTTCTCAGTGATCCTACATCTTAAAATGAGTTGGATAATGCCTTGGAGGATGTCTAGAACATAACGTATAATATCACAGAAATAAATTAGACCTTAAGGATGTTTAAAAAGAGAAATCTACTTTTTTGGTATCATCCTAATTAACCCATCCCTCTTAGGTTAATGCTGATTGTAACTGCAATTATTTTCTTTCACTCTTGTCATAGACGGAAAAGGCGTAACTTCAGTAAACAGGCCACAGAAATCTTGAATGAATATTTTTACTCACACCTCAGCAACCCCTACCCCAGTGAAGAAGCCAAAGAGGAGCTGGCCAAGAAATGCAGCATCACAGTGTCACAGGTGAGAAAGGACCCATGGGTCTGTCTTGTTCCCTGTGGAGACAGGAACCTCATTCCTTCCTCAGGGCATTATTATCAAATTTCATATCCAAATGTTCTATCATCAAAAAAGATATAAGGAAAATGTAGATATTTCCACAGTTTTAGGCAAGATTTTAAACCTTAGATAATTTTGAAAAACTGTAAGTGGCGAAGAATCAAGACCACCACCACCCCCATTCCCCAGTGTAAATCTTCTCTAGAGAGGACATAAACATGCCATGGGGAGAGACGCAGTTTACACTTAAGTGACTCTCCAGTAAATGGCATGTATTCCTGGTTTCCCTGATTTAGATGACTGACCTAAGCTTCTACCAGCAAGAAACCAATTTATTTGTTGCCAAAAGGAAATTTAATATAACTCTTTGGTGAAAGCTTTGAGGAATTCACCAGGCCCTTTCTTGGTAACATACTACAATGTTTGAATCCCAAGGATTTCTTTGCTTCCTTATTATCCATTAAACACAAGAATTAAATTCATGCTTTCAGGGTTTCTGATTTTGGGGTTTTTAAAAAAATGTTTATTTATAATAATTTCTGACCCTGAAGTTAGTTGTCATCTTCTAACAAAAATACATTTAGTTTTAGTCAGATAGACTGGTATTTGGACTGAGGATTGGAAACAAATAAATTAACAAACAAGTGTACCTCTTTAGAACATAAATATATCGTATTAGCATTACCTCTAAAATACAATTTTGTATAAATGTTCATATTATTGTTAATAGATTGACATTTGAAGAGCATTTCTTTATAGCATGCAAAAGCAGTAGTTTACCAACCAGTTTTTGTAGTGAAACTTAAGGAAAAACTGACGCTTGTCAAAAATTTCAGTGTTCACTAGGGGTCACATGAAACCACTTTTAAAAGTAGTTTCTAAATAAATACTTGTACTGTAGATAAAGTTCAAGATACTAAAGATCCCTTTCAAGTTCCAATGAGGGTCTCATATCAGTGTATGAAGTCATTGTTATTTGAGGGAATAGGGCCTGGGTGTAAGATGATTTCCAGCTCCTCTTTTGGCATTATTTTCTGTAGAAACTCAAGAGCAAACTTTGATTCATAACTAAGGTTTCATTCAAGGTTTATTGTCATTTCTCTTATGAAATGGTATATCTTGATTTCTTTTTACGCAGTTAGAAATGGAATATAATTGATTTGGATTACCAGCTTACATAGACATATATTATATAAAACATTACTAACTGGGTTACTCACTTCCATATGAAATATGGAGGAATAATATGATATGCCGGGTTAGCCAGAGAAGACAAAATTAAAAGAAGAATCGTTTCAAGTAGGATTTTATGACGAATGCCTTTTCCCTGAACATTAGTGAAAGGATTAGGTTCATGCCGAACACCGGATGATGATGCCACGCCTGGTTTTCCTGTTCTCACAACCACTCTCTGACTTAGAATTTGAATGTTTGTGGATGAGTTTAAGCATTTTCTTGCTGCCACTCTTTTTTAAAAAACAATTCTATAGTATATGCACCATTAGAGAATAAAACAGATTAATATCATCTATTTCAAAAACAATAGAATCTGGAGTTTTCATTAGCTGTAGTACTTCACACTTTGTGTGTAGTGTAGAGTGTGCTCAATACACACTTGTGGAATAAGTGATAAAAAGGTTTCCTTCTGGCTGTTCTGAACTAGGGAGTTTTAACTTCTAAAATAGGCTAGGAACCCACTTACCAGTGTGTTTTTTTTAAAAAAAACAGTTAATTATTAAATTTATTTCACTTGTTTTCTATGGAAAAATAGCTTTATTATGTTTTGAATTTTTTTTTTAGCAATTGCTGAGAAAAAGGTACAGAGGTAGAAATAATATAGATATAGCTCTGTTACCCTGTCTAAAAAGCAAACTTTCTGACCTTGTTTCTTCCAGGTCAGCCTTTCAAACACAGAATTTCAGAAATAAGTTATGCTTATAAATTAATGGCCTTTTGTTTAAGTTTTTAAAAAGTGAAAGCAAAGAATTTCTGTTCTAGGCCTGACAGGTCAACTGCTTTTGCTTTTTCTTTTTTAAAGACAGGGTCTCGCTCTGTCACACAGGCTGGAGTGCAGGGATATGTTATCACAGCTCACTGTAACTTTGAACTCCTGGGCTCAAGCAATCCTCCTGCCTCAGCCTCCTGAGTAGCTAGGACTACAGGCACGCCACCACACCCAGCTGATTTTTAAATTTTTTGTACAGACAGGGATTCACCCTGTTGTCCAAGCTGGTCTCGAACTCCTGGCCTCAAGTGATCCTCCAGCCTCAGCCTCCCAAAGTGCTGGGATTACAGGCATGAACCACTACACTTGGCTAACTACTTTCAAAAGAGAAAAAATATTGTTTAAAATGTAAATCATACTGAAATACAATTAAATTTAGAATCTAGAAATTGTTCATAGAGAAAACCAACTTTAAAAATATTGAAGCCCCCTGAAAACAGGCAACTGGAATAACACTATTTTTACTAGATTTAGAATATATGAAACTCTGATCTATTATTTACTGCAACTGCTTATAATAATAATAGGGAAACTTCAGAAGAAGTGTAAGGCAATATCTTTAGTGCTGTGAGGGCAGGCTAGAATTCCTTAAACAGGACATAAAATGTGTAAGGAACAAAAGAGAAGACTGATAGATTCAGTGGTAGAACTTTTGTTTATCAAAGTACTTAATAAAGACTGAAAACATCAACATGATACAACTATTCAGTAAAGATGGGATCAGATATAATTATCAATAGATATTAAATCTAGAGGAAAATTTAGATGAAGAACATGGTCTTAAAGTGTCTCTCCATAGACCATTTAAAGTTACAAGAGATTTAAAAAAAAAGTAATAGTAGAGTGGAGAAATGGGACAAAAACTTGACCAAGTGATTGGAATCAACATCACCAAGGAGGAGCAGACGGACATTGGGTGTAGTATTTCATCCAAGAACATAACCTGAGTCTAATCACAAG
Organism: Homo sapiens; assembly: GCF_000001405.40. Taxonomy (NCBI): domain Eukaryota; kingdom Metazoa; phylum Chordata; class Mammalia; order Primates; family Hominidae; genus Homo; species Homo sapiens. The sequence goes on from NC_000009.12 coordinate 125,938,609, forward strand.
ACAACACCAGCCAAATCCCAAATGAGGAATGTTCTATTGAAGACAAAAGCGGGGAAGGAGCATTGTTCTTTAAAAACGTCCAAGAAAGGCCAGGGAAATGTTCTAGATTAAAAGAAGCTAAAGAGATAGGACAAGTAATTGCAATACTTTACCCTAGACTGGATTCTGTACTGTGGGGAAAACCATACCATAAAAGATATTATTGGGTTAAATTTACTGAAATAAATTGTAATTGATAATTGTACTATGGTTATGTGAGAGAATCTCTTTAGACTTAGGAAATATACACTGACTGACTTAGGGGTAAAGGACCATGATGAGTATAACTTAGCCTCAGATGTTCAGAAAAAAAAAATGTGTGTTTGCATGTATATGTGTGTGTGTGTGTATATAAACACACATACACACACACACACAGCATGAGTGCCCACAAAGATAAAACAAATGGGGAAAAATAATAATAGGGGAAGGGCATATACAAATATTCTTTATGCTATTTTTATTGTTGCAGCTTTTTTCACATTTGAAATTATTTTCAAATAAAATATTTTCTAAACTGTAGAAACAGTCCACGCACTGCAAGAAGATATTTACAAGTGTATAAGCAACAGAGGATTAAAATCCAAAATATATAAGGAACTCCTATAAATTAATAAGAAAAGACAAAGAACCGATTTCAAAAATAGGCAAAAGAGTCAAACAAGGATTTCATGGAAGAAAAAATAGAAATGGTCAATTGTATGAAAAGATCCCCATTCTTATTAGGAATCAGGAAAATATGATTAAAAATTGCAGTATTTTTATATTTCAAACTTATATTTCCTAGATTGGCACATTCTGCTACCAAGAATGTGTAGCAGTAGGAGCCCTTATAATATTGGTGGTAGGGATGTAAATTGATATAGCCACTTTGGAAAACTTCTGACATTATTTTATAAATTTGAACATGCATATACCATTCAACCCACAATTTCTAGAAGACCTCTTGTCTGTATTTCAGGAAACACTGGTAAGAACATTCATAGTAACATTGTTTGAAATGGCAAAAAATTTGAAACAAACCATTTGTCCACGGACTGGAGAAATGGATAAATATGCTGTGTTATAATCCCACAATGGAGCACTATTCAGCAATGGAAAAAGAATGATCTACAAGTATCAATTCATGTTGAGTGAAAAATGCAAATTGGAGAATACACGTAACATAACATTTTTAGGAAGTTTAAAACCAAGCAAGCTAAACAGCATATTGTCAGGGGAGACATATATGTGGTTAAACATAAAGGAAAGAAAGGCAATGATAAAATTAAAAAAGGGCCGGGTGTGGTGGCTCACGCCTGTAATCCCAGCACTTTGGGAGGCCAGGAGTTTGAGACCAGCCTGACCAACATGGAGAAACCCCGTCTCTACTAAAAATACAAAAAGTAGCCGAGTGTGATGGTGCATGCATGTAATCCCACCTATTCGGGAGGCTGAGGCAGGAGAATTGCTTGAATCCAGGAGGTGGAAGTTGTGGGGTGAGCCAAGATCGTGCCATTGCACTCCAGCCTGGGCAACAAGAGCAAAACTCCGTCTCAAAAAAAAAAAAGAAGAAAAAGAATCCAATGAGATGGGATCAAGAAGGAACAATCAAGGAGTTTCAGTATTACTAACAGTCTTTCTTAATTTTAGTGGCAGGTTTACAGAGATTAATTTAATTATTATGCATTACAAACCTGCATATATAAGGCAAGGAAGTCTCATGTCAGTTATTAAATCTAAGTAACAGAATTTAAAAAGACTGTTTCCATTCGTTTAATAAACATTTATTGAATAATGCTGATTATGTGCCAAATACTGTGCTAGGGATGAAAGAGACATCAGTGAACTTAACCAGACAGACCCATGTCCTACCTGATAGAAATGTGTACACATACTCACCAAAAGATATGTATAGGAATATCCTTAGTAACAGTATTTGTAATAGCCAAAACTAGAAACAATGCAAACGTCCATCAAGAGGAAAATAGGTAAACCAGTATGGTATATTTATGTATATTTGGAATGTTATTTAACAATGAGAATGAATGAACTATAACTATATGTAACTACATAATGCTAAGTAAAAGAAGTGCTTGATTTCATTTATAAAAAATGGAAAAACTTGATTTCATTTATAAAAAATAGAAAAACAAGAGAAATTAACCTTGGGGGTTAGAAATCAGATTAATAGTTATTTTTGGGGGAATGGTGATTGGAAGGAGGAAGAACTATTTCTTGATCTAAGTGTTAGTTCCATGGGTATGTTCACTTTATGAAAATTCATTAAACTCTATACCTATGATGTGTGGCCCTTTTTTGTATATTTTTATTTTATTTGACTAAAAAGTTTACTTTCATAACAAAAACAAGCCTGCCTTCATGGAACTTACATTTTTGTGGGAGTATACATATAAGTAAACAAGACAGTCAGTTACAAAGTGATAGTTGCTCTTGACAAATGAAGGAGGGAAGTGGTTAGAGGATGCAATTTTTAATAGGGTGGTAAAGAAAGCCCCTCCTGAGGAAGTATCTTTTGGTTAGTTTGAAGGAGATGAAGGACAAGTCATGTGGATAATCAGTGAGGAACATTCTAGCAGAGGGAACAGCAAGTACGGAGGCCCTGAGGTAGAAGTGCCCTGAGCAAGGGAGCAAGTAGTAGGAGATGAAGTTAAAGATGCTGGGGACCAAATAAATGGTTCATGGGCCTTCTAGGCCATGGTGATGACTTGGGCTTTCACTGTGAGATGGGGAACTGAGGAGTGACATGGATCTGACTTAAGTTTTATAGGATCACCATGGCAGCTGTACTGACATTAGACCCTGGGAGGCAAGGGAAAGCAGAGCTATCAGTTGGGGTACACTTGAGTGTTCACTTAATTGAGTATTTGTGATAGAAATGATGAGATGTGACTGGGTTCTGGATAAATTGTGAAGGTACAGGGTTTCCTGATAGGTTGGATGTAGAATGTGTGAGAAAGAGATTTGCTAAACCAGAATTTGAAATTTCTGATTTCTTGACTTGCTTTGATTAAGTAAGCAAAAGGGAGTTCCTCTTTTACCTAACACCCTGAAAATTGACAAAAGAAGAAACTATTTCACATGTCATATGCATTGAGAATCATACTTAAATTGTCACATACTCTTAATTAGTAGAGCAGATATTAATTTACTTTTTGGAATAGAGCTAATTTACATTGATTATTCAAGTTACTAAGCTGTAAAAAACTTCATCGTTCTCCTAATTCCAATTTTGAATTTGAGTAACTGGCTGTATTTTCTCTGCTAGGTGTTTTTAGAATGAAAAATGTTAACTTATTCTTCATTTCTACTGTAGTTGAAATGTACTGTAAAGAAAGGATTGATTTAAAAACAAAAATGAGAACCAGAAATGGTATTTATTCACTCAACCAACATATTTTAGAGCTCTTAAAGAGGCAAATAAGACCTGCTTTTATAATAGTCTAATATAAATAACATCACAATCTAACCCATACAGATGAGGAAACTGAAGTTCAGAGAAGTTAAGTGATTTGACAAGGGTCACAAGCCTTAGTGAGTAGGGGACTTGGGGATTTTTACACAGATATTCTTAATAAAAGGGGAGAAACTGAAGTCTTACTTTTTTTCTTGCAAGAGGCAGTGTGATTCATTCATCCCCAGGGCCCAGGCTGCAGAGTGCTGGTTTGTGAGGCACGGACCTTGGATAATATCACTAGGGCTGCATCATTTTCCCGCTAAGCTACTTTAGAGACTCTGGGCTAGTTAGTAGTCTGAGGTCTCTTTACTCATTAAACTACTTATTCCAAAGCAGTGAATATTCAGTAAGCTAATTAAAATTTGTAAGTAAGATTTCCTTATTAAAAAAACTATTAAAATAAGAAGAAGCCCGTTAAAATAATAATTAGAGCAGGAAAAAAGAAGATGACTATCAAATTACAGTACTTTTTTTCAGCTATACATAAAGGCCTTTTCAGTTGCTTTGGCAGTAGACAGAAGGCAGAAGTAGATTCCTACTGCAAGTATGCAGTTGGTAAACCAGAAACAAGTTGAAGGAAAAGGCAGCTATTTTGTTAAAACGGTTCTTTCACATGTCTTAAAAGAAGGCTACAGACCCTCTGTTCTAAAAGCTCTGATTGTGTATCCCAGTGGAGGTGGGACATCATTAAACAGTGCGCAGAGAATAAAAGAGCAGGTTGTAAAAAATGGGAGCTTTGAGGATGCTATAGCATGAAGTACAGATGAGGCATATCTGCAAGATTTAAAGAAAACAGGGAAGCTTCTGATTTTTTTGTTGCTGTTGTTCTCTACAAACAATCAGTACCATGATTGGTGTGGTGCTTAAAGCTTGCTCCAGTGATGTCAGGTATTATATTTATTTTAGAATTGACTATTTTGAGGAAATCTCTAACACTCAGTTGATACGATACCCAAACAAGGATAAAGAGACAATTTTCAGGCTGGGCACAGTGGCTCACACCTGTAATCCCAGTGCTTTGGGAGGCTGAGGCGGGTGGATCGCCTGAGCTCAGGAGTTCAAGACCACCTGGGCAACCTCGTCTCTACTAAAATACAAAAAATTAGCCGGGCGTGGTGGCACACGCCTGTAGTCCCAGCTACTCGGGAGGCTGAGGGATGAGAATCACTTGAGCCTAGAGGTGGAGGTTGCAGTGAGCCAAGATCATGCCATTGCACTCCAGCTTGGGCTGCAGAGTGAGACTGTCTCAAAAAAAAAAAAAAAAAAAAAAAAAAAAAAAAAAAAAAAAAAAAAAAGAAAGGAGAGAGAATTTGCAGCTTAGATTTAGGGTTTTTGAGTTTCCCTATACCTGGAAGAAGTCATAATCAGAACTGTGGTTCCTCCATTTTTGTCCCCTTTGCCTTCTTTTACCTATTCCTTCTCTTCTTCTTTCCAATTGAGTATTCTTATCAGTTTTTCTCATGCTAGTCTCAGCACTGTGTCTAACCTTTCCGCTGCCTTGCTTCCATGAGGCGTTTGAGGCTAATAGGCCAATATATAAGCCAGGGTCCCAGCAGAAAACAGATGTCACACTCAAACTGGAATAATTGGAGGACACTTTATAAGTGAGGTAAAATGACTTGCTCAAGGTCACTAAGCAAGTGACTATTTACAATAGTGTGGGCAGAGTGTAGGGAAACCACAAAGGATAATACTAGTGATTGGTTCTGTTACCCACTTGGCCTGAAGAGATGAGGGAAGGGTCAGTAGATCTCAAGACAGAGGAGGTGTGTGGAGAAGGCCAGTGACTGAGACCTGAAAAAAGGCAGCCTTATAGTGCAGGAGTCAGGGGAACAAATACTGTGACCTCACTCTTCTCCCTTCCCATCTGCCGCCAGTGCCTACTATTGGCCAGAAGCCTGAGGGCACCCAGGGCAGCCTCCTGGGGCCCATGACAGGGTAGAGAGTGGATAGGGAGGAGTGAACAGAAGATAGACAATGTAGTCCAAAGGGTGAAGATACCTGGTCAGAACAGGCGCCTTGCTCAAGCCTCCTGGCTTCCCACTTCTGTTGATTCTGTGATGTTTGCATCCAGAAACCTTCTCCAGAGATGCTCTTGGGCTTTCCTTGTTTCTTCTCTTTTGATTTCTCTCCCAATTCTTCTGTCAGCTATGTGGAGAACACATTTTTCTAAAATAAGTGTGGGTTTTGAGAGTAGAAACTACAGTTTAAATAAGTTAATTTGATCTAGCCAAAGGTACTTACCAGGATTTTTGGCTATTTTCTTAATTTGCTCAATAGGTACTTAGTGCCTACTATATGTCAGGCACTATGCCTGGAACTGTGGCAAAGAAAGGTCAGTAAGATAGGGTTCTTCTCCCCAAGAAATACTGAATTTGTTGGGGGAAACAGACAGATGTGTTACTGACAGAATATAAAAGTTACCTGAAGAAGCACACAGGCACAAATGGATGCCATGTGTGGAATATAGTACAAAGAGGGGTTTACTTTCTATTGAGAGGATCAGGAAAGACCTTCTAGAGAAGATGATGTGTAGAACCTGGAGAAGGATGAATAAGACTTTGGGAGAAAGGATATTCTAAGCAGAGGAAACTCAGAAGCAAAAAACAGATATGTTAGGAGAACAGTTTAATAAGTCTGGAGCCTGTGTTATTATGTGGGGGGTGGGGGATTTTATTATAAGACTTAAGGCTACAGACTGTGAAGACTCAGACAAGCCTGAACTAAAACCCCAACTCCTCCCCAGTTTATTAGCTCAGTGACCTTGGGCAAGTCATTTTACCTCACTGTGCCTCCTTTTCTCAAGTGTGTAGTTGGGATAAAAATAGCATGTACTGGCTGGGCATGGTGGCTCACACCTGTAATCCCAGCACTTTGGGAAGCTGAGGCGGGCGGATTGCTTGAGGTCAGGAGTTCAATACCAGTCTGGCCAACATGGTGAAACCCTCTCTCTACTAAAAATACAAAAAATTAGCTGGGCATGGTGGCGCATGCCGGTGGTTCTAGCTACTCAGGAGGCTGAGGCAGGAGAATTGCTTGAATCCAGGAGGCGGAGTTTGCAGTGAGCCGAGATTATGCCAGTGCACTCCAGCCTGGGCAGAAGAGTGAGGCTCTGTCTCAAAAAGAAAAAAAAAAAAATAGCATGTACTTCCTAGGGTTGTGGGAGTTTCAGTAAGATAAAGCACGTGTAAAGCACCTAGCAGAGTGCCTATCACAGAGTAAGTGAAGATATAATAGTAATTATTGTTACGCAGTTTCTCCTGCTTGGAATTGTTTATCCCTGCCCCCTGCCAAACACATAGAGATGTCTTATTAATTTCTACTCCTTCAAAGCTCACTTCAAATGTCAGCTCTTCAAGAAGGCTTTCCTTGATACCTCTAGTTCCTATCCTCCATTGTATATTCTCATAACTTCTTTTCCCCATGATTGTAACTGAACAATGATTTGTTAAATGCTGTTCCCCTGATAGATGGTAAACTCGATTTTGGCCAGAACTGCTATCTTATTCACCCTTATATTCTCAAGGCCTAGCACAGTGTGTCCAGCACATAGACATTTACTGAAGATGATGATATTATTAACTGATACAGGAAACACATAAGGAAAAGCTGTTTTGATGGAGGGGACATTAAAGCTTGGCAGCAGTTATGCTAGGTTCACATTGCCTTCAGATCTGTTGGGAAATGTTCAGTTTGGAAATATAACTCAGAAGAAAGGTCAAGGTTAAAGATACAGCTTGGAGGTCATTCACTTAAGTTCCTAGTTGAGGCCCTGGGAATGGATGAAGTTGCCCAGGGAACCTGCAGATAATAAGAAAATAAGGCTGGGGGAAACGACATTTCCCTGATTCCATTGCCAATTCTAAGGTAATAGTTAAGAGGCTGAGAATTTAAGCAGGGCTTTAGACCCCTTTACTTTTCAGGGGTAAAAAGGTATGAATTGGTGTCTAGACCTGCTAAGGGATGCTTCCTCTTTCCCTTTGCTTTGGGTTAGGACTTAAACTGCTTAGGGCTACATCTTAGCAGTGAGTGCATCAGAAATAGACCCTAATGGAAGATCTGCTATTCTGCCTTAGAATACCTTATTCCTTGACATTGGATTGCTGCTATTCATAGGTGCTTGGAGAAATCAAATACAAAATTTTTTTTTGGAGAAAGATAGCAGCATCCTAGGCTTCAAGTTGTTTCTATAAACAAAACAAAACAAAAACAAACAAAAAACTGGGCACACAATCACAGAAAGAAACAGATATACAAGACAAAATGACAATGTTTCTGGTACAGAAACCAGCAGAAACAACAGACAATAGAAACAGACTCACAACAGTATAGGAAATAAAGGAATCTGATATGGACTATAAAATAACTATGCTTAATATCTATAATGGGGGAAAGACAAACTGGACAATTCTGTCAGGGAATTGGAAACCATAAAAAAAGGGTCAAATAAAAATGTTAGAATCAAAATTAAGAACCCAGTGGATTGGGTTAAAAGCAGATTAGACATTGCTGAAAGGAAAATCAGTGGACTGGAAGAAGAGTCCCAAGAAAATAATGATATTGAAGAATACAGAGACAATAGGATAGAAAAATTGGGAGACAGAGAATAGGAGACATAGAGGATACAGTAAGAAAGTCTAATATAAATGTGATTGAGCCCCAGAAGCAAATGTGAGAATGGGTCAGAAGCAGTATTTTAAATGTAATGGCTGAAAACTTTCCAAAACCCATAGCAAATTCCAAGCCCTAGACTCATGAAGAACACCAGTCCCCAAACAGAATAAATAAATAGGAATCCACACTAAACATGGTTGAAACAAAAGCAGCTAGAGGGAAAAGTAAGTCTGCCTCCAATAAAACAACAATTCAATGACCACTGATTTCTTAACTGAAACAATAAAGACATAATACAATGGAGTGATATCTTTAAAGTGATGAATCAAATTAAATGTCCGCCTAGAATTCTGTACCTGCCAAAAATGTCCTTTGATAGTGGAGGTGAAATAAAGACATTTTCAGTCAAAAATTGAAATAATTTTTCTCATTTTCTCTCTAAAGGAAATACAAAAAATGTGTTTTCAGACAGAAATAAAAAGATTACAGATACAGGGGAGGAGATACAGGAAGGAGTAGAAAAGCAAAGAAAAGGATAAATATGTATGTAAATCTAAGTGAATAATACTGTTTAAAATAAAGATAATGTCTTATTTTGCTTATAGTATGTATAGAATTAAAATACACAACAATAATGCCTTATAAGTTATGAGAGGAGAGTAAGTGTTCTAAGACTCTTACGTTTTCCGGGAAAGATGGCAAAAGTACCAATTAGTGAAAAAGTACCAATTAATGTTAGAATTGAATAGTTGAGAAAGTATAAATCTCTAGGGTAGTTACTTAAAGAAAAGTAAAGCATATATAGCTTTCAAACTAATAAAGAGAGACAGAGACATAGAATAATTTTTTTTAAAATAAGCAGTCTAAAAGATGGCAAGGAAAAAAGAGAAAATGCATAGTAAGTGGGACAAATAGGAAGTAAATAGGAAGTACTTAGTAAGATGATAGGTTTATACCTAAATATGTCAGTAATCACATTAAAGTAAATGAATTTAATACTCTAAGTAATAGAGTCAGGATTTACAAATGAAACTTAGTTATGTGTTCTCTAAGAGACATATGTAAAATATAAGGACATAGAAAGTATAACAGTATGAAAAAATTTAAACAATAGCCAAAAGAAAGTTTGTGTTGATCTAATAATATCAGATTAAGAGCACTTCAAGGAAGCTCAAAAAACATAAAGCAAAACTTACACAATTTCAAAGAAAAATAGACAAATTCAAAATCATTATAAGAGATTTTCACACTTTTCTGTAACTGAACAAGCAGACACATACATATAAGTCAGTAAGGACATAGAACAGTGCTTCTTAAACTGTAGCATACATAAATAAGAATGATCTGGAGAGCTGTTAGAATATAGATTTCTGGGCCCCATTCCCAGAGGTTCTGATTCAAAGTGTCTGCAGTGGGGCTGGCAATTTACAGCTCCCAGATTAATGCTGATGCTGATGGTTCTGGAACTACACTTTGGAGTAGCACAGATATAGAAGATTTTAACACCACAATTAGCAGACTTGACCTAATGGACATACATAGAACACTACATCCAACAACTGCAGAATACACATTCTAATTTTAAGCACTTATAGAACAATTTGAAAGTTGACTATATTCTGGGACATAAAGTACTTCTCAGTAAATAAATTTTAAACAGTTTAAAACAGAGTATGTTTTCTGACTACAGTGGAATCAAACTAGAAATGACAAACAGATAACTAGAAAGTAACAGATAACCAAATAAAATTCCATATGTTTAGAAATTAAGCAATATAACCCTTGGGTTAATGAAGAAATCACAATAGAAATTAGAAAATAACTGAATGACAGTGAAACGATAACATACCAAAACTCATGGGATACAGCTAAAGCCATGTTTAGAAAGAAATTTATAGCTTTATATATAATATATACATGAATGTGTATGTGGTATGTGTATGTATGTATATACTGTACATATCTGTATATATGTGCAGGTATATACGTGTGTGTGTGTGTGTATATATATATATATACATGCACACAGTAAGTCCATTTCTAAGAATTTAATCTACAAACACATTATCTATGTACAATGTTTCTTGCTCCAGTCTTTATAATAGCAAAAGACTGAAAATTCAATTCAATCTCTGCCTCCTGGGCTCAAGTGATCCTCCCAACTCAGCCTCCCAAGTAGCTAGGACTACAGACATGAGCCACCATGCCTGGCTAATTTTTGTATTTTTTGTAGAGATGGGGTTTCACCACATTGCCCTGGCTGGTCTTAAACTCCTAAGCTCAAGCAATCTTCCTGCCTCTCAAAGTGCTGGAATTACAGGCATGAGCCACCGCACCCATCCAGTGCTGTCCTTTCCTATCATGTATTTTGATAAACTGGTACTTTAACTTCAGATGACTGTACGTTCTGTGTAGGAAGGCAGAGAAGTCACTCAGACTCTGCTCCAGCACTATTTATTAACAGTGTGACCTTGAGCAAATTATTTAATGAGTCCATTTTTTATCTATAAAATGAGAATAATGATAATTTGCTCAGGGGATTCAGGGGTTAATGAAATCATGTATGAAGAGTGCCTAGTACAGGGCCTGGCATCTCAGGAATGTTCATTAAATGCCAGTTGTCATCCATTCAACCTACATTTTCTTGCCGGGCATACAGAGTCTTGTAAAGGATCCAAAAGAAAGAGGGAGCAAAGGTTCTGACATCCAGCCAACTAGCGTGGTAAGTATTCACAGGCTCCCTGAAGGTATGAGCCAGGGAGGGGCATGAGGGTGTGTCTGTTCTTAGTCTCTGATGGACCTATACTGTGTATATATATATATAGTATTCTTTACTCCAAAAATGCATGAGATTCATTTTTGATGAGAATTAATTATATATGTTGAAAGCTTACTATGCTTTTTGAGGATAGGTATACCCACTTTAACAATTAAATGAAAGTTTTCTGGATTTTTGAAAAGAAAAGAAGACTGCAGTGGGTATGTGGTAAGGAGTAGTGGTTGAATAAATAAGCGTTTCCCTTAAACAAGAGGCGTGACTATAGGATTTCTTTTCATAGGACACTGAATGCATGTTGATGTTCTTATTTACAGGGATTAGATTTACGTGAAACTTGTCAGGACAAAAAGTCTGGCCCATCATTATTTGGAGTGCTCTGTGCATTCATTCTGGGATGCGGCTGTGTTGCCTGGGAGATGGCTCCACCTTTCAGTGTAGCTGATGGGAGGCATTTCCACAGTTGTGATGTCAGTGTTTCAAAATCTGTCAAAGAGGCTCTCCATAGAGCCTAGGAAGGAAAACTATTGAGTTGTATACCTACCACATTTTTTTTTCTAATGAGAAAAATAATTTTAAAGAAAAAAAAACTCTTAACTGTAAATGTTGTCTGTGGTAATTTAGAGGCACCCCTCAGCACGTGTTTTAGGGAGCTGAACAGTGTCATCCATTTTCTATGTACTGTGGCCGCAAGGCTGACGTTTTATACACTTTTGCAGATGAACCTCTTTGTGAATGTCATGAGCAGTTATCAGTCTATCATGCAGAGTAGAAAGGGCAAAGCTGAACTGTAAGGGCGTCAGCACATTATGGCAATAAAATTTTTCACAGCCTCAGATAAAAAAATACTGTACTTGACAAGTGAATCTGTTTTAAATTATTTCAAATGCTATGGAAACTGAATTTCTATTTGTTCGGTTCTCCCATTAAAAGTGGGATGTTTTCCAAAAGTTGGTTTTCAAGTCAGTTGTTATAAATTTGCAACTTCTTTTTTTTTTTTTTGAGACTGAGTCTTGCTCTGTTGCCCAGGCTGGAGGTGCAGTGGCCTGATTTTGGCTCACTGCAACCTCCACCTCCCAGGTTCTCCCACAGTTCTCCTGCCTCAGCCTCCTGAGTAGCTGGGACTACAGGTATGCACCACCATGCCTGGCTAATTTTTGTATTTTTAGTAGAGACGGGGTTTCACCATGTTGGCCAGGCTGGTCTCAAACTCCTGACCTCAGGTGATCCACCCACTTCTGCTTCCCAAAGTGTTGGGATTACAGGTGTGAGCCACTGCGCCTGGCCAAATTTGCAACTTATTTTCTTAGAAGAGAAAAAAAATTGTGTGGATTCTTGGGCTAGCCCACATTTTAACCATGAAGGAGCTGAAATATTTTGCATTGAAAAGGTAGAATATAGGTTTGTAGACCTCACCACTTAATACAATGAAAAAGAAATGAAATTGAGTAAAGAATAATTTTCGAAACTTGTTTTAAGTATTAAGAGAAAACAAGTTTTATCAGGTAAGACATAATGAAACGGGCTTTGTAACCTTAGGCAAGTTACATAAACTTTCTGACCTCAGTTTTTGCTTCAGTAGAATTGGGTTTTTGTAACAGTTAAATGAGATAATACATGCAAAGTTCCTAGTACAGAGCTGACTCATAATGAGCCCTTTGCAAATGGCTACTGTTTAAATACAGGCACAAGTGGCATTGGAATTCAAGTTTCCTGCAAATTCTAGGTCCAGTGCATTGTCCTGCTTAGTTGGGGCAGGGATGAGAAGGGATAGAGGTAGTGCCGTCAGGTACTTGTGCAGAACAATAGCCCAGCAGGAGTGTGGCAGACAGGCGCTCTTGGTCTTCTGTGGTAGGAATTTTATTCTGGTCAGGTATGCAGGAGTTCACCTCCTTTTCCCTTCTTGCTGCTGCCTGTTCCCTCTTGCCAGTGTCTCACCAGCACTGGGAGCAGGGATCAGCTTGCCCAGAACTTGAAGCTCCTGGGAAAAGGGGTCCTGACCTTAGGCACTGTAGGAAGCAAGCATGGTGTGTATGCCATTGGCCTTCAGAGGGTTTTGTTGTTGCTGATTTGTTTTAAGAAAAGGGGAAACTAACATTTACTGAGTGCCTGGTACATCCCTGGCACAGTCCTATATATTTAACATGCCATCTCATTTAATGTTCACAACAGCCCCATGAGAAGGAGATATCATTATCCCACCTTGTAGACCAGGAAAGGAGAACCTTAGATGGCATGACTTGTGTAAGGTAACATAGGCAGGAAATTGCAGAGCCAAGATTTACACACAGGTCCGTTTGGCTCTCAAACCCATTTATCCAGCTGTCCTCTGAGTTCTTAGAGGAATGCACACAGTGTGTGTATCCAGCGTGCCCAGCCTTTCTGTCCTTATAGAAACTGTATCAAACCCATACCTTCTGGAGGGAGAAGACTGGTGTGAAATTTAGAATTTATTAACACCATTAACTTTAAAAAATTGAACAGTATCTGGCTTCCATCCCTCACTTCAAATTGAATCACATAATGGGGATGAAAACATTGATTAGGGAGAAACTGTTTGTTAGAGGTAAAATTGTTTACCATGTAAATATGCTGCCATGTTCCATTATACATGACTTAGCATTTCAACATTTCATAATCTGTTACATTTAATTAGGCACAGTACATAAAGTATGCATCACAAGTAAACATGGGGAAACACAATGGAAAATTTTTCTAAGATTTGTGCTTCATAAATTTTCAGTTTGTTAATTTCAATAATGATGTTTTAGTGTCAGCTGCTTCTTTCCAAACAAGTGCAGATCCTCTCCCTGACGCAGTTTATGCACAGAAGCAACACCAAGGATGAACTACAAAGTTCTGCACTTCTGCCTCTTGGAGGCGGCCTTTAAGTAATAATTTTTCTCTTTTATTTAATGTTGTTATTAACACGGTCAATAAATGTAGTGACAAAGTTTGAAACATAAGATACAATTAAAGCTAATTAATAAATTGGCTTTCAGTGACTGTAGAGACATTATAGATGGTTTAGCTTTTTATTTTGAACATGGAGTTTTTCTTAAATGCAAAGCTGCTTGGGAAATTTCAGTGGCTTGAGATTTATAAAGTGTTTGATTTTAATTATTTTAAGAATTCTCAAACCTATCAACCATGCCCTTCAGATAAGAGTACAGGAATGGGATTGGTCACTCGTATAGCTCTGGGTCCCAGCACAAGGCCTGGCACTTAAACTCATAAAGATTGTTAAGTGACTCTCCAGTGCTTTTTCTGTTGTTTTTAATTTATTCATTAAAATGTATATTTTTCTAATTTAAAAAATCCTAATGCTTGCTGATCTGAAAACAATTTGGATGATACCTGAAAACACAAGAAACACAAAAACAGAAATTACTTCTAAACCCCACTGTACATGATAGTCACATGTTAGTACATTTTTCCTGTGCTTGTGTATATACCTACATCTATGTATGTCAGTGTTTGAGTATTTTTACCAAAATAAAAAAAAAAAGACTCATGGTGTATGAAAAGAAAAAAATGCCCTTTCTTCCTTTTTTATAGTCTATAATGAATATTTTCCCCTTGATTTGTCAGTGAATATTTCCCCTCAACATGATCTTTAATAAATGATCATATTCCATTATACAAAGATGTGCTATAAATTTAATCTCTCTCTCTCTCTTTCTATTAATAAGTAGGACTAAGGGGCCAGGCATGGTGGGGCAGTAGGACTGAGGGGCCAGCACTTTGGGAGATAGGTGGATCACTTCAGCTCAGGAGTTCAAGAATACCCTGGGCAATATAGCAAAACCCTGTTTCTACAAAATACATAAAAATTAGCCGGCCGTAGTGATGGGCACCTGTAGTCGCAGCTACTCAGGAGGCTGAGGTGGGAGGATCTCTTGAGCCTGGGAGGTTGAGGCTGTGGTGAGCCGTGATTGTGCCACTGCACTTCAGCCTGCGCAACAGAGCGAGACCCTGTCTCAAAAAAAAAAAAAGTAGGACTGTGGTGGATATCTTTGTACATTTATCTGTAAATATTTTCTCAAGATAAGTTTTAGTAATCTGGGCAAAGGGTATGCTAATGTTTGCTGGCTTACTCTCCAGAAAGGTTATGCTAAATAATAAGTAAACTGTATCTACCTCCCTTAGGTTTATTTCTTTAATCTGAACTTAAAAGATTCTATAGCTGACAGATTTGTTGTCTGTGTAGCTACAAAAGGTCACTGTGACACATGGAAGTTGTTACCCGAATGAGTCCTGTTTTTAGCCCAAAAAAAGTCTTTACGCATACCCAGTATGAGGGGTTCCCATGCTGTGCTCACATAGAGAAGTTAAAATGTAACCAGAGTTAGCCTGAACACTTAAGGCAGCACTCTGCAAACTTGGGGGGACGCATACTGTACAGAGGAGCTGAAGGTTTTCCAAAGAGGACTCAGGTATGCACGGTTTCATGGTTTTCACTGGCCAGCTTTCCTTACGTATATGTGTACGCCTTCCTAAATCCACCTGCCCCAGAAAGTGGCTGTGATGGAAGCATTGTGTTGGTTTTCTTTTCCCTTCCTGCCCTTTTCTTACTTTATGAAAGAAAGGGATACTCCCACCTGGTTCATTGCCCCGAAGTATGAGACCCTCTTGGGTGCCCAACAAGAGACATTATGAAATATTGGTGATAACCAAACCTCCTTTAATCAGCACTGTACAACCACCCCACTCCCAATTAAGAAATGCATGTATGATGAAACCTACATTTGATGGTCAAAATAAGTATATTTTTATTTATCAAAATAAGTATTTGTATTGCTTTGATTAGTTTTAAACTAACTATAATGATGGTTTAGTCCAGAAGGAAATATTAAATATGTAGAGCCTTATAATTACAGGAAATAAAAACAATTTTAAATTTTCAATTTCCATATATTCCTTTTGTAGAGCATAAAAGTATATTGCATTAGGCTAATATGGGAGAGAAATGAACTAGAAATACACTTTCAAGAACAAAAAGAAGAGCATAAAATTTTAGACTTGAAGAGCAAGTTTATGTTTTTTTGTTTGTTTGTTTTGAGACAGAGTCTCACTCTGTTGACAGGCTGGAGTGCAGTGGCGCAATCTTGGCTCACTGCAGTCTCTGCCTCCCGGGTTCAAGCGATTCCCCTGCCCCAGCCTCCTGAGTAGCTGGGACTACAGGCGTGCACCACCACGCCCGGCTAATTTTTTGTATTTTAGTAGTAGAGACAAGGTTTCACCATATTGGCCAGGATGGTCTCAATCTCCTGACCTCGTGATCCGCCCGCCTCGGCCTCCCAAAGTGCTGGGATTACAGGGGTGAGCCACCATGCCTGGCCTATGTATTTTTTAAATGGATAATGGGTATCAAACTGCTGTGCTATTTATATTTGGTTGGATACATTTTAAAGAATAGTGTTACAGTTTTATTTTAAGATGTCAACATTTATGACATACTGGAATAACACTGTTTACAACTATGTAGACTTATGAAAAATTGTAGATGCCAACTTAGAAAATGTACAAGGAAGGAAAAATGTGTGAGAGGGTCCATGATTTTTTAAAATTAATTTAGGGGGAATTTTGCACAGCAAAAATGTGCAGACCAATGACCCTGGACAGGCACATGGATGGGAGGGCAGCCTCACTGGAACCCTTTCTGAACTCCACTGCTATAGATCTCAGGCTCCGTTTCAGCTCTGTCCCCTGCACTCAGCAGCAACACCTGGGGAGAACCTGCGAGCCCCCCTTCAGGCTTTCCCTTGCCCAGAGCTTCTCCCGCTTCCTCTTCCTCAGCCAGAACCCACCAGCCCTTCAGGTGCCTTGCTCCTGCTCCTCCCCAGGTACCAATGCCTTCCCCATCTCACTGCCCGCTCCTTCCCCAACAGAAATGTTCTCTCAGATGCTACCTTTCCTCTCCTTTTTCTGTAGAATAGGTTTCTCTTCCCTCTGTCACTATAAAAAGGGGGTTTAGAGGTTAAGAAGGGAAAAGGGAATTAAGTTACAGAAGAGATCAAAAGTTTCTGGGATCTCGGAGTGGTCCAGGGAGAGGGAGGCAGGCTTGCATTTTTGGCTTATTTGTGGCCACACAAGCTATTGGAGTTTTCTGCTTCTGAATTGTGGAGTTTCAATAAAAGCACTATGGAATTGAATTGGATTGAAACGGAGGTCCCGTTCAAGTTTGACCTTGCCTCAGAAGCCTCCTCTGATTTCTCAGACCTGCTGGGATATCTCTTCCTCCAAATCCTGTTGCTTTTAGAGTCTCCGCTCTACGGTTCAGCATGAGATCATCACCATCTTGCAAGTTTTGCTAATTATTTTGAGTGGATAGCATTGCTTTTATAACCAGATTGTAAAGTCCAGGCAGGCAGGGGCCATGTGTTTATTTTTTCATTTCCCCACAGCACCTGGTACAGTATTGACTATAGCAGATGCTCGGTAAGCATTTCGCAGTTGGTTATTTAAAAAAGAAAAGCTGACGGGGCGTCCTGGGGCTGAATTCTAGATCCATCCCACTTTGCATCCCACTTTGGGCAACTTGTCTGTGGCCTGGATCTCTCGTTTCTTCCTTGATAAAACATGAGTGATAGTAATAGCTAATAGTTACCAGGTAAATGGTATGTGCCAAAGCCATTAATGCACCCAACAGTTCTGTGAGGAAGATACTACTATTTATATTGTTATTCTCATTTTATAGGAAAGGAAACACTAAAATAACTAAAACAATCTGTCCAAAGTCACTCAGCTTAGTAAATAGCAGAGCGTGAATTTGAAACCGGATTCTGAGTCCAAAGCACGTAACCATTATGTGATACTTCCCACATCTGACTCAACTCCCTCCAAGTCAGAGATTCTAAGGAGATAATGAGTAAAAGCTTTTTGAAGAAGGTAAAAAAGCTAGGTAAAAGGTGAATCTAGTTATTGTATTATGTGGAAAGCATTTTTACTTTTAAAAGCAATTGTCAATCTATAGCTGAATTGCGTGGGGGAAATACACGGTTGTAGTGTATGCGAGAGACCAGATCCCTTTCAGGCTGCTCCTTGGCCTTGCAGAAAAGTTCCAGAAAATCAGCGGACTGCATAATGTGCACTACTCATTCCCCTAATCACCAGAGGCTTGGTCTGGTGGCTGATAACAATGAACATCAGTAGAAGAGGGAGAGTACTTGTGCTTTTATTCTCATTTTTAATTGATCTTAAAATTCTTCCATGGCCCTTTGCCTTGGGCACAATCCAGAGTCATGAATCCTTGATATGCGGCTCAACAGAGAGGCACAGGACAGCGTAGTCCCTTTCCCTTCACCAGTTTCCTGCCTGCCTTTCTATTCTGGGACCACTGTACAGACCATTCCAGTTCAGAGATGGAGCAAGCTCTGCTCGCCTTCATGCACTGCGCATGCAGCCTGGCCCCACTGTGAGCTCTGTGCAGGAGGGGCCCCATGACCTGCAGCCTTTGAGGCTTCCTACTGGGTGAGCTTAGGGCTTCTTTTGCAACTAATTATATCCATCTGTTTTTAAAAGGTGAAAAAAAAATCCTGAATTTAGGTGTCGATTGATACATTAATTACCCCATCTCAGTTGCAGCAGTGTGGTCTTAATAGCTGATTGCTGCAATACCCAAATCTGTAATATCAGAATGTGATGTGCATATTTTAATTTGAGAAATAGTTTAACATTTTTAGATATTCATTTAGATGTGGTTATGCAGGTTAAACATAACGAATGATCACTGCTTCTTTCATTGCTTCCAATTAAACCTTGCTTGTTAGTTTAACCTCTAGGTAATCCCATCAAACAATTGATGTCAAGGAAACAGTGCCCACAGTAGCTTCGGATGAGTGGCCATTAATTTTAATTGCCTTGATATTAAAGATTAAGAAGTATTGGGACTAGCAGAATAAAAACGATCTGATGTCAAGCAAATCCACTTGCTAAAGCTTCCCCAGGCTGCTGGTGATATTAAAATTTTACTGTGAGAATTAAATAAACCTTTATTAGTGATGACTGTTGTTTGATTGGTCCAGGGGTATGCATAAACAGAGGATTCTTACATATCTAGAGATGAGACCTTCGATGGTACAGAGATTCCTCAATTATGAAACTGTTAATAAAGCTGTAATCTGATTTTCCAGGCTAGGTTTCATTAATGTATTATAGCTTCTCTGATTGTCAAGGTAATATTAACTACAAAGTACTGAATCCAACAGAGAATTGTTTGGAAGAAGAGAATTCTAAGATGGGCCTTTGTTGCTAAATTCAGAGTTGGGGAATTTTCATTAATTATGCTTAAGAAATACCAAATTCCCTCTCAACCAAGACTATCCTCCTTTGCACTATAGATATGTTCAATATTTAACTCTTTCTAAGGCCTGACAGTCTTAGTCAGAAACGCTAGAGTGATAATTATGTATTAAAAGAGCTTTTTGCAAGCCAACTCTAGGTCTGTCTCCTGAGCTGAGAGCATGCATTGGGAAACATGAGGTAAGGTCAAAGAGAACATGCTTTAAGAAGCGTAATCAGAACCCATACCTTTATAGTCCTTTTCCAATCTTGATTTAGAACTTTTCTGTTTTTAGAATCACATAATTCTGGTATGGATTCTAATGGTCACTGAGGATTTGTCCTGGTGCAGAAATTCCTCCCAAATATCTGTCTCCATCCTGCTCAAGGCCTGGGCACCACACCTGCATCGTCTCTGGCTTGTCCCTCTCCACTGACCCCAGAGCTAGTCAGTGGCCAGATTCTGTCTGTTCCTCCTCCATAATATGTGCCCTCTCCACTCCTACTGCTCTGCCTGGCTCAGGCCCTCATGGCTTCCTCGCTTATATACTCTCCTAACTTCCTCCTGTTGCCACATCCTATGCAGTTATAATGCACACCTGCTGTGAGCATATGGGGCTCAAGGAAGGGAAGGCCAAGAAGGCTAATAGTAGGATGGAGAGGTCCCTTGGGGCTGAGCCTGAAGGCCTAATGTTGTGATAGTCTAGATGTTGGAAGTAGGACCAATATGTGGAAGGGAAAGGGAACCAGATTGTAGTTCAGAATAAAGAGAACTATATACCCATTAGGACTATCCAACAATGGAGGCGGGGATATTGTGAGGTAGTGAGTACCACATCTCTGGAGATGGAGAGATCAGGACCACAAAGAAAATATAGAGGAGGTGGCACAGGCTTAGAGGACACCCGACTTCCTCTTAGACCCATTGAATTGGAAGTTGTGGCAGAACATTTATATGGAAATCTCTTTAAAAATGAGAACTCACTATAAATCTGGGAGTCATCCACACAGAGAGGATATTTGAAATTTTGAATATGGATAAGGTTGCTCTAGGTGCAAGAGAGAAGAAGGCCAAGAGCTGAGTCCTGGAGAAAACTCACTGTCTTCCTCTCTCTCTCTCTGTCTGTCTCTCTCATGTATCAGGGAAGAGCAGATGTTGGAGGAGAAGGAGTATAATGTCACATACACCATGTAAGAGCCTGCTCTAGGCAAGAGGGGTGGTAATTACAAGTATCAGACACTGCTGAGAGGTCAGACTAGTCAGAGAGACAAGGCCATTGGATTTGGGACTGGTGTCATGCCAGTATAACCACTCCCATCTACCACCTAGCCCTTGAAATTGTTCACATTAAAATGAGAAAATGTCTGCAAGGTGCTCTGCATAATGGTCATTCACCAAATGATAGTTATTAGAGCTACTGTATTTGATATGAAGAAAAGAAGGGATACATACAGTCTTCTAGGGGGAAAAAATGATGGTAGAACAGAAACAGCTAGGAAGTGCTGATCTGTAGCACATTTACTTCCTGATGGGCTTTGGCTTGTTTCTGTCTGACGAACCTATGCTCATGGTTGCTGCATGGGTCCTCGGCAAGTATGCCTGCATGTGTATATGTGCACATGTGTGCACTCCATAATCCCCAGGATGGACAGCATATGGGCAGCAGCAAGGCCAATGTTGTCTTCCTCACATGGCTCCCTTGCCAGGGCTCTCTGCTCCTTCCAGAAGGATGAGTGCCATAGGTTGAAGAATGGGAATTCTATTTCCAAACCAATTAAAGACTTGGCAGAGATGGTCAAAAAGGGTGCCCACAGTGTAAATTGGGTTGGAAGGCTTCAAACTACATACTACTCCTTACGTCTCTTCAGGGCCCCTATGAATAGCTGTTAAGTATAATACCTTCAGGGTAGAACAGTGACCCCACCCAGCCTGATATCACAGCAATATGCCCCTTTGACAGGATTATTAAGAAATTATTGAAAAGTATTTTTAAACTGTTGCTTTAATAAAAGAGAGGTCAGATCCTTTTATATAGTGTGTGGGTATACTTTCTTATAAATTGCCATGTGGCTTTTAGCTTCTTTATATAGCTCAATTACAGGTGCCTGAATACATTGTAACTCTGAGCCATGATTCTGGGGCTGAGCTCTGCTCTCCTTGACGTGTGATGAAATCTGCCTATTGCCAAGATCCTTTGTAGAAATCTCTCTTCCATTTGCACCGGCTGACATCATAAGAAGTTTGCAAAAGAAAGAAATATATTCCACCTGATGACATTAGAGTTGCTCCTCTGTGTTTACATTTGACCTGGTTGGAATTACTTGAGTTTTCAAGTTGTGACCTTCCCACATGTTAACTGGCAGAGCTTGAGCAGCCATCTTGGCAGACATGCAGTATTTTCTGAGGCAAAAGACAAAGGGTTTTTTCATCCATTATTAATTGATGTTACTCTTTTCAGCAGACCAAACATGATTCTACTATACAGCTGCCAAAATTGTTCTAGACCCAAAAAAGAAGAATAAGTCGTTCATGTTCAAGTATTTCTTATTATTTACCTAACTTAGCAAATATTTCCTTCAGCTTTTCAGCCTGATTTTGGGGGCCTGACTATTTATATACTAATCGGTATATAGCAGTTGGATATCTTTTATGAGCAGCGCTCCCTGCCGTTTTGGTATTACTGTGGCCAACTCTAAGAAAGCAGCGTTATTCCAAAAGAATGTGAGAGTTTTGCCAAAAGAGAAAATAACCCCCAAAACCATTATGCATGATCCATAGGATGTGAGGTTGCAGGCTAGGAATTGTGTGTCTCCCAAGGTATTGCCTTGGTGTCCAGCAGGTATTATTGGAATTTGATTACTTCTTCCTCTCTTCCCCTTCACCTCCATGTCCCTGCAATTTGTAGGTATCCAATTGGTTTGGCAACAAACGAATCAGGTACAAGAAGAACATTGGCAAGTTTCAGGAAGAAGCCAACCTCTATGCTGCAAAGACGGCCGTGACAGCTGCACACGCAGTAGCAGCAGCTGTGCAGAACAACCAGACCAATTCGCCCACCACACCAAATTCCGGTGCGTACTGGGGGCTCGCTCCCCAACTGGCCCAGGCAGCCTTATGCCACAATGCCCTGTCCCACAGGCCAGGAAACAAGAGCCATACTGAGGACAGAGTGGACTTAAAAAGGAAGATTTATGTTCAAATGCAGGCTTGTTCTTGAGATGGGTGAATGAGTGGAAGGTCAGAGCCTGTAAACCCACTCTTCACAGTGAATGCCACTCACTAGTAGATTATGGAAGTTTTACAATTAGTAGTGGCTTTCAGTTCAGTAATTAGGCAGAGTGCTATCGCTCATGACTATTTTAGCTATTTCTTTCCAGATACCACTTTAGGGTCAGTAGTGGTCTGTGGAGAGTGAAATAGCAGAAGTGGGAAATGCAGCAGTTGCTGTGTGTGAGGAAGCTGGAATGCTGGAGGGAAGTGCAGCAGTGCTTTCTGCCCAGCACCGCTGTCCTTTCTCTGCCTTTCAGCAGCACTGTCTGAGCGGGGCTGACGGCATGCTCAGCAGGTGGCTAGCTGTGAGGGTTATGGTGCTTAATACATGCATGCAAGATTCTTGGATCCTCGTCCGGTACATTTTGGCTGCATTTTATGTGACGTTTGTGAGGGGGTTAGAAATACTTTAAAATTTCAGGGAACTTGAATAACAATGAAAGATGTGCAGCTAGTCCAAACAGATGGACTTCAGTAGCAATTCCAGGGGCGTTTCTGAGAAGGTCTCTTAGCTATATCTTTAGAAGTTCAGAAAGTAGGGGGGTTTTTGTTTGTTTTGTCTTGTCTCCTCACCCCCCAGTTCTTTTTAATGGCACATAAAAACAGATGAAAGGAGAGGGAGGTATATGCATAGCGAAGAAAGAGCTCCTGGAAAAGTCTCTTCTCTGGGTGGCTGTCCACTGTGACAGCCATGTTGACAAGCTCGTGTAATGACTAAATCCTGGAGATGAGTGGAAACAAGGGGAAGGGTCCAGGCCAGCTGCTGGGTGTTTTGGTTTATTTTTTCTTTTTAATTTATTTTGATTTGTCTCTTTGTTTTTGCTTTTGTTTTTTAAGTTTGGGCTTCCCCACTGATGGGACTTCTCCTAGATGTGGAGTGACTCACAGGACCCAACTCTCTGGAGTTACTCTCCATCCTCTTAGATCTGGAAATGCTTTATGTTGTGCACAGCCTTTCCCTTCTGTACTTTTTCTCATCTCCCTGCCTCTAGGTCTTTGAGGATTATGTGTGTAGCTCTCTGTTATTCAGCTACTTAACTCTTTCCTTTCCAGGTTCTTCTGGTTCTTTTAACCTCCCAAATTCTGGGGACATGTTCATGAACATGCAGAGTCTGAATGGGGATTCTTACCAAGGGTCCCAAGTCGGAGCCAATGTGCAATCACAGGTAGGAGAAATGCCCCAGTGGGGCCTTTCTAGCAGGGTAGGGTTTGGGCTCAAAACTCCTTCCTCTGACCCCATGGAAGTGGTCTACACATCCATGCAGAACCTGTGCTGGGTGCTTCCAACCAGGACCCATCTGCCCCACCATTTAATTTAATGAGAAGTCAAGTGAACAGTGACTTGTGATGATTCAAACCTGATAAACTTTGTGAATGCATTCGGCTCTGGCTTGAGCTCATGGAGAGGGGTTGGGTGCATCTTACTTTTGTCACAAAATAGAACAGAAAAATTGAGTGTGCCAGTGTGTATATGGTTTAAGAACATGTTGCTGTTTCATTTCTCAAGTCAGAGTACAAAAACCTGAGTTCTTAAATTATAACTCTATAATTTCTACTCTTTTCTTGTCCTCTTATTTGAGAACAGAACTATTCATATAGTTTTTATACATCTAGATGTATGTGTATGAGACATAGAGAAAGTGAGAGAAAGAGAGTTGAGATAATTCCATATACACAATTCTAAGTAGGCTTTCACCCACAGCCACATCCATTTGGTTGCTGTAGATGGAAAGTTGCATTGCCATGAAGATGTTATTGTTTGGCTGGCATGAAAAACAAAGATTTGTGAGTTTAAATATGCAAAGAATGGTTGAAATTCTGCCAGTCACATTTGATTGATAAATTTGTCTTTCATTGAAGATGTTAAACCCTTGTGGCACACATAATTCAAATTATTTCCTTTTGTAAGTGATGACGTTTTAATAGATTTGGGATGATGAATTTTGTTTTGTCTCACTTCTAGGTGGATACCCTCCGTCATGTTATCAATCAGACGGGAGGCTACAGTGATGGCCTTGGAGGAAATTCACTGTACAGTCCACATAATTTAAATGTGAGTACTCTGGGGAGTCAGCTGTAGGAGAACAGTGTCAGGTAAACAGTGACTAATAAAGAAATTAATAGCCATTTGACCTGGCTTCTCATCTTCTTGGCAGGTAGGGAAGGCAGCGTCTTTGCTGCACTTTTATTTTAAGAACCTAAATGCTTGATGCCGTCTAGATACCCTTAGAAGTCCTCATAGATGCCCAGAAATGGCTGGTGTCCTGTCATCAGCAGGGACTTAAGCATCAGCCCATTAAGACGCCATTTCCTACCATCAGTGCTGTGCTCCAGGGAGACGGTAGAAAACAGGTCATTTATCTTAGAACCAGGCAGCGGGAAAAATTCCCAAACAGAACTCAGGTGAAGGTGGTAAGTTTGGAGAATCCCAGGCAGACCAGCAAACCAAGCTAAACAAATAATTGTGTTATTAAAAGCATCTTGCTGTATTGTCAATGTGGGATGCACAACATATTTGACAATTTTAATTATGGAGGAAATAATTTTAACTTTTGTAACTACTTCACTACAACTTTACCTTTCCCTCCACTGACATGGATGGAAAATGGCAAAACACACAGCTCTGGAAAAGGGGGAAGGGGGCAGGGGAGCAGGTCATCGTGGTGGTGCTGCGGGGTGTGGTGGATGGAGTCTGGGGTTCTAGACTTAGGAAGGAAATTAACTGCCCAGCTCACGGTAGTAGACTCAGGAAGAAAATGGGCAAAATTCTTCCTTTTTAGGGCCTTGGCTTGCTACGAGAGTAAATATTAATGATTTAAAAAGTGATTGAGGATGTTCAATTGTAAAGGGAAAAAAGGACCATTAAATACTCAAATCTTTTACATTTGAAATGTCAAATCTTTCTTTTTGGGCTTATAAATAACTCATAATAACCCACAACAAACCATATAAAAAGCCTTTTAGTTGCATTTCTCCTTTTTCATTTAAGTGTTTTGAAATGCTTCAGAGAATGTGCGATATCCTTATCAACATGATAAAATATGAAACTGTGATTGCCTGCAGCATTTTACAGACATGAATTCCATCTTCACTGATGAGGCTTGATAAGGCGCTGTTGTATAATACAGTGCATAATCTCAAACCACCAGAGTAAGGATTAATTTATTTTGAAAAAAAAGAATGCTTGCTGACAACCTCTCCTCCAGCTGCCATGCTGGGTAAAAATATTGTACATTTGTTGTTTATAAATTTGGATAAAAGAGGAATGATGTTTACTTCAGATGGAATATCTTTAGACTTGTATCTGTGTGAGAGTTTTTCTTTTCCTAAGTAGATTTTCATACCTGAGGGGGGAAACAGCTTA
This sequence comes from Homo sapiens, assembly GCF_000001405.40. Classification (NCBI taxonomy): domain Eukaryota; kingdom Metazoa; phylum Chordata; class Mammalia; order Primates; family Hominidae; genus Homo; species Homo sapiens. The sequence continues at coordinate 125,964,413 of NC_000009.12, forward strand.
CCTTTTAGAGAAGAGGATTTCTGAGAGTCCACCGAACACACATGGGCATGTCATTAGCCAACCTGGCAAAACAGAGGCTTTAAAACAATACCACCATAGCTTTTTTTTTTTTTTAAATACTGTTTCCTTTTGTTTTTCCTAACCTGAATTTGATATGCCTCAAGCCTGGAAAATCCTCTTCCCTTAGGGTCTGGTCATCTCTGTGGGGTTCTTAGGTCATAGAGGTAGAAAAGGTGCTTTGCATGCCAACTCTGCAGTGAATTAGAAGACAGGGAGTTCTCCAGGAACTGTGATCACAGAAGAAGAAACAATGGCTGCCACATGCTCATCTAGGAGCTGTATCTAGGCTGGGCAGGGAATCTAGACAAGAGTTCTCAGCAGCCTGGCAGCCCAGGCCTGAAAGAGGGCATTTTGGATGGACTTGCAGAGGAAGTTGCAAATAGATGTGAGGGAGGCAGGAGGCACCTTATGACCCACCCTGACATTGGTGTAGGAGGTCCGGGTCTGGGGGCAGCATGGCGGCAGAGGGTGGTTGGTGCTGCAGGCACGGGGAGCCTGCTCACCCTCACCTCCTCTCCAGAAAGGCCTGCCCCATCACTTCCACTCAGTGTTCCCCAACTCACGAGGCTGGCACCTCCCTCTTCCTGACTGACATAAAAATATGTAGCGACAAGCTGTCTGCCACAGCAGAAATCTGATCAGACATTGATTTCAGCAATTGCCACTATAGGCCAAGACATAAGGCAAATTTGTTTCTGAGTACGGTTATTGCTGCTGCAGGTCTGAGGCAGGAAGGGCCAGCAGCATGTGGAAGGTGGGAGCAACATCCCAAATAGGAGCCTCAGCCACAGATAATTGGAATACAGATTTTAACAGTGTGTGCTGCTCTGCGGCTCATGCATTTTCATTCTGGAAGATCCTATTTGGAGGGAAATTCTGGCCTTCACTTTCCAAGGGTTACAGTAGCTGGCTGTCAGGCGTGTATGGAAAAAGGGTGGGCAACTGCTTCTCTATGGAAATGATGATTAAGCCGGGGTGAAGTTTAGACTTCATGGAGCCCTGGGTTTCGCTGAGGCATTGCATTGAGCTTCTCCACTGCTCCCTTCTGAAGAGATTTCTTTTTGAGTCACTTTAGTTTTACCAGCAGATCAAAGGCCGAGCTCGATGCCAGCATGGGCCTCGCTGAAGCCCTTCTTCGGCGTGTTGATTTATTGCCAAGACTTTACTTGATGGGATGGATTTGTTTTACATGCATTTAATCCCACTTTAACACATGCTGCCAACTCCTGCCACAGTGGGTTTAGAAAATACATTTTGCTAATGCATCTCTGCTCTCATGTTGTCATCCGGGTGTTTTAAATTGGGGAGTAGAATTAATATGTAGACGTGCACCCGTTGAACTGTGTTTCTCCTTTCAGGCTAATGGAGGCTGGCAGGACGCAACAACTCCATCTTCTGTGACTTCTCCTACAGAAGGCCCAGGAAGTGTGCACTCGGATACCTCTAACTAATCTCTGGCCACACTTTTCCCTGAGCTACATGCCTTGATAAGTGCATTCAGAGCAATAGGAGGAAAAGGAAAGCGTTTTTGTAGCCCACCATCTACAGCTTTACTGTAAAACCTTGTCTTATTCGAGAACTTGGTAAATCTGTTTTTTAAGGAATCATAATCATTTGTATTTATACTTAAAAACACACAATGTTAAAAAAAATAAAGCACTTTATCCAATTAGGCCAAGATTTAACATTGTTGACAGTCCTGTAGCTATTTTATCATAATTTATTATCAATATTTTACATTAATGGTTTCACAGTTGCCAATTACTTGGCCTTAAGGGTAAAAAGTACAATATACACTAAACCTCAACCGTTAAAGCAGATGCAAAAATTCACCTCACCTAAATTGAACTTCTTGCATATTTCCATTACTGACTTGGATTGTCTTTCTTTCATATCACTAATGGAGTTGGAATAAAGAGCTGTTTGCCTATCCCTGTTAATGATGGTTGTGTTTAAGAATCTTCCTCGTCACGTTTGTGTTCAGATCTCTTATGTTATAATTAGATCAGAGACTGGTAGCATCGTTTCTCTCTCTGAAAGCACCAGTGCCCAGAGTCTGCTCGGTAATAAAATTATGGATCCAGATTGTTCTGAGAGACGAAGATACTTGCTGCTGATAGAGGTGAAAACGAGATTGATCCGTCTGGGGTTTTACGGTGTGCACTGGGTGCTGCACAGACTTGTCAAGGTTTGCTACGTCCTCTGGGCATCTGCAAAAGGCCCTGCTCTCTGGAGTGTTGTATATAGTGTAGCAAAAGAGTATTTATACATCCCACCAATCAAAACACAGCTTTATTACCTCATGCGAACTCATACAAACCAATAGAATTTCAACATGTTCTGTAGCTTAGAGTGCTCACTTACTACCTCTGAACAATACTCACGCTGTAGTTTGTCTCTTTCTTATCTTTTTGCATCTTGTAATTAACTCTTTGTTTCCCTTCATAAAATGTAATGTACATTGTAATCTTTTAAAAGAAAAATCAGGGTTGCACTTGCAACTTTTAAAAAACCGAGTGTGGAAACATTGGGTCTTAATTCAACACAGGATCGGTAAAACTGTTGTAAATACTGAGAAACATTTTGAATGTTCTTCATCTTATTACTAATCCATGCAAAAAAAAAAAAAAAAGCAGCGACTAATTGTGATGCATTCAGATTTCAGTATTCAGTACTGTATATTTCACCCTGTGTAATGGGGCCCCCTCTCCTTTCTCTCTTTTTGTATTGTATGCGATTCTGAAACTGATTGAGTCATGAAAATAATTTGTGGCGGTGATTCTAATGTATTAAAAACGTTTCGTGTTCCTTTCTAACTGGATTACACCCTGGATTGAAAAAGTCTTCCTCGTGGTAGTTATATGTAGTTTCAAACATGAATAAACTTTTTGCTTTCATGATTAAATTTTGATGCAGTTTCTTACTTCACTATTTGAGCCAGCCAAGTGCAGGCAGAGGAGAAAGTGCACCCAGCACCAGGCCTGGGAGTGTAACTGCCTCCTGTCAGAGACCACTCTGAGATGACGGTGAGGCTGGGAGGGAAGGAACAGCTGCTGTTGAGTGTGCAGGCACCGTGCCACCTACTGAACCATTGTTAGGAGTCCTCACTTGATCCTGATGTGCTCAGTAACACCGCAAGGAAAACTCCCCATTTTCATAGATTAGGAAACTGAAGCTCAGAAAACTTAAGTGAATGCCAAAAGGTCACAGACCTAGGACAGCAAGAGGTCACACCTTGAACCCAGGTCTTTCTGCCCTCAGCTCACACTCTCCTGACCTAGTGATGCCTTTGGCACTTGTTAGATGGATTTTTTTTTTTTTTTTTTCTTGAGATGCAGTCTCACTCACTGCAGCGTAAAACTCCTGGGCTCAAGCGGTCTTCCTGCCTCAGCTTCCTGAGTGGCTAGGACTACAGGTGTACACCACCATGCCTGGCTAATTTTTCTTTTTTGTAGAGACGTGGCTTGCTATGTTGCCTAGGCTGGTCTGAAACTCCTGGCCTCAGGCAATCCTCCGACCTTGGCCTCCTGGAGCTCTGGGATTACAGGTGTGAGCCACTGGACCTGATTGAAAAGATTTTTTTTTAAGTTCACTTATTTTTCTTTTTTAGAGATGGATTCTGACTGTGTTGTCCAGGCTGGTCTTGAACTTCTGGGCTCGAGCAATTCTCCTGCCTTGGCTTCCCAAAGTGTTGGGATTACCGGTGTGAGCCACTGCGTCTGGCATACATTTGCTTCTTCACCTTTAACTTCTTTACAGTTAAAGACTAACAAAAGTTTGGAAAGAATGGACCTCAGATGCCGTTGAAAAAACAATCCCTGCAATATTCAACATACCTTTTTAAACTCTAAATTTGTAATCTTCTAAGACCAATTAAAAATCTTTTAACTGGATTTAACATGTTTTCTTCAAATTGTTAGAAATTCCATATGTTTACATATACATCTGTCGCTAATATCTAAATCTTTATAATAAAAGAGGTCAATGGCAGGTAATTGGCCTGTTTACTATATCTCAAGGAAACTGACCCACAGGAAATCAGATTAATGTTAATTAGTTGCAGCAAATTGTCTATGATAGATATAACTGTTTGACTCTTTCAGTTGGTAAAGCCAGGCAAAACAAGGTCTAGGGCCACCATTCCCATTAATCTCCAGGCAGTTACACTGTGAGGGTAAACTTTATAAAATAGATTGCCCTCCAAAGCTGTCCTCCCTCACTTGGTGCTCAGCCTGCCTGTAGGAATTGCTCCCATGGCTAAATAGTTATTTGCATGATTCAATTAGCTTGTGGGTCAGCCTTTCTCATCTTTGTAAATAAAACAATATATGCTATGTGGTTTTGCAAAAATATACTGTGGGAACATAATACATATGCACACCCAGATTCATCTTTAACATTCCAAAGCAGACACTTCCTCAGAACCGCCTTGAGTCTCACCTTGGACCAGTGTGTGGAGAGAAGCACACGCCAGTGCTTGTAGGAGATTCACACGTTGACTAGCAACCCCTGAGGGAATTGTGGGTGTCTCTGTTATCCTAGGGAGGCCGAAATGAAAATAGCAATGCTCTTCCTACGTGCTGTGTTAGGAAGCATGTGCACGTTTTCTCTCTTCACTCCTCACCACCTCTCTGGGAGGGTAGAAGCATCCTCACTTCATAGGTGAGGAAACTGGGCCATCACACAGGCTCTCTGGCCCAGCCTCTGGTGTCCCCTGGGGTTTGTAAAGCTCTCCAGACATTGAGACTGTGCAGGCATGTCTCACTCCAAATTGGGTGAAATCAGTCATTGATTTTAATAGATTTTCACCAGGTACCTTTTCTGCATCAAGCAGTGGGTTAGAGGCTAGACTCAGAGATGAGTAAAACCAGACCCCACCCCCTGACCTAGCCCTTCTTGCTCAAGAAGCCAACACTTACTGAGAGCATCGGAAAGCCTGGTGGGCTTCTGAGCCCTGGGACTGGAGAAGTGGGGGTCCAAAAACCCATTACAAGATCAGAGAATAACAACAGGAAACTTCCAGAAATACCCAGTCACAGGCGAAGGGGCCTGTTCACATACCGCTCAATGCACAAGAACCCATGTCCTTACTTGAGAGTCCATGTGTGTTCACAAGCATGTGGAGCCCAAGGGCCTGTGCAGCTGTCCATGTGGGGATGGGTGTCAGGCTTCTGTTTGGGGTGCACGGGTGGTGTGGGAGTCTCTTAAATCTATTGGACCAGGTGGCCTTGCAAACCAAGTTAGGGCTGTTCTGTAGCCCCCAAACCAAACAATGTCCGTGTGCCATTCCCTGGCCAGAAGTGGGGGTGGGAGGTGGCAGTATTCCAGAGAAGTGAAGAAGTAACGTTGGGCTGAGTCTCCCAGGTGGGGTGAAATGAGTGCTGGTGCCAGAAGAAAGGGTCCTCCCCTGTGGGCCAGCCCCCCACCAAGCACCTCCCACACAGTATCTCATTTAATGCCGGTGGAGTCCCACGAGGGGTGCTATTATCTCATTTTCCCATGGGAATCTGGGGCTCAAAGAAGCGACACCACCTGTCCAGAGCTGGGGTTTGCCCTGTGAAGTCCCCATGTGCCACATTCAGCAGCCACTAGTATCAGACAGGCTCTGGTGAACTTGGGCCATCAGGCCTCCAGTATGAGGTCCCGTCTTGGGGGGAGGTGACCAGGGAAATCGTCCCTGCTTGTGGCTTTCCTGCCCATGCCTCAGTTGCCTGGGCCACCTGAGTATGGGTGTCTGGTGGGGGTGGTGTGTGTGTATGTATGTGTGTGTGTGTGTGTGTGTGTGTGTGTGTGTGTGTGTGTGTGGCATGTGTCACAGACTGTGTGTATGTGTGGGGGGGTGCTATCTGTGTCCACGGATCATGGGATTGGAGGTGAGAAACAGGAAGACCCCCTTTTCTCCGGCTGTGCTGGGCTGGGCCTGGCACTAATGGGGGCAAACAGAGCACCTCCCTGGGAGGGCAGCTGTCACAGTGAAGGTTCTGGAGCCAGCAGCATGGATTTGAATCCTGGCTCTGCCTCCTACCAGCTGAAGTTCTGAGTGCAGGCCTGGGCACGTTCTCCACGTGTACTTTATCATGGGTAGAATTCTGCCTGGGCTTCAGTGTGTATCCACGTCCCCATGGGTGTCTTCCCAAGTCCCAGGCTCTGCCCCGCTCAGCTCTGGCCCCAGTCTCCTTAGCTCTCCTGGCCAGACAACCAGCTCTGGGTTTGAACAGATCTCACCCCCAGGTTCTGGAACCCAAAAGATGTGTTTTTATTTTTTTTATTTTTTTATTTTTTATTTTTTTTGAGACAGAGTCTTGCTCTTGTCTAGGCTGGAGTGCAGTGGTGCAATCTCAACTCATTGCAACCTCCACCTCCCAGGTTCAAGTGATTCTCCTCCCTCAGCCTCCTGAGTAGCTGAGACTACAGGCTCCTGCCACCACACCTGGCTAATTTTTTGTATTTTTAGTAGAGACAGGGTTTCACCATGTTGGCCAGGCTGGTCTCGAACTCCTGACCTCAGGCAATCCACCCTCCTAGGCCTCCCAAAGTGCTGAGATTATAGGCGTGAGCCACCACAGCCGGCCCAGATGTGGATTTGAATCCTAGCTTTGCCTCCTACCAGCTGTGTACTCTTGGGCAAGAGACTTAAAGAAGGAGCCTGTCCCCTCATTCCCTGTTCTTGGAACGTCCTTCTGCACCATCTCCCCTGATGAATGCCTGTCCTTCAAGGCCAAGGCCAATCCCAGATCACTGTGCCCTCCAGCAGAGCCCAGACCTGCCATTCCCCTTGTGCAGCACTTTTTATCCCTACTGGACATCCCAGCAGAGGCCCTACAGAGTTGGGAAAGGGAGGAGCTGGGAGGGAGGGAGCAGGGGGCATGGGGAAGGGTACACGAGAGAAGCTACAGAGGCAGGAGGCAGGAGATGCTTGCTCTTTAGCTGGTCCCAGACTCCCTCTTGAAATGCTCACAGCGGCCTCCCATGGAAGGTGCAATTATCATCTCCATTTCACAGACAGGGAGACTGAAGCCACTTGGCCAAATACACACAGAGCCAGAATGTCAGTCTGAAGCCTAAACTCACACTCTTTTTTTTTCTTTTGAGATGGAGTTTCGCTTTTGTTTCCTAGGCTGGAGTACAATGGCGTGATCTCAGCTCACTGCAACCTCCACCTCTTGGGTTCTAGTGATTCTCCTGCCTCAGCCTCCTGAGTAGTTGGGATTACAGGCACGTGCCACCACATCGGGCTAGTTTTTTTTTTTTTTTTTTTTTTTTGGTAGAGGCGGGGTTTCACCATGTTGGTCAGGCTGGTCTTGAACTCCTGACCTCAGGTGATCCACCTGCCTTGGCCTCCCAAAGTGCTGGGATTACAGGCGTGAACCACTGCGCGTGGCCAACTCACATTCTTATTCCTTTGTGCCTTGCTATCTTGTCAGTGTCTCTTTCTCATCATGCTGGGTCTGCAGGTTCACTATGAGCCTTAGGCAGGGCAGAGCGGAGAAGGGGAAGAATGCCGGTCTCCTCCCAACACCCCATCAGAGCCATTGGCACCTTTCCCCAGCAGCTGAGGATCCCAGAGACACCCTCAGGAAAGCTGCTGTGTCCACAGATGCTTCTGGCCAACAGTAGACCTGCAACTGGTCCCTGCTGAGCCCGGCAACCCAGCCCGTGGACAACTAGCACAACCACTCCCAGCCTGATGACTTGGCTGTGGCAGACTCAGCCATGTGCAGGTGGCCTGCTTCCGTCTGGGCGCCACCAAATGTACTGCCAGGAGCCACACCTCACGGCCAAGTGGGTACAGCCCCTTCACAGAGACAAAGAATGGATGCCCGGGGGCAGTGTGACCTCACAGCTAGGAAGCACTGTGGCTTAACGCTGATGAATATGGGCTCTTGAGTGAAACTACCCAGGGTTGAATCCAGGCCCTGCCTCCTGTCAGCTGTGTGTCCTTGGGCAAGTCACGTAACCTCCCTGTTCCTCAGTCTCCTCCTCTGTCAAGCACCTGCCTCCTGGCATCGCAGGGTAGATCACGCAAGTTGGTCCAGATAAAGCCCTTCGAGGCTGGCTGCTCTTATTCTCTATCTACAACCTGCCCTGTGGGGGTGATTTGCACTGGGATTCCAGCTTGCACAGATGCCACATGGCCCTTGCAAGTCTCAGGTCACCCACTGTGGATAAAACCCAGGTCTTCTGACACCCTGGTGGATGCATCTTCCTCCAAGCATGAAGAACCTGAGCACAGAGTCAGGCCGAGTCCTGCCACTCACCTGCTGTGTGATCTTGGCCATGGGATTTCTTCTCTCTGCAGCCTCAGTTTTCTCATCTGTAAAATGAGAACTTTGTTCTCACCTAACTTGTAGGGCTGTTGTAAAGATTGAGTGAGCTGCCGCACGCACTGGTGCCTGGCCGGGGATGGGGTGCATTTTCTCGTTGTTATTGCTACACTGTGCCCCGGGTCAGAAGGGGATGCCTGTCTCCAGCCCCTCCGGCTGGAATGATTACTTCTGGTCAGCCACAGGGTTACCAGGGCATGTCAATGGCCGAGTGAGGGTCCTGGGGATGGTGCAGCCTCCTCAGCCCACCTACTCCAGCCTGCCACCCCCAACCTTCAAGGCTGGCCTGAGGCCGAGGCCTCACCTCTCACCGCCATCTCAGGAGATAATAAAAGACTGATTCTTTTTTCCTGGTAAAATTTCAGCAGAAAGTGTATGCATCATTAAATATGGAAATCCAGAATTTTATTAGCAATCTGCTAGATCTGAACTGACGCCAATTAAACAAAAAAGATATCATTTATAAAAAGGCAGAGTTCAACTTGTATTAAATATGAAATGCAATTTTCTCCTGGTTTTGATTTATTACTGGTGGTCCATTGTTCAAAGAAGCATGTTATATTTCAATAGAGAAATATTGTTTATTCATTAATATTTTAAAACTGGCTTATTGCTGTGCATGGCTCTCACTGAATGAAACTTATGATTTAAAACATGAATTAATAAACACATTTGAAAGTGTTAGACGAGATCACAACCTCTCATTTTTCATTTTCCTGGGAGCATATTAAATTTTTATAATTCTGCATCTACAGTTTTTTCTTTTAAATAAAGATGCAGATTCCGAATTACTCTGCTAATTTCAGGTAACCAGGAGCGAAAAGCAATATCATAGGGACTGGTGTCAGAATCACAGAATCCCCAAGAAGATGCTCAGGTTTATTTTTGTAATATTCATAAATCAAAATAAATGAGCTTTGTGCAGGAGGCAGCGTTCATGCGCGTGAGGTGCCGGCTGGAGTAGGTCTCTGCATCGGGGCTGTCTATGTGTGCAGGTGGGTAGGGTGCATTGACGCTCACATGCACATGTGTGTGTGCTCCTGAGTGCTCCACAGAAACACACACGCATCACCCCAGCTGCTTGAGAGTGTGCAATCTGAATGCGTCTCAGTTTTTTGGTTCAATGGTCAAGCATTATTTATTGAGCACCTACTATGTGTCAAGCCATGCTGGTTACTGAGGATGAGCAGGTGACAGCAGGATCTCCTTGCCCTTCTCCCACACAGCTGCTGGAGCCACCTCTCCTTCAGGACCTTGGGGGCTCTTGAGTTTCCCACAGTCCCTTGAAACACCTTAAACAATGCCTTCTTTCTGGTGAGCAATTGGGAAATATTTCTTGCTGAGCGAATAGACTGGAAGCGTAGGGAAGAGAGAGATCTTTACAGGCTGGAGGTAAAGAAGAGCTTCTGCAAACATGAGTTGAATTAGACCAGGACAAAGGCACAGCCGGAGCTGGGCATGGTGCCTCACATCTGTAATCCCAGCATTTTGAGAGGGCGAGGTGGGAGATCTTTTGAGCCCAAGAGTTTGAGACGAGCCTGAGCATCATGGTAAAACCCCATATTTACAAAAAATACAAAAAGTAACCAGACATGGTGGTGCACGCCTGTAGTCCCAGCTACTCAGGAGGCTGAAGTGGGAGGATCACCTGAGCCTGGGAGGTCAAGACTGAGGTGAGCCAAAACAGTTGGAAGAAATGGAGTCAGGAGAGAGGGGTGTGTCCTGAGGACAGGGAGGAACTTCCATCTGTGGAGTACCCTTCGCACCGACAGCTCACACCCTGCGCAGCCCCTGCTGATCCCAACTTACTGCTGCCTTCCAAACTCCCTATGAGACATGTGCTGTCATGAACCCATTTTACAGTGGAGGCAGCAGAGGCTTGAGAGGGTAAAGATTCGCACACAAGGTCTCAGAGTCAGTAAGTAGCTTGCCTTTGGGTCTAGGTCTGGGGTCCATGCTGTCTCTAAATAGGCCAGGCCCAGAAAGACAGTGTGCAAAATAGGCCAGTGGGGTTGTGTTGTCCCAAGTTATGTGGGGAGGCAGGGGTTTGCAGGAGTCTTGGGGAAGGGGACTTGGACATGGCCTGGGGACAGTAGAGGCCCAGGAAAGTCACCAGCGCCCCCAGGAATAGTGCTGCCCTGCTCCCCCCGTCACACACACACATGCAAGCGTTTCTCTAGAGTGGAATTGCTGGCCTTGTGTAGGCACCCCTCTTCAGCCTTACTAAGGGACACCAAATTGTTTTCCAAAGTGGTTGTACCAGTTTACACTTCTGCAGGGGAACGGCATGGCCTGGGTGGGGGACACTGGAGGAGGTATTTTCAATTTTCTTCCCACCTGGTGGTTAGATAATGATATATCAATGTGATTGTAATTTGAATTTGTATGATTATTAAAGAGGTTGAGCATCTTTTCACATGTTTATTCATTATTTGCATTTTCTCTTCTTTTAAGTGCATGTTGGAGCCATTTACCCATTTTTTCTTACATCTTTTGTCTTTTTCTTATCGATTTGTAAAAATTTATTTATTTATTTGTTTGTTTGTTTGAGACAGAGTCTCGATCTGTGTCGCCCAGGCTGGAGTGCAGTGGTGTGATCTCGGCTCACTGCAACCTCCGCCTCCCGGGTTCAAGTGATTCTCATGCCTCAGCCTCCTGAGTAGCTGGGATTACAGGCATACACCACCACGCCCAGCTAATTTTTGTATTTTTAGTAGAGACGGGTTTTTGCCATGTTGGCCAGGCTGGTCTCAAACTCCTGGTTTCAAGTGATCTGCCTGCCTTGGCCTCCCAAAGCACTGGGATTACAGGTGTTGAGCCACCGTTCCCAGCCAATGTCTAGGATGTTTTAATGAACAGTTCAGTACTTAATTTTAAAGAAAGCAATTTTGGCTGGCTGTGGTGGCTCATGCCTGTAATCCCAGCACTTTGGGAGGCCGAGGCTGGTGGATTGCCTGAGGTCAGGGGTTCGAGACCAGCTTGGTCAACATGGTGAAACCCTGGCTCTACTAAAAATGCAAAAATTAGCCAGGTATGGTAGCACATGCCTGTAATCCCATCTATTCGGGAGGCTGAGGCAGGAGAATCACTTGAACCCTGGAGGAAGAGGTTGCAGTGAGCTGAGATCACGCTGCCGCACTCCAGCCTGGGCAACAGAGCAAGATGCCATCTCAAAAATAAAATAAAATAAAATAAAATAAACAATTTTTAAGTTCCTTTATAGTTACTCCTTTTTGCATATGGTTTGAGGTAGGGGTCTGATTGTCCCACACAATTTATTGGAAAGTTCATCTTTGCCCCACTGGTCTGCAGTAGCATCTCCATCATGCGTCAAGTGTCTCCATGTGTTGATCTGCTCCTGGGCTGTCCTGGCTGTTGAACTGTGTGTCTATCTCTGAGCCAGTGTGGTAACACTGGCTTCACTCTCAGAGTTTTATAATTAGTCTTGATACCTGATACAGCAAGCTCTCTCACTTTGTTCTTTAAGAATACATTGGCCATTCTTAGCCCTTTGCGTTTCTGTAGAAATTTTAGAATTAGCTTGTCAAGTTTCATTTTTAAAAATCGTTGGAATTTTAATTGAGATCACATTGAATAAATAGATGAAGGGAGGGGAATTGACATCTTCAAAATATTGAGTCTTTTAATCCATGAACAAGACATCTATCTTCATTTATTTAGATCTTTTAAAATGTCTTACAATAAAATTTTATAATTTTCTCCATCAAAATCCTCAGGCTCCTTACACCCTGGTACCAGGCCCCTCCATAATAAAACTCCAAATTTCTCTTTGTCTAAACTTTCTCTGTTTGGGCCATGTCCAGGGGTCTGGCCTTTCTCAACATGAAGTCCCATCCAAAGTGTGGCACCACTCTCTGAGAAGCAAGATCCTCTCTCTTGGACTATGAAGTCAGACAACTCTCCCCTTCTGCTTCCCCACTCCCTGTCTCCTTCTTCCCTCCCTTCCTTTCTTTTTCCCTCCCTTCTTCTCCTTCCTCCCTCTCCTTCCCTCCTTTCTGTCTCTCCTTTCTTCCTCCCTCCCTCCCTTCTTTCCTCTCTCTCCTTTATTCCTCCCTTCCTTCCTCCCTCTCTCCCTCCCTCCCTTCCTTCTGTTCTTTTTTGTTATTAATTAATAAACTTGATTTTTTAAAGCAGTACTGAGTGGAAAGTGCAGAGTTCCTACACACCCCTGTCCCCCCTAACACACAACCTCCACAACATCCCCCACAACAGAGGTACTTCTGTTACAATCAATGAAACTATGTCGACATGTCAGTATCATCCAAAATCTGGAGATTACATTAGGGTTTGCTTTGGTGGTGTACATTCTATGAATTTTGACAAATGTACAATGACATGTATCCACCATCGTAGTATCATACAGAATGGTTCCAATGCCCTAAAAATCCTCTGCACGCTGCCTTTTATCTTTCCCTCCCCCTAACCCCTGTCAACCACTGATCCTTTTATTGTCTCCTTAGCTTTGCCTTTTCTAGCATGTTATATAGTTGGAATCAGATAGTATGCAGCCTTTTCAGACTGGCTTATTTCACTTAGCAAAATGCATGTAAGTTCCCTCCATGTCTTTTCATGGCTTGCTGGCACATTCCTTTTTATTGCTGAGTAACATTCCATTGTCTGGATGTGTCACAGTTTATTTACTCACCTACTGAAAGACATCTTAGTGCCTTCCAAGTTTTGGCAATTATAAATAAAGCTACTGTACACATTTGTGTGAGGTTTTTTTGTGGACCTAAGTTTTTAGTTCATGTGGGAAAATACAGAAGAGTATAACTGCTGGATTGTATGGTAAGAATATGTTTAGTTTTTTTAAAAACTGCCAAACTATCTTCCAAAGTCACTGTAGCATTTTGCATTCCCTCCAACAATGAATATGAGTTCCTGTTGCTCCACATCCTCTCCAGCATCTGGCATTGTCAGTGTTTGAGATTCTGGCCATTCTAGCAGGTGTGTTGTGGTATTGCATTGTTGTTTTAATTTTCAGTTATCTAGTGACGTATGATGTTCTTTTCATTTGCTTATTTGCCATCTGTACATCTTCTTTGGTAAAGCGTCCAACTCTTTTGCCATTTATTTTATTTTTTTTTAAGACAGAGTCTCTCTCTGTCATCCAGGCTGGAGTGCAGTGGCCCAATCTTGGCTTACTGCAACCTCTGCCTCCCAGACTCAAGCCATCCTCCCACCTCAGCCTCCTGAGTAGCTTGGGACTACAAGTGTGCACCACCACGCCTGGCTAATTTCTGTATTTTTTTGTAGAGACAATGTTTCACCATTTTTCCCAGGCTTGTCTCAAACTCCTGAGTTCAAGGGATCCACCTGCCTCAGCCTCCCAAAGTGCTGGAATTACAGGAAGTGAGCCACCATGACCAGCCTTGCCCATTTTTAAATTGGGTTGTTTGTTTTCTTCTTGATGAATTTTAATTCTTTGTATATTCTGGATAACAGTCTTTTATCAGATGTGTCTTTTGCAAATATTTTTTCTGAGTCTATGGCTTGTCTTCTCATTCTCTTGACATTGTCTTTTGGAGACCAGAAGTTTTAAATTTTAATAAAGTCCAGCTTATGAATTCTCTATTTCATGGATTGTGCCTTTGGGGTTGAATCTAAAAATTCATCACCATACTCAAGGTCATTTACGTTTTCTCTTATTTTTTTCTAAGAGTTTAATAAGTTTTGCACTGTATACTTTATAGAGTCTATAATTGATTTTGAGTTAATTTTTGAAAAGGGGGTAAGCTTTGTGCCTACATCATATTTTTGTATATGGATGACCAGTTATTCCAGCACTATTTTTGAAAAGACTATCTTTGTTTCATAACCTTTGCTCTTCTGTCAGCTTACGATACTTATGTGGGTCTGTTTCTGGTTTCTCTATTCTGTTCCACTGATCTATTTTTCTATTCTTTCACCAATACCATACTATCTTAATTACCTTAGCTTTGCAGTAAGTCTTGAAGTTGGGTAGTGTCAGTCTGACTTTGTTCTTCTCCTTCAACATGAACCAACTATTCTGGGTCTTTTACCTCTCCATATAAATTTTAGAATCATTTTGTCTATGTCTACAAAATAACTTGCTGGGATTTTGACTGGGTTGTGTTGAATATATAAATCAAGTTGAGAAGAATTGACATCTAGACAATATTGACTCTTCCTATCCATGAACATGAACTATCTCTCCATGTATTTTACTCTACTTTGTTATCTTTTGTCAGAGTTTTGCAGTTTTCCTTATATAGCTCTTGTACACATTTTGTTATATTTATACCTAAGTAGTTTTGAGTGCTAATGTAAATGGTAATGTGTTTTTTATTTTAAATTCCACTTGTTCATTGCCAATATATAGGGAAACAGTTGGCTTTTATTTATTTATTTATTTTTAAAATATTCTTATTTATTTATTTATTTATTATTATACTTTAAGTTTTAGGGTACATGTGCACAACGTGCAGGTTTGTTACATATGTATACATGTGCCATGTTGGTGTGCTGCACCCATTAACTCGTCATTTAACATTAGGTATATCTCCTAATGCTATCCCTCCCCACTACCCCCACCCCACAACAGGCCCCAGTGTATGAGGTTCCCCTTCCTGTGTTCATGTGTTCTCATTAACAGTTGGCTTTTAAATATTAATCTTGTATACTGCAGCCTTGCTGCAATCACTTGTTAGTTCCTTTAGTTTTTTTAATTCACTCAGTTTTTCTACCTAGATAATTATGTTATCTGCAATGACAGTTTTATTTCTTCCTTCCCAATCTCAATATGTTTTATTTCCTTTTCTTGTCTTATTGCATTAGCTAGAATTGCCAGTACAATATTGAAAAGCAGTGGTGAGAGAAGATATCTTTCTTTTGTTTCTGATCTTAGTGGGCGAGCTTCTAGTTCTCATCACTAAGTATGATGATGATGTTAGTTGTAGGTTTTTTGTAGATATTCTGTATCAAACTGATGAAGCTCCCCTCAATTCCTGTTTACTGAGAGGTGTTCTGTTTTGTTTTGCCTTAATAGTGAATGGGTGTTGGACTTTGTTAGGTGCTTTTTCTGCACCTACTGATGTGATCACATGATTTTTCTTTAGTCTGTTGATGTAATAGATTACATTAATTGATTTCCAAATGTTGAACAAACCTTGCATACCTGGGAAAATTCCCACTTGGTGGTAGTGCATAATTCTTTTTATACATTGTTGATTCCAATTTGCTAGTATTTTTTGAAGATGTCTGCATTTACATTCATGAGAAATATTTTCTGTAGTTATCTTTTCTTGTAATGACTTTGGTTTTGATATTAGGATAATACTGGCCTCATAGGATAAGTTAGAATATAGTCACTGTACTTCTATCTTCTGGAAAAGATTGTAGAGAGTTGGTATAATTTCCTTCTTAAATGTTTGGTAACATTTTCCATCTGCTTTCTGTTTTGGAAGGTTATTAATTGTTGATTCAATTTCTTTAATAGATATAGACCTATTCCGATGTCTATTTCTTCTTGTGTGAATTTTGGCAGATTTCATTTTTCAGGAAATTGGCCCATTTCATCTAGGTTACATTTGTGTGCATAGACTTGTTCATAATATTTCTCTATTCTTTTAGTGTCCATGGGATCTGTAGTGATGTTTCCTTTCTCACTGTCATGAGGATAGCATGGGGGAACTTCCCCCTTAATTTAATTACCTCCCACCACGTCCCTCCTATGACATGTGGGGATTGTGGGAACTACAGTTCAAGATGAGATTTGGTTGAGGACACAGCCAAACCATATCAAGCGGTCCTTGTTAAGAAGAAAAAAAATGGGCCGGGCATGGTGGCTCACGCCTGTAATCCCAGCACTTTGGGAGGTCGAGGCCAGTGGATCATGAGGTCAGGTGTTCAAGAACAGCCTAGCCAACATGGTGAAACCCCGTCTCTACTAAAAATACAAAAATTATCCAGGCATGGTGGCAGGTGCCTGTAATCCCAGCTACTCGGGAGGCAGAGGCAGGAGAATTGCTTGAACCCAGGAAGTGGAGGTTGCAGTGAGCTGAGATCATGCCACTGCACTCCAGCCTAGGTGACAAAGGAAGACTCCATCTAAGAAGAAAGAAAAAAAAAGGAAGAAGAAAAGAATGATCTGGTGTATTTTAAAATGGGTTGTTTCCCCCTCCCTCACTGGAAGCATGAGGGGATTCTTCTCCAATATTTACTGTGAGAATCTTGTACAGCTCTAGAGGAAAAACTCACAAAAATGTGTGTGCCTCTCATGATTGGGTCCCCTGGAGTTTTCAACTCTCAGACTTGTCCATCTTGACCTCCTAGTAAGTTATTTCTTACATTTAAGGTTTTCCTACCCTGGTGCTGGTTCTTGCGGATGTTTCTGCTCATGGTTTTCTGCTCCAGTAAGTTGTGATTCTCTGAATCTGCCCTGTCTGTCTCTTTAATTTTGGGACAGCTGTTTGTTTTGTGACCTTACTTCTCTGGCAAATCTAAGAAGAGTTGTTGATTTTTCAGTGTGTTCAGCATTTTACCTGTTGTAAGGATAGAGTGTCAACTTCTACACTTCTTACATGCTGGACCAGAAACTTGAAGTCCCTCCTATCTTTCTTACCTCCCATTACACATACACAATTATATATATGACACACACACACACACATACATATATATGTCACTATTTTATACAGTTTTCAACCTTCCTTTTTTTTTTAAGAAATACATCCTGAATGTCCCTTTTTTTTTTTTTTTTTTGAGATGGAGTCTTGCTCTATTTCCCAGGCTGGAGTGCAGTGACGCGATCTTGGCTCACTGCAACCTCCACCTCCCTGGTTCAAGCAATTCCCCTGCCTCAGCCTCCCGAGTAGCTGGGATTACAGGCACACACTACCACGCCTGGCTAATTTTTTTGTATTTTTAGTAGAGATGGGGTTTCACCATGTTGGCCAGACTGGTCTTGAACTCCTGACCTTAGGCAATGTGCCCACCTCGGCCTCCCAAAGTGCTGGGATTACAGGCACGAGCCATCACTCCCGGCTGTCTTTTCACATTTCTACCCAGGTACTTACTGCAGTCTTTGGTATTGACTTTATGGTGCTCTGTGGTAGACATGTGTCCTCATGTCACTATTCTCCCACTGGTGGACACTTATGTTGACAGCTTATCGCTCTGGCCCACAGTGCTTCATAAATATCTTGAACATCAATCACTGAGGACACATCTGAACATTTCTAGAGGACAAATTTGTAAAAATGGAGTTGCTCAGTCAAGGGGGTGATGGGGTTTGGCTGCATCCCCACCCAAATCTCATCTTGAATTGTATTCCCCATAATCCCCATTTGTCAAGGGAGGGACCCAGTGGGAGGTGATTGAATCACGGGGGCAGTTTCCCTCATGCTGTTTTCATGATAGTGAGTGAGTGCTCACGAGACCTGATGGTTTTACAAGTGTTTGACGATTCCTCCTTCACACACACTCTCTTCCGCCGCCTTGTGAAGAAGGTGCTTACTTCCCTTTCACCATCTGCCATGATTGTAAGTTTCCTGAGGGCTCCTTAGTCATGTGGAACTGTGAGTCAATTAAACCTCTTCCCTTATAAATTACCCAGTCTTGGGCAGTTCTTTATAGCAATATGAAAATGGACTAATACAGAGGGTGTATGCATTAAAATTTTTGAAAAACCCAAATCTCCCCTAAAAGGCTGTTCCAGTCTGTATTGTGTGTTTTTCCACACCCTGGCTGTTCAGCATGGCAGAGTATGGGTGGAGGCAAAGCTGTTAGAGCTGTGAGCCCCACACTGTCCTCGTGGGCTCAGTTCAGAGCACTTCTACATCACTGGAGCACATTTTGCCCAAATTATCAAACATCAATTGCTGGGTCTTTCTTGGCCTCAACCTGAGTGGGATGAGAATATCTCTCTTGATGCTGATTTGCAGGAAGATTCTGGGAAATTTTCTATGATGATAATAAGAAGAGGAATAGCAGCCACTAGTGACCCATGATGATTTCTTGTGACCAGGTCCTAGGCTAAGCCCTTGTTGAATATCATCTTCTTCAGATTTAGTTGCCCTATTTTACAAATGGGAAAACCGTGCTCAGAGAAGGGAGCTTCTTGCCTAAGTGCCCAGAGCCAGGATCAGTCCTGCTGTGCTGACTCCACGCTTGTGAGCTTGACCACACACTATCACATCTCTGAGCCTCAGTTATGGCAGGGGCCAAGGATGCCGAACCTGCCCTCCTCCCACGGGGATGAGGACCAAGGGAGCCAGGGTCTTTGGAACTCTAAGATGTGTGTGACTGTATCCAGGGTCAGTGTCATGGACTGGTCTGAGGCAAGTGTTCAAGCTCAGCCTGGAGTTTCCCGGCTTCACCTACACAATGCCTAGAGTGGGTGGTCCAGGGCTCAGAAAACACTGGCTGTGTAAAGGGGCAATTCTATTGCAAGCTTGTGGGGCCCATCCCAGGAAGCCAGGCTGCCCCTCACATCACTGCAGTCTGAGACAGGTGTGTCAAGCCGGGTGACGGTGGTGGTGAATGAATGGGAGGGGCTTGGCCTCTGGAGTCCAGCCTCCACTGCAGTAATCTGGGCATGTGTCCTCTCTCGGAGCCTCAGCTTCCCTCTCTGTAAAATGGGTTCATCCCTCCTAGGGCTGAGTGAGGACTGAACAAGGTCTTGCTTACACATCATGAAACTCACCCTCTTATATACGGTAGGTGCTTATTAATGAGCACTACTGAGTCAGGGTGTCTGGGGCACCCAAGCCAGGAACCTCCTTTGGGGAAGCACCACCAGGAGCTGTTTAACCCACGTTTATTGTCCAAATGAACAGATGAGCCAACTGCTATTCGGGAGGCCACAGGCTGCCCCTGAGCCCCCAGTCCCCACCATGCTTAGCAGGCTTCTCCCCTCCCACTGCATCTGTCTGGTCCCCTGGCGTCTGCTCAACTCCAAACAGTTGCTTAATTTGTGCATTATAAAAAAATGAGAGTTTCAAAGCACTCGGCGATGTATAACAATAAATAAGGACTCCCACAATATTGCCTCCTTAACCCTGGCGGCCACAGAAGCAGCACAGATGTCTGGCACCCTGACAATACCTGGCCCCTGCCACTGTGGGGAATGAGTCTCAGAAGGTCATCATTAGGCCTGTGAGCACACTATGTTACGTGTCACATGCATGTCCCTGTGTGCACTGTGGACTTCTGTGTGTTTCTGAGCAGTGTCATGTGGGCCTGTGACACAATGTTGTGCAGGTGTGAATGCAAGGGGGTGGCCCACTGTGTGAGACATGTCTTGTCTGCGTGTGGTCATGTTACGTGGTGTGTGTGTCTTTTACTATTCTAAATTAAATGGAGTCTGGGCTGGGCGCGGTGGCTCACGCTTGTAATCCCAGCACTTTGGGAGGCTGAGGCAGGCGGATTGTCTGAGCTCAGGAGTTCGAGACCAGCCTGGGCAACATGGTGAAACCCTGTCTCAAAAAATTAGCCAGACATGGTGGCGGGCACCTGTAATCCCAGCTACTTGGGAGGCTGAGGCAGGAGAATCAATTGAACCAGGGAGGCGGAAGTTGCAGTGAGTTGAGATCGCGCCACTGCACTCCCGCCTGGGTGACAGAGCGAAACTCCAACCCAAAAAAAAAAAAAAAAAGGAATCTGGGCCTGGTCCCTGGACATCCACTTCCCAGGGATTCAGGGCCTCCCTCCTTCCCTCCAGAGTCCCAGGTGGGTGTGATGCTCCAGGCACAGGTCTCCTTGGTTCTCTGGCCTGCTGCTGTGTGGCATGACACTGTCCCCAAGCCTGCACCCTGTCATCAGGTCAGGCTGTTCTACCACGGGTCCTGGACATGCCTCCCACTGGGAAGCCCCTCCACTGGCTCCAGAGCCTACTACAGGGCCCTCTCTGCAGCGCTCAAGGCAGAGACTCAAGGTTCCATCACCACAGATGTCCAGGAACCTGGGAGCAGCTCCTGCTTCCCCAGAGCACTTCCCTCCCTCAGGCTCCAGCTAGTCTTGAGCTGAGCTCCAAACTCTCTCTCCTCCCCAGAGGAAGTTCCTGCTTCATCCCTTGTTTGGCCTGATGCTCCAACAAAGAGTAGGGAGGAGGTGGGGCTCAGGGTAGCTCTGGAAATGCCAAGAAGGTATTGACTTCCCCAGGGAGGTGAGACAAGGCCCCTGCAGTCTGGGCTTAGAATCAAAACTTCTGGTTGTCATGAAGAGGGAACAATTCACCTTTTTTGGTGTACTGAGTTGGGTACTTTCAAGCAGGTTACCTTATCACCATCATCATCACCACCATCACCACATTGCTACCACCACCACCAACATCACCACCATCATCACCACCACTACCACTCATACCACTGCCACCACCACCATCACCACCACCACCATCACCATCATCACCACTACCACCATCACTATCATCATTATCCTCACTACTATTATCATCATCATTATCCTCACTACCACCATCACTATCACCACCACCATCACCATCACCATCACCACCACCATCACCGTCATCACCATCACTATCATTATTCTCACTACTATCATCATCATCACCATCCTCACTAGCTTCACTATCATCTTAATCATCATCACCATCATTATAATTATCACTGTAACCACAATCACCACCACAACCATCACCATCACCATCACCATCCTTACCCTCGTTATCTTTATAGCCATCAGCAGCAGTAGAATCGCTATCAGCATCATCACCATCTCCACCATCATCATCACTGATTTTTTTCAGGCCCCTGGTTCACTGTCGGTCTCTCATTGTGGCTCCCCCATCACAATGTAATAAATACTCCAGTGCCCATGTGAACTCCCGTTCAAACCGGATCCTTAGCAGTCTCAGTTCTCCAGGTGTTGTCCATCTCTGCACTCACCCCTGAAACTTCTCCACTACTGAGACCTCCACACCTCCCTCCTCTGCCTGGCCCCTGACCCCCATCCTCCTCTGCCAGTGAGGGTTGAGGTTGAGGAGAGCGAGGAGCGTCTACTTAACAGCTACATTTCTACCCAAAGCCTGTTCCAGGCAACCTAGGCCTTTTCTATCATGCGTCTCCAGATTTTTTTAGCCTCTGTTCACTGGTCAATTCCGAGGCCGCTTGCACACTTTTAGGCATTTGCTACAGCGGCGCCCTGCTTCCAGGTACCCAGGCCTGTGTTGGTTTTCTATTGCTGCCGAAAGACATTCTGCCTCCCACAGCTTCCCTGCTCCGTCTTCCACCGGCAGGTCCCCGAGCCTGGATGGCTCCTGCCGTCTGTGTTCTCCATGCCTAGCTGCTGGGAGCCCAGGAGGCTGCACCCGCCTCTGGTGTGAGGCCACAGTCTGAGCCCTTAGCATGGTATCTGGAGCCAGAGATGTCCCCGGGCTCCTCTGCTGCCCAGCTGTGTGACCTCAGGCCAGACGTGTGCCCCTCTGAGCCTCAGCTTCCTTATCTGTGAAATGGGAACAATGATGTCACCCACACCTGAGGTGCAGGCGTGAGTGAGCAGAGTCCCATCACCCTGTTGAGTGGTGAGTGGCAGGTGAAACTCACTCCCCAGGGACCCCTGCCATGGGCCTTCCTTCTGCCCAGGTAGGAGGGCGGCCCTGGAACTAAGCCCTCACTCTGGTCAGGGAAGCTGGCTGGTGGGGTTCCCGTGGATCGGGCCGGGAGGAGGATTCTGGGTCTGGCTCTGTCCTGCAGGTGGCTCCCCGCAGGGCATCATGCTACCTGTGGCCCTCTCCTGCCTCGGTGGGAGCAGGGCAGGAAGATCGCCTTCCCCCTGAGGGCCTTGGGAGCCATCGAATGTGTAGGCAGGAGAGTGCCATGGTCAGGTGGGCTCGGACTGTCATAAGTTGGATGGGCCAGAGTGGGTCAGACTTGAGACTGAGTGACTTTCTTGGTCCCGGACAGAAAGGGTGAGGTATAAGTTAGGCGGTGGCTACAGGGAGGGAGGAATGGGATGGTGGTGATATAGGGGTTTGGGTCTCGGCCTTGGCTGCACACTGGAACCTTCTGGCAATTTTTTTTTTTTGAGACAGAGTTTCACTTTTATCACCCAGGCTGGAGTGAAGTGGCGCCATCTCGGCTCACTGCAACATCTGCCTCCTGGGTTTAAGCGATTCTCCTGCCTCAGCCACCCAAGTAGCTGGGATTACAGGCGTGCACCACGGTGCCCGGCTGATTTTTGGATTTTTAGTAGAGATGGGGTTTCACCATGTTGGTCAGGCTGGTCTCAAATTCCTGACCTCAGGGGATCCACCCACCTCAGCCTCTCAAAATGCTAGGATTACAGGCGTGAGCCACGGTGCCCAGCCCCTTCTGGCAATTCTGATTCAGTTGGTTGGGGGGCAGCCTGGGCATTGGCAGGTTTGAAATCTCCCCTGGGGGATTCTGACACAGCTTGAGGTGGCCTAGGGCACAAGCTAGAGTCATGAGACCCTTTGGGTCTGTGCAGGACCCCAGTGGAGTCAGACTCAGGCCTGGGGGTCCAGCAGTGTTGCTCCCTGCCCCCTGCCCAGGCTGGGGTGGCTTCCAGAACAGGGAGGCAGATGGAAGGTTTGAAGGGGACAGCAGTAAGGCTGAGAGGCAGGTACAGGGATGAGATGGAGAAGTGGCAGTGTGGGGCTCTGCAAACAGTGTGGGCTCTGTGGCTGCTGCCGTGGGCAAGGGCAGGCTGCTCTAGGCTTTTCAGTGGTGTGAGAGGCTACAGCTGCGTTGAAGCCTGAACCAGGCTCAAGGGCAGGGCTGTCTGCTACTGACTGCCTCTGCCCAAATCTCCTGGGGCAGCTTTGCAGGGCTCTGTGTCGGGGGGAAGGAGTGGACATCCCCTATTTGAGTGGGGCTGACACCTCTACCCAGGGCAGGTCCTGCAGCTGATCCCCCCACAGTCTTGCATGCTGCAGACAAAGAGAATTTGCTGGGAGACAATGTCAAGTGTACAGAATGTTGGGGCTGAGGACCATCTCTCTGTGCTGGAACTCAGGCTGGAGGAGAGGCTGGGCCTTCGACGGTGGGAGTTTTCACCCTGAGCCCACAGACTTTCTCGACTTCAGATTTACAAATTGAAAATCATTAATAATTCTAACCAGGCGGTGATAAATCTGAGATCTCTCTCGATGAACCCAGACAGCATTTCATAAATCAAAAAGATTACTTAGGAATTTTAAAAAATCTGACGTCAAAATGTCATGGTTACTAATGGTTTCGGTAGATCTCGTGCGGTGATATATCATTTATCTACGCTACATCTCAGATGTGACACAGGGGGCAGAAATGGGATGTCTTTTAATATCGTGAATACATTTCAGCCCATAATAAAGGTATTAACAACTTCTTGGTGCGATTTCTTCCAGAGCTGGGGGTCTGATTTAATGCCATTTTGACAGTGGCTCCGCCTCGTCACTCCCCAAACTTCCCGAGGCCCTGTGTGGCCCTGGAAAATTCTGGAGAGGCTGAGATAGGGCTGCAGACCCCCATTCCCATGGGGGATAGGCTGGGTTGCTCAAATACAGCTCCTGCCCATAGGCGGAGACCCTAAGACACCCCTCACACTCCCCGAAAACAGGTCAGAAATCACCTAATTATAAGTAGCAGTGATCATAACTCCTATTAATTAAGCACTTACCATGTGCAGGCTATGTAACGCCTGATGTGCATTCGTTCACAGATTCCTCCCTGCTTCTCATTTCTTTACAGGCCCAAAGTCCGGGGTGCCCTGCCCACCCCCACCTCTCTGTCCTGGTCTCCCTAGCCAGCCTCTCCAGGCACATGGGTCCTCTTCCTGCTCCTTGAACCCCTGCTGGGGCACGTCTGGCCTCAGGGCCTTTGCACGGGCTTGCCCTCTGTCTGGAACACTCTTCCCCAGGTAGCCATGTGGCTCCCTCCCCCACTGCTTCAAGTCTTTGCAGGAGTCTCACCTCTCAGAGGAGGCCTGCCCGGGCACCTTGTTCAATCCTGTAGCTGCCCCGGCGTCCTGCTCTCCTGTCCCTCCTGTCCCCGCATGGCTTGTCTGACACCTCCTATGTTCATGTGGGGTCTCTCTCTCCTCTGCTAGAAGGTCTGCTCAGGGAGGGCTGGGAGCCTTGTCTGTTCTGCTCGTTGCTGTGTTGAAAGCTTCTCAAACTACCCATGGCAGGCACTTAGTCAATGAACAGTTGAACAGTTGAAAGTCCATCTTACAGAGAGGAAACTGAGGCTCAGAATGGGGCAGTCACCGGTCCAAAGCCACACAGTGGGAGAGAAGCAGAGCAAGGCTTCCCCTCAGGACTGCATCCCCTGAAAGGTGGCCCCCTCGCTGCACCATGGGGTGCCAAGTCCGGGAGGGGGTGCTCAGGGACCGCCCAGGACTGTGCAGATCCGGGCTGAGGGCAGGGAGGGCCCCTGTTCAGTGACCGTTCCGTGCCCCATCCTGATGGGTGTTCACCAGCCCAGGGGCACCCTAGAGGGCAGAGGGGTGACCTCACCTGCTCAGAGTCACCAGGCTGTGATTCCAGGTCAGGAGGGACAGACAGAAGGGCCCTGCAGTCAGCCCTGTGCTGTCTGGGGCCTGGAGCAGAGTCCTATCTGCCTGCACCTCCCGGGGTGGCCCAGCGCAGGGTGTGTGGCAGCCCCTGGAGCCCCCAAACCCAGTTTCCATCCTGGCTCTGCCACCTTCTGCTGTGTGGCCTCGGGTGGGGCCTGTTTGTCTTGCCCTGTACTTTCTCCCCTGAGGAGCGGGGGTGGGATTCCTCTCCGCCCCTCAGGATTGGGAGGGGAGGCAATGAGATGAAGCAGTCAGAGCCCCCCGCATCAGTGAGTGCTCAAAACATAGTCCTTGCTCATGTTTTCTCCAACTCCCTTGCTGTGCAGCAGAACAGCCTAAGCCTGGGCCCAGAGAGGGACAGCGGCTCTCCCGTGGATGCCCAGCACATCCTGGGAGCATCCTTGGGGGCCCCAGTGGTGCAGTCTCTCTCCAGATGCCCCACCCCACCCACTGAGTTGGAAGTGACCCTCAGCCCCTTGCACATGGGTTTGGAGACCCTGCAGCTCTCTCTGCCTTGGCTGCCAACAACTCTCAGTCACCACAGGAAAAACCTTGGTGGGCTGATACTCAGAGGGGTCCCTGGGAGCTGGCACGGCCTGGTCAGGAGGCTAGAGGCTGGAGCAGGGATGTCCGGGGGCCCCTGGGAAGCAGGTGGGAGTGGAAAGTCAAGGGCCACGTTGCAATCCATAGGTGCCAGGCTGCCCCGCTGGGTCATGCACCACCGTTGTCAGCCGAGGCCTCCTGAAATGCCCTCCACCGGCAACACCCATGCGGGCCTAGCCCTCAGTCCCCCCACAGCTGCCAGTGGGATCTCTAGGAAATGCTGGCCTAACCTTCACTCCCTGGCTCCAAAGCTTTCCATGGCTGCTCGTGCCTGTGGGACAAAGGCAGGACTCCTTAGCTGCCTGCCCCTCAGGGTTCGTTTCCTACCGCCTGGCCTACCCTCCATGTGGCCTTCCAGAGCTCCAACCCCAACGCTCCAGGCAACATAACCCACCCTGTGGCTGCCCTCTCTGCAACCACCCTGACCCATCCCCGCTTCAGTTGATCACCCTCTGGGATCCTGGGACTAGGGATGGTCGCGGAGCAGGGCGGGCACCCTGGTAGACATGCCACATGGCAGGATCAGCTGGGGGAACTCTTCTGGGGGCTGGCGACACAGCAGGGAATGAAGCTGACCTTCTCGACAGAGCCCGCCACCCTCTGTCCCCGAGCCTTTCCTTGCACCTCCTTTCGTGGTTGTTTGTTTGGGGTCTTGCCCCACCACCTCCCACTAACTTACAGGCACCGAGAGGGCGGCAGCCTGGGGTGGTCCCACCACTTGTTCCTGGTGTCTCCCAGACCTGGTGCTAAGTAGGTGCTCAGCCCTTGGGCCAGAGGGCCTGGGCCTTCATCCTGTGCTTCGCTGTTCTCAAACTCCACATCCGAAATAAACCTCTTCTCACCTCCTCCCTCTTGATCCACCCTGGATCAAGCCAGGATTGTCGCAAAAGCTTCCCAAGTTCGTCTACCCAGGTGGCCTTCACCCATTCACCATTCTGCACCCAGCTGCCAGGGGGCTCCTCTCCAAGGCCCGAGCCAGGTCCCGCCCCTCCGTCACACCCTGCAATGCCCTCTGCGTCTCTGGTCCCTCTCTGACCTCCCTGTCCCCTCTGAGACCACACTGGCCACCTCATCTTTGTGCTTGCAGATCCCTCTGCCCAGAGCTGCCCCCAGGCTCTCACACTCCCACACGACTCCCTGTTAAACATCCCCACCCCTGCAGCTCCCTCCCCCATCTCCACGGCATCACCATCTGGCACGCGCCACATTTTTATCTGTTTTGTTTAAAGTCTGTCTCTGCCACGAGAATGTCAGCTTTGTTGACCACTGTGTCCCCAGCGCCTGGAGGAGTTCCTGGCACACAGCGGGGACACCATAAAGATTTGCTTTTTTTTTTTTTTTTTTTGAGATGTTGTCTCACTCTGTCATCTAGGCTGGAGTGCAATGGCCTGATCTTGGCTCACTGAAACCTCTGCCCTTCAGGTTCCAGTGTTTCTTATGCCTCAGCCTCCTGAGTAGCTGGGCTACAGGTGCCCACCGCCATGCCCAGGTAAGTTATTTTTCGTTGTTGTTGGTGGTGGTGTTTTTTTTTTTTTTTTTTTTTTTTTTTTTTTTTAGTAGAGACGAAGTTTCACCATGTTGGTCAGGCTGGTGTCAAACTCCTGACCTCAGGTGATCCGCCCACCTTGGCTTCTCAAAGTGCTGGGATTATAGGCGTAAGCCACCACACCCAGCCAGATTTGTCTATTGAATGAAGTTGTTGAATACCTAAATGAAGGAATGAATGATGAATGATTCTGAAAAAGCAGGGAGACAAAGTCTTCATGATTTCTTTCCTCTGCATCCACCACCCCAAGTTCAGGGCCCAGGTGAGTATGAGACCCTTGGTAGTCCCCGTTTTCCCTTTTAGCCCCTGACTGATCCCAGCACCCATCAGCTCCGGGATAAAGGAGCGGGGGCAGATCTGGATTTGAGTCCTGGCTCTGTCTCTTTCAAAGCAGTCACTCAACCCTTAGGAGCCTCAGTTTCTTGGTCTGTAAAATGTGGATTATGATACCTTCACCAACATTTATTGAGCATTCTCTATGAGCCAGGCCCCGGGCCTTCTTTCCAGGTTTGTTAAAAGGATAATGTGAGGTCAGGGCAGGGGCTCAGTGAAGAGAAATGAATGGGGGTCAGGATGCTTAAGAATGACAGGGTGCAGCCTCCCCCGGGGCATCTCACTTCTCTGGGCCCCATGCGGAGTGTGCAGCTTAATGAAGCCTTGCAGGTAAGGGAGAAACTTCACCAGCCCGCCTGCCTCCAGGAGGAGCAGCAGAAGCCCGGTCTTTGGTGTTCTAGGTGGTGCTGCTGCCTCAAAGCCACATGCTTGGAGGGGTGACTCTGTGCCAAGGTCACAAAGGAGATAGACGCAGAGAGCCCCCATCCCCTTCCTTCTCCCCCCGCCCATCCCACTGCCCGCTCGCCCACCCCGCAGCACCAGCCTGGGCCTCAGCAGTGGATGAGCCTGTCATACTAGGGACTTTTATCTCACACAATTGCTTCTGCCTCTTGATAGAGCTTCTCCTCACAAATCAAATCGACCCCAGGCAGGGAGAGTGAAAATCAATGCCTGGTGGAAAGTTCCCCACAGAAAACAGATTAGTTATTCTGGAAACTTCCTTAACCACAACAGGCTCTGGCATTCCCCCGGGCACAGGTCCGTTTGCCCAGGGCTCCAGGTGGTTGCCAGGAGGGCAGAGAGGAACAGAGGCCGGCCCAGCAGGGACCCAACCCCGGCCAGGGCTCTCCCAGGCTGGGGGACAGAGCGGGAGAAGGGGGAGGCTTGGAGTCACAGACCTGGGTTCAAGTCCAGGTCCACCACTTCCTTCTGGCTGCCCCTGGGCAAGTCACATCATCCTTCTGAGCCCTGGTTTCCACTTTCGGAAAATGGGGCTCTCAGGAGTGTTCACCCTGCAGGACTGTTGTGGGATGGTAGGTCACGTGTGCACAACACCCAGTGGACGACAGGCTGCCAATGGAGGAGGCAGAGTGCACTTCCCAGGGTTCTCGTCTGGGCAGAGGGCTGCATCCCCTGGCTCTCTCTGTGGATAATGGTTCTTACAGCCGTTTCCATGGACTGAGTCCTCCCTTGGTGCCTGGGGATTACTTTGTGTCGTGAGACTTAATCTGCCCAGCAGCCCACTGGATGGTTATTTATTTTATTTTTATTTTTATTTTTTTGAGATGGAGTCTTGCTCTGTCTGGAGTGCAATGGTGCGATCTCAGCTCACTGCAATCTCCACCTCCTGGGTTCAAGCGATTCTCCTGCCTCAGACTCCCGAGTAGGTGGGATTACAGGCGTGTGCCACCATGCCCGGCTAATTTTTGTATTTTTAGTAGAGACCGGGCTTCACCATGTTGTCCAGACTGGTCTCGAACTTCTGACCTCAAATGATCCACCTGCCTCAGCCTCCCAAAGTGTTAGAATTATAGGCGTGAGCCACCACGCCCAGCCCGGATGGTTATTTTTAATATTCCCGATTTACAGATGAGGAGACTGTGGCTCTGGGCAGTGGAGAAACTCATCCTGGGTCACATAACTGGGAACCACTAATCCCAAGGGGTCTGAGAGCCACTCTGGGACTCTTCCCGATGCCCTGGGCCTCCCTGGGCATGCATCTTCCTACAGGATCCCAGCTTGCTCCCGTCATGGCCGCTGGGCCCTGCCTGGCGACTCTAACCCTCCCCGAAGTGACATCGATATAAATATTGTTAATGGCCCGAACATAATGTTAAGTCAGGTTTTACTGGACTCCCTCGTCCAGCCCGTGGATTTATGGCGATAGGATTTGAGGTAAATGTTTATTGGCCCAAGTGAGAGCCAGGACTTCCTCTCTCCCAACCGCCGGCTCCCCAGGGCTGCCCAAGGGCTCTTGGTCCACCTGCTGAGAGCACATCGGGATAAATCTCCCCGAATGAAATATTTATTAATTTTGTTAACTAGTGTTGATCTCATAAATTACACCGACTTTTTCATGAAACGGTTATTAACATCCATGGCGCTGTGTTAATGGCTTATTGACCAAATATGGGATAATTAGGCCTGGGGAGCGTGGCCTGGCTGATCTGCAAGAGGCCAATTTGGCCAGGATTATGCCAATGACCTATTTTATGTTGCAGCCAGCGACATGGGAGATTCTGGAGCCTGGGCTTTGGAAAGCTGGGATCTTCAGGGGGGCTCCTGACCTGGAGCACTCTGACCCCTGCCCTTGGCCTGGCCCAGCAGCCTTCCCTGGGGTGGCTAGTGCTGCTCCCCAGCAAGGGAAGGGGGAAGTGGGACCCCCCACTCCAAGGCATGCCCTGGCCTCCATCCTGCTCTTAGCTCTGGGAGCTGGTGTTGCCAGGGGCAGAGGAGGGAACAGGCCCAGAGGGGTTGTCCCCTCAAAGATGGCACAGTCCATGCTTGTCCGGCCACATCCCCCGTCTGTCCCATCTGCTCCTGCTGGCGCTGGAGAAGGAAGGAGTCTTCCTACCTTGAGAATAGGGAAATTCTCTCCAGAGAGAAGAGCCCCGCTGGCCCAGGAATGGGGGGCCGGCGGAAGAAGCTACCCCAGGACACTGTCCATGTGTGTGCCTGGCTGTGCTCCTGGGCAGGCCTGTGCCACACATTCAGGCACACACATGTGGCCTGGATGCCTGCATTTGGCCACATGCGCAAGACAGGGTCTCTGTTTGTGGCTGAGGGTTTGTACCTGGGCCTGCAGGGTGCGGGGTGGTGCTCCTGCCCAGATGTGAGTGGCCCGGCCTCTCCACGCTGTGTCTCAGGACTTGGCTTTCTAGGGGGCCTCAGGTTTCAGGAAGCTGGGCAGGAGATGCCACCCTGCTGGTGTGCGGAGAGGGTTTCCCGGAGTCAACAGCGAGTACTGCTCCCTCCACTGCCATGGCTCCTTTCCCTGGTGCCCCGAGGTGGGACCCAGTGAGAACAAGGGGAAGGCATCTCTGGGTGAGAGCTGCTCAGATCCAATTCCACCCAGGCCGTTCTATAGCACGGACGCTTCTCCAGGGACAGGGCGTCCGCTCCTTTTCAGGCAGGGCATTCACTGTTAAACCTTAGAAACACACTTAGGGAATTGTGGCCACAGGGACCATGCTTGAGATGCCCCCAGGAGCCCTCAGGAAACCATCCCTGTTTCCCTGGGGGATCCAGTCACCCAGGTGTGTTCCATGGGACTCAATCCCTGGTCTGAGCTGTTTGGACCAGGGCTGGGCATCTCATCCCACCTAGGCCAACCTGCTGGTCTCTTGGGCACTTGGACCAGGGCCCAGAGGCCAGGCAGTCCCTGCTGGTGGGTGTACTGAGGCTGCCATCCGTGGGTGGCCACGGAGAAGCAGAGGGAAGTCTGGAGACAAGGAGAGAGAAAACTCATGGGAGACAGCAGCAGAGGGGCCCTTGAGGCCCTGAGTCGGGGAGAAAGGGTGCCGGGGGAGGGGGAGGTGCCAGGGGTGAGGGGGTGCCTGGGGAGAGGGGGCCGCTGCCTCCATCCATCCTGGCCTGGCCAGGCCAGGCTGGCTGTACCTCAGAGCTGCAGGGGCCCTGGCATTTTCTGGGAACAGGCTGGGTATGTGGCCCCAAAGAGGCTTTCTCTAAGATGGTGGAGAGGAGCCTGTCTCTACCCTGCCTGGAGCCATGGAGACAGTTCTGGGTGCCCCGGGGGCTCTTGTCTGGAAGATGGAGGCTCCCAGTGCTGGAGGATGCAGGAAGATGCTGTGTGCTGAGAACCAATCAGCCTGCTGTTGGCCAGCAAAGCACCCTCACCCCACCTTGGAGGTAGCCTGGACAGTGGCCCCTTTCCCCTGGGGCACCCTTTTCTCTGCCAGGGATTTGTGGAATCCGACCCCAGCCCCACATACAACCCATGTGTTCATCCTCCAGCTCCTTGTTTCTCTCGGTTAACAAAATCTTCAAACACGGCTGTTTGTAACTAGGAGGACTGACTATGGGTTGGGGGCCCAGCCTCTCGGCAGGATGACAGCAAGGACAGCCTGGGTCCTGAGTAGGAGCCTGGGTGGAGCCTCCAGCATCCGCTTCAGGTCTTTGCCACGGTGGGACCTTTCTAGAACTCCAGGTCTCGGTTTAACTCTCCCTCCGAGAAGCCCTGGGCTCCCTCCTGTCGTGGGAGGAATCCTGGCCCCTTCACTGCTGCCTGCCCCATCGCTCCATAGATTTCCTTTCCTGGGGCTAGTCTGATCAAGTCCAGTTATTTTTATTTCGTCCTTTGTGAGCTGCTTCCCACCCTGGGCTGCAAGTTCCTTGAGGCAGGACCCCATGGGTCTTGGGAGAGTTCTGCCCTAGGGCCTGGCAGTGACCTTGCTGGATGAATGAGTCAAGGGGTGAATGAATGAGTGAACGGGCAGATTGTCCGGTGGATCCTCTTGAATGCACTTCTACTGTAGGTGTTGACTGCAAATTCCCCTCCCTTTTTTTTGAGACAGAGTCTCGCTCTGTCACCCAGACTGGAGTGCAATGGCGCGAGCGATCTCAGCTCACTGCAACCTCCACCTCCTGGTTTCAAGCGATTTTCCTGCTTCAGCCTCTTGAGTAACTGGGATTACAGGCATGTGCCACCATGCCCAGCTAATTTTTTTTTGTATTTTTAGTAGAGACGGGGTGTCACCATGTTGGCCAGGCTGGTCTTGAACTCCTGACCTCAGGCGATCCACCCACCACGGCCTCCCAAAGTGCTGGGATTACAGGCATGAGCCACCGAGCCCAGCCTCTTTTTACTTTTTTTGAGACAGGGTCGTGTTCTGTCACCCAGGCTGGAGTGCAGTGGAACGATCATGGCTCACTGCAGCCTTGACCTCCTGGGCTCAAGCAATCCTCCCACCTCAGCCCCCTGAGTGCCTGGGACCACAGGCACGCACCACCACACCCAGCTAATTGTTTGTAGAGTTGGGGTCTCCCTGTGTTGCCCAGGCTGGTCTCAGACTCCTGGGCTCAAGTGATCCGCCTGCTTCAGCCTCCTAAAGTCCTGGAGTTGCAGGCGTGAGCCACTGTGCCTGACCATGAATCCCTTCTGCCTACCCCTGCCCGAGCCCAGCAGCTCCCCACTTCTAAGCGGCACCTTCCCCCTTCTTGCTCTCTGCACTGCCTGCCCCCGTTACAGCCGCCAGCCCGTACCTCCTTTCTACTGCTCTTTCTGGGATGTGGGACGCTGAGGTTAAAACCTGAACCCCTCTGCGACCCCCCTCGCAGCTGGCTCAGCCCTCCTCTGGGTCCCTCTGGCACCCTCCAGCCTTCAGGAATGGGTTCCAATGTCACCTTACTAGGGCTCATGTGCTTTTCTCTTCTTTCCTCTCATGCCACTTCCCCCATTCGCAATGACTGGCTATTGGGTGTCACTGCTGGGTTTTGTCTCCCTCGCTGGCCTGCAAGGTCCTGGGAGCCCGGGCTGTGATGTTTGCCCTTCACGCCCCCATGCCAGGCCCTCATGGAACACGTGCTGAATGACAGAGTGAAGTTGTCTGAAGTCACCAAACCTCTAAGTGGTGTGCCAGCATCTGCACCCAGGCCCCTCTCTGCTCAGAGTCATTGTTGCTGCCACTAGCTCGGGCTCAGCTGCCTTCCCTGCCATGTGTCGTGTAGTTGTTTTCAGCACATAAGCTGTC
Source organism: Homo sapiens (assembly GCF_000001405.40). NCBI lineage: Eukaryota > Metazoa > Chordata > Mammalia > Primates > Hominidae > Homo > Homo sapiens. The sequence goes on from NC_000009.12 coordinate 125,997,508, forward strand.
AACGAGCGTTCTTTGGAGATACTTGAACTGGAGTGGCCCAGGGGCTTTTCGCCTTTCCGTAAGCCTGCTCTGCCAGGGAGGCGCTGCCCCAAAGGTGGCCTGGCCACCGTCCAGAATGGAGGCCCCCGGTGCTGGCCTGCCCAGCAGCACCTGCGGCTCAGTCCCTCCAGGATCGGAAGGAATCACACCTGCCACCTCTACCTGCTGGCCCAGTGCCACCTCCCTCTCCTCCCAGACTCTGCCCAAGAGGCTCTTGAGGCAAATCTGAGCCCTGTGCCCGGTGGCAGACCTTGAGCTTACCCAGGGCTGGCTGGCCTGCCCCTCTGGAATCTGCCCTTCCCCAGGTTATGGACCCATTTTCCTCGGCTCTGGCAAGGACAAGCTCTGGGAGGTGGACGAGAGCTAGGGCTTCAGGTTTCTCTCCTGGCTCTTCCTCTTAGCCCCTCGCCTGCTGGGCCTCAGCTTCCTCCTCTGTAAAATAGTCACAGTATCCTCATCCCCAGGAGACTTAGGGGGATGAAGTGAAATAATCCACACAGAGCTCAGGGTAGGGCCAGCACATCGTAGGTGCCTGGTGGCTGCCAGCTCTGAATTAGCCCAAATAACAAAAACAAAAAACACAGCCCATGCACCAGGTCTAGACTGGGGACTTGGGTGGTGGGGACCCCAGTGGTTCCTAAGAGTAGGACTAACTCCCTTGTATGTTGAAATGGGTTTCAGTTTCCACTGGAAGGAAACTGTGCCCAGCTCACCAGTGTTGCTCTGAGCAGCAAGGAGGTGTCCCCACTTGCTGGGCCTGTTTGTGACTGAATGCATGGTTATAGGTAGCACTTTCACTCTTTAAAATGCTTCAGATTGAGGCTGGGCAAGGTGGCTCACACCTGTGATCCCAGCACTTTGGGAAGCTGAGGTGGGGGGCTCACTTGAGCTCAGGAGTTCAAGACCAGCCTAGGCAACATGGTGAAACCCCATCTCTACAAAAAATTTAAAAAAATTAGCTGGGCATAGTGGCATGCATCTGTGGTCCCAGCTATGAGGTGGGAGGATTGCTTGAGCCTGGGAGGTTGAGGCAGAAAAGGGATTAAAGGAAATAATCTGTGTAGCTTCAGGATGGGCCAGCACTCAGCGGACTTTGAAGTGAGCTATGATCATGCCACTGTACTCCTGCCGGGGTGACAGAGTGAGACACTGTCAAAAAAAAAAAGAATGTTTCAGATTGGATGATAAATATGCTTTCCTCAGCTCTAAGCTTCAAGAGTCTATTTGGCATCATAGAGAATTTTATGTTCTTTGGTGCTTTTCTCTATTTTCCAATTTTTCTAATAGGAGCACTGCTTTTAGGATCTGGGCAAAACCATGCATGTGATAGAAACAAACCTTTTCCTCCTCCCAGTCTGCTGGGTGGTCCTGCTGGCCATAGCATGAGGCCTGGAACTCCGGAGGCTGCCTAAATCTGCCCCCCTGCTGGTGGCTGGACTCTGTGGGCCCTCTGGGGCTTGGATTTCGGCTGCCAACACCTCTGAACATGCACACACCTCACCCCACCCGGCCCCTTCATCTCCAGCCTTGGCTTCGTGTCCCGGACTCTGGCTCTGGAGGCCACTGTGTCTCTTTGGGTGACATTTAACGAGCCTGGAGAGGAGGCCGTGCCCCGCCTTTGCCTTCGGCAGAGACGGGAATGAGAATTTTAATGAGGGTTTATTTTTAATAAAGGTTAATAAAGTTTAATTAAATTAAATTAATAAAGTCCAATATTTGCCCAGCCATGCGTCAGGCCTGGGTGTGCTGGGAGGCGTTGGGGATTAAGCTCTGGGTTTGTGCTCCCGGGTGGGGGAGGAAGGTGAGGGGGGAAGGGCACTGGGGCTGGGGCTGGCGGCAGCAAGGGGTATGGGGGGAGACAGGCTGGCTCCTGGGGACATGGGGACTCCCAACCCTGACCGGTCTTGGGGTGCTGGGGAGAGAGGAAAGGCGCAGGTCTGAGATGCTGCCCCCACGGGGCCCAGGCTCCTCCCAAGCCCCGAATGTCCCCCTTCAAAGCACCTAAATCTGGCACTCAAGACCTTCAAAGTCCACTAAGCGCTGGCAGGTCCTGAGATCTGCATAGATTATTTCCTTTAATCCCTCTTCTGGCTCCACAGCCTGGAGAGGTGAGCAATACTGTACCCATTTTATAGAGGCAGAAACTGAGGCCTGTGGGGGTGAAGGACCTCCCATTATCTCTGGCAAGCACTGGGATTGGGCACAAGCAGTGCTGATTCTTCCTGTCTTTGTTTCCTGGCCTACAAGGTCCTTGCCTGGCCCTGCTCTCTTTCCTCCCAGTGTGTCCTGGGCCCCCCCAACATTTCCAGGAGAGGGCTCTGGCTTTATGTGGGTATTTCATCCAATCCTCTCAACATCCCAGGGAGGAAGGTCTATTATAATATTATCACTCCCGGTGGGGTACATTGGCTCACAACTGTAATCTGAGCACTTTGGGAGGCCGAGGCGGGTGGATCATTTGAGGTCAGGAGTTCAAGACCAGCCTGGCCAACATGGTGAAACCCCATCTCTACTAAAAATACAAAAATTAGCTGGGCCTGGTGGTGGGTGCCTGTAATCCCAGTTACTCAGGAGGCTGAGGCAGGAGAATCACTTGAACCCGGCAGGCAGAGGTTGCAGAGAGCTGAGATCCTGCCATTGCACTCTAGCCTGGGTAACAGAACAAGACTCTGTCTCAAAAAAAAAAAAAAAAAAATCACTCCCATTTTGGAGATGAGGAAATTGAGGCTCAGAGAGGTGAAGTCACGCTTCCAAGGCCCAGAGCTGGGGGTGGGGAGCATTTGAGAAGGATGTGATGTCCTCCAAGGTCTTCATCCTTCCAGGGCTCCTGAGGGGATTCAGTGATATAAATGCCCATGGCAGGGACCCCTGCACCAGGACTTGGGCTCTGCCATTTGCTTGCTGTTTCACCCGGGGCCCGGCTGTCACCTCTCCGTGATGTCGTCTGTGAAATGGGCATCATGGCCTCATGGGTTGGTCAAGGGTGGAGCATGAAGCTGCAGGTGCCTGGCTTGGGGCAGACAAGCTCAGCTCCAAATGTGGACATTCAACAGAACCATCAAAGAACAAGAATCCTGCGGCTAGAATCAAATGGCCTCACAAATGGCAGAGAACAGGGGAGGGACAGCTAGAGAGTCCCAGAGCTTCCTAGGAGCCGGGAGGAATCATGGGGAACTTCCTGGAGGCAGTAACGCATGGTCTGTGTAAGCTTTGACTTGTGGGATGGGGTGGCGGTGGAGAGAAGCATGTGCCAGGAGGAGAGTCCTGTAGGGACGAAGATCGGAGGCAGGAAATGATGTATTTGGCAGGAGCAGGGTTGATAGCCAGAAGCACAGTGGGTACGGCTGGAGGGAAGTGACCAAGTCACGGGGCTATGCCTGCCCTGGAGGGGAGGGGAACTGCCGGAGGCTTTTGAGGAAGGGAGTGATGTGGACTCAGGTTGTGCCAGGCGGGAAGCTGAAGGATTATGGGAATCGAGGTAAAGGTTTGGTCAAGAACAAGATGGACTAGGAAACACAGCCGTCCCTGGGGTCTGAGCAGAGGTGGCCCCAGTGCCTTGGAATGCGTGCTTCCAGAAAGAGGTCTTTCTCATCCCCGGGGGTTGAGGATCACGGGGAAGCCCCGAGTGGCCAGGGTAACCTGGGGAGGAGAGAGAACGGTGTTGGCTTACCCAGCCTGAACATGCCACGCGCACAGGGCCATGTGCATTACATGGGCTCTCTCCTTGCATGCTCACAAAAGTCCTTGGAGGGAGGGACTATTAATATCTCCATTTCATAGATGAGGAAACTGAGGGCCAGGGTAGTACAGTGGCTTGCTCAAGATGATCCCTCCCTCCAACCCTCTGCATCCAACTCTGGCACAGGGAGGAAATCAGCACTCTGGAGAGGCTCTGCCCGGGCTTCTCTGCCTAGCACCCACTCCAGGAGGGCAAAGGGCACAGGCTCCAGGACCAGCTGGCGCCCGGCCCCAGCAGCAGACATCCCACGAGGTGCCTCTGGTGCCAGCTCCGGCGGGCAGCCCTGCCTGGCAGACTGTGTGAAAGATGTCGAAGTGTTATTAACAAAGGCATTGATTTTCCTATCTCTGCTTTATGCATTTTATTAGCCAAACACTTTACCGTGTAACCATTCAGCGCCACACTGGCTGGCGATGAATCTGAAACGCCAGGGCACGTAAAATGGAATTGGCCACATTGCTTATGCGCCCACAACAAAAATCACAGGCAAAAGTGTCATAAAATGAATAGCACCCGGCAATGGCCATAAAACAAATATTACCCAGGGGACTGGGGAATTTCCTGGGCTGTGAAGTAGCTGCGTGAGGGGTCGTAGCGCTGGAATGATGGCAATTTCCATTTCTGTGGCTTTGGCCGGGGCTGAGGCCTCCTCCTGCCCGGTACTGGCCTTGGCCCCAACCACGCCAGGCTGTGCTGGCCATCACTAGCTGAGTCCTTTCACATTCGGGCTGTGGGAGGCGTGAATGGGGTGATTAGAAGCAAGACCCCAGAGTCAGAGAGACTGGATTCACGTCCACCTGCTCGGGCCGCGTGACCCTTCTCAAACTGCTGTCTCTCTCTGTGCCTGCCTTCCCGTGAGGATTGGAGCAGGCCCTGTCCTGGCCTCATTGAGCTATAATCGCCTATAAACGGTAGCAGGCTTGTCATGCTCGTGATTGTTAGAGAAGAAAGGCCTCCCACATGACTTTCTGAGTGCTCAGCCCACTGGTTCAGAGGCAGTGGGAAGACTGAGATGACCTCCTCTCCTGTAGAACCAATGGCCCGAGCCTGGTCAGCAGGGCCCTCCATCCCCTGAGTCCCACTCGGCTCCCTTAAATCCTCACTAATGACCGTGCTTAATGAACAGCAACGCTTCAGGGGAAGGAGAAAATGTCCTGAACCTATATATGGATTCCCCCATCTCCCCGGCTCTAAATCGTGTGACAACTGCTGGTGGTGGGGGTGGTGTGTATGGAGGAAGGGTGGCTGGAGTGGAGCCTGGGTGCTCTCAGCGGGGCCTCCCAGGGGTGAGGATACAGGGCTTCTCTTTTGATTGCTGGGCTGGACATTGAGCAGGGGAGATGTCCTCCCAGCCGTCCTAGCACCCTGGACCTCAGAGCACCTGCCCCATGGGGAGGAGGCCAGGGGAGGGGGTAGTAGGCAAGAGGGCCTGCCTGGCACATAGTAGGTGCTCAGTGAAAGTGTGGCGGTGACTAGAGGGTGCATTGGTCCGATGAGCTCCTCCTGTGGCTCCACCCTGCTCTGTGGGAGGCATCATTTCTTTGACGTGATCAGCCGGCAATGTATAGAGGCCCCTTTCACAGGCGAGGTGCAGGGTCAGCGAGAAGGGACTAGCTGAAGGCCACACCGCTAGCCCACACCCTCCCCTCCTGCAAGCGGCTCTGAGACTCCAGTGGGCATCGACGGGCCCAAATGAATGTTCTGGGTGCCCCCTCCAGAGTTGGCCGCCGGTCCAGGGATTCAGGAGTCTTCATTTGATCATTGCTCCAGGAGATTCTGACCCCAAGGTCTCAGGTAGGAGGTTAAAAAGACGCGATCCTAGGGGCTCCCAGGGCAATAGTTCTATGACCCCCGACTTTTCAGGAGGTGCAGGGGCGGGGCAAGTTGCCTTGACAGTGTTGCTCTTCCTGCACGGGGTCTGTTGGGTCCCTCACCCTCCTTTGAGACTTGATGACATCCCGGGGAGTTGAGGTCCCCTAAGCCTGGAGTAGGAGGAGGAGAGGGCTTATGAGCTCTAGGTTTGAACCTGGAGGAGGCCTGATTTCACAGCCCAGCTGTGTGACCTCATAAAGTTACTTGGCCTCTCTGGGCCTCAGTTGCTTTGTCTGCAAAATGGGGAGAATAATACCCCCTTCAAAGGCCTGTTTCAGCCAAGGACTGAGAACCCGGGGCTCTTGACGCACCTACGACTTCCCTCCCTAGGGTGAGGCCCAGGCCTCTCAGATAACTCTGGGAGGATGGCAGAAAGTGTCTGAACCAGCCTTGAATCCAGGTCTCACTGATTCCCTGTTCTCAAGCCCAAGTGCCTCCAACTTGGGACCCAGAAATGGACAAAGCAGGCCTGGGCCCTGTCCTCCTGGGGCTCCCAGTCTGGTTGGGGAGGTGGACTTTGTTGTCAAACAGACCGTCTCAAAACAGAGGTTAGCAGTGATGGGAAAGCCCAGGAGGCTGTGGGAGCCCAGGAGGGCCCCCCGGCCAGATCTCAGAAGTGGGGAGTGGTCAAGGAAGCCTTCCTGGAGGAAGAGTCATTGAAGGTAAGACTTGAAGGGTGGGATGGAGTTAACCAGGCAACAAAGTAAAGAGGAGGGTTAAGGCTGAGGGCACAGCAGTGTGAAGGCCTGAAGGGAAGAGTTTGAGGGATTCTGTTGCCTGAGTTGGAGTATGGTGGGGGCAGGGGAGGGGTCACTGTAGGCGAGGCAGGAGTGTTTTTTTTTTTTAAATGTAGTTTTTAATTTTATTTTATTTTTGTAAAGATGGGGTCTCATTTTGTTGCCCAGGCTGGTCTTGAACTCCTGGGCTCAAGCGATCCTCCTACCTTAGCCTCTCAAAGTGTTGGGATTACAGGTGTGAGCCACTACGCCCAGCCAAAACTCAAGAGCTTTTGATTGCACTTTTTTTTCTTATCCTGTGATTAATTTTTTTTTCTTAAAAATGGTTTCAACTTTCTGAGTGTACCCTTCCCTTGGTATCCCTGAGCCCAGGCTGAATGCACAGACACACTTTGTCGACTGGGAGAAGAAAACAGCTTGTTTATTACACTGTAACTACCACCGAATTACCTGATTGTTTATATTTTTCTTGCTACGTAATTGTGTTTGGCCTTAGCATGTAAATTGGGCTATAATTACTGTATAATTTATAGTTTTTATATCTTATAACAAGTTAGTGTCTAAATCACACACCCCCATGTAAATACTTTAAAATTATTCGGTAATTACTTATTTACATTATAATTAATAATAAGTAATTAGCATACATTTACAAAGGATTTACATACTTATTTCTGAATATCAGTTCTTGGCAGTGCTAGTGAAATCTTTTGCTGATATAAAATGGAGGCCAGGGTAGAAAAACCTTCCCCAGGCTGGGAAAAGGGATGTCGCTTTGGGGTCTCCTGGCTTCTCAGAGGTGGGTCGAGGAGAATGTCCCCAGGGTAGGGGAACCTAAAAATGTGCTTCAGGCCTCATGAGGGGCTTTCTGGAGAAGAATGAGAACATCTCTTCCTTGAGAATAAAAACAGGTTTGCCTGCAGCATGAAGAAGTCAAGGCAGACGTGCGGAAGTACTTTCTGATGTTCTCGTGAGGAAGGTGCCAGAAATGGGCTAAAACTTGGGAAATCCCCCTGCTGCCAGGCTGTCTTGACCCTGACCTCATTCCAAAATAATGATGCCGATGACGGCGATGACAGCATTGTCATTTCAAAACTACTTGCCATGTGTCTTCGTGGCACAGGGCATGAGCTTGACAAGTACAGTCTCATTTAATCCCCACAGCAAGATGTTTTAACTTCCGTTTAGTACGTGGAAAAACGCAGGCTCAAACAATTCATTAATGTGCCCGGACCTCTACAGCCTTGGAGCCCATGGCGGGGACAGACAGGCCAAGTGGACCAAAAGCAGTGATGGCGAGGGGCCACTCCTGCGTCCACCCTTCAGCTCCCTGACCCAGGTATTCTACCTGTTGGGGACACTGCACAAATCACGGCTATTGGTTGAAGGTATACACTGCATCCCGAAGGATAGCAGGCCTTTCCTCCACCCTCAGTGGTGGTCCATGCAAGATGGCACCCCAGCTAGTTCCACCTGTCCCATCCCAAGGGGGAGCTCATCCAATCCCGTTGCAATATCAGAGGATGGTGCTACACCGAGTGCTTCCTGTTGGTCCCTGTTGCCGGCAGATCTGATCTTCAGTAGTGGCAGTGGCTAGATCAGTCTTGGTCATGGGGGGTGGGGGGTGGGGGGCTCTGCTTTGATTCCTTCCACTGTGTTTGTTTGTTTGTTTATTTATTTGTTTATTTATTTTTTTTGCCAGAGTCTCTCTCTGTTCCCCAAGCTGGAGTGATCTCGGCTCACTGCAACCTCCACCTTCTGGGTTCAAGTGATTCTCATGTCTCAGCTTCCCGGGTAGCTGGGATTACAAGTGTGTGCCACCATGCCCGGCTAATTTTTGTATTTTTAGTAGAGATGGAGTTTCACCATGTTGGCCAGGCTGGTCAAGTGAAGCCAGGGACTTCACTTGGCCTTTGCTGGTTTCCTAGAGTTTACTCCTCAGATCAAGGCGCCCAGGTGAATGTTCTTCCACCTGTGTAATCTGCCCATTCCAATGATACATTTGAGAACTCATAAAAAGACCCGAGTGGCCTGAGAGCCCAGGGGACACACTCTGAAATGATCGGGGCTGGGATTCCACCTAGGATTCATTCTCCATGTGCCCCTACTTTGTTTTGTATTTTATTTTATTTATTTTTATTTTTATTTTTTTTGAGGTGGAGTCTCACCCTGTCACCCAGGTTGAAGTGCAGTGGTGTGATCTCGGCTCACTGCAACCTCCACCTCCCTGGTTCGAGTGACTCTCCCGCCTCAGCCTCCTGAGTAGTGCGCCACCACTCCCGGCTAATATTTTTGTATTTTTAGTAGAGACGGGGTTTCACCATGTTGGTCAGGCTGGTCTTGAACTCCTGACCTCGTGACCTGCCCGCCTCAGCCTCCCAAAGTGCTGGGATTACAGGCATGAGCCACTGCGCCCGGGCATGTGCCCCTACTTTAACAGGGAGGCCATGAAGGCTGTTTGGATTCCTGGGTGCCAACGTCAACGTGGTTCCCACATCCAAAAGCTCTGAGGATTTCCATTTGCCCTCGTTGCTTTACAGTTACCTGGGCAAAGGGCTGTAAGTTCCTTTGGGGGAAGGACTGGGGAATCAATGCGGTAAACAATCTCTGTGGTGTTGCAGCCTCCTTCCTCCTGGGGACCAGCCTCTCCTTCAGGTTCTGGGTCTGGAAACTGGGCAAAGGATTCTGATTTCCCACGGGAGTAGCTGGCCTCAGCCTTCTGCTCCTCCATTCCTGTTCTTTCTTCATTCTATAGAGGAAGTGACACCGTATCGGTGTCATCTACCCTGACCCTGGAAACATCTGGACCTACTGGGTGCCATGCTGACCTGGCTGCCCACTAGGGGATTATGTCCACCTGCTTCTGACAGCCAAGCACTGCCACAGTGCTCTGGTATTTAAGAATCTATACTTTTCACCAGGGATCCCAGTTCTGCAACAGCACCTCCCATCAACAGCCCTGGGCTACAACAACAGCCACCACTGATCTCAACCATGTTGGTGCCTCCCTCATCAGCTCATTCCTGTCACTTCAATAAATGGTGCATCTGGAGCCTTCTAAGGACCACAGTCAGGGGTGGGCTTGGATCAGGTGTGGGAGGGCCACTCCAGCACACCTCCTCCTCCGAGCCTCTGATCCCCTCCGCCAGCCAGTCATGACAGCTCTGGCATCTTCGTTTAATGAGACCCATTGCTTTGTCCAAGCATCCAAGAGCCCTCCCAGCAGCTCTTGGGGCTCTTGCCGAGTGGCAAATCCTGGGTTGTCGGGGAGTCTCAGTAGTGACAGGCTCTTGCTTATCCAGTTGTCCATCCCACCCTCTATGAACCAGCAGCATTAGAATCTGTCCCTCCCATGCATCTTGGCCAGGACGTGCAGCTCTTTGGTGGGTGTTCCTCCCTTCCCTTAGCAGGCCTACACTTGCTAAGTTGGGACACACTTTAATTTGATCCTAGTTATAGCTCTGGTGGCCAGGAGGGCAGATCTTGAGCAGGGCCAGCAAGTCTTAGGACATCTCCTGCCCCGGTTGTGGCCCACTTCTCTGAACCCACATAGTTCAGGAGAACCTGGAGTTCAAGGTTCTCAGGTGCATCTACCCCAGTGGCTCCAGCACATGTTGCTGAGTCCCACTCCTTCCCTGTCAAGGCCCCACTTTTGGTGTAGGATAATTACCAGGACTGATGGTTTGACCTTCTCTGAAATTCTGCTGCTCTTCTGATTAGGTCCTGAGCCTTGTCCCCAGCTCTGTCTCCCTCCAGCTCTAGGGCATGAGCATCTCTTTAAACCCTGCCTAGAAGCCCCTGCAGCTTTCGCGTTCACTTGGAATTGGTGATTGATCACTTTGAGGTCGTCATTTTCTCTCCTTAGGGCGTCCATGGCATTCAGCAGCTGCCACCAGTCCTACAATCCTTCTAGTTGCTATTCTCCCGAACTTCACGAACACTGGAGTTATTGCTCAAGCCAGCATATCCACGCTTCCCTGGACTCTGTCCTGGCTCACTCTGGGTGGGAGATAATGAAAGCTACACACTAAAGTGTGCTAGGGACCATGGATTCTCTACCTACCAACAGTGATGGAGTCCTCACCAGGCTGCCAGTGAGTGATGGGACACAAGAATCCGTCTTTAAAGTTGACCACTAGCACTGCCCCCAAAACTCCTCCACCACCTGAGCTTCTCCACTGTGCTGCCACCTTAGGGTTGGATTCCACAGATGCAGAGGTTGAGAGAGATTCAGGGTCACATGGTAATATAGTTTGGCTCTGGGTCCCCACACAAGTCTCATGTTGAATTGTAATATCCAGTGTTGGGGGAGGGACTTGGTAGGAGGTGATTAGATCATGGGGGTAGATTTTCTTCTTGTTGAGATAGTGAGTGAGTTCTCATGAAATCTGGTCTTTTGAAAGTGTGTGGCACTTCCCCCTTCTCTCTCTCTCCTGCTCTGCCATGGTAAGCCATGCTTGCTTCCCCTTTCCCTTCCACTGTGATTGTAAGTTTCCTGAGGCTTCCCAGCCATGTTCCTGTATACCCTGTGGAACTGTGAGTCAATTAAACCTCTTTTCTTTATAAATTATCCCATCTCAGGCAGTTCTTTTTAGTAACGTGAGAAGGGACTAATATGTATGATTTATTGAGGAAGAGCTATCAGGAGAGAGGGAGGGAGGAAAGCAGGATAGGCAGGTGAAGGGGCTGAGCAGGAATGGTCTTGGCTGGAGCCTGGCCTCAGCCTGGCCCCATGGTGGGTTCTGGAGTATGAGCTGCACCACGAGAGTTGTCTCTTCTTGAGGCAGGGGGGCCTGGGCTTTTGAGCTCCTATGTCCATCAGCCACTCCTGGGGTGAGAGCAACTTGGCTGAGGACAATTGCCCAGAGGAAGGAGCAGTGTTCCCTGCAGCTGGAGAATAAGTACACAGCCCATGGAAGGGGGCCTGGGCAGGGCACCAGCAGCAGCCACTCCACACTTTCACCCTTTTGGGAGCCAGAGCCAGGAGCCTTTCCTCCTTTTTTTCATTGTCTCCCTCAACTAAAAAACAGACAGTCTGGGCCCTAAAACCCTATGTGTGTGAATATGGTTCTTAGGTAATGAGTGTGTGGACTATGGAAAGGGAGGATCTAGCCTCAGACTCCAGCTCACACTGGGGCATACAAAGGCCTTGTGGGAGAGCTAGTTTGAGCACAGCTTGTGGCTATGCTAGAAGCTCCTCTGGTTCCAGCCAACATGACATGGTGTCAGGCTTTGGGGGACAGTGGATGAGCCTAGGAGTGAGAAGGGAGAGCTTCCATCTGGGTGCTTGCTTGGCCTAAGCCTGGCACTTGAAGCAGCAAGGGCCAGCATGGTTACCAAGCTGTGCAGGTCCAGTCTTCAACAGTGGCACCGTGTGGCCGAGAGAAGCACTAGCACCTGGCATTGTCAGGTTGGTCTCCCTTTCCTGAGATGGAGATATTCCATAGGGTTGTTAGATAATTGGGGGTGGCAATGGGGGATGAGGGGTGAGGAGAGAAAATTCTTCAAGAGGAAGATACTGAATACTAATAGGGCCTGTGGAAACTCAAATTAGTAATATGAAGAACAAAAAAGAGGTTTGACCGAATTTGCATTTTATTAAAACTAAGAAATTAACATTGGTATGATACTGCATTAGTTCATTCTCACACTGCTGTAAAGAAGCACCGAAGACTGGGTAATTTATAAAGGAAAGAGGTTTAGTTGACTCACAGTTCCACATGGCTCAGGAAACTAACAATCATGGCTGAAGGCGAAGAGAAAGCAAGGACCTTCTTCACATGGTGGCAGGAGAGAGAAGTACAAACAGGGGAAATGCCAGAGGCTTATAAAACCATCAGATCTCGTGAGAACTCACTCACTATCATGAGAATAGCATGGAGGAAGCTGATCCAATCACCTCCCACCAGGTCTCTCCCTCCACACGTGGGGATTATGGGGATTACAATTCAAAATGAGATTTGGGCAAAGACACAGAGCCAAACCATATCAAATGCTATTAACCAAACTACAGACTTTATTTGGATTTTTCCAGTTTTTCCATGGATGCCCTTTTTTGTTCCAGGATCCAGTCCAGGATACCACATTGCATTTAGTCATCGTGTCTCCTTAGCCATCTAAAATTGGTGACAGTCTCTCGGTCTTTCTTTATCTTTCATGATCTTGACACTTTTGAAGAGTAGTTCACCCTTTATTTTTATGTCAGTTCCAATTCTAGTCCTGTAAGCAAGCATATGATACCACCATTTCTGTGAATAAATTCAGATTTATAGATGCAAACACACCTCCACATATCTATGTCTTTTGAGTGTATTTGTGTGTGTGGGTGTATGTAAATATTTGGACATGAGAATGTTCACTGTGCATATTTGTTATAATTTTTATATTTTTAGATTCCTGCTTCATTGGCAGTCGCAGATTCTGAAGCAAGTTCTTATTCTGGAAGGGGCAGGCGAGGGGTTCTGGAATGGGCTGGGGTTGGTACATCACAGGAAGGATGATGCCTGGGGCTGTGCTCGTTTAGGCATGGGCTGCACTGGTGTTCCCCCAGGATGGCAGGTGATATGGTTTGGATCTGTGTTCCCACTCAAATCTCATGTCGAATTGTAATCTCCAGTGTTGCGGGAGGGGCTTGGTGGGAGATGATTGGGTCAAGGGGGCGGAATTCCCCCTTGCTGTTCTTGTGATAGTGAGTGATTCTCATGAGATTTGGTTGTGTCAAGGTGTGTGGCACTCCCCCCGCTTTACTCTCTCTTCCACCTTCTCTGGCCACGTAAGCAATGCTTGCTTCACCTTCCGCCAGATGGTAAGTTTCCTGAGGCCTCCCCAGCCATGCTTCGTGTACAGCCTGCAGAACTGTGAGCCAACTAAACCTCTTTTCTTTATAAATTACCCAGTCTCAGGTGGTTCTTTACAGCAATTCAAGAACAAAATAATACAGCAGGTGAGGCCTCATTGCCAAGGGTGGACAGAGGAGAGAGCCTGCCCCCTGACTCTCTGGCCAAGTTTCTCACACCCTCAGCCAGAAATTGGTCTGATGCGTTCATCCATCAAGAGGGGCAGGCCATTCGAGGAAACACAGCTGTGGATGTGTGCGGGCACTGTCATGCTTATCAGCAAGCGTCAATGTCCACCCGTGTGAAAAGGGACTCTCACTCTCACGGGCTGGGTGACTTTGGGCAAATGACTTCTCCTTTCTGTGCCTGGGTTTCTCAGTTTATAAATGCAGAGTGGCAGGGTATTCTGGGCTCATCAAATACAAATGTGATCTCCCACATTTCCCAGCCTCCCCGGCAGTTAGGCTGGGGCCATGTGGCGAGTTTTGGCCAATGGGCTGGGAGCACAGTGTGGCACTTGTCACTTTTGGGCTGAGGCAGTTCAGACCCATGGGGTTTTCTTCATCACTTTCCTTTCCCACCTTAGTGACCCCAGAAGCACCTGTTCTACAGGGCCTGACCACAACATAGAGAAAGGCCAGCACCCCACAGGGGGCTTTGTGTGAGTGTGAAATATACTCTTACCATGAAAAGCCACTGACACTTGAGGTTGGTTTGTTGTTGCAGCAAAGCCCATCGGATCCTAAGTAATGGTGATCATGCTCACTCCCGGTGAGTGGTGACGGGCACCAGGACCTCAGGAGTTGATGCGTCTGTGGGGATGCCTGTGGAGGCTGCTTCCTGGGCTTCCTGAGGATTCGGAGCTGGGGCAAGAGATAGCTGGTGGGTGCATTTTGTGAAAATGCTCAAGAAATTATTCTTATCATTCCTTAAGGAGACAAAATTTCTAGTAAGTTTAACTTCCAGACCCTCTTGGTAAAGGTTTTACCTCCCATGTAAGGGTGACTTTAGCAAAAATTAACAATTTATTGTATCAATGATGTGTTCCCGGTGGCTGAGGGCTGCTGAGATGTGGCAAATGGAGCCTGAGAGGGCCAAGTTCCCAGGGGAGGGGAGGGCAGCAAGGGGAGAGGCCTGTAGGATCAGGCTGATAATGGTTGCTCACCCCCACCCCAATCCTGACCATGAGGGCAGGGGAGGAGTCTGTTTGCAGAGTGTGGGGCCTGGAGCCACATGAAGTTTCTGTTGGGGGTCTAGACTTGGATGATGCAGGCATCATCATCATCGTCAGCTCATGTACAGAACCATCCATGTGCCAAGTCCCAAGCCGATAACTTTCTGAGCCTTAACTTAGTTCTCCCAGCATCCCAGTTGTCAGGCTCCCATGTTCCCAGTCTTAAGAACAAGGAATCCCAGGCTCTGAGACAGGAAGGGGTATGGCTGAGGAGGCAGAGCTGGAGTTGACTGCAGAGACTCCTGCTTTTGTTCACCACGTGCTGCTCTGCTGCTCCCCAGAAGGTGCCAAGCTCCGGATGGGGCCCTTACTACCTGTCAAATCAGCACCGCCTCCCCTTCCCTGGACAGCCCCCTTGAAGGGCGATGGAAAAAATCCAGGGAAGGCTGAGTGGAAGAAGCGAACTTCAGAAAAACATCAATAGGGCAATACCATTTGTGTGTGTGTGTGTGTGTGTGTGTGTGTGTGTGTGTGTGTGTGTTGTTGTTGTTTCTTTGTGTTCTTGTTTTGTTTTGTTTTATTTTTTGGAGATGGGGTCTTGCTGCATTGCCCAGGCATTGCGGCCTCGAACTTCTGGGCTCGACTGTTCCTCCTGCCTTAGCCTCCTGAGTAGCTGGGACTACAGGTGCGTGCCACCACGCCCACTAATTTTTAAATTTTTTGTAAAGATGGAGTCTTGCTATATTGTCCAGGCTGATCTTGAACTGGGCTCAAGCCATCCCTCTGCCTCAGCCTTTGAAAGTGCTGGGATTACAGGTGTGAGCCACCACTCCTGGACGAAGACCATTTTTTAAAAGAAATGAAACCAAAAGCATCTATATGTTTCCATAGATCCATATGTATATGAAGGCATAGAGAAAAATCTGGAAGGATACACAGCTGACGGGTAACAGTTAGCTCCAGAGAGGGACAGAGTAGAGGGTGGAGGTGGCTGGGGACACTATCTGTGATGCTTAGGTTTTTTTTTGTTTTGTTTTTGTTTTGACAATGACAATGCATTCATATATCACCTGTGTAATTAAGAATTCATTTACAAATTTTAAAAGGGCAATAACAAACAAATAAGCCAGCTGTTGTAGGAGAGCTGCAGCTTTGGGCTGCTTTTCTGCCATGTTCACCTGCCCCTCGCTGAGTTCACTGCTTGGTCTCCAGCACCTGACACTTAGTAGGAACTCAGTAAATGTGTATGGAATGAATGAAGAGGTGAATGAATGGGTGGATGAGTGCATCTCAGTAAATGTGTATGGAGGGAATGAAGAGGTGAATGGGTGGATGAGTACATCTCAGTAAATGTGTATGGAGTGAATGAAGAGGTGAATGAATGGGTGGATGAGTGCATCTCAGTAAATGTGTATGGAGTGAATGAAGAGGTGAATGAATGGGTGGATGAGTGCATCTCAGTAAATGTGTATGGAGGGAATGAAGAGGTGAATGAATGGGTGGATGAGTGCATCTCAGTAAATGTGTATGGAGGGAATGAAGGGATGAGTGAATGGGTGGATGAGTACATCTCAGTAAATGTGTATGGAGTGAATGAAGAGGTGAATGAATGGGTGGATGAGTGCATCTCAGTAAATGTGTATGGAGGGAATGAAGGGGTGAATGAATGGGTGGATGAGTACATCTCAGTAAATGTGTATGGAGTGAATGAAGAGGTGAATGAATGGGTGGATGAGTGCATCTCAGTAAATGTGTATGGAGGGAATGAAGGGATGAGTGAATGGGTGGATGAGTACATCTCAGTAAATGTGTATGGAGTGAATGAAGAGGTGAATGAATGGGTGGATGAGTGCATCTCAGTAAATGTGTATGGAGGGAATGAAGAGGTGAATGAATGGGTGGATGAGTGCATCTCAGTAAATGTGTATGGAGGGAATGAAGGGATGAGTGAATGGGTGGATGAGTACATCTCAGTAAATGTGTATGGAGTGAATGAAGAGGTGAATGAATGGGTGGATGAGTGCATCTCAGTAAATGTGTATGGAGGGAATGAAGGGGTGAATGAATGGGTGGATGAGTACATCTCAGTAAATGTGTATGGAGTGAATGAAGAGGTGAATGAATGGGTGGATGAGTGCATCTCAGTAAATGTGTATGGAGGGAATGAAGGGGTGAATGAATGGGTGGATGAGTGCATCTCAGTAAATGTGTATGGAGGGAATGAAGGGATGAGTGAATGGGTGGATGAGTACATCTCAGTAAATGTGTATGGAGGGAATGAAGAGGTGAGTGAATGGGTGGATGAGTACAGCTCAGTAAATGTGTATGGAGGGAATGAAGGGATGAGTGAATGGGTGGATGAGTACAGCTCAGTAAATGTGTATGGAGGGAATGAAGGGATGAGTGAATGGGTGGATGAGTACATCTCAGTAAATGTGTATGGAGTGAATGAAGCGGTGAATGAATGGGTGGATGAGTACATGAACATGTCAGATGTGATCCAAGTAGCACAGATGTGGGTGGAAGGATCACCTCCCTCTTTCCAGCCATGATGTCTCCATTGATGCAGTCTAAGACACCACTTGCTTACTGGTGGCTGCGTCTTGCTTGAGTGCAGGTAGGATGGTTTCCATTGAATTAAAATCCACCTCCTCCCAGTCCCATGCTCCTTAGGGGACGCAAGCAGCCGTCTTTCCTCCCTGTTCACGCCTCTCTTGTTATGCTCAGTTTCCTGCTGACTTTGTGTCCAGGCTTCTCATCACCGGAAAATCTCATTTGTCTGTCCCCACAGGCTCTTTAGGGAGGCAAGTAACCTCTTTAGGGAGGGGGCGTGAGTGGGGAGTGGATGGTGAGGAGAGAGTGCGGCCTCCAAAAATGGGAGGTCAAGGTGGATTCTGTGGCCTCTTTGAAGAGGCCCTGTCTGGCTCTACGTCCAGCTGCTGTGGTCCCGGAGGGAGTGGCCAGGGGCTGCGGCCTGATGTGGCGCACGCAGATGTCTCACCCGGCCCCATCTCTGGCAGAACTGCAGGCTCAGTGATGCCTCAAACCCATCCCCAGCCCCTCCCCCACCACCTGGACCTTGCCGCCCCTGCCCCCACCTGGCCGTCCCCCGAGCCAGGGAGCTGGGGAGAGGAAACCACACACCGAGGCCCTATCTGATACTCATAAGTTTGCTCAAGCTTATGTAAATCACACAAAAACTGACAAGTTTTCCTATTAAAAGATAATTGTAATCAGGGTGCCGGACGTGCGGTGTGGGGCTGATTGGAGATAGACGGACAGTACGAAAAGATGGATCGTTTTAATTTGCACCAATTATATTGAAGTTCATGGGATCATCTTCTTCAATCTTCATGAATACTTTATTTTCTGGCTGCTACAGAGCTATTAAAAAGAATGATTGAGGCACACGGCAGGCCGGGTATATTTTATGAAATATCACCTTTAAAGAATTTGAGTACGCCATTTTCATAATGAGTTTTCTAGTACCTAATCCTCTTCTCTATTACTACATTTAAGAAGTGGATTGATCTGGGAAGTGCCCAAGGTGCAGGTAATGATACATTTTGCCAGGCGCAGGCGGTGATAATGGATCACGTTTTGGCGAGGAGGATAATGGATGGGTGCCCAGCGGAGGTGCGTGCAGGAGTGGGCGGTGTCCGTCCAGCCCCGATGGGGGCCTGTGCTGAGTCAGGTTCCTGTCCTTGCTTGGTGACTCTCCGGACTCCAGCTCCAGGCTGGCGAGGAAGGCGTGGAGGCCAGAAAAGGAGAGGACGAGGCGGGGGACCGGGGACGTGGGAGCTGAGATGGGGAAGGGCTCAGGGGTCTTGGGCCAGTGGGGAGGGGTCTGTAGGCTCAGCTGTAGGGAGAGGCTGGAGTTGCCTGGTGTGGGGTAAACGCCCCTGATAGCAGTAGCTTAAGCATGCCCTTAGAATGCCCCTGTAAGGCAGACACACCTGAAGGTGGGTTCTGAGCTAGGGAATCCGGGAGTGGCCAACCCGGAGGTTCATTCCTTGTCTATAGGAACATCTGAGACCCCCGCCCATCCTGTGGAAAAGAGGATTGAGGCTGTGAATGTTGCCACGTGGAGGTTGTTAAGTGGATGACACTAATTGAAAACGACGTATAAACTGCACGCTCTCTGCCGTGGTTGTGGTTCTCCTGTCCGGCCTGCCGCACCTAGACTCTCCACCTTGTATGTAAGCCCCTGGTAACCCCAAGGCTGGTTTGCTGGCTCTAGGTGTCTTCTTCAGCCTCTAGAACCTGGTGCCCACCCTACTGAGGTTGACACAGGGTCAGCACAACACCTGGTTTGCCCTGAGCCAGGATCAGATGGGTTTTGGGGGAAGGGTACAGGATGGGGGAGTCTCTGAGCCCATGAGGAAATTGATGAACAGCAGCAGGACAGGACCTGCAACAGCCCCGGCCAAGGGCCTGGCCACAGCAGTCCCACTCCTGACTCCAGCTCCCTCTCTGGGCCTGTCTCCCAGGCACAGTGGTCTTTGGGGCTGGAGGAGACGGCAGATGAGGAAGGGGTTGCGGGTGGGTGAACTCATTTCAGAGTCAGCTGGGCCAGGGGGCCAAGGGGTCCCTGCCAGGATGGAGTGCTGGGGTCATCTGGTGTGTGGTCATGATGACAGCAGGGTCAAGGGCTAAGGTGTGACATGACAAGCCTGGCCAGGGGAGCCCAACCCCAGGGTCATGGCCCTGTCTCCTTGCCTCAGGTGCTGCCTGGGGGCGTCGCCCTGGCCCTGCTAGGCCTGGCCCTGGGAGTCACAGCCCTAGTGGCTTCCTGAGATCCTTGGCCTTGGCCCTGGGCAGGGCAGGGCAGCCTGCGGGGAGAGGCAGAGAGAGGCGCCCCCGCGCCACCCCAGGCTAGGTCTCAGCTCCGCCACTTGGCCAGGCTTTCCTCCCAAGGCTTCAGCGGCAGCAGCCGTCATAATTAACCCTGCTAATTAATCAGGGCAGGACGGATTAATTGAGATCACAGGAGACCAGGAGAGCAGGTGCGGCTTCGGGGCTGACGGGATAACGAGCTCTCTGGAAGCCCAGGGGGCCTGGCCCTGCCCAGGGGAGCCCTGGGCTCGCTCTGCAGTGAACTGCACCAGGCAGTGGCCCCAGGGACCCCACCCTACTGGGGTGTCCCGGGCCCGCTATGGCAGGCTGGCAGGCAGAGTCTCCCTCGTCCCCGCCGCCAGGCCCCAGCCTGGTGGAACCACGAGTTCCATCTGTGGCCCATGAGAAAGGAAGCCCCAGGCTGCCAGGGGCCACTGCACAGAGTGGCAGGTAGGGTCAGGCACTGGAGCTCTTTCCCTACACCCGAGAGCAGGTCGCCTGCTGCCGCAGAGGGCCTGGGAAGGCACCTGTATCAGGGGCTAAGATGCCCTGAGAGAGGCCCTTCCTAAACCACAGAAGGGCTCAGCGGGATTCCTGCCGGCGAGTGCTGTGGCCACTTTCTGATTCCTAAACTCTCTAGCAGCTTCCACGATGAGGAGAATTTGGAAGATGCCTGACAGAGGCAGGGGCCCCAGTGAGGAGGCTTTGGCTGCAGCCCAGGCAGGCGGGTGGCTTGGACTTGGGCAGTGGCAGTGGAGGTGGAGAGGCGCCTCTTGGGTGGGAAACTGGAACTTTTGGACGGACTAGATACGGTGGATGAGGGGCAGAGGTCAGGGTGATTGCTGCATTTCCAGGAGGTTCTGCTCCTGGGATGGGGAGCGTGGAGTGGGTTAGAAAGGCAAGAAGATGAGTTTTGGTTCTGGATCACAATCTCAACTGCCTTTTAGACTCTGTCACTGCTGTCTTGTCCCAGCTCCCCCTCTTCCTGTTTCCCAACTTGTCGGGCTCTGGGACACTGCAGTCCACCCATGCCCTGGTCCTGGCTGGCTGGTGCTGCCTCCAGAGAACTGCTCCTCTCAATCTGTTCTAAGCTTCCCTTGCCAAGAAGCCTTCCCTGCTCCAAGGGAGCATGGGCCTACCTCTTCTGAGATCCCACCAGACCTTTGTGCCTTTGCTCATAAATGCCCTTCCCTCCCTGAAACCAGGTGAGCTCCTACGCAACCGTGAACACCCAGGGCTAATCTCATCTCTTCCTCTTCATTTGTCTGGGTTCCAGTAGCTTCTTCCTTGGAGCCTCCATTACACTTTGTATGACTCTGGCAACCACATGTCTGTCACCTTAAAGTTACTTTTGGAATAAGCTTGGTAATCGAAATTGCCAACTTATCGTATTGCTTAATCTTTATATAGGTATCATAAACTGTATATTCTTTTTTTTTTTTTTTTGAGACGGCCTCACTCTGTCACCCAGTCTGGAGTGCAGTAGCTTGATCTCAGTTCCCTGCAACCTCCACCTCCCAGGTTCAAGCAATCCTCCCACCTCAGCCTCCCTAATAGCTGGGATTACAGGTGCACGCCGCCATGCCTGGCTAATTTTTATATTTTCTTGTAGAGATGGGGGTCTGTCTATGTTGCTCAGGCTGGTCTTGAACTCCTGAGCTCAAGTAATCCACTCACCTCAGCCTCCCAAAGTGCTGGGATTACAGGCGTGAGCCACCGCACCCGGCCCATTTATCCCTTTAAAGCAGGGTTTTTCAACCGCATTACTATTGACGATCGGAGCCGGGTGGCTCTTTGTTGTGGAGGGGTCCTGGCATTGTAGGATGTCTAACAGCATCCTGCTCTCTACTCACTAGATGCCACTAGCACCCCCGAGTTGTGTCAAACAAAATGTCTCCAGGCATTACCAAGTGTCCCCTGGGGGGCAAAATTATCCCCTGTTGAAAACTTGATAAGATACGAGAAAAGCAAGTGGGACATGAGCACCCCAAAACCTGACAGGCCCGATGCTGCTTTGGGGTGTGGATTTTGAGAATATGAACCTTCAGTGCTTCCTAAATACAGAGGTTCTCAGCTGTTGTTATGTGCACATGGCCCTAAAAGCACATACACACACCGAGAGGAGACTCAGCGACGCTATCCAAGTGAGCCCCACACTGGGCCAAGTCCCCTCTGCAGTAGCATGGATGAAAACGACATGTAGGCCAGGCACGGTGGCTCACACCTATAATCCCAGCACTTTGGGAGACGGAGGAAGGCGGATCACCTGAGGTCAGGAGTTCGAGACCAGCCTGGCCAACACGGTGAAACCCCATCTTTACTAAAAACATAAAAATTAGCTGGGTGTGGTGGTGGGCACCTGTAGTCCCAGCTACTTGGGAGGCTGAGGCAGGAGAATCGCTTGAACCTAGGAGGCAGAGGTTGCGGTGAGCCGAGATCGCACCACTGCACTCCAGCCTGGGTGACAGAGCGAGACTCTGTCTCAACAACAACAAAAAACAATGTAGATGTTTACTCAGGGGAATGCTGCAGCCGTAAGCGTGAACGACCGGCTCCGCGCACATGGGACACACCATGGATGAGCCTCACAACAGAAGAGAAAGTGGCCGCCCCAACCATTGTGCCCTGGCTGGCTTCATTATGGAGGGTTCTATGATGGTAGAAGTCGGGTGACTGCTGTGTCTGGGGATGGTGACTGAAAGAGGGTTCCGGGGTCCAGCGGGTGGTGGTAAACTTCTTGGTCTGGATGCTGGCTTCAGGGATGTGTTCATTTTGTTAGAATTCTTTGGGCTGAACACTTAAGGTTGACATTTTTTTCTGTATATGTGTTATGCTTCAATAAAAAGTATGCTTAAAAAATAATACTAATAATACTGGCCCAGTGCGGTGACTCACGCTTATAATCCCAGCATTTTGGGAGGCTGAGGTGGGAGGATTGCTTGAGCCTAGGAGTTCAAGAGCAGCCTGGGCAACACGGGGGAGACCCCATCTCTACAAAAAATACAAAAATTAGCTGGGTATGGTGGCATGTGCCTGTGGTCCCAGATACTAGGGAGGCTGAGGAAGGAGGATGGCTTGAGCCTTGGAGGTTGAAGCTGCAGTGAGCCGTGATCATGCCGCTGTACTCCAGCCTGGGTGACAGAAGGAGATCCTGTCTCAAAAAAAAAAAAAAAAAAAAAATCACCTTAAAAACGAACATCTTTTGTGCAAAAGTTAAACTATCACATTATAAATGAGAGAGTTTGGCTAGCTGAAAACGAACAAATATGTGAATTCCTAAATTTTACTTCCCTTTTATACACAGTTTCTGATGCTCTACTTCCAGCATTTTTCTTCTCATCCTTTAACTTTGTTTTTTTGCTTTCATGATTGATGCCTGATGCCTGACTCCAGCTGTGGAGGGGCTGATGGACCGCTTTTACAGCCTGGGATCTTCATCTGCATCTCAAATGTGTGATCATATGTTTCTTACCCCTAGGTTGGCAAGCTTATTAAAAATATTAGCATTTATATGCTAAAAAAATTATGAAGTCAACATGAAAAGACTCATGAACTTACAAAGGTTTAGAACAGTTTTTTGCATGTTGTCCTCGTGAAATGCAGGGAGGACTGCAAGGGACACCGTTGGAACAAGCTGGTGCCACTAGCTGATGCATAAACGCTGGAATTATCAGTTGGGTAAAAAGCAAGATTATTTTTTGGGATGACAGATGAAGGGACGGTTTGAAATGTAAATTAGATAAATTGAATGATGTACATCATTCAAATCGTGGGTCTTATTTACAGGGGGCTGGATCGTTTCATTTCTTTCTTTTTTTTATTTCATCTTTTTTTTTTTTTTTTGAGACAGAGTCTTGCTCTGTCACTCAGGCTGGAGTACAGTGGCACCATCTTGGCTCACTGCAACCTCTGCCTCCCAGGTTCAAGCAATTCTCCTGCCTCAGCCTCCTGAGTAGCTGGGATTACAGGCGCCTGTCACCACACCAGGCTAATTTTTGTATTTCTTTTTTTAGTAGAGATGGAGTTTCACCATGTTGGCCAGGCTGCTCTCCAGCTCTCAAGTGATCCACCTGCCTCGGCCTCCTGAAGTGCTGGGATTGCAGGCGTGAGCCACCGCGCCCTGCAGGGGACTGGATCACTTCTATCGGCCCCAAACATGGGACAACTCTCATGCTGTAAGCAAAACCCGCCCTGGGGCCTTTGACCTCCTCCTGTTGTGACCACTTCTCTGCTCCCCAGAGAGTTGTCCTCCCTTCCTGCTGCCTCCACTCCAGTTCTACCCTCTCCACTCAGGCTGTCCTTGCTCTCCCCTGAAGCGGGGTCATTCTTGGCTCAGTCCGCAAGTCCTGCGAGGGTTACCTTCAGAATATATCCAGAATCCATGTACACCTCACAGCCGCCACCCTCGCGTCTGTGTGGACGACTGCAATGGCCTGGCAGCTGGACCTTGCTTCCACACGCCCCCAGCCCACGGTCTAGTCCGCACTCAGCAGCAGGCATCTTTTCTTTTTTTCTCTTCTCTTTTCTCCTTCCTTCCCTTTCTTTTTCTTTTCTTTTCTTTCTTGACGGAGTCTCACTCTGTCATCCAGGCTGGAGTGCAGTGGTGTGATCTTGGCTTACTGCAACTTCTGCCTCCCGGGTTCAAGCGATTCTCCTGCCTCAGCCTCCCAAGTAGCTGGAATTACAGGCATGTGCCACCACGCATGGCTAATTTTTGGGTTTTTTTTTTAGTAGACACAATGTTTCACCATGTCGGCCAGGCTGGTCTCAAACTCCTGACCTCAGGTGATCCGCCTTCCTCAGCCTCCCAAAGGGTTGGGATTACAGGTGTGAGCCACCGCGTCTGGCCATCATCAAGGTTCTTTCTAAGTGTTCATCAGATAAGGCAGGCACTTTTCAGCTCCAACCTCCTGATCCCAACAAGATCCAAATCCCGGCCATACCCCACTAGCCTCTCATGACTGGGCCTGTGGGTCTCTCCCACCCATCTTCTTCCTCCAGCAGGCTCAGGGCCTTTGCACCTGCAGATACACCCTTCCCTCTCTGATCCCTTCCCGTGCTCAGTAGCATCTCCTTAGAACCGTCCCTGAACACTGGTCCTGGAGGTTCCTCCCAGCACCCTTAATCTCCTTTTCCCACTGCTATGATTATTTGCTTTCTTTCTCTTGGAAGCCCCAAGTCCATCATCACATCATATTTTATATGTGTTTGGATCTCTCTCGCTAGAATACACACCTCCAAGGCAGAAGGCTTTGCCAGTCTTGTCCTGGAACAGAGCCTGGGTGTAGGAGGTCCTGCCCGCCCTACTCTGGAGGCAGACAGAGCTGGCTTTGGGTCCCGATCTGCCACTCACAGACTGTGCTCCTGGGCATGTGACCTCACTTCTCTCAGCCTCAATTCCTCATCTGCAAAATGGGTTAATAATAAGACCTACCAGGGGAGATGAGGCGAGATGTACTCATGATGGAGAGATCCTGAGACAGGGAAGAAACTCACCAACACTGCGAGTGGCCATGGAATAAATGAGTGGGCCGAGAATGATCCGTGGGTTGGCAGCTGATGGATCTGAGGGAGGGAAAGGGATTGAGACAAACTCAATTGAGTGCTGGTTGTGATATGCAGCATCTCTGGGGATCCTCACGACAATGCATGAGGTAGACACCATCTTACAGGTAAGGAAACAGCTCAGAGAAGTGAAGGAACTTGTCTTAGGCCACACAGCTGGGGAGAGCTAGAGATGAGCCCCCAGCCTGGGGCTTCAGTGGTGGTTGGGCAGCTGGGCCCAGGGATGCTAATTACGGCCATGGGTTTAGTGTAGACTTGTGGGTCACAACCTCTTCTCTGCTCACATCAGCCACCTGGTTCTGAGGATATGATTGTCATGGGCTGGTGACGTGGAATAGGAAGAGGGGAGGCAGTTTGAAAAAGTCAACCCTGGCCGCCATGGTGTATCATGCCTGTAATCCCAGCACTTTGAGAAGCTGAGGCAGGTGGATCACCTGAAGTCAGGAGTTCAAGACCAGTCTGGCCAAATGGCAAAACCCCATCTCTACTAAAAATACAAAAATTAGCTGGGTGTGTTGGCAGGCACCTGTAATCCCAGCTACTCGGGAGGCTGAGGCAGGAGAATTGCTGGAATCCAGGAGGCGGAGGTTGTAGTGAGCTGAGATCACACTATTGCACTCCAGACTGGGAGACAGAGTGAGATTCCATCTAAAAAAAAAAAAAAAAAAAAAGTCAACCCTCACCCTACCCAGATTTGGATACATCCTCAGTTGAGGTACTGCAGATCTAGGGGCAGTCTCTAGTGGGAGGCCACAGGGCTCTACCTCATTCAACAATTGCATCAGTGATTTGAATGAGAACATAGAAGCTATGTCAAGAACCTCTGTGTGTCTGTGTAGGAACAGGTTTCAGGAACTTGTTGGAGGGGAGAAAGTAGAATTGATTAGCTCTAAGTCAAATCTAAATAAAAAATACTGAGCATATTGGGTGATGGGCTGGGTGGACTCAGATAAAATTAAACAGTGAGAAACACAGAACCCTGCACCCAGGTCCCTGAACCCAACTGCACACCTGAGAGACAGGTGGGCAAACCCTGTAGTGCCCAAGTGCCCAGGCAGATGCCCCTCGATCTGAGCAAAGTCTTTACCCTCCTCTCCCCTTGTGAGCAGGATGAGGGTGGTGAAATTCAATGAGAAGAGAGTCAAGGGGATGAGTACTCAGACTATTGAACAACTTCCCAAACAGGTTGACTTTTGGAATACATATTTCCATGAAGGCAGGTCTCTCTTGGAATGCCACAGGGCTCTAGGATAGACCACCATGTTGTAAAAAACAAGCTTTCGGATAAACTTTTCCTGGACAGGCTGGTTGAGTTGCGAGTTTGCGTAGACAGGAGAGGGGACGCTGAGACATACTCCTGCAAGGACGAGGGTGGCTCAAGGTGTGCTTGTTAGTACTCCCTGGCCTGAAGCAGGGCTGGGGTCTCTCCTTGGTGAAGTTGATGGCTGTGGTTTCCTAGGCGGGTCTACCTTAAAAGCCCTCAATGTCCCTGCCTGCCTTGGTTACAACTGCAGGTGCCTGGCCCATCACAGGAGCTCAATGGGTGAATGGAAAGTGATCCGTAAACTTGGGGGCCCTCCATCTCGGGGTGTGGTGTATGTGCCTGCATGCATCCATGTGTGTATGCATGTGTGCGTGCATGCATTTTTATATGTGTGTGTGCGCATGCATGTGTATGTGTGCATGCATGGATGTGTGTGCATGCATTTGTGTATGCGTGTGTGTGCATTCGTGTGTGTGTGCACGCCTGTGTGCGTGCATGCATGTGTATATGCGCATGTGCATGCATGCGTGTATGCATGCATGTAAGCATGTGTGCATGCATTTGTGTGTATGTGTGTGCACGCCTGTGTGTGCATGCGTGCATGTGTGCATGCATGTGTGTATGCGTGTGTGCATGCATGTATGTGTGTATGCGTGTGTGCATGCATCCATGTATGTGTGTGTGCGCGCATCCATGTGTGTGTGCAAGCCTTGTGCATGCATGTGTGTGTGCATGCATGTGTGTGCGTGCATGCATGTGTGTATGCATGTGTGCGTGCATTCATGTGTGTGTGAGTGTGTGCATATGTGCATGCATCCGTGTATGTGTGTGTGTGTGCGTGCAGGTGTGCAGTCTCCTTTTCCTGTTGCCTTTCTTCCCCAAGGCTGGGCTGGTGCCCGGAGGGTGGGGTCAGGCCTGGCAGTTCCACCCCGTGCCGGTGGTGACAACACAGATCCTCCCGTCTCCACCAGCATTTACTTTAATTGCCCGAAAATTGACGATAGATGCAAGGAAAATAATGAGGCCTAATTATGTTAATTAAACGGCTAATTCATTAATTAACGCACTCACATCCTTGGCTTGGAGAGCCCCTTCATGGTGGCCGGTGGGTTGGTTCGGTTCCAGCTGGGGAGGAGGGGCCCTGCCTGGGGGCCAGGGGTTGGGTTGCCCTCCTGGGCGGGGGCCACAGAAGCTGGGCTGCCAGGGGTGCCTCAGCTGCTCCTCCTTGGATACTCCCCGTTCTGAGCCCCTGGGGGCTGCTCCCTTACAGTCTGCAGTTTACAAGAGTCTGGGAAGGGGCTGGTGGGCAGAGCTGGGCCTGGGTCTGTTTTCCCCAGGAGCCTCCTGGTGACTTCTTGGTGGCCTCCCATCCCGGAGGAGGTGGTGTGGATGGGGAGAGCCCCACGGAGAGACAGTGGGCGGGTCCGTCCAATGGGGACAGCTCAGGTGGCTGCAAGACCCACAGACGGAAGGACATGTTGCCCAGGAGAGTGGGACGAGCCTGTGGCTGGGACGGTCCAGGAGCCCCTTCTGTCCTTGAGGGACCACCTGGTATCTAGACCCCTGTGGATAAGAGCAGGGTAGCAGAGGCCTGGAAGCTGTTGGCAGCTTGGCCCCTGATTTGCTGTGACCACAGAAGGGTTGACCATGGCTCACAGGACACAGACTAGCTCCTCACCATGCCTTCCCCACGGCCTGCGTGGTGGGCTGTGCCCGTGAGCAGCCCCAACTCCTGTTCTCTGCCTCCCTTTGCTCCTCTTCCTCAACCTTAAGATCTCAGCCTCCAGTCTGTCTTTGAGTCAGAAACCCTAATAGGCCCTCCCAGAACCCTGTTTTTTTGTGCGTTCACAGTCCTTGGCACCGTTTGCAATGGTAGGATTACGCGTAATCCATTCTGTTTCTCTCTCCCCAACAACCTCCTGGGCCCTGCAGAGTCCACAGAGGATCTAACTCCTTGCTGAACCCCTAGGACCTAGCTCGGAGCCTGGCATGCAGTAGGCACTCACGAGCTGTTTGGAGAAGAAATCACCCGTGAATGTCAGAGTCTGTGGCATGAGGGGCTTTGTCACCAAACCCTGCTCCCGCTACCTACCAACACCGTCACAGCCAGTACCATATCCTTCTTCTTCTTCTTCTTATTTTTTAGAACGAGTCTCGCTCTGTTGCCCAGTCTGGAGGGCAGTGGCGCGATCTCGGCTCACTGCAAGCTGCGCCTCCTGGGTTCATGCCATTCTCCTGCCTCAGCCTCCCGAGTAACTGGGACTACAGGTGCCCATCACCACACCTGGATAATTTTTTGTATTTTTAGCAGAGATGGGGTTTCACTGTGTTAGCCAGGATGGTCTCGATTTCCTGACCTCATGATCCACCCACCTCGGCCTCCCAAAGTGCTGGGATTACAGGCGTGAGCCACCACGCCCGGCCAGCCGGTACCATATTATTAAAACCATTTATCTCTGGGTCCTTGCTCAGGACCTGTGAAGTAGGGCTGAACTTCATAGTCACACACTCAGATGAATAACGATGTCACTTGAGGCCATGTGGAGAAGAGGTTATGGGTGGGGTCTCGGCGTTGAACACTGACTTCACCACTTCCAGGCTGTGTGACCTTATGTGAGTGTCTTAACCTCTCTGGGCCTCAGTGAGTGCTCCTTTCTTGCAGGTGTTGTGGGCTTCAAGTCAGACACTGTGCAGAGTGCATGGACTGGGCCTGGCAGACGCAGTGCCCAATCATTTAGCTTCTCTACTTTCTTCATTTTCCCTACTACTTTCATTTTGAACAAGACCTTATTCTTCCTGATGCCAAAAATATAATCCAGGTAAAGCTGGTCAAATTCAGGATTTCTCCGTCTGGTGGAAATGTTCATCATAGGAATAGGTTTGCTTGTCCCCCGTCCTCTTCTTGGGGCGGGTGCTAAGCTTCTTATCAAAAGCTTCCATATGTGGAACCAAGCAGACAAGGTTGATTAAAACACTGCAATCAGAAAACCTGACTGTGTGCACCAGGGCGGACTAGAAACCGCTCCTCCTGGTGTGCGTCAGGGTAGGGACTCAGATCACGCCGGACTTTATGTGTTTTTGATGCTGGTGTCATGGGTTTTTGGCTTCATTTTGATTTTTAAAAATATTGCTGAGTTTTGGATGGGACGTGGTGTCTCACCCCTGTAATCCCAGCACTTTGGGCCAAGGCGGGTGGATCACCCAAGGTCAGGAGTTCGAGATCAGTCTGGCCAACATGGTGAAACCCCGTCTCTACTAAAAATACAAAAATTAGCTAGGCGTGCTGCTCGCCTGTAATCCCAGCTACTCGGGAGGCTGAGGCAGGAGAATCTCTTGAACCCGGGCAGCAGAGGTTGCAGTGAGCCGAGATCACACCATTGCACTCCAGCCTGGGCAACAGAGCAAGACTCCATCTCAAAAAAAAAAAAAAAAAATTGCTGAGTTTTTGACACCCCTTAAATTTTGTCTCACTCTAATCCTCGCCTCCAAGGTCCTTCCTCAGCTGCTTCCCTCTTCCTCCCCTCCCCTACTCCCTTCCTCACCTACCTCCCCCAATGTCCTTGTGACCTCCTCTGATCTCCAGTTCTCACAAGAGGCTGCTAGGAGTGGGCATCCCGGTGGGACCCAGGAGGCGCCAAATTTCTCTTCTTTGGGACCCCAAACCCATCTTTTGAGGTCTTGGGTCACTTTTCTCCACTTCACCCAGGAATCTTCTTGGAGAAGAGTGGGTAGGGGAAGCAGCGTGTGGAGGACAACCAACCCCTCTCCTCTTTCCTCCAGGTTGCTCTTGCCTGCTGTCTGCCTCCACTGGGGGCACGAGTGGGGTCAGGGGATAGATGGGTGGGGAGCAAGCTGGAGAGGTGTTTTGCCTTCTCTCTTTTGCCTTCCAATCACCCCTGCTGAGTTCTTGCACCGAGGTTTGACACCAAAGCTAGGACTGTGGCATCTTACTTCTTTGGTTTCTCCATGGATGATTCCTAAAGCCAAGTAGGGCCCTCCTGGCTGGGTGCCTTGATGAGGGACAGCCAGCAGGAAACAGGCAGCATGGGCTCCAGCCCCTTCCCCCACAGCATCCCACTTCCCCTGGCACCTGGGGCCTGGCTGGAAACTCCTTCAGCTGCCCTGGAGGTGGCTTGAGGACAGAGCCTTCCCTCCAGCCAGTCGTGGCTGGGGAGACCACTCCCCAAGGTCCTTGAGGTCAGCCAACCACACATACAGGGCCTCCAAATTGCAGCCACCCAGGATCAGAGGGCGAAGGTCTTGCAGGGAGGGGAGAGGAGGGGAGCTCCGGCAGGTGCCAGGTGGAATTCAGCACCGTTTTCCAGGAGAGGGAATCGATTGCTTTATTGCTGAGACTTAATTTGAAGAAAGTGAAACTAAAGCTTCATAAGAAATATGATTATTATAAAATACTTAAGCCTCTGCCTGGGGGTCCTGAGCCCTGCTTGTCTCAGCCCTGTCTGGGATAGCAGGAACCACAATCTCACTCTCTAATTGGAATGGATTTCAAAAGTGCAATAAAAGCAACCACCTAGATGTAGGAACCTGTCGCTTGGAGCTGTCTCTGGGCAGACTTGATGAATGTGGGAATTGTACAGAGCTCTCATCTCCCGATCTCTGCCCCCCAGGCCTTCCTCCCCTCCAAGAGTTGATAGTAATAACAATGATAATAATCACAATAAAAGCAGCTGAACATTTAGTGAGCACTCACCCTACACTGAGCTCAGCCTTTGTAGGCACTGTGACCCCACGAGGAAATGTATTAGTCAGCTATGACCACAGACTGCTGCATAACAGGCAACCCCGAAAAGCAGCTGCTTAAAATAGTGATCATTTATTTCCCAGGTTGCCTGGGAGTTAGCTGATCTTTTTTTTTTTTTTTTTTTTTTTTGAGACAGAGTCTCACTCTGTCATCCAGGCTGGAGTGCAGTGACATGATCTCGGCTCACTGCAACCTCCACCTCCCAAGTTCAAGTGATTCTCCTGCCTTAGCCTCCTGAGTAGCTGAGGTTATAGGCACATGCCACCATGCCCGGCTAATTTTTGTAATTTTTTTTTTTTTGAGAAAGAGTTTTGCTCTTGTCACCCAGGCTGCAGTGCAATGGTGTGATCTCGCCTCACTGCAACCTCTGTCTCCCCGGTTCAAGCAATTCTCTTGCCTCAGCCTCCTGAGTAGCTGGGATTACAGGTGCCCACCACCATGCCCTCCTAATTTTTTTTTTTTTTTTGTATTTTTAGTAGAGACGAGATTTCACCACGTTGGCCAGGCTGGTCTCGAACTCCGACCTCAAGTGATCTGCTTGCCTCGGCCTCCCAAAGTGCTGGGATCACAGGCGTGAGCCACTGTGCCCGGCCAAGTTAGCTGTTCTTGTCTGGGCCCAGCTGGGGCAGTTAGGCTCTGATCCACGGGTTCCATCCTCTTCCTGGGACCAGCACCAGCAGGGGCACATTCTTCTCAGGTAGATGGCGGAGGCACCAGAGAGCACATGGAAACACCCGAGGCCTCTTGAGACCTAAGCCCCAAAGTGGTTCTCCTCTGTTCTTCCTCATTCTGTTGCCAAAGCAAGTCAGACCCTAAGTTTAAAGTGAAATGTGGAAACAATTCCTTGCCTAATCTTTAGCGAGAGACATGGCAAAGTCACATGCAATGAGTGCGGCTACCAGGAGAGGTGAAGAACTGGGCCCACGAATGCAATCTACCACAGGTAGGTTACCACTATTATACCCATTTTACAGATGAGGAAAATGAGGCTCTGGGAGGGAAAGCTTCTCATGCAGGGTCACAGGGCCACGGTGGAGCTGGGATTCAGAGCTAGGCCTTTGTGCTTCCTGAGTCTGTGGTCCTAGTGACCCCTTTTCCATCTGTGCTTGAGCCCACCCTGACCAGGGGAGTTTGTCAGAAACCAGCCCATTTGGGAGCCAGACACATGGCCTGGTCCTACCAGCAGCTGAGGCTCCGAGTGCCCCTGATATCCTGCCCCACCCCACCCAATTCTTTTTTTTTTTTTTTTTGAGATGGAGTCTTGCTTTGTCACCGAAGCTGGAGTGCAGTGGCTCGATCTTGGCTCACTGCAAACTCTGCCTCCCGGGTTCAAGTGATTCTTTTGCCTCAGCCTCCCGAATAGTTGGGATTACAGGCATCTGCCACCACGCCAGCTAATTTTTGTATTTTTAGTAGAGACGGGGTTTCACCATGTTAGCCAGGCTGGTCTCGAACTCCTGACCTCAGGTGATCCACCCGCCTTGGCCTCCCAAACTGCTGGGATTACAGGCGTGAGCCATTGTGTCCGGCCCCAATTCTCATTAGACCAGGAATGGACACTCCCTTGTTCAGTTTTCACTCTGCCCTCTGAGGGGAGGCCTGGTGTCCCCAACTGGTAAAGGGTGGGGCAGGATGCAAATCAAGCCCCTCAGAACTTCCCCGGTACCACGACCCCACATGTAGAACGGAAGCCTTGCTCCTAGCTCAGCCCTGCACAGGGCTGTCAACCTGAGACTCTTAATAACCTCCTCCCAACTTTCCAGCCTGCTGTGGGACCATGGCGCCTGCCTGATGGCAGAATGGTCTGCTGCCTGGGTTTCCTGCCTCCCAGCCTCCTTTGGGGGCACATCTGGGGCATATGTTACCCTCGGTGTCCTGGTCCCTCCCCTGGGGTCCCCAGGAACCTGGCCAGTAGAATCTGTGCCCAGAAACACGCAGCTGTGCGATGCTCAGGGACTCACAGACTCTCCCCACCTGACTCCTTTTAAAGCTTTTTATTCTCGATTACCCAAGTAATACGTGTTCATTGCAGGAAAATTAGAAAATACAGAAAAGCATAAAGGAAAAAAAAATCAAGTGTAACCAGTTTAGAGGCGTCTGCACTCATTAGGGGTATAAACATGAAATGATTTTATTTTTCCCAATAACTGCCACACTCTGCTCTCTCTAAACCACCCTCTCTCCCTTCCTGCTGGGTGGTGAGTCCATAAATGACATCTCAGTCCGATTCCATAATTTTCCACTTTGGGTTATTAATACTGGCTCATTCTGGCATCGAAGACTCAGTCCCATGTATTTTAAAACTCCAACCCCACATTCTATTCAAAGTTTGTCCTCCTGTCCCTTCGACCCCCGCAACACTTTTGCCTTGGGGGGCAGGCTGGTCCACAGTCTAGCAGCCTGGGGGGGGAGATGCCCCCTTTCTCCCCACTCCTTCCTGGAAGTGTCTGGCTCTGGCACTGGGGAGACAGGGCTGGTGCAGCCTCTTTGGGGCTTTTGGCTGCTGATGCAACTTGCAACTTGTCCCTGGGTGGACGGCCGTTCCACAGGGTCTCCCGGGTGAGCCAGGGACTCCCGCTGGCCTCCCTCTCAGGCCTTGCTGGCCCCTCATGATTCAGCCACACCTTGTGGTTGGCTCCCAGCTGCAGCTTCCTGCTGAGTCCTTTTGTGTAGTCCCTCTTCCCCAGGCTGCGGTAGCCCCCTCAATCCCGTGGCCCTAAAACTGCTCTGCCTTGGTGGTCCTCAGCTATTGGGCCTGGGGGCACCTGCTGCAGCTAGGCGCAGAGCTTAGGCCTGGGCACTTGGAGGTAGTCCTCGTACCCACCCCCTGGGCAAGCCCTACCCTCTCAGCCGTAAGCCCTTTTCCTGGACTCCATGCGTGCAGGGGAAGCCAGGCTGGTGGTCAGGCACTTGGCCAGGAAAACTG
Organism: Homo sapiens; assembly: GCF_000001405.40. Classification (NCBI taxonomy): domain Eukaryota; kingdom Metazoa; phylum Chordata; class Mammalia; order Primates; family Hominidae; genus Homo; species Homo sapiens. Next base: position 126,031,258 of record NC_000009.12, read on the forward strand.
GTCTCCCCTTCTTGCAGGCACCTGGGCTGGAGGGGAGATGCCCTTGGACTTGGGGAGGAAGTAGCCAAACTCTCCATCTCCAAGTGGAGGAGACGGAAGGGAAGGACTGTGCCTCCCTCTCGCGCTTCTGTTACCTGTGTCTAAAGAAGGGGCTGCAGGCACGCTGAAGTGCGCTCCTGGCAGCAGGCGGTTCTGGGGTCTCTGATGCCTCCATCTCCCAAGGAGTCTCTTCTGGTGCCCTGGCCCAAGTCCTTTCACTTGGCAGAGTCCATCTAGGGGGTGACCACCCAGCAGTGAGTGGTGGTCCTCCTCTGTCTCCAGAAACCTTCTTCCCATCCCTGGGGGAATCCTTGGCAGTCCAGTTTATCCCATGTGCTGCTTTCCCCACCCTCCAGGCGGATTGGATCAGAGATGAATATCAGACCCCAAACGGGCCTGGGACAAGAGGTCTCTTCAGGGGCCAGGACCAAAGCTGGAGACCTTGGGAGTAGGGCCTTTGCGTCTCCCTGAGAGCTGGACCTCAGAAAGAGGAGGGGGAAGAGGGAAAGAGCCAGTTCTGAAGGCTGTCTAGCTTGCAGCTCTTGTCTCTCCGGGGTGCCTTGATATCCCCATGTCCCGGGGGAAAAATCCTCCTTGTGCCAGGTCAGTTAGAGAGGGTCTGTTGTTTGAAACAAGAGTTCTAACCAGTACCCAAATGCACGTGAAAGTCTATGCACCATGTTTTATTACATATGATTAAAATGGGATCATAGTTCCAACATTTCCCTAATGGTTTATTGATGTTAATAAGGATCCTGTGAAAAAATGGTTCTATACTCAAGTAAGTTTGGAAAACATTGGTTGACTGAAATAAGTCAGATTTCGTTACCGCAGGACTTCTCAGAGCCTTTAACACGTCAGTGTGCATTTGTGAGTATGCGTGTTGTATTATTCCGTTCTCATGCTGCTAATAAAGACATACCCAACACTGGGTAATTTATAAAGGAAAGAGGTTTAATGGACTCAAAGTTCCTCATGGCTGGGGAGGCCTCAAAATTGTGGCAGAAGACGAAGGAAGAGCAAAGGGACGTCTTACATGGCGGCAGACAAGAGGGCATGGGCAGGGGAACTCCCTTTTATAAAACCATCAGATCTCGTGAGAGTATTCACTATCATGAGAATGGCATGGGAAAGATCCACCCCATGATTCAGTTACCTCCCACTGGGTCCCTCCCTCAACACGTGGGAATTATGGGAGCTATAGTTTGAGATTTGGGTGGGGACACAGCCAAACCATATCACATGTAGTTTCCCATACTTATTTGATCACATAGACTCTCTGAGAACAATGTTCTGCAGATAATAGCCTAGGGAATGCTAGATAATTGTATTAGAACATGATATGTTTGCCATTTTCCTCATCATCTCTACTAATAATTACTGAATACTTGAATTATCTCCATTCCTCCAGATGAGTAAACTGAGGCCCAGATAAGTTAAAAATTTGCTGATGTCACACAGAGAGGCGAGGAAGAATGGCCTGAGCCCCCTTTGAACCCCTAGATGGTGTTACTGGTTTCTCTACTTAAACTTGGACATCATTTTTTTTTTTTTTTTTTTTTGAGACAGAGTCTCGCTTTGTTGCCCAGGCTGGAGTGCAGTGGCATGATCTCGGCTCACTGCAACCTCCTCCCCGCCGGGTTCAGGCAATTCTCCTGCCTCAGCCTCCTGAGTAGCTGGAACTACAGGCACCTACAATCATGCCTGGCTATTTTTTGTGTTTTTGTAGAGACGGGGTTTCACCGTGTTGACTAGGCTGGTCTCGAACTCCTGACCTCAGGTGATCTGCCTGCCTTGGCCTCCCAAAGTGCTGGGATTACAGGTGTGAGCCACCGTGCCAGGCCAACCTTGGACATCTTTTCCCATCTGCCAATAAGTCTTCACAAGTGGCGTATGGCAGTCCCTCTAATGCCTGTGCCCGACTTCCTGGCCTGATCCTCCTTGATGGCTCTTTTCTTGGGTTTAACTCCGCAGGTTGCATTTCCTGCAGAGCCATTAGCTGCCTGCCACTACTGCCACCTTTGTCTTAGAGAAGCCTGCATCCCAGTTGCCAGGCCCTTGGGAGGACTCGGCCTTTCTGGGAAATGCCTGACTTGAAGGGTTGAGGCTCCCTGGGGATGGGTGTTCACCATGGTTCCTCATCCAGCCCCTTCCTGCATCTCCCCAAGAGCCTGCAGGGGCAGGCACGGAGGACCAGTCACACCCACAGGCCACCCTGGGCTTGCTCACCCTGGCCTTGCCACAGCAGATTGGATCAGAGGCAGGCACGTGACACAGTCCTGGTTTGGAGTTGGGGTTCAGAACACCCTCCAGGCAGATCCCGAGGGTGCTGAGTTGGCACATGGGCACAGAGGAGCAGAAACACCCAGGGTGCAGAGGGCAGAGAGGGGAGGAGAGAGAGACAGCGACGGAGACTGAGAGAGGCGGGGAGAGACAGGACGTGGCTTCCGGGGCTCCCCACAGCTCTCAGACCCAGTTCCAGTCCCTTACCAGGCCTGGCTGCGCTTCCCATCTTTAGGTTCTAGAAGATTCCCCTTTATGCTTCCAGTGAATTCCTTACTTCCCCTGACTTTCGTGTGTATATGCTTCTCTTAATTGCAGTCCAGGGGTCTGCTCAGGTTCTGTCTTGCAGGATTATGTCAGCTTCTCCACCACCCCTTGCTCCCTTGAAATTCCAAAGGACTGGGGGTTCCTCGGTGACAGCATGGGTGTCACTGCAGAGGGCTGGGGTGGGACAAAACCTTGGTCCTGTGCCAATGTGATGGGTGGGAGTCTCACTGCGGCCTCAGCCTCAGGCCCTACTGACCACGGTTTGGGAACAACCCCACCCTGGAGGGCCCTCGGGGATTTGCAGGCCTGGGGAGATGGTGAACCCTCCAGGTCTCCCATCAGAGGCACAGCTCCCACCTTGCCTTGGGCTCAGTTCTGCACCTCCCAGGTGAAGCAGCCAACACCCTGGCAGGAAGCTGATGGCAGGTGAAGAGGTTTTTGGCTTTGTGGGGTTTTTTTTGAAATAGGATCTTGCTCTGTTGCCTAGGCTGGAGTGCAGTGGTGTGATCACAGCTTGCTGCAGCCTTGACCTCCTGGAGGAGGTCAAGTGATCCTCCCGCCTCAGCCCCCCAAGTAGCGGAGACTACAGGTGCATGCCACCACACCCAGCTAATTGCTTTATTTTTTGTAGAGATTGAGGTATCACTATATTATCAGGCTGATCTTGAACTCCTAGGCTCAAGTGATCCTCCCACCTCGGCCTCCCAAAGTGCTGGGATTACAGGCACGAGCACCACACCTAGCAGTTGAAGAGGTTTTAATGAGGCTTTACTTAGAAAGGCATGGGCAGGCTCAGAGGAGACCAATGTGGATGGTCTGAGATCCCAACCGTGGGAAGTGACATTCCTCTCTAGGCTGAGGGACATGGGAAAAGAGCAGAGGGCTGTCCCTTAGCAGTAGCTGAAGGGAAGGGTTTTCCTGGTGGGTCTTGTGTCTCTTGCAGAGGAATGAGGCACTGCCAACCCAGAGCCCAGCAGGAATAGAGCTGGGGGAATAAATGCCCCAATCCTTGTCCCCAGTGCCTGTCCGCATCTCCTGCCAGTGCTTCCCATAGGCTGAACTGACAGCCAGAGGGCAAGACAGCTGGATGCCATCCATGAAGGCCCATAGAGCAGGGCAGAAAAGAGAGTGGCTCTTGAGGGGTGATGGAGGGCAGCCAGCTTAGGAGGCTCAGAGCCACCAATGCCAAGGGGGTCTCCTTAGGGAGCGGTTCCCTGCTAGCCTCAGGCTCAGATTTCCTGCCACTCCAACACCCTCCTTCCTTCCTGCACGCATAGAGCATCCTAAGATGGCAAGATAAAGCTGCTTGTGGGTGAGACAGAGATCAGCCTCTTGGTCTACTGTTGGATCATCTTCCTTTTTCTCTTTGGGTAGCCTTACTGATGCACTAGTCCAAACACCACTGCTAACTCCTTTAGGCACATACCAACACACGCCTGGTATCGTCTGGGGTGAACTGAGGTCCTGACAAAAAATATATGTGAAGCATCGGAGCTATGACTGGGATTCAGCAGCTGCTCCATAAGCGGTAGATCCTATGATTACTATTTATCCATGAAGAGCAAGAAGAAGAATCTATCACACTAAGAGCTCAGCATCCCGGGCCAGGGAAATACTGTTCTGCAAAGAAGTGAAAATCTTGCTGGACCATGGAGCATTAGATTGTGCTGTCCAGATAGGTTCATGGTTTTATACCCAGCTTGGGAAGTACAGGTCTTTAGGGTGGACTCTGAGAGGCCAGATTTGCACAATGACTCTCCAACCTCAAAGATATTAGGTTGGCGCGGCTGGGCACGGTGGCTCACGCCTGTAATCCCAGCACTTTGGGAGGCCGAGGTGGGTGGATCACCTGAGGTCAGGAGTTCGAGACCAGCCTGGCCAACATGGTGAAACCTCATCTCTACTAAAAATACAAAAATTAGCAAGGTGTGGTGGTGGGTGTCTGTAATCCCAGCTACTTGGGAGGCTGAGGCAGAAGAATCGCTTGAACCCGGGAGGCGGAGGTTGCGGTGAGCCAAGATGGTGCCACTGCACTCTAGCCTGGGTGACAGAGTGAGACTGTCTCAAAAAACAAAACAAAACAAAAAGATATTAGGTTGGTGCAAAAGTAAAGGCTGTTTTTGCAATTTTAACAGCAAAAACCGAAATTACTTTTGCACCAACCTAATCAAATGACTTAGGGGCTGATGGCCGGGCCTGGCATGCACCTACTATGTGCCAAGCACTGTGCTAAGGGGTTGTCAGGTGGGATCCCCTGCCTCCTCATCACAGCACTTTGAAGGAGGTACCACTATGATCCTATTTGACAGATGAGGGAACTGAGGCTCTGAGGGCTGGTGTGACCTGCCCACGGTCACCTGGCTGGTAAGTCCTACACTGAGTATCTCTCAGTTGTTTCCCAGAGATTGCCCATACCTCCTCACCCTGTCACCCTCTTGTCCCCACCTCCACTGCTAAACGGGCACGATGACAAATTCTTGTTGAATCAAAGAATAAATGAATAGATGGCCAGGTGCGGGCTCATGCCTGTAATCTCAGCACTTTGGGAGGCTGAGGAGGGCGGATCACCTGAGGTCAGGAGTTTGAAACCAGCCTGGCCAACATGGTGAAATCCCATCTCTACCAAAAATAAAAAAAATTAGCCAGGCGTGGTGGCGTGCACCTGTAACCCCAGCTACTCAGGAGGCTGAGGCGGGAGAATTGCTTGAACCCAGGAGGTCGAGGCTGCAGTGAGCTGAGATCACACCACTGCACTCCAGCCTAGGCGACAGAGCGAGATTCCATCTTAAAAAAAAAAAAAGAAAAGTGAATAAATGAATGAAAGCAAGGATTACACTCCTAATCCTGTAAACATTTATTTCAGGGCCGCTTCTGAATTCTGGAAATCTAACAAACCAGCCATCCATATCCCCATTTTCCAGGTGGGGAAACCAAGCCCAAGGTCCCCAGAGAGGCTGGAGTCCCTCCAGATGACTGAGTTGGGGACTCAGAGTGCAACTCTGGCCGCTGCCATGGCAGTGACTTTTGAGCCACAGTGAGGAAGGAGCCTGCTTGCTGGGCAGTTGTTGTTTTCTCTTTTTTTTCCTTCCTCTCCTCTGGTCCCCATCCCGAAGGTAAAAAGTTCATGCAGGCGGCCATCCGTCGCAGGCTGTCAGGCAGCCATGTAATCTCTCTGTGGTTTTATTACTTAAAAACGGCGCAGCGTCCGGGCTGGGGAATTTTCCAAGGTGTTTGAGGCTGCCACGGGCCCCATTTATATTGTGCCTGAGTTTCCTTCCCAGTCTCCTTGAGAAAGTGACCAGCAGGCCCCGCTGTGAAGGCCGTATCAGTCATTTGCCAATAGGAGCCGGGCCGTGAATTATCAGGGGATGGCTCGGCGGGGAACTCGGGCCAGGGGGCGCGGGGTGACAGTAAACATGTCCCCGGAATGTGTCCCCCATCACTCACGGGCAGATAGCAGATCTAGGCACACACGTGGCCCCTATCTCTAAATCTTGGCCTGACCTGTGAGAGAGATGGAGGTGACTTTCAAGGGAGTCGGTCTGCAGGGAACTTGGACAGAAGTTTATGGCAGGCTGCGTTTCCCTGCCCAGCAGGGAAGGCTCCTGGTGCCGAGAGGCCAGCTGGAAAACACTGACCTTCTGGTTAATGAATTTATTCATCCTTTTAGACTTTTACTCAACAAAAAATTATGATTCAGCCTCAGATATGAGAAGAGGATGTACATTTTGAGTTTCTTGGGAGATGCCAAATGAAAGTCTTTATTTTAGGGAGGAAAAGGGGCTCTGAAGTCAGGCTCCTGTTGTCCCCTCTCTGTGTTCCCTGGTCATCTTGTCCCAGCTCAAGGCCCCTGTGGGTCCACCCTCTCGCTCTGTCTGGGGCTGAGAGACTCACTGAGGGTTTGTGTCCAGGAGACAGGGCAGCTGCCCTGGTCTGGGGGAAGTTTCTGTCCCAAGATAGCTGCCTGGGGTTAGCCTCTGCACTGGGGACATATCCACCGAGGTCAACAAATCCTTACAATAAGCCCATGCCGTACTCCATCTGTAAAATGATCACTCCATTTTCCAGATGGGGAGAGAAGTGTGGCAGGTTAAGAATTGCCTCAGATCACTCAGTGCGTCCATGCTAGAACTCAGACTCGAACCCAGGTCGGTCAGCCCCGAAGCCCCGTGGGAGGAGGGTTCTGGCTGCTGTCTGCAGTCTTGGTGGCTCTGAGGATCCTGAGAGCTTCTTGTTGACAAGTGTCCTGTCCTAATGCTGCTGACATCTGAGCATGGTGTCTCCACCTACTCCAGCCCATGGAAAGCAGGGGAAGCTAGCACAGGCCGGAGACTGGAGACACAAAGGGGGCCTTAAAAATTAGGAAGAGGGGTGGGGTGCAGCAGCTCACACCTGTAATCCCAGCTCTTCGGGGGGCTGAAGGATCACTTAAGCCCAGGAGTTCAAGACCAGCCTGGGCAATATAGTGAGACCCCGTCTCTATGAAACATAAAAAAAATTAGCCAGGCATGGTGGCATGTGCCTGTGGTCCCAGCTAATCAGGAAGCTGAGGTGGGAGGACCATTTGGGCCCAGGAGGTTGAGGCTTCAGTGAGCTGTGATTGTACTACTGCACTCCAGCCTGGGTGACAGAGCGAGACCCCATATCTCCAAACAAAACAAAACAAAAAACAAAAAAGGCCAGGAGCGGTGGCTCACCCCTGTAATCCCAGCACTCTGGGAGGCCAAGGCTGGAGGATCACTTGAGCTCAGGAGTTTGAGACCAGCCTGGCCAATGCGGTGAGACCCTGTCTCTACCAAATAATAATAATAATAATAATAAATGTGAAAAGCATAGGAAGAGGGGCAGAGAAAGGAGAAATAAGGTGTATAGGGCAGGGGGTGGGGGCCAGCGGCTGAGAGTCAGAGAGACAGAAGAAGGCAGAAAGGTGAGGCAAAGCTTCGGGAGATACGAGAAGGCTGAGCTTGAGACGCAGCAGGAGATAAGAGCCCTTACCAGTCTCATCCCCTGGCTTTGTGCTTTCAGGCCCTTTCCTGCCTTCTCTGTCTCTGTGTTTCTTTGCCTCTGGCTCCTTTGACTTCTGACCTTCCGTGGCTCCCAACCTTGCAGTTGCATAGCCTCAAACAAAGGACCTTACCTCCCCGGCCTCAGCCTCCTTGCCTGTCAAGTGGAGATAACAGTGCTGCTTTCCGTGAGGACTCTGCAAAGAAGGTGACCAACTGTTCTGGTTTATCTGGGATTGTCCTGATTTTAGCATGGACAGTCCCCTAACCTGGCAAATTCCTCAGTCCCTGACAAACAGGGCAGGTTGGTCTCTCCGGGAGCCAGTGGCTTGTGGTTCCCAGCCCTTGGCGCACAGTGGCTCTGAGGGGGCCTGTCTGGTCTGCCTCCCTCCTTACTTCTCTTTGGCCTTCTGGGTTCTGTTGCCCTCTCTTTTGTTGTTTCCGTCTTGTCTGCTGTGAATCTTGCTCTCTGCTCCTCGGATTGTCCCTTGCCTCCTAGCCTCTGTCTCTAACTCCTTCTCCCCATGTCTCTTGAGGATTCTCCCCTCCTCTCCCTCTGTCTCTCTCCCTCTGCCCCATCTCAGCCCGCTCCCTACCCTGAACACCCTGTTTCTCCTTTCTCTGTTCTGCTTCCTAATTATCAGGGACACCTTTTTGTCCCCAGTCTGTGTCTTGGGGCTGAGTTTCCTCCCCTTAGCATGGGCTGGATTGAGGGATGGAGGGGGAATGGCCAGTGGAGACACCCACGATCCCTTCACCGCGACCCCGAGATCCTGACCTGGGGGCCTGAGACCAGGCCAGGGTCTTACGGGCAGGTTCAAGGCCAGCCAGAGGGACAGGACCAGGAAGGCCCAGCCTCAGCTCCCCGGGCTGGGGCAGCTCACCTGGCCAGGAAAGCGATTGGCACAACCTCCCCGGTGGCAGCCTTTAATGGCCTGTGTGTGTTCAGACAAGGACTGACTCTTTCAAAGATAATTTATTGGCTGATACCTCATTGCACATGGTAATAGCTTGTGCTTAAATAATAATAAGCTTGATTGCCATGCAGTCGTTACACTTTTTTTCCCATTCAGTTTAACTGACCATTTTGTGTGTGGTTTGGAAGAAGAGGGGAGAGAGAGCCCCGTCATTATCCTGGGCCCGAAATGCGAGTTAATTTCTAATGAAGGTATAATTTTATTCCAATGATTTTACATTTAATTAACTAAAGCTACAAGTAATTTGAAATTATATGGTGATGGGGCCTCACGTTGGGGATCACAGAGGGCAGAGTAGGGGAGCTGAGGGTAGGGGTGCCCAGTGAGGAAAGGTGGGTGAAGGGAAGGGGATCCAGGCCCCATGATGGGCACCCAAGGCCCAGTACCTCTTCAATCTTCACCTTGACCCTTTGTGGTAGGAAGTACTATTGTTCCCATTTACAGACGGGGAAAGGAAGGCTCAGAGAAAGGAAGGAGTAGACCCTAGCTTTTGTCCTGTTCTTTCTCCCCCTCCCCTCCCTGTTCTGGAAAGAGCACTCGCCACCTATCCTACTCCCTGCCTTCACCATCGTATGGGGCTGCCATGTTGTTCCATGGTCCTGACCATAGTATCATTGGGTTGGGCCAATGACTCCCTTCTCTGGGATTTTTGAACTTGGGCACGAGTCAGGCAGAGACCTTTTCATGCCTGAAGGATAAGATTTACTTTTCTCTCTTATCTAATTTAACTTATGTTCAGTTCCGTAAGGGGCATAAATCAGAAGTGAACAGCTGGATGGAATTTTACATATGTTCACATGCATGTCACTGTCACTCAGATTGAGCACCGAGCAGGTGTCCTTTTTCCTCTTCCCAGGCAATACCTCCCCAAATAACGGTGTGTGGTGTCTATCACCATAGGTCAGGTTCGCTTTTTTTAGACTTTGTGTAAGAATCAAAGAGCACATATTCTTTGATGTCTGGCTTCCTTCATTCAACGACCTTACTTACTTGCACTTACCTTATGCTTGCAAAGTTATCCAAATTGTTGGATATCATAGTATCTTGTTCCTTTTCATTGCTATGCCGAATTCTAATGTACAAATCTGTCATAATTTACTTATTCCTTCTCTTGTCAATAGGCATGTGTGTTGTCTCCAGTTCGGGTCCGTTATGAACGTTTGTTATGAATATTCCAGGGTCTATCTTTTGGTGGGTATAAATACTTTTTCCTCTTGGGTATATATGCCAGGAGTGGAATTTCTTGGTTCTCTCTCTCTCTAGTAATGTTACCAAATGGTTTTCCAAACTGGCTGTACTGATCTGTATTGCTCTCAGCAAATGAGGAGAGTTCTGGCTTCTTCATATTTTTGTAACACTTGGTATTACCAGGTCTTTAAATTTTAGCCATCTGAGTGGGGAGAGTATTTCACATTCAGGTTGTACTTTGAATTTTCCTGATGATGAATGATGTTAATGATGTTGAAGAAATTTTCTAGGCTTAGTTATTTGGATAGACTTTTTTTTTGTGAAGTGCCTTACAATGGTCTGAATGTTTATGAGATCCCCAAAACTCATATGTTGAAATCTAACCCCCTATGTGGTGGTATCTTTGGGAGATAATTAGGTCATGAGGGCTCTGTTCTTATGAAGGGGATTAGTGCTCTTATAAAAAGGCCCAAAGGAGCTTGTTCACTCCTTCCACCATATGAGGATGCAGAAGGGAGGCACCATCCCTCTATGAAGCAGAGCAAGCCGTCACCAGACACTGAGTCTGCTGGCATCCTGATCTTGGACTTCCCAGCCTCCAGAACCATAAGCAATACATTTCTGTTGTGTATAAGTTACCCAGTCTGAAGTATTTTGTTGTAACACCCTGAATGGACTAAGACATGCCTGTTCAAGTCTTTTGACAATTTTTAAAAAATTGAATTGTCCAGTTTTTTCTTATTAATTTCTAGAAGTTTAAAAAATGTATTCTGAGGCTTGCTTTCTCTCCCTCTTAATGGTACCTTTTGATGACTAGAAGCTCTTAATTTTAATGAAGTCTAAAGGAAAAGGTACAAGCTCAGGGAGCAGAGTGCTGCAATAATTAACAATGCCTGCTGTGGGCACATGTGGGAGAATTATTGTCATGCGTGCCACCAGTCTGACATCCCTCAGCCTGGAGCTCTCTCATCAGCTGTCTTCCACCCAGTAGTGCTCTATTTTTTTTTTTTTTAATTAAGAGCTTTGTTGATGTATAATTCACATACCATGCAATTCACCCATGTAAAATTCAGTAGTTTTGAGTATATTCAAAGAGTTGGGTAATCAACATGATAATGCATTTTAGAACATTTTCATAAGCCCCCAAACAGATCTTGTGCCCATTAACAGTCATTCCCCATTTCCCTCTAACTCCCTCAGCCCCTGACAACCATGAATCTACTCTCTGTCTCTGAATTGAATTGCCTATTGTGAATGTTTCATAAAAATGGAATCATGCAATATGTGGCCTTCTCTGTCTGGGTCCTTTCACTCAGCACAATGTTTTCAAGGTTCATCCATGTTGTAGCATCTATCAGTACTTTGTTTCTTTTTATTGTCATATACTATTCAATTATATGGATATACCACATTTTGTTGATCACTCATCATTTGATGGACATTTGGATTTCCCACTTTTATGAATAATACTGCTATGCCTATTCATTGTCAAAGATTAACTGACTATAAATGTGAGAGTTTATTTCTGGACTCTCAATTGTATTTCACAGATCTGCATGTCTACCTTTATGCCAGTACCATGCTGTGTTGGTTACTGCAGCTTTGTAATAAGTTTTGAAAGCAGAAAGTGTGAGCCTTCCAACTTGGTTCTTTCCAAGATTGTTCTGGCTATTCCTGCTGTCTTGCATTTCCATATGAATTTTAGGATCAATTTGCCTATTTTAGCAAAATTTTTAAAAAGGCAGCTGGGATTTTGATAGAAGTTGCACTGAATATGTAGATCAATTTGAAGAGTATTGCTGTCTAAAACCATATTAAGTCTTCCAATCCATGAACATAGGCTATCTTTCCATTTAGGTCTTCTTTAATTTCTTTCAACAATGTTTTATAGTTTTTAGAGTATAAGTTTTTGTACTTCTTTTGTTAAATTTGTCTTAAGTATTTTATTCTTTATGATACTATTGTAAATGGAATTGTTTCCTTAATTTCAGTTTTGGCTTGTTCATTGGTACTATATAGAAACATAATTGATTTTTGAATATTGATTTTGTGTCCTGAAATCTACCTTATTTATTAGCTCCAATGAGTGTGTGTGTGTGTGTGTGTATTTCTTAGGATTTTCTATACACAAGATCATTTCATCTGCAAATAGAGATAGTTTTACTTCTTCCTTTCCAGTCTAGAAGTCTTTTATTTCTTTTTCTTCCTAATTAATTGCCCCCTGCCTAGGACTTCTAATCCAATGTTGAATGGAAGTGGGAAGAGAAAAAAAAACCCACAAAAAACAAAGAAAAAAAGTGAAAATAACAAACAGTGGGAATAGCAGACATTCTTATCTTGTCCTGATGTTAGAAGGAAAGTAGTCAGTCTTTCACCCTTAAGTATGATGTTAGCTGTGGGTTTTTATAGATGCCTTTATCAGGTTGAGGAAGTTACCTTCCATTCCTAGTTTAGTTTAGTGGTTTTTATCAAGAAGGGGTGTTGAATTTTGTCAGACATGTTTTCTGTGTCTCTTGAGATGATCATGTGATTTTTGTTCTTTATTCTATTGATATGGCATATTACATTAATTGGTTTTTGGGTGTTAAACCACCCCAGCATTACTGGGATAAGTCTCTCTTGGTCATGGTGTATAATCCTTTTTATATATTGCTGAATTCAGTTTTCTAGCATTTTGTTGAGGATTTTTGCCTCTATACTCACAAGAGTAATTAGTCTATAGTTTTCTTTCATTGTGATTTCTTTATCTGGTTTTGGCGATGTGCCTGTTTTTATGTGTTTTATAATGTGTTCCTGAAGTGTGTACAAGAATTGAGTGCTTCCTCTCAGAGAGATAAAGCTATTACAAAATCCTTAATTCTGCCATAACACTTTGACCCAATTCTCAACAACAAATTTCCAGGATTCCAAGCATTCTTTAATTCTGTCCTTTCCCTTCACAATCAGTCAGCGCATGGTTGACTGGCTTACATCCAGTGAACATCTAACTGAGGCTAAAGTGTTACACCTTTCGGCATGACCAATGATTTCCATCTTTGCCCATTTGTTTCTTAGAGGAACGATCAATTTTGTTACTAACATTGGACCTTTCATCGTTTTTCCATTTTCTCCTTGTCCTTATTAAACAATAAAGGAGATGTGCAATAAAGTATCAAAATCATTGCCTGACACTCAGGCACAAAGATGTCCATGTTGTCAGAAGCAAGTTGTGGGTTCTCAGGCGGCACCCCAAGCACGGTCCCAAGGGTTTGCTCATCAGTGGGGGCTCTGAGGCCCCCACCTGGCTGCTGAAAGGCAGTTAGGGTGTCTGTGTGTGACACACAAACGTGCGGGTTCTATGAATTCTGCCTCTCCTCTGATGCTCCTCTCCAATGCTCCCTTTGTTTCTTATCTCTCCCTTTCCCAAATAGATGTGACCTCACTTTCTTCTGAACCTGCCTGTCACTTTTTACACTTCTTATGGTCCCAAGGGTATGATTATTTCTGTTCTTGCTTCATCTTGCCTTCTCTAGACTGAGAAGTCCCCATGGGCAGGAACTGAACTTTCCTCTGTTTTATGTCCCTTCAGTGTGGTCCAGCCCTCCAGCCTCCTGGACCTTCCATTTCCTATCACAGACAAAGAAAATGATTTGGGCCCACAGACTTGTCCTTGGAGAGTCAGCAACCTCCCCTCCCTGGGACCTCTGGAATCAGTGGTGGGGATGGGGTCGGGGCTAGGTCTGGCCATGCCCTGCCAGGTGGATTCTCTGTCTCCACCCATCTTACCAGCTGATGCCCTGGCCTCGCCTCCACCCTGCTCTACCTACCCCATGGACACCCTGCTGTATGAAGCTCCATGGACACAAGTCCACTGTGGGTTTCAGGCACTGCTTCAAGGTCTGGGGCTAGCAGAGTGTGAACTACTGTGCAATATACATAGAAGCAACCTGAAGTTAGAGGACATTTCACCACCCTTAATCTCTATTCCCCAGAACATTTCCCCCTTCTCAGAACTTTTCACATTCAGGACCTAGGTTACCACCATTTTGCTTGAGCCCACCTCCCTTATACAGCCCGCATCTCCCTGCCCCTAAGGGATGGGAGAACACTCCAGGATTCCTGTTCTTTATGATTCAGACCTACTGTGGCTCTCCATGCCAGACCACAGTAGGTCTCTGTTTATCTAACTGATAAAACCCCTCCACAAGCAAAGGTGCCATTTGTGTTAAAGACAATTTGGCAACCGTTGCTATGTCTTTCTCTAGTAGCATCTTTATACTTTCTATTACATCTGTATTCCATGCAGGCCTCAAAGAGTGGCTTTCAAATAAAAATAGCTGTTGTTTCCTGAGGTCTTACTGTTCTGGGTACTGTTGTGAGGACTTGACCTGCGGTCTGTCATTTAATCCCTCACAACAGCCCTGTGAGGTGGTGTATCAGTTAGCCTTGGCTGTGTAGAAACCACCCCAGAACTTAGTGGCTTAAAACAAAACCATCTGTGGCCAGGCACGGTGGCTCACACCTGTAATCCCAGCACTTTGGGAGGCCGAGGCGGGTGGATCTTGAGGTCAGGAGATCAAGACCATCCTAGCTAACACAGTGAAACCCCGTCTCTACTAAAAATACAAAAAATTAGCCGGGCGTGGTGGTGGGCACCTGTAGTCCCAGCTACTTGGGAGGCTGAGGCAGGAGAATGGCATGAACCTGGGAGGCGGAGCTTGCAGTGAGTCAAGATCGTACCACTGCACTCCAGCCTGGGCAACAGAGCGAGACTCTGTCTCAAAACAAACAAACAAAAAAACAAAAAACAGTCATTTATTTAGCTCATCTTTCTGTTCTGTGGGTTGACAATTTGGGCTGGGCTCAGCTAGGTGGTTCTTCTGGTCTTGGCTGGGCTCATTTTTCTATCTGTGATCAGCTAGAGGATCAGCTGATGGTAGCCAACCATTTCCCCAATGGGAGAGGAGTTTTTTTAACCCCCTTCTACTCAACCCATTGGTGAGGGAGGAACTCCCCACTAGTGTCATAGAATGGCTGAGAACACAACACCTGCCACAGGACAGATGAGAATGGCAGCTGTGTATTTGTCACATAGACTAACAGACTGGGGGAGGAGGACACCACATGTTACACAGGGCCACCCAGGGCTGCACTTGGGAAGAGTGTGAACAACCAGGGGCTGTGAGAGACAGGTTTTGGGGTATCAAAAAGTTGGGGTGCCCTCATTCCCGCAGGAGGGTGTGATTGGCTGTGTGGGGATCAGCAGGAGCTGTGCCTGCTCCATTTGATAGGGAAGGTGGTTAAGCTGGACCTTATCCACAGGAGCTGAGAGGGGTGGAAAACTTGGGGTCAGGCTCTCCAGATTTCACCAGATGTCAGGGTGGCACATAGTGCTGAATCTTATTTTTAGGCCTGACACCACAGGGAGGCTGGCCCTGCAGCCAGGGTGGCTGATAAAGAGGGTCAGAGGGCTAGGTTGCAGATGAGGACCCAGAACTAGGCTTTCCTGCATTCATTCAACAAACACTTATTGAGGATCTAAAATGTGCTGCCCCAACCTAGGTTCTAAGCAGGAGGGGGCGGCAGCTAGATGATGAATGATAGACAATGAACAAGTGAATTTCATGGTCCCTTAGGTGTGGTAGGGATTCCTGTTCCATGATGGCTACCAACCTCTCTCCCCTGGGCCCCCTCCCCTCCTCTTCTTCTTCCTCCTATCTCCCTCTTCCTTCCCCTTCTTCCTGCCCCTCTTCCCTATCGCCCCTCCTCCTCCCCTCTCCTGGGGAGACTTCCTCTGCCTTCCAGGAAGTCCATCTCCTGGGTGCCCACTGAGGTTGCCCACTTAACCCTGCAAGGGTCACTCCTGCCCTGGGGGCTCCCGGCTCTCATGGTTGTAGGTGGGCCCCGTGGTGATGGTGATAGAGTATCTGTGATGACGGAGTATCTGTGGTGAGTATCTGTGGTGATGGAGATAATCTGTGCCATGTGCCCGAGGGCTTCTCAGGGGGCTTTCAAGGCCTTGGAAGAGCCCTGCCCCTCCCTCAAGGGCATTCTGAGGGCATGGGGTGAGGGCCAGAGCAGCAGCACCCCCGTAGCTCACCTGATGCTAGAGTACAGCAGGCGGGCTGGGACACCTGCCTCATTCTGCACTCCATGCACGTGGAGTGTATACCTAAGCACACTGGTGCAGGGGTCTCAGGCCTCTGAATCAGAGTGTGTGTCTGTGTTTGTGTGCACGAGTGTCTGTGCCTATGACAGAATGCAAGTGTGCATCTGTGGCTGCATGGATACAGACCTGTTTGTCCACAGTCTTGTACATGGATGTTTGCTCATGCGCAAATGTGTCAGCACCCAGGCATCAGAAAGCACACATGTAATAGCTGAGCTTTTAGGATACTCAAGGTCAGACTCTCCTGGTAACAGGGAGTGACTGAGATTGCTGGTTACACTGTGGAGAAAAGCCGGACCTTGGAGGATGCTGGACCCCTTCTGTGTGGGTGTGGGTGTGTGTGCATGCATGAGTGTGCATGCGTGAGTGTGCATGCTTGCACTTTTGTGGCGTAAAGGAGGTTTTGAAATTCTACAGTCCCTGCCCTCTTCCCCACCCCTCACCTGTGGCAGCATCAGTCAGCTAGTGTCTCCCAGCAAGATTTCTGCACTGAGGAAGTGGGTGGGACACCCCCTCACGCCCAATACCCCTCCGCACCCATAGGGGACTTCAACGCCTCAGGGGTGACTCCCAGGACAGGGGTCCTCTTCCTCCTCCCCTCCCACCAAGCCTGCTCTGGGGTGAAGTGTGGTGGGGGTTGTGTGAATATTGTGGGGTGCACAGGACCCATCCAGCAGGATGGGGTGGCCGCTGTGGGGCCCAAGAAAAGGCCAGAGGATGTTGTCTGTGGAGCAGTGTCCAGACTGGCATCAGGGCAGGGGACCCCCCCATTTCTTAGGTTTCCAGGTGGGTGAGTTGAACAGGAGGGAGGCGGTTGGTATAGACGGGGTGGGCAAGGAGGATTATGTGGGAGAACAGCAAACACTGCCTTTGAGGGGTGCTGTGCACTGGGCCCTGTGCAGGGTGGGGCTGGGGTCTCCCGCCTGTTCCTCCCAGTGGCCTCCATTTCACTGATGAGGCAAGGAAGGCCCCTGAGGTTCACATGGCTGGTGAGTCAGGGAGCCACTTCCCAACCCAGACCTGGAATTGCCAGGCCATGGATCCAGGGGCTTGACCACTCCCTCCCTGCCGAGGGGACGGGGCTTGACTCATGCTCAGACGAGAAGGTCTTGGGGCCTGGGAGGCCGGGGAGGGGGCGTGGGACCTCCTGAGTGGGCAGAGGGGTGTTCAGTCTTAGAGATGCAGAGCTGCAGAGGCACAGAGGGGAGGGCAGCTGCCTTGTCCTGGTGACCACAGCCAACCAGGGACTTCCTCACTGGGGCCAGTAGGACAGACCCGGGTGGACAGGCTTCCAAGCCTATTGGAGACACCCTCCAGGATTCTCAGAAGTGCCTGGGGTGTCCCTGGGGGTTGCTGAGATTCTGCATCATGCAGGCAGGCCTGGGGACCAGCAAGAAGCTTGCATTGTGGCTGTTAATTCCTGCTATTGTTGCCTCATGTACGCACCCAAACATGGGGCGCTGGGGCATTTGGGGTTCCTCACTAAAGCGGGAGAGCCCTGCTCAAACCACAGAGTGGTGCTCATAGTCAGCGAACGGGCTCTTTGGAGCGTGGCTCGGGCCCTGGCAGCTCTGGGTTCAAATCCCAGCTCTGCAGTCTCCACCTTGGCCACCCGTCTGGGCCTCTGTTTCCACATCTGTAAAATGCGGCTGGCTGTGTTACTCTATAGGGCTGTTTCAAGGACTCAGTGAGATAATAGGCTCAAAGCATTTATTAACACAGTGCTGGCCCAGCAAGGCAGGACAAGCTGCAGGGCCTCTGTGGAGGGGAATCTACCTCCCCGACACCAGCCTCTAGGGCAGGGGTGTCACACTGTAATTATCTGTTGGGGCACAGACCACCCATGACACTTCCGGTGATTTTATGAATCTGGGAGATGAGTTCCTTAAGGAAGAAACTTGTCCCCCTCCTGTCCTGGGCCCAGGGAGGGACTGGTCGCCAGGACCAGCTGTGTGCTGTAGTGGCCACGAGCAATGCTTTATGGGGCTTGTAAAAGCCGCTGACCCTGCTCCCTGGACTTAACGAGGTGAGCAGGGCCCTGGCAGTTTGCAATAACCTTCAGCTCCAGCTGAGCCTGGCTGAGCCCGGTGACCTGAGAGGGGACAGGGATGGGTCTCATCTCTGCTTGAGACCCTGGCAGTCTCAGCTGAGGGGTCTGGAGGAGGGAGGAAGGAGGCTGACTTCCTACATCCCAGAGTGCAGGGGGCGCTGGACACCAGCCCCAGGACATCTGTGACCAGGGAGCAGAATCAGACAGACCAGGGCCTACAGGGTCTTGGACGAGCTGCTTCCTGCCTGCTCCCAGCCTCGCTTTCCTCCCCTGTCTGTGAGGCAGGGGTCATGATCCACACCTGGTAGGTTGTCCCGAGGTTGGAGAGGGAGAATGTCCTCAAAGAGCCCAGTACGAGTGCCTTAGTGGGGTGGCGATGGGTCAGGACCCCCAGGGCAGAGACAGAACCTGGGCTCAGCTGTGGCAGCCTCTGCTCCATCACTCAGCCTAAGTTTGTTGTGGGTTTGGGTCTCTGCTTCCCAAGAGGGAGCGGTCCCAGGATCCCCCAGCGAGGGTACAAGGCGGGCTTGGAGGCCAGGCCTTCTTTCTCCCTTGAATTGGTCCCCAGAACTGGTGGCCTGGAAAGTCTGCTCTCTGCTGTTGATGCAGCTCGTTTTGTTTTCATGAAGTAGGGCTGTGCATACTGCTTGGGTCGTAAAAGATGGCGAGGGACATTAGGGGGCAGTTGCCCTCTCGGAAGGGCGGGGATGGTGGCCAGTGGCCCACCATGGTCCAGATCCAGGCCCGGGGACACACGTGGCCATTCTTAGACAATGGCCCCACTGCCTAGGTGGAGGCGTCCCCTGGGACGGGGGTGGGGGGGACCACACACTCTGGGGACTGCGTGTCTTGGATTTGAGTCACCAGCAGGGGTCCTCTCTGCCAGGCTGGCTGGTCAGGGCGGGGCGCAGTCATTCCTTCATCCACTCAGCCACGCTCGTCTGTCTGTCCGTCCGTCCAGGGACCTGTTTCCTCCCTCAGCAAACATCCCTTAGGCGCTTCCTTGGGGTCAGCACTCTACAGTTCATGTTTTTTCCAATCCTTAGTACAACCTGATTCCCCTTTTCCACAGAGGAGGAGACTGACGTTCAGAGGAGTCAAGCCCCCGCCCCGGCCTCGCCATGAGTTCCGAAGGGGAACTCCAGTCCTTCCGCCCCCAGCCTTCACCGCTCCTTTGTCCTGGGTGCCCCCTCAAGGCTCGGGCTGGAACTAGGGAAGTGGGGAGGGTGGTGTTGGAGGCAGAATCACCGGGGACTCTGGAAGCCCCAGAGACCTGTGCTGTCTGTCCTTACAACCGGCAACTTGCCTCAGTTTCCCTGCTGAGCATCCAGGACTCCATGGGCGTCAGAGACCTAAGTCAAAAGTTGGTCTGAGAGGTCCCGGCTAGGGACCTGCACCCTCTCCCCTCCCGTACCCCTCAGCTCCCACCACCAGATCCAGTTCTGAACAGCCATGTGATGGCTCTTAACTTTCTCCCGCTCTCCAGCCCTCTCCCCTCCCCTCCCCTGCCTTCTGTGGACCCCTGGAGACCTTCACAGCGTGGCTGGCTGCACCCTCGGGATCCACAGAAGGGGTGTGGAGATGGAGGACGGCGGGGCTCCAAGCTGCTGCATCCTCCCAGTCACGTGTGATCCTGGGGGGACACTTTCCCCTGTCCTCAGTTTTCTCATCTGTAAAACGGGCCTCACAGAGGCACAAGAGTGTCCCCCTTCAGGAAGCATGCGGGCCTGGGTTGGGGGACAAACACATGGCAGACCTCTCCCTCTGACTCCTTCTCCCCGTCCCTGTGGTGTCAGCCATAGGTTCCCCTCAGCTTCCTCTCAGCCTTTTTAATCAAAGTCTCAACAGTCATCAGACCAATGTGCTGCTGTAAAAGATCCCATTTTGGCCAGGTGCGGTGGCTCAAGCTTGTAGTTCCAGCACTTTGGGAAGCCAAGGCAGGAGGATCGCTTGAGTCCAGGAGTTTGAGACCAACCTGGGCAACGTAGTGAGACCCCCCCCATCTCTATAAAAAAATTTAAAAAAAATTAGCCGGGTATGGTGGTGCATGCCTGTGGTCTCAGCTACTTGGGAGGCTGAGGCAGGTGGATTGCCTGAGCCTGGGAGATAGAGGCTGCAGTGAGCTGTGATCACACCACTACACTCAGCCTGGGCGACAGAGTGATACCCTGTCTAAAAACAAACAAACAAAAAAACCACTTTGGGGGAACGTGAATGGGGGCTGGCCTTCTGCTCTTTCTGCTCCTCCCAGCTCTGACTCTGGGGCACGGTCCTTCATCTGCACAGGGTTTGTAGGAGGATCTGGGGAGACACCACAGAAAAGCCCCCAGCTCCCAGCCCAGGGGAGTTCCCCTCCTGTGATCCTGGCCCAGGCTCTGGCCCCCAGACGGCTCCCAGTGGGGGTGGCACCTGCCGTTCTTGAGGCAGGGGTGTCTCCCGCTCCCATTTTACACCGGAGCTTGTTTGCCAGGCACTGTTCAGCAGCCACATTTGGCCTCCAGTGGGGTCTATGTAGGCATCTGGGTGGTCCTGAGCCTCCTTCTGAGGGTGTCCTTTTCCTGGGGGGCAGGATCCAGGGGGATGTCTGTGTGCACTTGAGGGCACGACAATGGGGGCAGCTGTCTCAGGCCCCTCTCCATGTGGCTTGAACTTATCCTGCCATTTCCTGGGCAGGGCCCCCGTACTCCAGGCAGTCACCCCCACCCATCTGATTTCCCTTGGACGGGACGTGGACCACCTGGGACACATCTCGCAGGGCTGAACACCTACCATAGGGCAGCAGAGCACAGGGTTCGAGCCCAGGCTCTGGTGCCAGGGCTTGTGTTTCCTAGCTGTGTGACCTCGCACGAGTTGTTTAACGCCTCGGTGCCTCAGTTTCCTCCTCTATAAAATGGAGATAGTAATAGTAATAGTGGGGCTTAGTATGGATTAGATTTTCTAACCCTTATTAACACAAGCAAAGTACTTGGGACAGTGCCTGGCACCATTAAGGTGCCATACGCGTAAGGTGCCTCTTACGCACCTGGGATTCGCTTCTCACTGATGAGGTCCCTGTTGTCCCCACCTAACGGATGAGGAGACGGAGCTCTCTATGCCTGGTTCTGGAGATCTCTGTTCGCCGACTCAATCCTGGCTTCCTAGCCAGAGATTAAATGGTTCCTTGAGAGAAGGTGTCTCTTACCTGGTGGGAGGCACTCCAGGCAGGGCTGGGGCAGGTTGAGGGTCCCTTCTGGCCATCCCTTGAGGACCAGGTGAGCCCTGGCCTCACTAGAGAACTGGCTGGACCAGAACTCCAATTAAAGGTAATTCCCTTTTTTCCTACCTTGAAATTCCTATTGATTTCCTCCCTAAATAGAAATTCCCATTGATTCCTTGTCTGTTCAGATTAGTGTCCTCAGCTGCAGCCTTCGGTGCATAATATCTTCCCCCTTCTTCCCAGGCCCCAATACCTCTTCCCAAGGTGACCCTGCCACCACCTGCTTGGCTGGGCCCTGTAGCTTCCCCAGCTGGGGTGGGAGACAGTGGGCTGGGAGTTGGGCCTGGGTGGGTCCTGGATTCCCTCTGCCTGCCCATCACCCCACTTCATTTTTGCCCCAGGTGGAGATGAGGCCGGGAAATGAAGATAAAGATGTCACTGTACTTGGACTTGGGTCCACCTCATTGGTCCTGCCTCTGCCTCTGCCTAGGAACCATTAGCTCATTGCTCAGGTGGGGAATTGAGGCCCACAGAGCCATCGCTGGCAGGAAACAGATTTCGCATGTGAGCAGAGGCGAGGTCCAGCTGGGCAGTCCCTGAAGGAGGGCCCCCACCTGCCCGGGCTCCCCTGCTCACATTTGATCACAAAAGCTGATTGTTAACCTTTCAGAATTTTGTGAGCTGGTTGATGTCATGTTGGTTGCTTAAAAATCAGTCATGGTGGGAGTATTCACACCACGTGAATTGGCAAATGCTGCACATCAGGGCCTCTCTCCCCTCCCCGTTTCAGTGTTAAAGAGAGCTAGTTGTTAAGCATTTACCTGCACACCACTAGCTCAGATTTGCCTCTCCTATTCTGTTGCCCACCTCTCATTCCAGGAGTCCCGGATGGCTCCAGTTTTCTGCACCCAGTGACCTTTCGCACACCTCCTTGCTTTTGCCCATGCTGTTCCCTCTGCCTGGGGTGTCCTCAGCATCTTTTCTTTCCGGTGAAATCCTCCAGGACCCATCTCAATTTCCTTCTCCTTCTCTTCCCTCCTTATCCCCTGGGCAGGGCATGGGAGTTCAACAATCCAGAAGGCAGACCTGTCTAGGTCCCTATCCTTAGAGACCTTACAGCCGGGGGACATGCCTCAGAGCCAGCTGTGTCACTCCAGCAGATGGGTGACCTGTGGCAAGTCATCGGACTCCTGGAGACTTCAGTTACTTTTCCGGACAGTGGGTCTGGAAAATGCCTGGCAACACCTGCCCTTGGGGAGCAGGACCAAGCCCAGTGTTTGGCTGGGACCAGCTTGCTGAATGCCCTTGACATCCCCATGAGGAGGCATTAATACTGTCCTCATTTTGCCTCTGAAGCAGATGAGGCACAGAGAGGCAAAGGAACATATCAAAGATCACACAGCTTCTCAGTGGAAGAGCTGGAATTTGAGTCTGCCCCTGTACCCACCATGCCCCTTGGCAGTGATGGCAGTGACGAAGCCCTCTCTGGGATCAGGCAGATACCTCGATTCTCCCTGGGCCAGTCTGGATTAGAACTGCCCAGGTCTCAGGCTGCCTCTCCCCCAGGCTGCGGTCTCCTCCAGGTAGAGATCTGGGTCTGACTCTCCTGTGTCCCCAGTGTCCAGCCCAGGGCCAGGCACTAAGGTAGCAGGAGGATGAATGAATTTGAGAGGCAAGGTCTGATAGAGCAGCAGGCACACAGACCTCCCTGACCACACAGGGTCAGCGGTGGAGGAACGACAGAGGAAATGTCAGTCGGCTCCATGCCCAGCCCACCTCTTAATCTAGGATGGGCAGACTCTGCACACGCAGCAGCTGCCACTTATCTCAGTTTCCCTGCCTGGCCTCCTTCCACTGGGATTAGAACCTGGAACTGACTCTGGCTTAGATTGGTTGGGGGTAAAAGGAAAGAAAAAAAGAGAATGGAAATAAAGACATTTTTGAGTGCCTGCTATGTTTGATGTTTGACAACTGTTATTGTGATGAACATCCCACAGAGTAAGGGCTCCTGAACCCACAAGGTCAACTTGGACCTTCAGACCTAGGAACTGACATGCCCAAGACCATATGGAAAGTCATCTCCTGGGCTGGGGTATGGCATCATGCAACGTCATGCAATGCTGGAGGCAATAGCTCTGGGATCAAAACCCACTCTGCTGCTTCCTAGATATCCGCTGTGTGACTTGGGTAAGTGACTGCACTTCTCTGAGCCCGTGTCCTCAACTGTAAAAACAGACGTGATCCTAGCAAATGCCTCTCCCGGCTGTGGCAAGAATCCAATGAGATTCCGCTTGTAAACAAACCTCCCAGCACTGCCACCTTGCATGCAATAAGAGCTCAATACGGAATAGCTGTTGTTTTTCCCTCTTTTCCTGGTGCTCCCCAGATCCTGACCTGCTCCCACTAACCACCGAGTCCTGGCTACCAGTGGACTGACCTCCTGGAAGCCTGGAACTTCAGGACTTACCCCTTGACTGGGCCAACCTTGGACTCAAATTCTCTCCACCTTGGGCTGACCTCTGCCTAGACCCACTGTGACCCTGGAAGTTCTGAACTGGACTTTGTTAGAATTGTCCCCTGTCCCTCCCATTGTTTCATGGATAGCTCAGGATTCCAGGACCTCCGCCCCTGTGGGACTTTGGAACAATTGCTAAGCCTCAGTTTTCCCATCTGTTAAATGGGAATGATAGTACCTACCTGGCTTACACCCCAGGCCTGGGGAAGGTGGACGAGGGTGGGGCAGGATGCTCAGCAGAGGGATTGCCACAGCAACTGGGGACCCCAGGAGCAGGTCCTTGGGGCAAGGTGTCTTAATAACTCTATTAATACAGAGCTAACATTTATGGAGCACCGGGGATTTCCCACTGCTGGTTTTATACCCTCTAGCAACCCTGTGAGACCCACAGACACCATCACTAAAGTGGGGGCGGGGGGCTCAGAGACTGGGCAGGCTCTCCCTTCTTGCACCGCTAAGCTAAACCTCCCCCAAAGCTGTTGCCTCTGTCTTCGCTGGAAACCTCTATCCCAATTCTCTATCTGGCGTGCAGACATTTTTGCGACGTGTAAAACCTGATTATTTCCTGATTAGTCACTCACCACAGCTAATTCACTCTTCCCATTGATTCCAGCTCCTTCTGAAAGGCCCTCCCCCCTCCCTCTAAAGCAGCCACCTGGTGCCGACGGAGGTGGACACAGGCCCCTCTGGAGGTGCCTGCGGGAATCTGGCGGTGCTGGGCGCTGAGGGTGAGTTTGAGATTCAATCAGATGTCCAGTCATAGCATGGTGGGCCGTGTGGGTGGTAAAGGCAATGGCACAGCGGGGCCTGGCACGTGGGGCATCATCGTTTGACTTGTTCTTGGCGTGTAGTTGACCCATCTGGCAGAGCCTAAGGAAACGTCCCCAAGGAGTCTATTCTTTAATAAATAGCGATTGGGCATGGGTGCCAGGCCTTGCCCAGTGCACTACTCTAAGGAAAGGCTGGCCTGGAGGGGAGGATTGCTTGAAGCCAGGAGTTTGAGACCAGCCTAGGCAACATAAGTGAAACCTTGTCCCTACAAAACAACAACAACAAAAAACCCCACAAAAAACTAGCAGGTCGTGGTAGTGTGCACCTGGAATCATAGCAGTGGGGGAGGTTGAGGCAGGAGGATTGTTTGAGCCCAGGAAGTCAAGGCTGCCATGAGCTATGATCGTACCACTGTACTTCAGCCTGGGCAACAGAGCAAGACTCTGACTCAAAAACAAACAAAGCCAGAAAAGCCTGAAGATTTGTGCCTATGTCTGTGTGCAGAAGTAATGTTCATTTGCTCATCTGTGGAGCACCTACTGTGTGCCAGGCGCTGCTCCTATTGAAGGGTTAATGCAGTGGACCAAATAGATCTCTGCGCTCTTGGGTTTCCCTTCCTCCCGGTGGGGGAGATAGACACACACCTTAACAAGGTCCATTCCAGTTGTGAAAAATGCTGTGAAGACAATTATCTAAGGTCGTCCGTGAGTGACTGGGCAGTCAGGGATGGCTTCCTTGAGGAGGTGTGCTTTGAGCTGAGGACTCAGCCAGCTCTGTGGAGAGTTTCGGGCAAGCATTCCAGGAGGAAGAAACAGCTAGTGCAAAGGCCCTGAGGCAGAAAGGAGCCTGGCTGAGTTCAAGGAACAGAAAGGCCAGTGTTGCATGGTGGGAGCCCTGTTCACAGGAACAAAGCAGGAATGCAGGCGCTAAGGTTGGCATTCTGGAGTCAGGCTTTAAGGGGCTTCTGAGGTCTTGGAAGAGGCCCGGGGTCCAGCAAGGCCCCATCGGCCCTCTGATGAGTTGTCTTGTTATCTTCCTAAACCTCTTGTCTGCCTTCTCCTCCTTTTCCTCTTGCTGGTGTCCAGGCCAGGACCCAATCTGGGGTCATAGACCTCAGCCAGCTTAGAGAACCGAGACCTCTCTCCCTCAGCCAGGGCCACCCCCTCCTGGCACATAACACCATCGCTGTGATAGGCTGAAAATGAGGCTTTTGGAGCAAAGAGCCCGTGTTTACAGAACAGCAGCAAGGTATCTGCCTGCAAACAAAGTGGCTTGTTACACTCAGGCCCCAGTAAAAAATCTTCTAAGTGCCTAATTAACAGTTGAGGTAGATATAAAAACATAATGAGAAAAACAATCTGCTTGCAAAAAAAAAAAAAAAAAAAAAAAAAGAAGAAGAATTAAAAAGGAAAAAAAAAAAGTGGGGGGAAAATTGGCAGGGCCTGACCAGCTGCTAATCTGGGCGCATGTCCGTCTGTGCAGGTTCAAGTGGCCGGGAGGGCCAGCCGAATGGCCTCCTCGCAGGCCGATATTGCACCTCTGTACGTCTGAGCAATTTTAAACTTGGCAGGAAGAGAGCTGCGCGGAAATTTGCGTAAGCCTTGATAAATATTTTATGCAAATTAAAATTGAATTCTTTGCTTAGTTTAAGCAATTTCCCTGTAAGGAGTGTGTTGAGGAGAGAGATTACAACATTTGCCGGTTTGTTTATAATTTAATTTTTTTTTTTATGTTGCGGCTGGCAGTGGGGGAGATGGTAACACCTGTGAGTGTTTATAACGTCCCATCTCCTTCACAGCTGCTCCTATTCAAAACACCTCGCCGGCGTAATAATTTCATAAAATTTCATGATTTACCATCTGCTCGCGCCGGTTTGGGCTTCAGCAATAGGCTCGTATGTGGCGCCCGGCCCAGAAAGGTACAATAACTGTATATTTTAACTTAATGGTTTTTTGGGGGGCATGCAAATTTCAGTGAGCAGATTGCACCGAGGCCCGGGCTTGGAGCGGCCTCCCTGGGCCCGGCGGCCCTTTCCCCAGAAGCCCCTGAGCACCCCCCGGCTCGGTGAAGGTTGCCCGTGTCAAAATCGAGATATCAAACACCAAGTGTAAAAAGACAAGGTAGGAGGTACAAGAGGATTATTTTCCTTTTAGCATTTGATGTCTGTGCATTTGGGTAATTAAAATGATTACTACAACAATTAAAGCAAGTAATTAGAAACTAATTACACCAGCATTTTTTGTGATTACAGGAGCAGATGAAAATAGTGTTCAAAATTAAATTCATTGCATATTCATGGGAATGAAATTAAATACTGCTGGGTGGATGAGATAATCGGAGGAGAGAAGAGAGGAATGGCATTCTGGGGATTCGGAGAACAGACTGTTGCTAATGCTCCAAACAGACATTTGGTTAAATCAGTGATAATCTTTTAATGGCTTTAAAAGGAGCTAATATTTGGAAAGCAGTCAAAATTGCTGAGAGTTTGTGTTTTTCACTCTCTCTGTGATAATACATACCAGCTGTAGCACAATAGAAAACATTTAATCATTATCCACTCAAATGGAGGCGCAGGAGCCAGCATCTCCCCGCCTCTCCTGGTGTCTCATGCACGACAATAAATTAAATTAAAGAATCTTAGCGAGCTCTTTTTTCCCTCTCTCTCTCTCCCTCTCTCTCCCCTCTCTCCCCGCTATTGACTACCTTCGAGCCACTGCCTTGCCACGACCATTTAATGAGATTCCTTAGATTAAATAGATTTTCTGTTTAACTCCACACTGGTGAGATAGCATGTCAGGGACTGAATGGCTATTAACATTTAAATATTTCACAGAACAAAAAAAAAATCGGAATATGAATTTTTCATTGTTGCGGCGCTCAATGGAGTCGCTCCCTCCCGCCCTTTCTCTGGTTCTCTCTCTCTCTCTCTTTCTCTGCTAGACCTAATGAAACTAAAGTAATTAGAAAGATACAAGAGGAGCACTTTCACTAGAGTGCAATTAAATTGAGCGCAGAGCCGTTATTTATATAGGCTGGTCACTGCGTAGCCGCTGCTATTTTCTCAGCCTGCTTGAGTCATAGATTATTACAAGAGATTAATAATGTAAATTTCACTGACTCTGCTGCTCTCCCAGCCTCGGCCTTCAGAAATTGATGGGCGCACCATCCATCACCTCCTCCCATCCCGGCCTGTCCCTCCGCAGGCTCTCCGGCCCCCTGCGCCCCGCCTCGCTCCCGGTGCTGTGCTGTCTCTCTGTCCCTTTTTGACTTGGCCTCTCACTCCGTGTTTTTGTCCGGATTTCTCTGTGTCTTTCCTCTTGTATTTATTTCCGAGCTCCTACCACACCAGCCCTGCTAGGTTCCTGTTTGGTTCTTTGGGAGTGGGACCCTCACTGCCGCCTCCCAGCTCCCAGTCTGGCTGTCTCGAAAGGGGTCCATTAGCTTTGTAGAAGCCCATCTGGTGGGCGATGGGTTAAAGGCAAAATTGCCCCCCTGAGTTCACCATCCCTTTCCCGGGCACACGCCATGGACAACCCTCTGTCCCTCCTACCCAGCCCTCTGTACATCCCTCCAGCACCTCATCCTCTCATCTCTTCTCTCTGCATTCCTTGGCCCATCTCTGTTCCTCGTGGCCCTCCCAGCCTCCACATGCAGGAGGAAGAGCTGAGATTAGGGGCCCGGCTTGGTAGCCTTCCAGCTATGTGACCTTGGCTTGCTATTTCACTGAGCCTTCATGTCCTCACCTGTTAAATAGGGATAATAAGGCCGGTATTACAGAATTTGCTGGGCACAATTAGATTGGATAATCTGTGCGGAGGGCCAGGCATGTAGCAAGGATGGAGTAACAGTGGATCCTGTTCTTTCTTGCTTCTTCCGTCTGTATCCACTGATTCTCCTCCCAGCCCTTTTCTCGGCTTTGAAGTGTCCCCTCATCTGGCTGCCTGAGGGTCAGTGGAGGCCAGTGCTTGGAGCGGGTAGGGGTGAGGTCAGGAGAGGAGAGGAGAGGACCCCGAAGGCGAAGTCCTGGTCTGCTCCACTCCACCTTCCCTTTTATCCGGACCCCCACTCTGCTCCTGCTGCAGGTCTGCTCAGGGTTGGCGGGGGGCGTCTAGGATGAAGCGTGCATGGGGAGCAGCCACCGCCTGCCCAGCAGAGGGAGTGACCTCACCTGCCTGGCTGGGGAATTACATCACGATGTGCCCAAGCGTAGGATTTGGCAGAGCCAAGAGGGCTTGCTTTCAAAACAATTAGCGCCAACATCTGCCCAAGCACCCATGCTGTTTTTGTATAATTAAAACAAGCCTCCACAATCCCACTGGACACTCTTTAAAAACGGCTCATTTTTGGCATTATTTACAATGTGGGGGGGATGGCAGGTGGGAGGTGCCTACTGCTGTCCCCAGGGAGAGGCCTGGAGTCTCCCCATTCTTGGCTGGGCCACTCCGGCAGTTACTGTCTTCCTGACGGATGAGTGAGCTCCGGATCCCAAGGCCCCAGGGAGAAGCTGCAGGGTTAGGGGGACCTGTGTGGGACCACAGACACATCACCACCTTTCATTTATTTATTTATTTATTTATTTATTTATTTATTTTGTTGAGATGGAGTCTCACTCTGTCGCCTGGGTTGGAGTGCAGTGGCGTGATCTCAGCTCACTGCAACCTCCACCTCCTGGGTTCAATCAATTATCCTGCCTCAGCCTCCCGAGTAGCTAGGATTACAGGCACCCACCACCATGCCTGGCTAATTTTTTGTATTTTAGTAGAGACGAGGTTTCACTATGTTGGCCAGGCTTGTCTCGAACCCCTGACCTCGTGATCCACCCGCCTTGGCCTCCCAAAGTGCTGGGATTACAGGCGTGAGCCACTGCGCCCGGCCACATCATCACCTTTCTTGATCTTCCATGGGTCTTGCTGGTTATAGGGTACTAGGGCTGAGCCAGGGAGGTGGGAGGGTGGTGGAAGGGAGTGGGGAGTCCCACGTGCCTCTTTTTTGGGGAGTACTTGAATCCCAGTGGCTGGAATTATTTATCAAAACTCAGCCAGTCACTGCTACAGAGGTGGTGGCAATTCTCAAAACAAAAAAAACCACTAAAACCAATGATTAATAGCAAATCACTGCATTCAACCTTTTCAACTTAGAGAAAGCTTGGGATTGAGCACAGGGAGGATTAGCTGGAGAAAGGCAAGTAGGCATCAAATTCCAGCCTCCCTCCCAGATGCACACATAGGTACCCACATCCACGCATACCCCGGGGCAGACAGCCGTGTTCTTTGTTAGACGCATGTGCCCAAAGCGCATGAGAAGATAAACATATGAAGGCCATCCTGTGTGACACACCACGCATGTATGTGTACCATGCTTGTGTACATGCATGCACACACACTCATATCTGTGCACATGCTTAAACGTGTAACCAAGCATGGTGCAAGCACATTGGAGGCACACATATGCACAAGTGTTAACACATACACACACAGGCAGACACAGGTGGAATTGTGGGCACACTGGCTGGGGATGCATTTTGTCCACCCTCCCACCGCTCACTTTCTTTTCTAGACAATCTCAGCTCTGTGGCTGAGGTCACCCTTGGGCCTTTCATATCAGTGGGAGTGGGGGAAGTGGCTGCTTGGTGACCCCTGATCCTTGGCTGGGTTGGGCTGTTCTCCAGCCAGGAGGGTCAGTGGAGGGCCCTGAGACTGGTCCAAGGGTGGGACCAGAGGACTCTCAGAGCAACATGGTCTGATGACTCCCTGGGGAGGCAGCCACCAGAGGGGGATGGAAAGGACCCTAAAAAGCCAGGAAAGAGCCAGGGTATAATCTCCATATCCCCGGGGAGCCCCCCAGGGGTTATTTCATGTCCGTAATGAGGGTCTTCAGCAAGATTCGATAACATGTGGCCCTGTGTCCTTGGGATTTGTGAGGTGCTTTCTCATCTACCCTCCTCCAGGGGCAGCTCCGACCTCCAGGATGTTCCTGGCAAAAGAGGGAGCAGAGCAGCGTGTGCCTAGGCAGCCTGGGGGAGGGGGAGACTTGCTGTGGAATCCCAGCCCTGTGTGGCCTTGGACTGTTGCTAACCCTCTGTTCCCAGCTTCCTCCTCTGAGAGTGGCAGCCACTGGGGCATCACCCCCAAGGACTTATTCTGAGGATTCCATCAGATCACACAGGGAAAGTGCCTGGCACAGTCCCTGGCACAGAGCGAGCCCAGTGCATGGTGGCTTCTGAGACAATAATAAAAATGATGATCTACTAGATCATTTGACATTCACGACAACCACAGGAGGTGCTATTGTTAATCCCTCTTCACAAAGTGGGGGACAGGAGCTGAGGGAGGGAGTGCTGCCCTTTGGGTATCTGTCAAGCTCACCCTCTCTTTGAAATTTGTCTCCTTGACTCCAAGGGCAGTTCCTGAAACGATGGTGTCACCATCGGCAACCGGAGCCTGCTGGAATTGTGAACAACTGGATGAATGAATGAATTGGAAAATATAAGAACAAATGATTGGATAAAGAAGTCAATGAAAGAATGAATTTGAGCCACAGGGTCTCATGCAGGCCACATGGTCGTTCAGGCTCTGCTGTGTGCCAGGCACTAGCACTACGCGGCACACAACGGACCCAGTCCCTGCCCTCGGGGCTCTCGCCTGCAGACCTGGGAGGCAGAATTCATGCAGGTGTTCAGTAGCTAGTGAGTCATGGTTGTGCTAAGAGCACAAAAGAGGGGAGGCTGTGTGCTGTAAGAGGCTGAACGGGCCTCACCTGGCCCATGGGTGCTGGTCAGGGAAGGGGTTCTTGAAAGTCTTCTGGGGTGAACTCCGGATATGAGAGAGAGTTTGTGGCATGACCAGTCATTGAGTAAATGACCCAGATGACATGGGGGCCCAGGACATCAGCTTTTTCCACCCCAGAGGTTGCCAACGTGCCAAGGCCACAGAATAAAGCAGGGTAAAATCAGAAAGCCTTGGGGAGGCAAAGGCTTGGACCCTGGGAGGTGCTGCGTCAGACCGAAGCCTCTGCTGCTGACTCAGCACTTGGTTCCCATTTTACAGATGAGAAAACAGAGGCCCAAGGGTACCACAGTAGTCTGGATAATTGTTCAGCAAATCTTTCTTCCCACTCCCACCCCAGGTGAAGTGTATTTTCCACTGATACTGAGTTTGGCAATGGAACTTGTTTTGGCCAGTGGAATGCTAGTAACATGGGTAGTGGCCCTCGATCTGCCTGTGTGGTTTCTCTTGGCTCTTGATCTTCTGTCATTTCTGTGGGCAACTGCTCTGGGTAGACATGATCCTGGTGTGAGAAGAGACCTGTGAAGCAGCCCTGACCCTGACCCTCAGCCTGAAGTACAGCCCCTTAGCCCTGCCCTGCCTACAGCAGCCAAACCACAGCCAACCTGCAGACCCATGGGTGGGACAATAAATGTTTATTGCTGTTAAGTTACTGAGTTTCAAAGTGTTGTTACGCAGCATTACTGTGGCTGTAGCTGACGGATACAGCTGCACAACCAGGTGTGCTATTAATCCCAGGAGAGCTGGGATTTAAAGTGAGGTGATTCTGACCAAAGCCTGCAAACTTAATCCTTATGCTCTGTAGTCTGTCAAATAAGAATATGTGGGTGGAGTTTTGGGCATGGAGAAAGGCCCTTTATCAACATGTGATGTGTACTATTATTCACACTCATCCTGTCATTATAGTCATCTCTAAAGAGCAAAGGAAAACCAGAACGTCCAGGGGGTGCTAGAAATGCAGTGGTCAGAACTGGGAAGAGGTGTCCTTGGCATGGGGGCGGGGGCGCTGCTTCCATCTGGAATCTGCAGCTGGGATACACCAGGTGTAACAGCAGGGCCAGAGTGACCTGTCTGTGGCTGAGCTGCCGTGAGCTTGTGCCACCCCTGTCAGCATCCCTGCTGGGCCTGGAAGCAACAGAGAAGCACAAGTTCTGGAGTCAGACAGATCTTGGTTCAAGTCTCAGCCTTCCACCTGCTGGCTGTTTGTCTAGACCGGTGCCTTCTCTCTAAGCCTCAGTCTTCTCATCTGTAAACTGGGGGTGACAGTCAAAGCTGCCTTATAAAGTTATTTGTTGTAGGATCAGATGTGATTGTTGGTTGGGTGTGGTGGCTGACGCCTGTAATCCCAGCACTTTGGGAGGCCGAGGTGGGTGGATCAGTTGAGGGCAGGAGTTCAAGACCAGCCTGGCCAACAGGGTGAAACCCCGTCTCTACTAAAAATACAAAAATTAGCCTGGCGTTGTGGTGTGCACCTGTAGTTCCAGCTATTTGGGAGGCTGAGGCACGGGAATGGCTTGAACCTGGGAAGCGGAGGTTGCAGTGAGCTGAGATCGAGTCACTGCACTCCAGCCTGGGCAACAGAGCAAGACTCTGTCTCAAAAAAAAAAAAAAATTGTGATTGCTACTGGGGAGTGTTAGTGACCAATGAAACATATACACACACATATACCCATGAACAGAGTCTCCAGGGCCAGGGCCTGTGTGAAATTCCTCCAGAGTGCTCTGGGAGAGCTGGGAGGGGGAGGACCGGGGACCATGAGTGGTGCAAAGTGGAGCTGGGGAGACTGGCTCTTCTGTGGCTGTTGTAGTGACCCCCATGGTAGTCCTTGGGATGATGGTCTGCTCCAGGTACCGGGGAGCTGGCCCATGCTGCTGAGTTTGGCCCAGCAGACAGGCTGAGTGGTCCTCACAGGCACACTGGTCATCCTGCTCCCGAAGCAGCCCACATGGCCCAGGCTGCCTGACCAGACAGGGTCACTTGAAGCTCCTGGTCCGCCTGATGCCAGGGGCCCCTGCTTACCTGGGACTCTCATGCCAACACACCAGCCCAGCCCTTGCAGGCACCCTCAAGTTTCCTGATGGATTTGTTTTTTCTTATTTGAGAAACGAAAAGGGCGCTGTGGCCCCTGGCCTTCTTTGAGCACACCAAACCCCCTTCTTGGGCTCTTTCTTCAACTTTCAGGTCTTAGCTTTGAGACATTTCCCTCGGAAGTCCTCCCAGATCCCCCAGCCTATTACACCCGCCTTAGCTCCCTGTCTTTCCTGCTGTTCTCTCCCGCACCCCGCCCATGCCTCTTTGCCCCATTGCCAATAGCCACTTTTCTTACTATAGTGGGAATGACTTACACTCGGCCTACAGCTGGGACTAAAACCAAGGGAGGAAGAGAACACTTCTTGGGGACGTGCCACTGCCAGCCACGACACATATATACCTCGTGAATCCTCATCAAATGTTGCCTGTTAGCATGATTACTCCCATTGAGCAGATGAGGAAACTGAGGCTTAGAGAGGGGAACCCAGGTCCACCTGACTCTGAAATCTGGTCCTTAACCCCTCTGCTTCTGGGACCTCGGCACACTGTGCCCTGAGGCAGGACTTACCCCTCCCTTAATTGTAATTCAACTACTTGTGATATTTTGGTACCAATTAATATTGATTTTACAATTGGTTTACGGAGATGTTGTTTTATTACTAATATATTTAATGTGCAAATCAATAAGAACACTTGCTTGGCCCTCTCCCTGGAAGGTAATAAAATCAAATATCTCAGGGGCAAAATGCTATCCGATCCGTGAATGGCAAAGCAGATGCTTAATGTAATAGTTAAAGACTCAGTCGGGTGCTTGGCAAAGCCAACCGGCCTCCCCCAGCCTTGCTTTCAAGGCTGCCAGTGAGGAGGCTCCCTGGGTTCCTGCTCTGCAGGGGATGTGCATGGAGGCTCCCACCCACCTTTGATGGAGGGGCTGAGGCTGGGGGACCAGACAGTCTCACTTGAGGGGCCACGTTGCCCGTTGGGAGAAGCCCATCCTCTTCCCTGCTTCTCTCTCCTCCCTTCCTCCTTTCCCTCCCCCTCCCTCCTTTCCCTCCTCCTCCCTCCCTCCTTCCCCCCTCCCTCCCTCCCTCCTTTCCTTCCTCTTCCATTCTATCATCCCTCTTTGTGTATTCATTTTTACTTCTTTATCCAATCATTTGTTCTTATATTTTCCAATTCATTCATTCATCCAGTTGTTTGTTCACTAGTTCATTCATTCAATAGTTTGTTCTTTTGCTCATTCATTCATTCAATCATGCAATTGCTCATCCATTCAGTCGTTTGCTCAATCACTTGGCCACTTGTTCATTTATTTATCCATTCATTCATTTCCTTAGTCTTTAGTTTGTCGATTTGTTCATTCGTCGTTTGTTTATTCATTCAATCATCCAGCGGATTTGAACTAAGCACTCACTCTGTGTCAGGTTGGGTGCTGGGGACCAGGTGCATGGTCCCTGCCTGCCTCCTGGAGTCCTGGTCAGATGGGAGAGCTGCTTCTCTTTGCTGCCTTGAGTGGCTTGTCCCACCCCCGTTCTGTCTGTCCTCTGTCCAGTGGCGAAGATTTGAGCCGAGGATGCACTGTTGTACCCTTGTCCCTTGGGGTTTCCCTGTACTGGGTACTTCTGGAGCTCCCCTCTTCCCCGCGGTGGGTACCTGGGGCTGAGGCATCCAGGTGTCAGCTTGGGGCTGGGGGTAGCTCTGCAGGGATCACTGCCAGCCAGGGGGCACCATCTGGGTCCAACTAGTGGCTTTTCAGGCACTGCCAGTGGGGGGCCCCCCGAGACCCCCCAGCCTCCACATGCTGCTGCCTCTGCTTGTGCCCCACACGGGGATGGCTTCCACGCCTCCAACTCTGGGATCCACCCCACCCCAGTGCTGGAACAGGAGCATGGCAAGCCCTCAGCGTGAAGCAAAGTCTGAGTCTGGTGTTGGTCCAGGCACATCACTTGTAATGCCCACAGCACTTCTCAAGGGAGGGAGGCATTACTGTCCCCACCTGACAGCCAAGGAAACAGAGGCGCAGAGGAGTGAAGCTTCTTCCTCAAGGTCGTGCAGCTTGTGGATATCATAAGTGGGACTTGAATCTGGCTCTGTCTGACCCCGAAGCCTGCACTTTCCCCATCATTGAGGCAGGGGGTAGTTGGGAGCATGGACCCTGGAGCCAGATGGCTTGGGTTCTAATCCTCACTCCCTGCTGACCAGCTGTGAGACCTCGGGCCAGTTACCTGACCATTCTGAGCCATGGTATCCTTGTCTGTAGGGGGATCCAATCCTGGAGCTTGGGCTGGGAAAGAGCCGGGCATGCAGCGGGTGATCCTGAGGAATGGGGAGGCTGGGGAGGACCTGGACCAGCTGCTTGCAATGAACGAGTCCTTTCTGAGACTCCAGTGGGTAGGAGGCCACCGCAGGTCTAGACAGCGAGGCATTTGGGGGTGGGGGTGGGAGTCAGGAGAAGTCTGCGTGCAGCACTCCAGGAC
Organism: Homo sapiens; assembly: GCF_000001405.40. Lineage (NCBI taxonomy): Eukaryota > Metazoa > Chordata > Mammalia > Primates > Hominidae > Homo > Homo sapiens. Next base: position 126,066,989 of record NC_000009.12, read on the forward strand.
AGGAAGGGTCACAACTCCCATCTCTCTTGGGATCCCTCAAAGACTGAGCTCTGCTGGGGGCTGGGGGCTTCAGCCTGGGAGTGGGCATGGAGGCGGGGGAGCTGGAGCCAGGCTCCCTGTTGTGACTTATGGGGGAGCTGGTAATGAAGCTGGCTGGCAGTAAATAATCAGACATGAAAATCTTACCATTTAATTAACCAAAAATAAATGACCAAGGGCCCTGGGAAGAAGGGAGTCCTGGCCACCCTGGAGTCAGCTGCTGCTGTGGGCTCGGAGTGGAACCACTCACTTGTACATCACCCATTCATTCCCATTGGCACAACCCTTGTAGTTCCAATGGGGTGTTGTCATCCCTATTTCACAGAGGGGGAAGCTGAGGCCCAGAGAGGGCAAAGTAACAGCCCAGAGTCCCACAGGATTCAGTAGGTGACCTGGGACCCAATCCTGTGGCCCCTGAATCCAGGGCTGCAGCCCACAATCCTCCTTCCCACCCAGACTGAGACCTTCTTTCTGTCCATCCCCCAAGTCCTCCTATTGCCCTCCTCCTCCAGGAAGGCCTCCTGGGATGCTGCAGCCCCAGTAGCCCCTCTGAGTGAGCCTGGTCTTGGGCAGTCAGTTCAGAACTGAGTCACAAGCACAGTTCCACCTCCTGTACCTCTCCTCACTCCGCTTGGGGGATGGTGGTGGTGGTGGTGGGGTGAATCTTTCCATTTTAAAGAAGGTATCGACTGGCATATGCTGAACTAATGTTCCCATCTCCACTGACTCCTCCTCTGGGAATGATAGATTCACAGGTCAAAGAGCCGATGGACCCCAGGGACAAACAGGACAGTGTCACTCCTGTTTGCTCAGGAGCTCTATGGAGGAGCCAGCTTCTCCCTTTCTTTTCCTTGTTTTTCAGGAGACAATTACTGACGTTTAATCACAGCTCCTTGGCATTCTGTAAAACGGGTACATGCCAGCCAATTAAACAGAGCAAGGAGAGGGGAGCAGGGGCGGAGGGGAGGGAGAGCCAGGGTATGTGGCCAGTGGTGTGTTTTGTCATTGTGGCCCCTCCCCTCTCCTCCCTTCCCCTCCCCTCCCTCCCTCTTTTCTTTCTTTCCTTTCTTTCCCTTCCTTCCTTCCTTCTTGCCTTCCTTCCTTCCTTTCTTTCTCTTTTTTCTTTCTTTTTCTTTTCTTTCTCTCTCTCTCTTTTCTTTCTTCTTTTTTTCTCTCTTTCTTTTTTTCTTTTCTTTTTGAGATGGAGTCTCCCTCTCTCGCCCAGCCTGGAGTGCCGTGGCGCGATCTTGGCTCACTGCAACCTCCACCTCCTGGGTTCAAGCAATTCTCCTGCCCCAGCCTCCTGAGTAGCTGGGATTCCAGGTGCGCACCACCAAGCCCAGCTAATTTTTGTATTTTTTGGTAGAGACAGGGTTTCACCATGTTGGCCAGGCTGGTCACAAACTCCTAACCTCAAGTGATCCTCCCACCTTGGCCTCCCAAAGTGCTGGGATTACAGGTGGGAGCCACCATGCCTGGCCTCTTTTTTTGTTTTTCTTTGAAACTTTTTCTGATGTCTCATTCTGTATTTAAAAGAGCCAATGTTGTAGAGCCCTTGGCGTGTGCCAGAGACTGTGCTAAGTGCTGTGGTGATGATCTCATTTGGTTTTCACAATAGCCCTGTGGAGTGAGTATTCTTATTCTCTTCATTTTCAAGCTAAGGCCCAGAGAGGGTCAGCGACTGCCCCAAGGACACACAGCTAGTGAGAGGCCACGCTGAAGCTGAAGCCATGTCTGTCTGAACCCAAACCCACACTGTTTGCCTGTTCTCTTCGCTGCCTCCCTGTTCATGAGCCAGCAGGGCAGGATCAGGGCAGCCATGGAAACCTCAGTCTTAGGCCGCAGGAAGCGGACAGCACCTGCAGGTCGAAGAAGAATGGCTGGGGCCCGCGGGACAGAAGAGGGACTGTTGTGGAGGAGTGGGTGTGGACTCACTGCTGGAGCTGGAGCAGGGCCCAGTGCGGGGGTGTCCACTGTGTTCCAGCTTTGGGGGCAGCGGTAGGGTGGCTGGGCACACATACTGGGAGGCAGACAGACCTGGTTCTGCCATTTGCCATCTTTGTGGCCTTGGACAAGTCGCCTCCCTCCCCGAAGGACAACAGCGGGCCCTGCCTCTTGGGTGTGGAGGGGAACGCATCGTGAAGGTTTGTGCTCACAAATGTGCCAGGTGCACGCTCAGGGTCCCCAAAATGTGAGCTGAGATTCAGAGATAATATATTCAAAATGCCTAGAACAGTACCTGGTACGTATTGGTTACTTAGTAAATGTAGGGATTATTTCTGTTTTGTAAAACACTTATTTATTGGTGTGCATATATTATACATACTGAAGAAAATCTGGAAGAGAAAATGTGAAAATAGCCACAGTGATTTTTCTTTCAGGGCTCCAGGGTTGCTGGCGATGTTTTTCTTCTTTGTGATTTCCTGCATTTTCCACCTCTTTAGTGGTAAGAAGATACCATTTTTTGCAACTGGAAGGCAAAGCCTTTAAAAAGAAAACCGAAAACAACAGAAGCTGCTGTGGCCAGGCCTGCCGGCTCCCCTCCGCCCCCAGCTGTCAGCGCCCATGCAATGCTTCATTTCCTGGGGGAAGGGGGTCCCAGAGAGGCGGAGCTGTCCAGGACCCCTAGGTCTCAAACCTTGGGGTTTGGGAGTTCCATCTGAAGTGTCTTATCCCTGGGATCCCTGAGGGATGTCCAGGGCTGGGCTATGACCCTGGGATCTGCCCAACGCCTCCTTAGAGCTGGAGCTGGGCACACCTCCAGGGAAGCCAGGGCTCCAGTGCCCCCAAACCTCAAAGATGCCCCATTTTCTTCCTTGCCACCCCGGCATGGCCCTGCCCCTCCCTGCCGATTGGCATATGGGATGGGGATGTGGAGACAATGGAAGCTGAGTGTAACCACTGTTTACAGAAAAAAATGGTACAAGATTTATTTATTGGAAGGTGACTGAGGAATATGAATTCTACACTCCATTTAAAATGCTTTTTATTTCTCTCAGCCTTGGGGCTCAGAGTACATCTAATTTCACCCACAGCTATAATTCTCTTCCAAACAGTTCCTGCTTCTCCTCTGGGTCCCCAGGAACTGAGTTAGTTTATGTCTGCCACTGATGAGGCTCAGGCAGGGGCAGTGAGGACCGCTCTGTGCCAGCGCGCTCTGGAAGCCCTCCTGCCCATGCCACCCCCTGTGTGGACGTTCAGGCTGGGGGCTGGTGGGGTGCCCATGGCGCCAGGCCTGGGGGCCTTGAGACGACCTAGACTCGGGCCGGCGAGCGGCCCATATCTCACGCTGGACGTGTTGATTGTTACAACCTCAGAGCTAACAATTAGTTTGTTAGTATATTTATCCCGTGAACATTGGAGCCTGTGATTACAAATCCAATATCTGGATTGTGGCAGCATTTGGAGATAAATCTGTGCTCCAGGCCTGGTAGTGTCAGCGGTGGGGGTGGGGGTACCCTGAGTGGGAGGGGCAGCCATCTCAGTGGCCTTGCCTGCCTGTTCCTTTCCCTGGCCTGTCTGTCTGCTGGCCTGCTTGTCTGTCTATATGCATCCATCCGCCTGTCTGACTTCTTGCTAGTCTGCCCACCTGGTACCTGTTCTTCCTCCATAGCAGACTTTGGAGCTGCAGAAATTGGAAGACCCTGAATCCTCAAGTCGCTCATGGTCTACTTAGAGAGACAGATGACTCTAATTCTAGGAGGTCGCTGCTGCGACAGAGGGATGGATGGAGAGAACGCTGTGGGATCTCCCAGGAGGGCAGGGCCAACCTTGCCCAAAAGGTTAAGAAAGGACGTTCCAGGGGTCCTGACCAATAGCCACCTGCTCTTTTTTCTTTGGCTTTTAAGCATCCTTCCGCAGGGCCCTCCCTTGGCACCCACCCTGTCTCCCCACCATTTAGGTCTTAACCCACCTACATGGGCCCTTGACGCCCCTTCTGACACCCAGCACAACCAGTTGCCCCCTTGAGGCAAAATCCAATGCTATTATGGGCACACATCCTCCCCATCCCTCAGGCCTGGCAGGCACAGTCAGACTCCCTTCTCCTGTTGATTTTCTCTTTTTGCACCTTCCCTGATGCTGTGGTCTCCAGATTGTGTCTTCTCAGCTCCTTGATTGTGGGAGGGTTCCATGCTCCCTGATCGTGTCTTCCCAGCTCCTTCCAGCTACCTCTTCCTCTGCTGGCTTCTCACCTGCGGCTGTTCCCCGGGCCCAGTTCTGCAACACCGCCCTCCTCACTCCTCCCTCTTCCCTCCTCCTCCGTTCTCCATCCTAGCAAGTCATACTTCCCGTGCCTCCTCTGTCATCCTAGCGATTCCTATATCCCATGTCTCTGCTTCCAGCCCAGAGCTCTTCAGGATCCTGGGTTTTTGGGGCTCTTCTCCCCACTATGCCCCTGAACTTAGGGGCCAGCCAGCCCCCCAACACTGGCTTACCAAGCTGGAATCTGGGAGGGGTCAGTCCTCATTGACGAGTCCTCCTTCACCCCCAGCCAGGATGTCACTGGGCCCGTGCAGCTCTCCTCTCAGAGACACTTGGCACGTCGGCTCTCTCCACTCCTTTGGTCACTGCCTGGGCCAGGCCACCGGCTTCTCTCATGGCTTGTCTGTGCCACCTCCCAGCTGGCCCCTCAGCCTCAAGTGCATCCCCTATAACTCTCCTGCTGCATCTCAGCAATCCTGAACCTTGGAGTGGGGCGGGGGTTGGTGCAGGCAAAACCTGTGAAATGGGAATGGTAATTCTTGCGCGTTAGGGAGGTATGCTAGCAGGGCTTAGTGAGAGCTCAATGCTATTAGGGCTGACCTATATTTAGCACTTGCTCTGGGTCTAGCTCCATGCCAGGCAACTTACCTGATGGACTTGCTTGATTTTCACCACAGCTTGGTGGAGCAGGTTATGTCACTATCTCCAATTTCACACATGTGGGAACTAACACTCAGAGTCAAACGACATGCCCAAGGTCACAGGACTGGAAGGGGTTGAGCTAAGATAGAAATGTGGGTCTGTTTGGCTCCAGGGCCCCACCCTTAACTACTGTCTGTGCTGCCCCAGGAGACGCCCCTTCCAGGGCTGGCCCAGAACCTGGCCCTTAGCAGTGGCTCAGGGCCTGTGACCACTTTTCCTCTGAGGTCCAAGGCCATCTGTGGGCTTGGCAGAGTTTCCTGGGTTTGTGAGAAAGAACTTCAGGGCCTGGACCAGTGCTCAAACTCTCACCCACCATAAAATTCATCCCTTTAGCTGGGCCCGGTAGCTCACGCCTGTAATCCCAGCACTTTGGTAGGCCCAGAAGGGTGGATCACCTGAGGTCAGGAGTTCGGGACCAGCCTCGCCAACATGGCAAAACCCCATCTCTACTAAAAATACAAAAAATTATCTGGGCGTGGTGTCAGGCACCTGTAATCCCAGCTACTCGGGAGGCTGAGGCAGGAGAATTGCTTGAACCTGGGAGGCGGAGGTTGCAGTGAGCCGAGATCACGCCATTGGACTCCAGCCTGGGTGACAGAGCAAGACTTTGTCTCAAAAAAAAAAAAAAAAAAAAAGTCATTCCTTTAAAGTGTGCAATTCGTTGGTATCTTCACAATTCTTAGTATCGTCACAAGGTTGTGCACCCATCACCACTATCTAATTCTAGACATTTCCATTACCCTAAAAAGGAACCTCCCATATCCATGAAGCAGTTTCTCCCCATTTCCCCTCCTTCAGCCTCTGGCAACCACTGGTAGCCCCTGGTAATCTCTTTTCTGTTTCTGTGGATTTGTCTTTTCTGGACATTTCGTGTCAATGGAATCCTCCAACGTGGTCTGTTGTGTCTGGCTTCTTTCACTTAGCACAGTGCTCTCGAGGCAAATCTGTGCTGCAGCAGGCACCGGTGCCTCAGTCTTTTTATTGCCCAGTAATAACCCACGGCACAGGTACACCACTGTTTGTTTATCCATTCACTGGTCCATGGACTTTGGGGTTGTTTTCATTTGTTGGCTGCTGCGACCAACTCTGCTAGGAACATTCTATCTATACTTGTACTGTGTACAAATACACCAGTGTTTCCAATCCTCTAGACACACTAGGAATGGAGTTGCTGGGTAGCATGGTAACTCTGTTTCAACTTCTCAGGAACTGTTTTCCAATGGACTCCCCTTGGCCATGGTGTACTGGTGGGGGAGGACCCAAGGATCCCGCTGATTCATGAGCAGCCTCGTGTGCTGGGACCCTTGTTAGGGCTCTCTGAGCCCACGACTCTTCTCACCATTTACCCCCAAGAACATGGTGATGATGACCTGTGCCCCACTCTGGTCAGAGGCTTCCCATTTGTGATCTTACCCAATCCCCAGAGGAATTCAATGTGGAACGACTTGGTCACCCCGTTTTATAACGGAGAATACAGAGGCTCCATGAGATATGGCAACTTGCCAGTGAGAAGCAGAGTTGAGTCTTGAACCCAGCTATATCTGATTCCAAATCCTTGCATTTCATCCCCAAACTATTTTGCCTTTTACTCGGCCCAGTAAAACTTGTGGAGAAAAGAAGCTCTGAAGAGGTGGGGGCTTGGTGAAGGCAGGGGCCCCCCGCCCCAGTACTCTGTATGGCTCTTGACCCTTTTGTTTCACTGGCTACTGGGGCTGCCCTCTGGTGGGTGGGGAATGGGCATAATTCTGGGCTCAGATCCCTCTTGTGGGCCCAGACATGCCAACTCAGAGAGCTGGGGCCTTTTCTCTGTTTTATAAGTGGGAAAACTGAGGACCAGAGGGAGAAGGGCCAGGGCCACCCCAGTGGTAGAGCTAGGATTCGAATCCAGCTCCGTTTGCATCCAAATCGTTCCAGGTGTGTGTGTGTGTGTGTGTGTGTGTGTGTGTGTGTGTGTGTGTGTTGGCAGCAGTTGGCATGGCAGAGGGACATGCTGTGTGCCCAATTGCTGAAGGTGGATTTAAGGCAAGCTCTCCAAAGGGGGTGCAGTGCAGCACGGTGAATCCACTAATATCTGGGTGATATTGTCACCATCCAGAGAATGAGGAGTAGCTATGGACAAATGGACAATAAGAGTAGCTATGGCCAAAACTAGGACATGCCCACTTTAGAGGTTGCATGAAGCAGTGTCCCTGGGGAATGGCTCTGTGGAACCTCCCAGGACAGACACCCACTGGAGACAATGGGGTAGTTACATCCTAATGACTCCTCCCTGGAGTAAGGAGTCATTCTGACAGAGAGGGTGGCCTGTAAGAGGACACTTAGGGTTTGTCCCTAAGTGACACCAGACAAGAGGAGGAGTCTAGGACCTGTCTTTCAGAGGGATCCAAAAGCTGTGGTCCAGGAAACCCAAAATTGTTCCTTTGTAACTTCCACTGGGGACTGCAGAAGGGTCAGCAGCAAAATCTGAAAGTGAGCAGAGCCACGGGGGCAGTGGGAATCGGAGACTTGGGGCCACTTTCATGTGCGTCCGTGTGAAGAGACCACCAAACAGGCTTTGTGTGAGCAATAAAGCTTTTAATCACCTGGGTGCAGGCGGGCTGAGTCCGAAAAGAGTCAGCGAAGGGAGATAGGGGTGGGGCCGTTTTATAGGATTTGGGTAGGTAAAGGAAAAAGGGGGGTTGTTCTCTGGCGGGCAGGAGTGGGGGTCACAAGGTACTCAGTGGGGGAGCTTTTGAGCCAGGATGAGCCAGGAGAAGGAATTTCACAAGACAATGTCATCAGTTAATGCAGGAACAGGCCATTTTCACTTCTTTTGTGGTGGAATGCCATCAGTTAAGGCAGGAACCAGCCATCTGGATGTGTACGTGCAGGTCACAGGGGATATGATGGCTTAGCTTGGGCTCAGAGGCCTGACATTCCTGTCTTCTTATATTAATAAGAAAAATAAAGTGAAAAAGTGGTAAAGTGTTCAGACGGCGAAAATTTTTGGGGATGGTATGGAGAGATAATGGGCGATGTTTCTCAGGGCTGCTTCGAGTGGGATTAGGGGCGGCGTGGGAACCTAGAGTGGGAGAGATTAAGCTGAAGGAAGATTTTGTGGTAAGGGGTGATATTGTGGGGTTGTTAGAAGAAATATTTGTCATTTAGAATTATTGGTGATGGCCTGGATACAGTTTTGTATGAATTGAAAAACTAAATGGAATAAGAGAAGGAGAAAAATAGGTATTAAAGGACTAAGAATTGGGAGGACCTAGGACATCTAATTAGAGAATGCCTAAGGAGGTTCAGCATAGCCTTGCCAGCAAAGATTATTTATTTACTCTTAGAGTTAAGAGTGGCAGTTTGGGGTTAGCACCAGGAGATATCAGCTGTGATGGCTTGGAGAAACAGTGTAAACTGGCAGTGTAAACAAGAGCAGGGCATGTATGAGTAGTTGAGAATGGTGAATAGGAGTATGACTAGACAGAAGACAGTAGGGATGACAAGTTTTTTGGGGCACAGTCCAAGTTGGTCTGGTGTCTGGAATGAGACTGGGGCCTAATAAAAAGGAGCATCTATATGGGAGCTCAAATGGGCTGTACCTTGTAGCATTCTGAGGACAGGCCTGAATTCTGAGAAGGGAAAGTGGTAAAAGTATTGTCCATTCCTTTTTAAGTTGGTGGCTGAGCTTGGTGAAGTGTGTTTTTAAAAGACCTTCAGTCTGTTCTACTTTTCCTGAAGACTGAGGACTGTAAGGGATATAAAGGTTTCACTGAATACCAAGAGCCTGAAAAACTGCTTGGCTGATTTGACTAATAAAGGCTGGTTTGTTATCAGACTGTATAGAGGTGGGAAGGCTAAACTGAGGAATTATGTCTGACAGAAGGGAAGAAATGACTGCGGTGGCCTTCTCAGACCCTGTAGGAAAGGCCTCTACCTATCCAGTGAAAGTGTCTACTTAGACTAAGAGGTATTTTAGTTTTTGTGACTTGGGGCATGTTGAGTAAAGCTAATTTGCCAGTCCTGGGCGGGGGCAAATCCCCGAGCTTGATGTGTAGGGAAGGGAGGGGGCCTGAATAATCCCTGGGAAGTAGTAGAATAGCAGATGCAACACTGAGAAGTTATTTTCTTGAGGATAGATTTCTACGACGGAAAGGAAATGAGAGGTCCTAAGAGGCGGGCTAGTGGCTTGTACTATAGCATAGCCTGCCTTTGCTGGTGTGTGGCGATTAGGCCTGGTGGAACTGCCATCAAAAAATCAAGTGTGATCAGGGTAAGAAACACGGAAGAAGGAAATGTGGGGCAAGGGGGTGAAAGTCAGGTGGATCAGAGAGATGCAGTCATGAGGGTCAGGTGTGGTATCAGGAATAATGTGGGAGGCCGGATTGAAGTCCGGGCCGGGAACAGTGGTAACTGTGGGAGACTCAACAAAGAGTGAGTCCAGCTGAAGGAGCCGGGGAGCAGAAAGTATATGTGTCAGGTGTGAGGAAGAAAATAGATTTTGGAAATTATGAGAGCTGTAGAGAGTGAGTTGAGCATAGTTTGTGATTTTAAGGGCCTCTAAAAGTATTTGAGTGGCAGCAGCCACTGCACGGAGACATAATGGCCAGCTTAAAACAGTAAGGTCAAGTTTTTTGGACAAAAAGGCTACAGGACACGATCCCGGTCCTTGTGTAAGAATTCCGACTGCACAGCCCTGCACTTTGGCTGTGTGTAATGAAAAGGGTTGGGATGGCTCAGGGAGAGCTAGGGTGGGGACAGTCTCTAAAGCTGTCTTCAAGGAATGGAAAAAGGAGTGGGGAAAGGATTTAGGATCTATGGGGTCAGCTAGGTTTCCTTTTGTGAGTTTATATAATGGTTTTGTTAGGATGGCAAAACCAGCTATCCAAAGGCGAAAGTATCTAACCATGCCTAGGAAGGAAGGGAGTTGTTGTTTTGTAGAAGGGGTTGGGGTTTGAGAGATTAGTTGGACACTATCGGCAGGGAGAGCACGTGTGTTTTTATAAGAATTATGCCGAGATAGGTAACAGATGAGGATGAAATTTGGGCTTGACTGAAGTAAAGGGGGCTGTCTGTGAAGCCTTGCGGCAGTACAGCCCAGGTAATTTGCTGAGCCTAATGGGTGTCAGTGTCAGTCCAAGTGAAAGCAAAGAGAGGCTGGGATGAAGGGTGCAAAGGAATAGTAAAGAAAGCATGTTTGAGATCCAGAACAGAATAATGGATTGTGGAGGGAGGTATTGAGGATAGGAGAGTATATGGGTTTGGCACCATGGGGTGGATGGGCAAAACAATTTGGTTGATAAGGCATAGATCCTGAACTAACTTGTAAGCCTTGTCTGGTTTTAGGACAGGTAAAATGGGGGAATTGTAAGGAGAGTTTGTAGACTTTAAAAGGCCATGCTGTAGCAGGCAAGTGATAACAGGCTTTAATCCTTTCAAAGCATGCTGTGGGATGGGATATTGGCATTGAGCGGGGTAAGGGTGATTAGGTTTTAATGAGATGGTAAGGGGTGCATGACCGGTCACCAAGGAGGGAGTAGAGGTATCTTAAACTTGTGGGTTAAGGTGGGGGGATACAAGAGGAGGATGCAAAGGGGGCTTTGGATTGGGAAGAAGGGCGGCAATGAGATGTAGCTGTAATCCAGAAATAGTCAGGGAAGCAGATAATTTAGTTAAAGTGTCTTGGCCTAATAAGGGAACTCGCCAGGTGGGGCTAACTAAAAGGAGTGCTTAAAAGAGTACTGTCTAAGTTGGCACCAGAGTTGGGGAGTTTTAAGAGGTTTAGAAGCCTGGCTGTCAATACCCACAACATTTATGGAGGCAAGGGTAGCAGGCCCTTGAAAAGAAGCTAATGTGGAGTGGGTAGGCTTTGTATTGATTAAGAAGGGGACGGACTTACCCTCCACTGTGAGAGTTACCTGAAGCTCGGCGTCTGTGGTGGTCTACAGGGCTTCCGAGGCGATCGAGCAACGTCAGTCTTCAGCTGCTAAGCCGAGAAGATCTGGGAAGGAGTCAGTCAGAGAGCCTTGGGCCAGAGTTCCAGGGGCTCTGGGAGTGGCTGCCAGGTGAGTTGAACAGTCCGATTTCCAGTGGGGTCCCCCACAGATGGGACACGGCTTAGGAGGAATCCCGGGCTGCGGGCATTCCTTGGCCTGGTGGCCAGATTTCTGGCACTTGTAGCAAGCGCCTGGGGGAGGCAGTTCTGGAGGAATGCCTGGCCACTGCGGTTTAGGCGTTTGGAAGTTCTTGTGTGCTGGAGATGTGGCTGGGGTTTGTCTCACAGTGGAGGCAAGGAATTGCAACTCAGAAATATGTTGCTAGTTGGCTGCCTATACTCTATTATTGTACACCTTGAAGGTGAGGTTAATTAAGTCCTGTTGTGGGGTTTGAGGGCCGGAATTTAATTTTTGGAGTTTTATTTAATGTTGGGAGCAGATTGGGTAATAAAATGTATATTGAGAATAAGACGGCCTTTTGACCTTTTAGGGTCTAGGGCTGTAAAACGTCTCAGGGTTGCTGCCAAACGAGTCAGGAACTGGGCTGGATTTTTATATTTGATGAGAAAGAGCCTAAACGCTATCTGATCTGGAATAAAGAAAAAGGAGCATTGACCTTGACTATGACTTTAGCTCCAGCCACCTTTTTAAGAGTAAATTGCTGGGCAGGTGGGGGAGGGCTAGTCATGGAACGAAACTGTAAGCTGGACCAGGTGTGAGGAGGGGAGGTGATAAAAGGATTATAGGGTGGAGGAGCAGAGGCTGAGGAAGAATTGGGACCTAGCTCGGCCTGGTGAGGAGGGGAGAGGTCAGATAGGTCTGTAGAAAATGAAGATTAGAAAGACTCAGTGATGCTTGGGGTTGGGACTGAGGGGACAGGTGGGAGGGAAAGAAGGAAGATTTGGGACGAGTTGCATTGGGAACAGAGGCTAGGGAGTGACTGATGTGTAAAAGAATGCCTGGATGTCAGGCACCTCAGACCATTTGCCCATTTTACGACAAGAATTATTTAAATCTTGTAGGATGGAAAAAATGGAAATGCCGTTTTCTGGCTATTTGGAACTACTGTCGAGTTTGTATTGGGGTCAAGCGGCATTGCAGAAGAAAATAAGGCATTTAGGTTTTAGGTCAGGTGTGAGTTGAAGAGGTTTTAAGTTCTTGAGAACACAGGCTAAGGGAGAAGAAGGAGGAATGGAGGGTGGAAATTTGCCCATAGTGAAGGAAGCAAGCCCAGAGAAAAGAGAGAGTAGAGACACGGAGGGAAGGGGTTCGGGGGTTCTTACCCTCCAGAAAAATGGGAAAGGGGTTGGGGTGTGGAAATAAGGGGTCAGGGCACAGAGATAAGAGGTGGGGCATGGAAATAAGGGATCAGGGCAAAGAGATAAGAGGTCGGGGCATGGAAATAAGGGATCAGGGTGCAGAGTTAAGAGGTTGGGGCATGGAAATAAGGGATTGGGGCACAGAGATAAGAGGTCAGGGTGTGGAAATAAGGGATTGGGGGTTCCTGACCCCTAGAAAAGTGGGACTTGCCGCTAAGGTTAAAGGAGAAGAGGTTGAGGGGTTCTTGCCCCTCCCCCAGAAAAGCAGAGAAGGGGTAGAGACAAGGAGAGAAGGGGTTGGGGTACTTGCCCTTCCCCCAGAAAAGCAGGACTTGCCACTAAGGGTGAAGGACCAAGGCAGGCGTCCCTGCATGGTCTGACACCTCTGAAACGTGGGTGAATAATCAGAGAGGCATCCCTGCAATGATTAAACACCAAGGGAAGGCTGCCTTCCCAGTCCGTGACCGGCGCCGGAGTTTTGGGTCCATGGATAAAACGTGTCTCCTTTGTCTCTACCAGAAAATGAAAGGAATTGAAATTAAGAGAAGGCAGAGATTGAAGTGTGGCGCCAAGATTGAAAGGAGAAAGAGGTTGAGGGATAGTGAGGGAGGTTGGAGAAGAGAGTAAAAAGAGGCCGCTTACTGGATTTGAAATTGGTGAGATGTTTCTTGGGCTGGTCGGTCTGAGGACCTGAGGTCGTAGGTGGGTCTTTCTCAACAGAGCAAAGAGCAGGAGGACAGGGGATTGATCTCCCACAAGAGGTCCCCCGATCCGAGTCACGGTACCAAATTTCATGCGTGTCCGTGTGAAGAGACCACCAAACAGGCTTTGTGTGAGCAATAAAGATATTAATCACCTGGGTGCAGGCGGGCTGAGTCCGAAAAGAGAGTCAGCGAAGGGAGATAGGGGTGGGGCCGTTTTATAGGATTTGGGTAGGTAAAGGAAAAAGGGGGTTTTCTGGCGGGCAGGAGTGGGGGGTCACAAGGTACTCAGTGGGGGAGCTTTTGAGCCAGGATGAGCCAGGAGAAGAAATTTCACAAGACAATGTCATCAGTTAAGGCAGGAACAGGCCATTTTCACTTCTTTTGTGGTGGAATGTCATCAGTTAAGGCAGGAACCGGCCATCTGGATGTGTATGTGCAGGTCACAGGGGATATGATGGCTTAGCTTGGGCTCAGAGGTCTGACAGCCACCATGCTCCCCTTTGCAGCCAGGCTGTTGTGGATGTCACTTTGAGGGAGAGCAGGCCTGCAGGAAGATTCCATGGGAAGAACTGCCTCACATCCTTTGTGGATGAAGGCCATGTAGCTGAATGGTTCAGAGCTGGTGCACTGGACTTACCCTGCCTGGGCCTAAGCCACTCTGAACCTGTGTATCCTCTTCTGGAAAATGGAGATCATGATAGTCCCCACCTCAAAGCGTTATTGTGAGGACTTGGAGAGGCATCTTGTATGCCAAGGACCCCACAAAGTAAGTGCCTGATTCCTGGGAGTTAAAATAGTGAATATATAGGAATCAGAGGAAAGGGAATGGCTGGCAGGGAGCTGGGGCTGCCTACATATCTGAGATGAGCAGAGGACTCTGTTTTGGCTCTGGCCATGGCTGGTTTGTGAGCTCAGGCAGGGAGTGAGTAACTCAAAAGCAGGAGTGAAGTGATGCTGGGTCCCCAGTGCTGCCTCCCCAGGTTGGTGCCAGCCTCTGATGGGCTTGCATGCTGGGAAAATGATGCTACCACCACCACCACCGCATGCTTCTATGGCCTTTGCTATGTGCCAAGCCCTGTTCTAAGCTCTTGTAATCATCCACTCATTTAATCCTTACAATACCCCCTGAGATAGGTTAGGTTTTATTCCATTTTACAACTGAGAATACTGGGGCCATGAGTGAGAGATTAATAACTTGTACAAAGACACATAGCTATGAAGTGGAAGAACTGGGATTTGAATAAGAGCTGTCTGTCTCCTGAATCTGTGCCATTAATGATCACTAGATTTTACTGCTTCTACCTGGCTGTGCTGTCTGGAACTGGGACAATGGGTGACTGGATCCACTGTGGGTTCTGGGGAAGGCTGTCAGGGATGCGGGGGTCTCTCAGCTAACTTGGCCCAGGAAGAATCCCCATCTTTTTCCTCGTCAGTCATCTTTGACAAAGAATTGACTGTCCATTTACTTGAAGTTCTTTTCTGTTGATCTTTGGGATTCTTGGAGGCAAGACCCTTGTTTGGTTCTTTCTATGCCTTTTTCCTAGCATAGTCTTGGGCTTACAGTAGATGCTAAATCAACAGTAATTTGTTGCTATTGTTTTGTTATTGGCACAAGTCTGGACTCTTATTATTTACTACCCTCTTTGAGGTTAGAATTTGACCTGCCTCCATGAAGACTTAAAAACATGGCTCTGGAAAATCTCAACCTATATTGAAATGTGTTGTAACCCACAAATGAATCACTGGGCCCCAAGTTTTTGGGAGGATTTCTGAGCTCAGGCACTGCAAGCTGGAGATTCCTGCAGAATCTTCCCCACTCTGAGTTAAAAGTACTATTACTGGGTAGAGATCTTGGAAATGAGCTTAAATTTGTCCCTTGCAGATGCCAAGGTGGGGACAACCCTGGTGTTCCACAGGAACGATAATGATAATGATCACTGCCATTTCTGGGCACTTACCACTTTCCACAGCAGCTCCAGCTAAAGAGGCGGAGTTGGCAAGGCTTCTCCTGGCAGCCTGACCAGCATGAGCCTGTTCCAGGCTGTGGGGAGCCAGATCTCAAGACCTTCAGCCTCAGATCCAAGGAGGTTTGAGATGGCCAAGCCCTGTGGAAGGGCAATGGAGGTTTATGTTGGGCTCCATGGGGGCTGTGGCGGGGGAGAGCTCCTGCCAAAAGAGACAGGTGGGAGAATCTCAGTGGCCGAAGAAACAACTTTGAATGTGAACCTTCTCCCAGTTAGGAGGCAGAGCAATGAAGAGGCTAGGACAAGAGCTTTGGGATTATTAAAATATACATTCACTCATTCAATGGATATTCATTAAGAGTTCCTTCTTTGCTGGCTATAGGCAATAGGGGTGATGGCCACAGAAATTACCAAGACAGAATCACTGGTGCTTAGTCTTGACATGTGTGCAAACCCTGCGCCTCCACCTCGAGCTCTGTAAAGGGCAGGCCAATAACCTCTCTAATCTAAGGATTTTCATCTGCAGAGTGGAGATAGCAATAGCACCTACCTCACTGGGTTGTTGGAGAATTAACTGTGATAATGCATGTGAAAGGCTTAGCCCAGACTCTGGCCCACAGCCTGTGCCTAGTAAATATAGGCCAAAGACTTCCTCTTTGGACCATTTCCCAGTGTACTGGAGATGCCAGCCTGGGAGTAGAGTTCTGGGGATGGCCAACCCCAGAGACAGGGAGTATGAAGGTGTCCCTGGGCAAACGAGTAGCGGGGCTGACTCAGGACCCCCAGCCATATTCCTTTACAAAAGGATTTCTTCAGATGCAGAATTTCCCACTCAACCAATAACTCTGAACCTTCTGGGGTTGCAGTCTCTTGATAAGTGTCCCGCCGGACGTCCTGGTTAGAATGTGGAAGGGGCGAGTGTGCAGTGTGGGAACTGCAGTGAGGGAAAGGAGGAAAGCCCCATGCAGTACCATGGACAGAGGCTTGCTGCTGTCCGTTGTCCTGATCACCTTCGGGGCAGCCTCTCAGCTTGGAGGAGGTCAGAGGGGTGTGTGGCTTCTCAGGGACTAGAGGGAACGTCTGAAACTGTGTGTGTGTGTGTGTGTGTGTGTGTGTGTGTGTGTGTGTCTGTCTGTCTGTCTGTCTGTGTGTGTCTGTGTGTCTGTGTGTGTCTGTGTTAGGGGACTCACATCAGACAGTGATTGACCACAATACTGCGATCTAGTCTGGCTTCTCCCTCAATCTTGCAGGTGCTGAGGATCCCTAAGCCAGGCAGGGTTAGTGAATGGCTTGGGGAAAAGTGACATGATGGGTTGACTGCCTCAGCCTTCAAAAATCCCTCTCTACGCTAACAGAACCTGGGAACAGCCAATTCCCACCCTTATAAGAAATGGGGAGAAAAGAATCACAGTAGATGACCTTTTCCAAGATCCAGATTCTTTCACTTGATCCTTACAATGACCTGTGAGGTAGAGACTTGCTCTTCCAGTTCTGTGCATAAGGAAACAGGCACAGAGAGATTAAGTAGCTTGCCCAGTTAGTGAGTGGCAGAACTGGGGTTGAAACTCAGCAGTATGACTCTAGTCTCCTCTCTTAGCCTCACAGGACAGCCCCTCTCAGAGCCAGACTGAAAGGACAGCATGCTGAGGGTTCATCAGCAAGAAGTTCCTGGTAGGCTCATGGCCAGGAGTGTACAATGCCTTGCAGGATGTGATGGACACCGCTCTACTCTTCCTCTAGAGGGGGAGCCAAAGAGATATAAGGCTCTGTCTGTTTTGTTTTTTTGTTTTTTTTGTTTCTGTTTTTTTTCTTCTTCTTCTTCTAAGCCTTGTCTTGGAGCAAATGAGAATTGGCCTGGTGGGACAATTGGCCTGGTGGGGGCTTTCCTTATCTGTCTGGGGGAATGATGATCTGTCTGCTGCTTCTGTGTCTGGGGTGTCATGGACAGGCAACATGGATGTTTTAAGCATCAGACTGTGGCTTCTTTATTTCCTGCCTTCTTCTTTCTGGCCACTTGGGTCCTGGGCTGGGCTCCCTGTTTTGGCTCAAGTTCCTGCTGATGTGTGAGCAGGTGCCCAGGCCAGCCTGGCCTCCTGTGGCTGAGACTCCTTCATTGGGGCTGACAGGTTCTCTGCAGGGTCTGGAGCTTTGTATTGTGTCCCCCTGGTCTGTTGCATGTCTGGAGGGCACTGGATGCTCCAGCCAGGATCTCTTCAAGATTATCCCCAGAAGACACTGGGACCCACCCTGGATCACTTCACACATGGGCTCTGGTCTGATCTGGTTTCATCTTAGCCAATCCTGTGCTAGGCCTCCACCCCCGACTTCCTGTCAGGAGGTCCTGGAATCCAGGAAGCTGAGGCCACACAAACAGGATGCCCCTCCCTCCCCTTTCCCGTGGCCACCTCTTGCAATGGGGCACAAGTGTTGGTCTTCCCACCTCTTCCTCTAGTGGTTAAACTCAATTTTTAGAAAACCCGAAGGGTTTCGTGATCCATGAAGGGGCTGTAGGATACACCTGGTAGGATGTGTGTGTCTGTCTTGGTGACCGAGGGATGTGTTATATGTGATTATTCTCACATGTGTGAGATGTGTCTCTGTATGGGGCTAAATCTATATGTTCTCTGTATGTGATCCTCTTTCTCTCTCTGCGTGCGTGTGTGTGTGTGTGTGAGAGAGAGAGAGAGGGAGAGAATGAGAGTGAGAGAGCTGAATTCTAGGGTGAGACTGTGTGTCATGTCAAGGAATGAGTCTTGCTCTCCCTCCCTCCCCATCTCTCTCCATTGCAATTTTCATCTTTATGTGCACAAACCTACTACGCATTTCTCTGAAAACTTGGAGTGTGACGTATTGGGTGTGATTGTGTGTCCTCTGACCAGATAAGATTCATCTATGTCCATGAGTCTTGGCAAGTTTGCATGCGTGCCTGTGGGCATACCTGTCATTTCAGTGCCTGTCTCTTTGACTCATGGTACCACGAGGCGTGGATATGCCAGTGTCTGTGGGGGCATGATACAGACATCGTGCCAGAAACCAGCTCCTTTCACCCAACCAAGTTCCCAGCTTTCCCCCGAATGGCAAAGTTGTTTCTTTGAAATGCTTCCAGCACCTGGCTTAATAGACCTTCCTGTGAGCATATTCCCAGTTCCGCACTGCTCCCCAGTGACTGGGGACCTTTTGTCAAGCACATATGAAATTAAGTGAAATAAAAATCATATTAAAAATTATTACCATCTAACAGCCATTAGTCTGCACACTGCTGTCAGCCTGTGATGGATTCCTCACTTACTTCAATGAATGTTCTAACGACAGTGATAAAATCACTCAGAAAAAATAGAATAAACTGTTAACCCTCTCCCCATCGACACTTGTTTTTCTTTAAGAAAAATACAATAAGGGACCTTGGTGGAGGGGGTTGAGACACATGTGACTCCTTAGACTGAGAGATGGGCTGAGTACAGAGTCCTGGGCTTCATCCTGTGAGTCTTGGGAGGGGATTTTGCTCCAGACTAGACATGAGCTCCAGTTTCTGAGCTCTGTGCTGAGATTTGGATTTTTGAGCTAGACTCTGAGCTGTTCCCTAGTCTGGTCAAGTAGGGACTAGTTCTTGTATTTTAGACTTACAGATTTATTAAACATCAACATCTGATAGACAACCCCAGGGGAACAATAATGTATATCTGAGCTGCAGCAGTGAACGAGGGCTGGGAAGAGTGGTCAGATTAGAAAGATGCTTAAAAGGTGGACTTGACAGGACTAGCTAATGGGCTTTATTTGCAGTAGAGAGTGAGGTAGCCCAGACGTTTATTGCTGAAGCTACTAGAAGTTGGAGGACACTATTCACTGAGATAGGGTGAGATAGTCCTACTTCAGGGAGAAGGAGGAGCCCAGTGTTGAGCTATTTGAGTTTGGAGAGACGTGGACGTCCAGGAGGCTGTGAGAAAGGCTGTTGGGCTCTTGAGCTGAAGCCCCAGAAAGGGTTTGGGCTGGAGAGAGATTTGGGCATCCTTGGCACCCAGACAGGGGGAAAAGCCAGGGAGTGGATGAGACTATCCAGGGAGGGTGTGGAGAGAGAAGAGTTGCAAAGACAGCACCTGGAGGACAACTGATCATTGAGAAAGTCCCAGAAGGAGGCAGAGAAGGGGCAGCTGGGGAGCAGGGAAGAGGACAGGGAGGTGTCATGCCATGGGATTCACAGAGGGAGGGTGTTTCAAGAAGTGGAGAGTGATCAGCAAAGTGAAATGCTGGAAAAAAATCAGATAGAACTGAAAAGTATTAGTGGCCATGTGGATGTCCTTGGTGTCTGGATTCAGAGGCATGAGAGAAGGGAGAGGGAAGTCAGATGCAGGTATGCACTCACCTTGCAGACCCCCTTCACCAAGACAGGGTCCCTGACACAGCGATTGCTCTGGGTAGGATAGCTGAGACTCAGTTTATCCAAACACGAGGGGCTGGGCCTATGTACCTTGCAGGGTCTCATCCCTGTGATCTGGGACCCAGGCTAATTTTGCTTCTCTCTGCTGGGCCCTACTTTGGTCTAGAAGGACAGGACGTGGAGGCTTCCTGGGATTACTTGGTGACCCTCAGAAGTGAAAGCAGTGAGGGAGGGGCTCCTAACCTAGTCCTCAGGACCTCAACATTTCAGAGGTTCTGCTGGTTCCTCTGGAGAGTGAGCTCCGGGACCCTTGGGACACAGGGCTTTGAGGAAGCTAGCAGTGCATGAGAGATGATGCTATGAAGTAGGGGGAGGGATCTCTCTCCTCCTGGATGAACTGTGGCCTTTCCTGTCACCCATGAGCCATAGTCCTCAAGCACAGCAGGCTGAGAGGATGGAGTCAGAGAGCCATTGGGAAGACTCTCCCTCCATCTCTCTTTGTATCTGGAGCTAAATGGCCTTTCAATTGAGTATCTCAGTGTGCTTCTATTTCATTCTCCTGTCTGCACTTGGGTTCTCCCTGCTCCCCCATGCCTGCGGACACACAGGGTCACCTTATGGACTCTGTGTTTTCCTGTCATCAGGACAAGCCTAGACTGATTTGTGCCCTTTGGTCCTGGGCACAAATTCCACATTCTTAAGCCTGAGAACATAAGTGGCCCAGGCTGAGTCAGATGTACATTTTTGGTCCAATCAGCAATGGATAGAGTCACACTGGAATAATAATATTGATGACAAGAACATGTGAAAGTTATGATGATGGTAATGATAACAGCCAACATTTACTAAGCTCTTAGAATGCACTATTTTAAGTGCTTTGCATGTTTAATTCCTCATCGTCATACAATGCTTGTATGATACAGGCACTACCCTTATCAGACTCACTCTATAGATGAGGCACAGAGAATTGAAGTAACATGCCCATGGTCACACAGCCAGTGTGTGGCTGAGCTGACTTAAAACCCAGTAGTTTGGTCCTAACATGCCTGTGCCTGACCAC
Source organism: Homo sapiens (assembly GCF_000001405.40). NCBI lineage: Eukaryota > Metazoa > Chordata > Mammalia > Primates > Hominidae > Homo > Homo sapiens. The sequence continues at coordinate 126,087,330 of NC_000009.12, forward strand.
TGCACAATGCCGTCTCTTGAATGTGGCTACCACACCCATCTGTCTTAGTTTGTTTTCTGCTGCTATAAAAGAATACAACAGACTGGGAAATTTATAAAGAAAACAGATTTATTTGGCTCATGTTTCTAGAGGCCAGGAAGTCCAAGTTTGAGAGGCTGCATCTGGTGAGGGCTTTCTTGCTGTGTCATAACATGGCAGGAGGCATCACATAGTGAGAAAGTGCTTATGTGAGAGACAGAGAGAGATAGAGGGGGCTGAACTCCCATCATAACTAACCCACTCCCACAATAATGGCATTAATCCACTCATGAGGGCAGAGCCCCCATGGCCTAATCACGTCTTAAAGGCCCCACCTCTAATACTGTTACAATGGCAATTAAATTTCAACATGAGTTTTGGAGGGAACATTCAAAGCATAGAACCATCCCTAGAAGGAAAACTCTTAGACTATGAGCTGGGCAGACACTTCTAGAGTTGTTGCTATGTTCAGGGTCATAGAGAGTCTGATGCAAAGACCAAAGAGGCCTGGGTGGATGCCAGAAGCAGTCAGCCTCAGGCCTTGGCCAGAGGGGTTGGGAATATGACAAGCTGGGCAGGTGCTAGCCTAAGATCCCAGCAGGAGACCAGCGTGGCCAACTGGGGTGTCAATGAGCGTCAAGCCTGGAGGCTTCAAGTTGAAGCTCATGGTACACCCAGGAATGGGGCATGAGTTTCATGGAGCAGCCATGCATTCCTAACATTACCCCAGGCATGAAGGACTCTGGATCTGCCACTGGCCTGGGCTGTCACTGGCTTAGGCCTGTGTAGGGTGGAGCCCCAGGGGCATCTGTGAGAGCCTGGAACCAGCAGGGACTGAGACAAACAGGCAGCCCTGCTCCTGATCCATGCCACACCCTCCTGGGTATAGCCCCATTGTCCGTATCTCATCCCAAGTTACTGACATATCCCAGTTTGTGTGTCTTCACAAGTGTCTCCTCCATTCTTTGGGTGTCCAAGACCAAAGTGTATCTCTTGGCATATCCTGCTCATCCATGGGGAGGCTGGACACTCATGATGGGCTTTGGAGTCAGAAAGGCCTAGACTCAAATTCTGATTCTATCAAAATCAGCTAGGGAAACTTGGGCCAATTTCTTCTGAGCTCCTGCTTGCTCACGTATAAAGGGGGGAGTTGATACCCACTCTTCCACGAGAACACGAGCTCAGATAATGCCTGCCAAGTGCCTGCCACAGGGTAGATGCTCAGTAGGCGTCGTTAGTATTACTGGAATTAATCCTTTTGTCTAAAGCTTGAGTCATGCTCTCCCATTTTCAGAAACAGACCTCTTGGAGATTTCTCTGCTCTGTTTGGCTGGTAGCTTGTCCAAGGGCTGAAGTCTTCTGTGAGATGATGATCACGAGGCTATGGGAGGAGAAACTGGGGTCCCTTCTAGATGGGGGGGTCACTGGAGAAACAGGCCTGGTGGTCCACAGATGTGCGGCAGCCCATCCCTCCATGCTCTGTGAGGACCTGCTTCCCCAGCAGCCCTGCACCCAGACAGCCTCCTGGCCTGTGTACTGCTGTGCTACCCCTCCAATGCATATGTGTCCAGCACCCTGTGCCATCCCCTAGTGAAAAGTGGCTTGCAAGCCCGGGTCCCAGCAAAGTCCAGGACCTTTCTCCATGTTAGGCATCTGACCATGACCCACAGGGCCAGGAAGCCCTCAGCATTCATTGCCTAGGGTTGCCATGACAACTTACTACAAAGTTGGTGGCTTCAGACAGCAGAGAGTTGTCCTCTCACAGTTCTGGGGTCTACAAGTCTGAAATCAAGGTGTCAATGGGGCCACACTCCCTGAGAGACTGTGGATAGACCTTGGCCTCTTAGCTTCTTCTGGTGCTGGCTGTCAACCCTTGGAGTTCCTTGGCCTGCACTCTGCCTCTGTCATCACCTGGCCTTCTCCCTGTTTGTTTCTCTTTCTTTTGTTTATGATGACATAAACAAATTGGATGAAGGGCCCATGCTATTTCAGTGTGGCCTCATCTTAACTTGATTACCTCTGCAAAGACCGTATTTCCAAATAAAGTCACCTTCACAAGTACTGGATTTTAACACTTCAACAGGTCTTTTTGTTTCGTTTTGAGACAGTCTCACTCTGTCGCCCAGGCTGGGCTATAGTGCAATGGCATGATCTCGGCTCACTGCAACTTCTGCCTCCTGGGATCAAGCAATTCTTGTGCCTCAGCCTCCCAAGTAGCTGGTATTACAAGTGTGCATCATCATGCTTGGCTTATTTTTTCTATTTATCAGTAGAGATGGGGTTTCACTGTGTTGGCCAGGCTGGTCTCAAACTCCTGGCCCCAAGTGATCCACCTGCCTCAGCCTCCCAAAGTGCTGGGATTACAAGTGTGAGCCACTGCACCCAGCCCAACATGTCTTTTTGGGATACACAATTCAACACACAGCACCTTATAAGAGGGTCCCTGAGGCCCTGAGCATGCCCTGCTGGAGATGGAGGGAGGGACTTGGGAAGTACAGTACAAAGAAGCACTTTGGGAAGCAGGGGCTGGGTCCACATAGAGCCTGGGTTAGGAATGCCAGGGAGTAACCACCACCCCAAGAACCATCTCAGCACTGGGGCCTGCATCGCATCTCAGGAGTGCTGATCAGAACCATCAGCCCCAGGGCTGGGATGCAGCTGCCCCTGCTGGCTCAGAAAAGTCACCACAGAGGTGCGATGGCCTCACCAAAGACCTTGGCCCAAGTATTTCTGGTGTGTCTCTTGGGGTGATTTTTGGGTACAGTCACTCAAAGGTTGTTCCTAGGACTGGGGCCTTTTGGGTGGTAACTCACTCATTCATTCCTCAGATATTTACTAGAGATCCACCATGTGTCAGGAATTGCAACTGGCATAGAGGATGGCCTCATGGAGTAAGTCGTTAATTAAACAATCAGTCCTGGTAAATGCAATAACCACTATTTAAAAAAAAATGTCCAGGCAAGGTGCAGTGGTGCACGTCTGTAATCCCAGCACTTTGGGGGGCCAAGGTGGGAGGATTGCTTGAGCCCAGGAGTGCGAGACCAGCCTGGCCAGCAGAGAGAGAGTTTATCTCTACAAATAATAAGAAAATTAGCCAAGCATAGTGGTGTGCACCTGGGGTCCCAGCTAGCTACTCAGGAGGCTGAGGTGGGAGGATTGCTTGAGCCTGGGGGGTGGAGGATGCAGTGAGCCGTGATTGTGCCACTGCACTCCAGCCTGGGTGACAGAGTGAGACCCTGTTTCAAACAAAACAAAACAAGGAGCTTAAGTGTACGTAGTATCATAGGGAGGCTGGATTTTGATTGCAGGATCAGGGAATTTAGCAGGGATCTGAGAGATTAAGAGAGAACCAGGCTAATGGGCAAGGGAGGATTGGGCTGAGTATTCTGGGTTGGGGGGGACCAAGTGTGCTGAAGCCTGGAGGTGGGAGGGATCAGAGTTCATTTGAGGAAGAGAGGCTGTGTCTATTAATGGGGATCATCAGGCATCAGGCTGGGTGAGATGGGTCTGAGGGAGCCCTGAGGGTGTGGCCAGGGACCAGTCAGCAGGTCCCCCAGGTGATGGGGACTCTGGCTAGCTTTGGGCCAGTACCACTATCCAAGGAGGGAGGAAGCGCTGAGGCAGGGACTCAGCCCAGTTCCCTTCCTTTCCCTTCAGCAATGCCCACTGAGCCCCTCCTGGGGATCTGAGCTTCTGGCCTTACCAGGGAAGGAAAGGGTGCCTTTCCCAGTAGGAGGCTGCAGGGCTGGGCGGGGAAACTGAGGCAGAGACCTGGGATGTCAGTGGGACAGACACAGCAGGGAAGGGAAGGGTTCAGGACGTCCCCTTCCACCGATCAAAGTACCTCTGACCCTCGGGGTCCCCAGATCCACCTTCTACCCTATCCAGGGTTGGGTCAGAGCCTTGGCGGGGCTGAACTTGTAAAGTCCCTGAAGCTGACAGGGACCCTGGATCAGGGATGCACAGGGAGATTGAGAGGTGGGACTGCTGACCTGCTCTGGGAGTCTGAGCCATCACTGGGTCCCACAGGGGCTGGTGATCTCAATGCAGTAAAGGTGCTGAGGACTTGGGCCAGAGACCAGAATTAAGCTGGTGGGAAAATGCAGGCTGAAGGAGCCTGTGAGAGTGGGCAGAAGAATTGGAGGGACATGTTTGTGTTTGTGTGTGTGTGTGCGTGCGTGTGTGTGTGTGTGTGTGTCTGTGTAGCAAGAAGATTTGGGGCAGGGGTTTAATGATCACCTGAGCTCTGGGAGGCCCTGGACTCTGCTGGCTCTCAGGGCTGGGGGGATGCCCCTTCTCCCCGGGGAGAAGAGTGTGGCTTTTCACCACTAGTCCTGGAGGTAAGAAGGCGACTGAAGAAGGGAACAGTGGAGTCAGATGGTCTTCATTCTCCGCCACAGTGGAGTGCAGTAGCGTCACATCTGGATCCCACCTGGGTTCCTTAGCTTAGCAGCTGTGTATCCTGGGGCAAGTTCTCGGCCCTTTCTGACAGGTTTTCTCCTCTGGAAAGTGGGAAGAGTGCCATTTTGTTCCCAGGAGTTGCCATGCCTGGAACAGAGCCTGGAGGCTTCAGTAAATGGTGGGTGAGTGTGCAGGGGGTTTGGGCACTCCCGGGCATGTCTGAAGCATCAGGGTCTGTGTCAGTAGTCTCAAAGGCAAGGAGGACATTGTGAAGGGTGCAGGGTGAAGGGCAAGAATATGTCTGTCACCTCCTGGACCCATGGACTCACATCTGAGCCGTGGAGAGGTAGTGTCTGGGCAGGAGCTGAGGACAACTTTCATGGGGATGCTGGTGACTGGGGGCAGTGGCGGAGCTGCTGGGGGCCTAGAGAGAGCTGCCTTCTCCCCGGGCTGCACCCACCCAGCGACTTCAGCTCATTGAGGGCTGCAGACAACTCAGGAGTCCTTTGGTGCAAGGAGGGCTGGCAGCCTTGTTGGTATCGGAGGCAAGGGACACAGACTTCAAAAGGGGGGGACAGGAGAATGTTGCGGGTGGTCTCCATTCTAGGGGAATCCCAGAGCTACCAGGAGGAGGTCCTATGCTGGTGTGCTTTTGTGGGGGTGGAGGGAGCATGCCAGGAAAATGCGGGTCACGTCTGTGGAAACGACCCACAGGTGCCCACCACTGTGGAGGTCTGGGGGTCACAGGGTACAGGTATGCAGGTTAGGTGGAACCATGCCCTCCTGGTCACCAGTGCCCGAAGAAAAGATGCCAGGATGATGCCTGTGGCACATGTCCACAGAGCAGTGCTGGGGCTGGGTGAGGGGAGTGTGGCCCCTTGGACACAAAATATAAAGAGTTCCTTGCCATCAGCGTGTTGCAAGTACACGGTCAGCACCTGAGGGTGCCTCACACCCCTCACTTAGTCCCAACACTGACACATTTGCCTTGCCTGTCACTTGGGGACACTGAGTCTTGGACTGAACCTGTATGCAGAATCCACTGAGCTTATGTTTCCCAGCCAAGGGAGGAAGGGACACCATCATCCCTTCCTTTGTAGGTAAAAATGCCCTTCGTCCATTTCTCCATGATTAAGCAAAAATGGGAAATTTATCAGCTGGATTTCAGGAAAAGTCCAGGGGTAGATTTAGCTACAGGCACGGCTGTATCTAGGGGACTCAGATGATGTTTTTTTAAAAAATCATTTTATTTTTATTTAAAAAATGTTTTTTAGAGACAGGGTCTTGTTCTGTCACCAGGCTGGAGTGCAGTGGTGCAGTCATGGTTCACTGAAGCCTCGAATTCCTAGGTTCAAGCCATCCTCCTGCCTCAACCTCCGAATAGCCAGGGCCACAGGTGTGCACCACCACTCCTGGCTCATTTTGTTTTTTATAGAGATGGGGTCTTGCTATGTTACCCAAGCTGGTCTCAAACTCCCGGCCTCAAGTGATCCTCCTGCCTCGGCCTCCCAAAGTGCCAGTATTATAGGTATGAGCCACCGCACCCCACCAGATGATACTGGCTTTTGGACTGAAATCATAGAGCACAGTGGTTAAGCACTATGGGCCATGAAGCCGGACTACCAGGTTTCAAATCCTGGCTCTGGGCCCCACTGGCTGCAGAGGGAGAGTGAGGCTCTTTTTGTTTTGTTTTGCTTTGTTTTGTTTTGTTTTGTTTTAAGATGGAGTCTCACTCTGTCACCCAAGCTGGAGTGCAGTGGTGTAATCTTGGCTTACTGCAGCCTCCGCCTCCTGGGCTCAAGCGATTCTCGTGCCTCAGCCTCCCCAGTAGCTGGGACTACAGGCACGTGCCACCACACCCAGCTACTTTTTTGTATTTTAGTAGAGATGGGGTTTCTCCATGTTGCCCAGGATGGTCTTGAACTCCTGAGCTCAGGCGATCCGCCTGCCTCGGCCTCCCAAAGTGCTGGAATTACAGGAGTGAGCCACTGCGCCCAGCAGGGAGTGTGAGGTTATTGACCTGCAGATGCTTCAATTCATTCCTGTGTAAAATGGGGACAATGATACTACCCAGCTGTGGGGAGCTGTGAGGAGTCCTTGTGATGACGCCCGCCAGGCACGGCTCCCCTTGGCCCTCTGAGGATCCACTGAGTATAGGCGACCACTCCCTGGCCCCATTCTTGTGAGAACAGAAGCTTCCTTCTCATTGGCTCCAAGCCTAGGGGTGGGGCCTATCCTGTACGTCCAACTCAGACTTTGTTCTCATTGGCTCCAAGCACAAGGGGTGGGGCCTATGGTCAGATAATGTCACACGTACCCCCAGGCAGACCTGAGAGCACCTCAGCTTAGCACTGGCAAACTCGGCACTCAGGCGTCGCCTTCAGGATTTTTGATCATCCATGTACTCCTCACATGATTATTAGCACACATGACAAATGGACCTTATTTTTTTACAAATATTTATTTTAAAAGGAAAATTTACCTTCCGTGGGAGACACTATGATTGTGAAAGATTCCAGTTGTGGCTGCAGCACCCGCTGTGTGACGTTGGGGTCAGTACCAACCACTCTGAGCCTCAGTTTCCTTCTTTTTTCAGCAAGAATAATAATGATCTGACCCCACAGGGTTTCCAAAGATTAGGTGAAATTAAAATACGCAAAGCTCAGAACAACACCAGACCTGTTGTAAGTGCTGTACACGTCTTAGCTATGTTGTCATCATTATTGTTAGTAAGGGAGAAACCAGTGTTATTGCTGTAGGTGGAGGCAACTATAAAAATAAATACAATGAAAATGCACTGAGGTTAATAAATTCCATGTCTGCATCCTGCAGAGGGCTCCAAGCCCAGGACCTACAATCTTTGTTAACAAGGGTGATTTGGGAGGCCAAGGCAGGAGGATCACTTTAGGCCAGGAGTTCAAGACCAGCCCTTACAACACAGTGAAACTCCGTCTCTGCAAAAAATAAAATAAAAAAATTAGCTGGGCATGGTGGCGTGCACCTGTATTCCCAGCTACCTGGGAGGCTGAGGTGGGAAGATCACTTGAGCCTGGGAGTTCAAGGCTGCAGTGAGCTATGATTGTGCCACTGTACTCCTGACGAGATGACAGAGCTAGACCCTGTCTCAAAAAAAAGGGTGATTTGGGATGTTGATGAGGTGTTGGACAAGCCAGCACCAGAGACTGTCTTCTTTCTTCTTCACTTGAGCAGGTCTGCAGACAGTTAAGAGGAATACAACTTCCCCAGTAGTAACGCAATGGCATGTAGGCACCAGCAGCAGCCCGTGGCCTGCCCTCTGGGAGCAGCGGTCAAGGGTTGCAAGGAGGACAGGAAGACACTCTGACCTGTGTTAAGAGCTATTTGCCAACTATGTGACCCCAACAGGTTTCTCCACCTCTCTGAGACACAAGTTCCTCCTCTGAAAATGATGTCAACCAGGTGGCCCTGCTAAGGCTGCTGTGAGATGACAGCAGGGAGTCAAGGGCTTAACATAGTCCTGGGCATGCTCCAGGCTCTTGTGGCCTCCATAGTCAGTCAGGGAGGCTTTTAGGCCACATCTGGGGACAGGACTGCCGGAAAGCCGGGAAAGCTGGGAGGCAGTGGCCAAAGGTGATGTTTAAGGTGGGCTTTGCAGACACCAGTGTGGTTGGGCTTTTCTCCACGAGCCGCTCTGGGTTCACCCATGATTTTTCTGTTTTCAAAGGCTGAGAAATCCGGTGGAGGGGGCCAGGATGCCCCTGAACCTGGTCATGGGAGCCGTGGTGGCCTCTGCACACTGCTGTCATCCAGGGGCCAAGCGGGATCCAGAGGAAGCTGCCTAACAGGCAGCTGCAGTGGCAGAGGTGGCCTGTGTGCCACCACGCTCACTGAGCAGAGCAGTGAGATGTGACCGGGAGGAATGGGGGCCTGCCTGGGCCTCCCCACACGTGCCCATTGCCAATTTGCTGATGACCCCGCGCCAGGCTCTTCACCTCAATGCTCCAGAGTCCGCAAAGTGGGGTGAGGGGTGGGGGCCAGCACTATTACCTATGGACCTCAGAAGGTTCTAGAAGAAGCAGCTCAGGGCATGAGGGGGACCTGAGGTTCCAGGGTTGGTCTGCTGGGATTCGCGGTGTGACTTTGGGCAGGTCTCTCCGTGCCACTCTGGGTATCAGTTCACACCTCGGTTCCTGGGGCTTGGTCTGGGTGATCCCCACAACTTCAGCCTTTGACGGCTGGGATTCTGCGGGCTGCAGAGAGAGACCAGCTAATGTGGCAGAGGAAGACTGGGTTGGGGAGAATGCCTGTCTGTGAGGCGCCCCTAAGAAACTCCCTGCCATTTCAAGAGGGCCGTGGGGTGGGTAGGGAAGTGGGGACACAGAGGCTAAACAACTGGGCTTTGGAATCATTTGCACCTGGTGTGACTCCTGGCCCCATGTGTGCCCCCGTGTGACCCTGGACAAGTGCCTCCTCCTCCCAGAGCTCCAGTCTTCTCATCTGTAAAATGGGGGTGATGGTGGCATGTAGGACGCTGACACCTGACAGCATTGGGGATAAATTGCTGAGCACAGCATCAGGCTCACAGAGGGCTTAGTAAATTACAGGCAATACAAAGACTACTGCTGTGGATTCTTACTGTGTTTTGTGGTTGGTCTTCCTGCTTTGTGCAGATTCAGAACCAGGGGTGTGACAACATCCTACAAGGGTGGGAGGCCAGGGCAGGCCAGGGCTATGGGAGCAGAAGGGTTAAGTCTCCATGGAAACAGGCATGCATTATTTACGTGGCCTAATGAATAAAACATTTATGTGGTAGGCTAATAAATTCCCTCACACAAAGCAAAGTAAGCTATGATTTAAATATCGGCCTCCGCTGGCAGGCTGAGTTATGGAGCCTGCTCAGGGGAGACCCTCTTGGCTTTCTTTATACCTCCATCGGCTGGATGGAGTGGGAGGGCGAGAGAGGAGAGGAGGGAAGAAAGCGGGGAGGTGGAGACCCTTCCTAGTAAGCGGCTTTCTGGGCCCTCCTGACCTGAGGCCTGAGCCCCTTGTTGCCCCTGCTGTGACTCTGTCTCTCCCAGCCCAAAGCTGCTGCACCCCTAGGGGCCTTTTCCTAGAGCTGGAGCTGCAGAGGGAGGATTGGGTGACAGGTGGGACTGGCCCTTGGAGAGCAGAGATGGCCCAAGGTGGGGCACAGCCTTCTAGGATCTCCTGGGGGTGGCAACTTCTCTTAGGGAGACAGGCCACACCTCTGGGGCTTAAGGGGCTTAGACATGAGCACTGGGCAGTGGGAACATCCGTCAGGTTTGGGAGCTTGTCAGGTCCACTCTGGAGTAGTCTGGGATCAAACAGAGGGACAGCTGGGACTCGCCGTGGGGAGCTGAGATGGGGCGTCGGAGGAGGATGTGGGTGCAGAGCCTGGGAGAAGGTAAATCAGGTGTCTGGTGAAAATGAAGCAGCCCCACTTTGGCCTCACCCGCCTTTGTCATTGTCATCTCCCTGGCTTTATCTCATCACTTCTTCCCTTTTTGTTTCTGCCTGTCTGTCTCGCTGTCTTTTGTCTCTCCTTCATTTGCTCTGGTTCCCCCCTTCTTTCTCTGTATCTCTGTCTCCTCTGCCTCTCTCTCTGACTTTCTTCTTTTCTCTCCCTCTGTTTCTGTCTCTCTCTGTGTATCTCTTTTTCTCTGTGTCTCTTTCTTTGTGTCTTTGTTTCTTTATCTCTGTCTGCTTCTCTGTCTCTCTCTCTGTCTCTACACCTTTGTCTTGGTCGGGGTCTCTCTCTGTCTGCCTCTGTCTCTCTCAGAGGATTCTGACATGGCAGGAGGAGGGGTCCCACATTCCTGGACCAGGGTGTGAGGCCTCCACTGGGCCCTGGAAAAAGGGTGGTTGTGCAGGAGGAGGGGGCTGCCTCGGGGCCTAAAGGGTTGAGCATTTGTCTGAGAGGCACTGAGTGTTGCAATGGTGCTGGGGAAGTGGTTCAGGCATCATCCGTACCAAAACCAGGTGGGTAGCACTGGGTGCCCCTTAGCCAGAGGCCTTCTCTGTTCTGGTCCCCGGGAAAGCCTGAAAAGGGAGATGTAAACTTTGAACACGTTCCTCATGCTGGATCAGGTCCTCCTGGCAACCACCCCAGGAAACTGTCCAAGGCAGCTGTCCTGCCCCAGAGGCCATTAAATCACATGCTGGGCATAGTTCCTCCCTCAACACCCACTGGGGCTTCAGCTTCCCACTGCCATGAGGGCCTGGGGCTATAGCCCTTTGGGGACTGCCTCCTAGGGCAGCCGGCACCCGGCTGCATGGCTGGTGATGCGGCTGCCTCACTGTTCTGGTTATCTATGGCTATGTAACCAGTTACCCTAAACCAAAACGGCACAAAACAACACCATTGTATTATGTTCATGATTCTGTGGGTCAGGAGCTCAGGCAGGGCCCAGTGGACGTAGTCCCTCTCTGGTCCATTGTATCTGGGACCTCAGCTGGAGATGGCTGGAATGGCCTGACTAGGACCACCTGTCTGGGGTTGTGGGTCTTCTCTGTGTGGCATCAACAAGGGCTGGAGTGTCTGAGGTGGTTGCTTCACTCACATGTCTGGTGCCTGAATAGGCTGGGCAGACATCTCTGTGTCTCTGTTTGCAGCCTCTCCAGGGGGCTAGCTTGGGCTTCCTCAGAACATGGCGAACTCAGGGTATAGAGTTAGATTACCTGAATGATTCTGACTCCCCTGGAGCAAGGATTTCGTTAGGAATTGCTGGTCTTCTTAAAGCCTAGGTCTGGGACTGGCCAGGCATCACATCTGCCATATTCTTTTTTATTTATTTTATTTTATTTTATTATTTTATTTTATTTTGAGACAGAGTCTCGCTCTGTCGCCCAGGCTGGAGTGCAGTGGTGCGATCTCGCCTCACTGCAAGCTCCGCCTCCTGTGTTCATGCCATTCTCCTGCCTCAGCCTCCTGAGTAGCTGGGACTACAGGTGCCCGCCACCACGCCTGGCTAATTTTTTGTATTTTTAGTAGAGACGGGATTTCACCGTGTTAGCCAGGATGGTCTTGATTTCCTGACCTCGTGATCCACCCACCTCAACCTCCCAAAGTGCTGGGATTACAGGCGTGAGCCACCGCGCCCGGACACATCTGCCTTATTCTATTGGCCAAAGCTGTTTCAGACCAACCGAGATTCCAAGGGGGTGGAAGAATCGACCCCCACCTCTTGATGGGAGAATGGCATACATACATGTTCAGTGAGGGAGGACTCAGTGACAGCATTGGAGGCAAGGAACCACATCCAGCCAATGGTGTGGTACAAGGGAAAGCCTCTACCCTTCTTCCAGGCAGGGGTAAGGCATAAACTTGCAGGCCAGACACTTCAGGGCTCATGTTCCAGTCTGATTCTCACTAGCTATGTGGCCTCAGCAAATGATTCCACTACCAGTGCTCTGTTCTAACCTCTGTGAAATGGGGATCACAAGAGTGTCAGCCCCAGAGTATGTGGAGGGCTATGTGAGCTGGTGAGTATAATACCCCAAGCTATCTCCAATATTAGCTATTCTTCTTCTCTGGCTTTCTCCACCCCTAGAGGCCAACCAAGTCCTGTAATGACACACATGGTCTCTCTTGGGTCCTCTTACCCTTCCAAGTCCTGGTGTGTTGCATTCTCCTGCCTCTCTCAACTCCCAGGACTGTGCAATAACATCATCTGTGAAGCTTTTGAAGCATCAGGGATGTGGTTGCCACCATGTGGGAGGGGGCAGGCCATCCTCTCTGTCCTCACTGTAGATCCCAGGGCAGTGCCACCTTCTGGAACCTGCCATAGCACAGGATGCTGTGCCCTGGAGCAGTGCTTCATCCTGGAGGCAGTGGCCAGGCAGGCAGTGGAGGAGGCGTGATACAGATTCCTCCTGTGCACAGGGAGGCGAGGAGGCTGAAATTCCAGGAGAAATGCCTCCCACACAGTGGGGGCACCCCTGCGTGCTCACCTTTGAGGCAGGCAAGCCTAGTGGTCAGGTCTGTGGATGTTGGAACCAGCCTGCCCAGGTTCTGCTCCTGGCTCTGCCACTTCCTGGCTTTGCAGCCTTAGACAAATTTTTTCACCATTCTGCACCTCACTTCCTCTTCTGCAAGATGAGGTGTTAAGGATACCTACCTCTGGGGGCTACTGTGAGAATTAAATTAGTTAATGTTTGTAAAGTGCTAATAGAGTGCCTGATACACACTACACATGTGTTCTTTGTTAGCACTCTGGTGTGTATTTATGGTGTTGGCTGGGATCCTACAATGACAGGTGGGTGCTCAGTGACATTCTAACTGGGAATTTGTATTAACAGGGCCACATCTGTCCTTAGATTGATGGTATCTGAGATGTTTGGGGCCTCTTTTTTCTTTTTTGAGACAGAGTCTTGCTCTGTTGCCCAGGCTGGAGTGCAGTGGTGTGATCATGGCTTACTGCAACCTCCTCCTCCCAGGCTCAACCTAAATGTGTGACCATTGGTGACATAATCACAAAAAGAGCAACTATCCCAAGTGACTTTAAAATATAGGAATCTGGCTTTACATTACCAGTGGGGTATACATGAAAGGTAAAAGGAACTGTAAAAACAACCCTAAGCTAATTTCCATAATCACATTGTTGGTGAAGTGTTGGTCCTGTCATTCTAAGACTGTGGTGTGCACAGAGTGAAATAAAATAAGTGAGTAATTGTGTTAGTCTCATTGAGGACTAGGATCTTTTTTTGCATGTAAAAAAGGATATGCAGATATAAGTTCTATAAAGTTAAATAAAAACTCTGAATTTGAGTTGGAAGTAGTATAAATTCATAATGTATTTTACCTAAAAATGTTTAAAGAGAAGACACATTGCCTATCTCTGCCTACTGAAAAGCAGTAAAAACAGTGAAAAATCCAGTAGCACTGAGCACTCCCAGTACTCGGATTATGGTTTCTAAATACATTTTTTCCCCTAGAAACCAGGATTCCTTGGAGAAATGACTGATTTGAGATCTAAGGTAGGAAATGTACAAGGTAAGCCTGGAATGTCTTGTCTTTCTAGAAAGCAAAGATATATCAAAGACTTCCAAGATTGTAGATACAAAGACCCGGAAGCAAACTTGAAAAAGGGTCCATGGCTAATGATTGGAACACAAGGATAATAGCTGCAATGGATTAAAGCACATCAAATATGTTTAAATCCATGAGTTTACAATGATACTAAACTAAACCAAACCAAACCAATCCTCATAGGTCATCTTTGGAGGACGTTCGAGAGCCATTGGATTATTTTGAAAACAGGTAAATACAGAGAAAAAATAAGGTGCTCATGCTGCCATTAACATATGAACTTTACTTCAGGTTACCAATTAATTGATGATGGGAAATTTCTCTTTATAGATGTTATCCAGCTAATAAATGAGGAGGGAGATACAAATTAGAATATAACTATTTTGCAATCTCTAATGAAATAAAGAATCTAGGCAATGAGCTTCAAACATCCCTGAAAGAAAATAAAGGCGACTGGGCATGGTGGTTCATGCTTGTAATCCTAGCACTTTGGAAGGCCAAGACAGGAGGATCGCTTGATGCCAGGAGTTTGAGACCAGCCTGGGCACATAGTTTGAGACTAGCTGGGCATGGTGGTGTGTGCCTGTAGCCCCACCTACTCAGGAGGCTGAGGTGGGAGGATCACCTGAGCCTGGGAGGTCAAGGCTGTGGTGAGCCATGATCATGCCACCGCACTGCATCCTGGGTGACAGAGTGAGATCCTGTCTCAAAAAAATAAAAGACAAGAAAAGATAACCAGACATTATCTCTTGATGAAAGTGTGCAACAGCACTTATGGAGTAGTGCTGAAAAAATAATAACATAAAATCTGACCAAGACCCTAGATCAACTACCAACTTATAGGAAATATAGTGGATGGAGAAACATCCTAAAAAATATCGTGGGGATGCAATTGGCAGAGTCCAGACTAGTAGATATTCTACAGGACAAATGATCTGGTTTCTTCAATAAAACATTCAAAGAAAACAGAAGAGTGGAACAGAATATATAAAAGAGATCATACTTTTAATTGCATACGTCAATTGCAACTTTGCAGATGGACTTTATTTGGATTTTACTTTTTTGTTTTTGTTTTTGAGACAGGGTCTGGCTTTGCTATCCAGGATGGAGTGCAGTGGTACAATCACAGCTCACTGCAGCCTCGACCTCCTAGGCTCAAGCAATCCTCCCATTTCAGCCTCCCAAGTAGCTGGGACTACAGATGCACGCCACCACACCAAAATAATTTTTGTACAAATTATACAAAATAATACAAAATTATACAAAATACAAAATAAATTTTGTCTTTTTTATAGAGATGGGGTTTTACCATGTTGCCCAGGCTAGTCTTGAATTTCTGAGCTCAGACAATCCATCCGCCTTGGCCTCCCAAAGTGTCAGGATTACAGGCATGAGCCACTGTGGCTGGACTATTTGGATTTTAATTTAAAAAAACTGTAAGAAAAAATTACAGGACAATTTGGTGAATATAAACTTTAACTGGATTTTATGACAAGAAAGAATTATTATTAATTTTTTAGGTGTGATAATGGCATTTTGAGACTTTTAAAGAATTTTGTAGAGATACACCTGAAATAACAAATGAGTTGATGGGAAGTCTGATATTTGATTCAAAATTATCTAGGAATCAGGAGCGGAAGTTATAGTTAGAAATAAGATTGCTTGTGAATTGGGAATTGTTGAGGCTGGGTGATGGGTAGATGGGGCTGATTAAATTGCATTCTCTATTTTTGTATAATTTTGAACAGTAAAATTTTCTCTGATAAAAATAGAAATTTTAAGTTTTAAATAATGAACTAGAGTTAAAGTATAAAAAAAATTAAAAAACAGAACAAGTCAGTAACTCCTGCTTCCTGATATCACAACTTGACAGGGAATATTTGGGATGCGTAGGCTGCCCCCTCTGCCTTCCAATTTTCTAATGAAAGGACTTTATACATTTCCAAGGATCTTGATATTTATTTATTTATTTATTTATTTATTTATTTATTTATTTATTGACAGAGTCTTGCTCTGTCGCCTAGGCTGGAGTGCAGTGGCGTGATCTTGGCTCACTGCAATCTCTGCCTCCCAGATTCAAGTGATTCTCCTGCCTCACCCTCCCGAGTAGCTGGGATTACAGGTGCATGCCAACACACCTGGCTAATTTGTGTATTTTTAGTAGAGATGGGGTTTCGCCACGTTGGCCAGACTCCTGACCTCAAATGATCCACCTGCCTCAGCCTCCCAAAGTGCAGGGATTACAGGTGTGAGCCACCCGCCCGGCCATTCATTGTTTTCTTTACTGACCACCCACCTGTTCCAGGGTTCCACGTCTGTGTCCTGGGTTCCATGTCTTGGTCCAATGCCTCGTTTCCAGGCATCCTTGACTTTCTTCTCCTGGACCCCAGTACTCTCTTCAAAGTGGGTTTCCACTTTGAAACCCCTTCCACCTGCTCTCTCCTCTGGGGTCTCTCTCCCAGTACGGGCCATCTTACCTCCAGCTGTCTCTTTCTTAGTAGCTTTAGCTCCTAGACTGTTTTGACCTTGAAAGGTTTATTGGTTGGTCTTTGTGGAGTCCTGAAGGTTCCAGAATGCTCTGCATTCCTGTCATTGTCTGAGGTGGCACTCAGACTCATGCTGTCTCTGGACTCCCTGAGGGAGGAGCCTAGCAAACAGCCTCCCTCCCGTGTCCCTGCCCTTTCTCAGCCTGCTGTG
Source organism: Homo sapiens (assembly GCF_000001405.40). Lineage (NCBI taxonomy): Eukaryota > Metazoa > Chordata > Mammalia > Primates > Hominidae > Homo > Homo sapiens. The sequence continues at coordinate 126,103,474 of NC_000009.12, forward strand.
ACACTTCATCCAGGAAAGCTTCTCCGCCCATGTCAGCAAATTGTTTGACACAGGGCAAGGTGCTCTGAGGATCAGCAAGAGTGAGGCTGGGCCAAGAAGCCCCCAAACTCCAGCCCCTGTCTCCATGGCCCAGAGACTCATTCTGTGAGAGTTTCTCTGCAAAGATGGCTGCCAACAATTCCTCCCATCTCTGCATGCACATGCCTTCCTCCCTTCAACAGGTGGGGTCTTTTTCCCCGTATCCTTGAATCTGGGCTGCCTGACTTGATTTGACCAATGGAATGTGGCAGGAGGGATGTCTTGAGATTACTGAGCTCAGACCTGAAGGGACCTTGTAGCTTCCGCATCAGCTCAGAGAAAAACAAATTGACGTGTAAATCAGTCCAAGTCACCCTGCAGGAGGAGCGGCCACGTGGAGATAGAGGCCAGGAGAGTGAAAACTGAGGCTCCAGCCAACATCATAGGTAAAGGGACCCAGTTGTCCCAGGCAGCATACAGATATTTGAACCGTGCCAGCTGCGTCTGTGTGAGAGAGGCCAGCCTGGGCCCCTTAGGCCCCTGTCAAGCCACCCTAGTCAATACCACGTGGAACAGGGATGACCCATCCCCATGACCTACAGAATCATAAGAAATAGGATTGTTTTAAGCCACTAAGTTTTGGGGTTTTTGTGATGCAGCAATAGATTGTTGAGAGACATAGACTTTCTGCTATGTCTCTAGACTTCTCAGGGGTTAGGTTGTCCTAATGAGTTGAGGTCAGAGGTCATTTGGCCAGCCCCTGGGCCCTGGGGGACACAGAGAGAAACCAGGGTTTTCAGGAGACTGTGTAGCTAAGAAGGACATGAGCTGTGGTGACAGTCACACCCAGCTTCCTGGATCTGCCACTTACCAGCTGTGTGACCTAGGGCCTCACTGAGTTTCTTTCCACCTCGGAAAGTGGAGATAATAATTCTGTCTATCTTCTAGAGCTTCATTCTCCCACAATACTTTTTACAATGACGGAACTGTTCTATATCTGTGCTGTCAAATATAGCAGACACTGGCCACATGAGGCTATTGAGCGCTTGAAACGTGGTGGGTGGGAACTGAGAGGCTCTGTACGTGTAAAGGGAACACATGTATGAAAAAAAGTTAAATACCTGGTCAATACCTTTTTTTTTTTTTGAGATGGAGTCTCACTCTGTCACCCAGGCTGGAGTGCAGTGGCATGATCTTGGCTCACTGCAAAATCCGCCTCCCGGGTTCACGCCATTCTCCTGCCTCAGCCTCCCGAGTAGCTGGGACTACAGGTGCCTGCCACCATGCCTGGCTAATTTTTTGTATTTTTTAGTAGAGATGGGGTTTCACTGTGTTAGCCAGGATGGTCTCGATCTCCTGGCCTCGTGATCCACGCGCCTTGGCCTCCCAAAGTGCTGGGATTACAGGCGTGAGCCATCGCGCCCGGCCAATACCTGGTCAATACTTTTAATATTGAGTCCATATTGAAATGATATTTTTGTTTTATTGGGCTACATACAATATATTATTAAAAGCAATTTTACCTATTTTTACATTTTAAAAGCTATATATGTGGCCCACATTATATTTCTATTGGACAACATTGCTACAGTCTCGAAAAGATTAAATAATGAGTGTAAAGTGCCTAGCACAGCACCTGGCACACGAAAAGCCCTTGGTGAAGAGTGGCTGTTACTTTCGTAAATATTGTCCTGGGTAGGTGGTGGCCAGAGCTCAGATTTAGCAGGGTGGTGTCTGGGTTCCTGCTAGATGGGACAGAGGAAAGGAAATAACATTCCCTGAAGCCCTAACTATGTGTGGGTGACCATGAAGGGCTTTACTCAGGTTGGGCCACCAAGTCTTCACAATGGCCCATGGAGGAGCTATTTCTCTCCTCATTGGAAAGATGGGGAAACTGAGGCTCACAAAAGGGACATGACTTGCCCAAGCTCGTATAGCTGGTTTTGTAATGGAACAAGAGTTCTTGACTCTGGGGAAAGTGGTTCTGGCACAGTAGCTCTGTTTCCTCTGGAGGTCAAGTCCAGGCCCAGGACACCTCTCCACATCCTCCTCTTCCTTTTCCTCTTACCCTCCCCCTACCCAACTGCTCCATCTCCTCTCTGAAATCCATGGCCTCAGCCTGTCTCCTCTCTCCTTCCCCCGCTTCCAGCTGAGACTTCCAAAGGAACAAATTTATTTCTTTAAGTGTAAATGGACTCTCCCACAAAGATGCTGCTATGTCATTTCATACATTCTTTTTTAACTTCATCAAACAAAGTACAGTTCTCTGGCGCTAATGTCAATCTCCACAGCTCATTGGGTTTTTAAAAATAGTGGAGACACAGATTTCATCTCCCAGCCTCAGTGAGGAAGGCAGCACTCTAGCCAGCGAGAGGAACCCTTCGCTTCTCACCCCAGAAAGAGCCATAAAACACGCTCAGTGCCGGAGCACGCGCCCATTTGACAAAGACAATTTGATTTGTCTGTGGCTTCTAAAATATTCATCCCACTTTGATGGACTATCGTTTTATAAATATAGATTATCATTAACCGACACCAGCGGTGCGCTGCTGGTCGACCCAGCGCCACGCCACTGGTTCGGGATGAAGACGTCTAATAAAAAAAATCATTATCTCTGTCTGCGAACCTTGATCTGTATCGTCTGCCTCATTTGCAGTGCAAGGGTCAGTAACTCATGCTAACTGCATCTGTTTGTGCATTTCACGGCCTGGCCACCCCTGCTGGGGAGATTGGCAGAATGCTTCTCGAGTTCAGACCTGGGGTAAGAAATGGGGTGATTGAGGGAGGGGGAGAAAAGAAGGCTGAAGGGCTCTGCTGGGAACCCATTGAAAGGACTGGAAGAATGTATTTCCAGAGAGGCAGTGGAGTGCCGTGGGCATGGATGCACGTTTTGTTGTGTGTGTCAGACCCCGCTCCACTACTCACTGGCTATGAGACCTTAGGTAGGTGAGTTAAACTCTCTGTATCTCAGTTTTCTCATCTTTTATATGGGAATCATAATCATACCTATCTCCTACAAGACTGTGCCCATGAAGTGTTTAGCCCATGACCTGACAGTGAAGCACACAGTAAACATTAGTTGCAATGATGACGATGATGATGGTGATGGTGATGATGGTGATGGTGATGATGGTGATGATGGTGATGATGATGGTGATGATTGTGGTTTGCTTTAACCTTGAGCCGTTTAACAAACCGCTTGACTTCCGTGAACCTCCAGTTCTTCATGGGTAGAACATTCTCAATAATATCTACCTCCAATGGCTTTAAAGATCCAATGAGCTAATGCATTCGAAGAGCTTAGCACAATGAATGGTACACTCTAAGTGTCTGTGAGGGCCATTTTGTTTCATCTCGGTGGAAGCCAGACAGAGAAAGCAGTGAAGGAACTGTCCTGGAGAGCTATGGCCCCAGTGTCCTTACTCCTTGAGGACTCAGAGTGCAGAGCCGGTCGGTGACCCTGGGGACAAGGTGGCTCAGGGTGTCATGTTGAGATGAACTCAGCTCTGTTCTATAAGGGTCTGTTATTCCTCCATGTTACCCCCTCCTCCTAGCATCCTGGGTCTTAGTGGGACCTGAAAAAGACATGGAGGTGGGGCAGGTGGGTTTATTAGACACAGCCCCACATTCCCCAGTGTGCTATGCTGCCAGGGAATGAAACCCAACGTAGAATAAAAGACTTGCCTTGTGTTGGAGACAGAACCTTGTCTGCAGCATTTCCTCTGCTGTTTGAAAGAAATACATAACCAGATATTGGGGGAAAGGCAATTCCAGAGGAATCTACAATAGAAGGTGGCCTGAGGGAGAAGGAATATAACAGGGCAAGTGTGGAGTTGAGGGCAGACAGCAAACCTTTCTTCATCCTGAACAGGAGTGGAATGAGAGAGGGTGAAGTAAACTCTTGGACTCAAGCTCCAGCCATGGCCCTAGGTGAGGCGGGTGGCCTAGAACCTCCTGGAGGGGCATGGCATCGAGTCCTTTGCTGCTCCTGGAAGCAGGCAGGCATGCCATGTGTCGAGGCTTCATCCTGCTGGGGAGACAGCCTGGGGGCACTCGGCCCCAAAGTTTATTTAAGTGAAAAAACCCATCCGGAGACAAGAAGGAGTGTTACACTACTGTCAAGTTTTAGACGTCGCCATCAAGCAAAAAAAATTACATCCCGTCCTGACGAGCGACTAATCAAGGCATGGCAAACGGTCCTGCAATAAATTACTCCGGCGCGAAATAAACCACACAAACAGACCGATGATAATAAATGTAAATTATTTCTCTGAAGAAATTTTCTTGGTATATGAGTAATACGAACCATCAGGAAGGCGTCTTCCTTAACATTAATTACAGAAAATGACAAGTGAGCTGATGACTGGGAAGGCTCATTATCTGAGAACATATTCACAACTTTGCAATTTGCGCGAGATGTACTCCGGCTAAATTAATCTCCCTTCTTTGCATGAGCCTCTTCTAATTTTCATGTTATTAACAGGTTTGCAGTATCAGTCAGTGCTTGTCACTCTAATCAGGTTTCAGCATGTTCGCAAAAGCGAAGCGTCATTTATAAGGATAAGCCCTCATAATGGTGCTTGCTTTCATGTGGAGAATTCTACAAGGCTGCTTTTAATAAGGTACTTTAATCATCTCCTTTGCTCAACTTTTGGCCCCACTGTTCCTTTATGAAGAGTCATTAAAAGACTTTGAAGTTCATCAAGGAGGAAAAATTCATGACATTGTTCGGATGAGGTTGGGGATGGTTCCAAGGGGGAAGCCTGGAGGGAGTCCGGGTGAGAGGGCCCTGTTGGCTTGGGGCCTAACCATGGGTGAGGAGGGGCAACCTGTACCCATCGTCTCCACCATACAACACCCTGTAGGTTAATATGCCGGGGTCACTGCTGAACAAAGACCTCACTGGAGAGCAGTCCAATTGGCAGAGCATGTTCTAGGGTCAATGATAGACGATCCTTAGAGAAGGGGCCAGCCAGGTCAGCACTCAGGACAGCTCCCAGCACGCCACTATCACTGTGGAGTCTCGGAATCTTTTTGCGGGTTTTGGATCTATTCTGATGATCTGCGCTTGCTTTGGAAATCTCTCTGTCTCTCCCCCACCCCGCCCCGCCGCCCCTCTCTGTGTGTGTGTTCCCTCTCTCTGTTGCATGTCTCAAAGGGCTAGGCAGGGCTCATCCTAGAATCAAGGCTCAAGTCGATCCCCTTTGCCCCAATTCCCTCAACACTCTAGAGTTGGATATGTCCCTACAGGTTTCCATCAAAAGAGATGCACAATGTTAGTTTGCCTCCAACGATCCTCGGTGGCCTCTGACAAACATTCTGAATTCACTGTTGTCACAGAGAATCATTCTTGCTGCAGGTGGCTCTTCTATTACTGGGCAGAGTACTAGGCAGGGAGGCAAGGATCATCCTGTCACTTGGACAAGTCTCACCTCTCTTCTAGCGCTATCTGTATAACTTTGTAAGGTTGCTTCCAGCTTGGAGCTTTGTGATGGTGCTTCTGATATTTACGGAAGCCCCATCCTCCCTCCACCTACTGAATGGTGGAGAAGGGGGCCTTGTGTCCCAAGGTGACATCATTATCATCAGAGCTTACAAGGGAATAGGCTTCCTGTTCCTATGAGTGTTTTTCCTCCCTATAGGCATAGGCTGGTTATGGGGTGGCCTAGGCTCTGTCTTGGCTGGGCTAAGGTCAGAGCACTTCTGTGGATGAACCTTCTGCCCAAATTGCAGTGGCCACTCTTCTCTGGGACCTGCTCCTGAGCATATTGATGCGACTTGGTCCCGTCCCTGGCCATAGCTGATTTGACTGTATCTTAGCAAGTTGGAGTCTCCCTTTGAAATTTTGGAATTGGACTAAGGGAAGGTCAGATCATGTTGGGGGATACCTGGATCTATGACATGGACACTCAAAGGCATGAGTGGGGCATCCATCTTCTCCCATGGGACCTGGAGAAGCAGACAGGCTGCTGTGCAGGGTGGGAGGAGGAAGAACAGAGACACAAGGCAGAGAAAGCCTCGTCCCTGATTCCAGTTTCTTCTAGAAATCCTTGCATTCTATGTGTATCCCTAGATCTTAAAAATATATTTATTTTTCCCACTAAAGTTTACTTGGATGAGTTTCTGTTACTCTCAACCAAAAAGGCCTAACCACACAGCTTCCTTGCACATGGGTTGCAATAGTCTGAGCAGGTCCTCACATCTAGCACCAAGCAGGGTGGAGCTGGTGGCCTGTTTAGGGGGGCCTGGGACATCTCTGGGGCTGATGGCTATCCAAGCCCTCAGGCTAGAGTTGAGGAGAAAGACCTCACTGAGTCTGAGAGGTTGACCCTCACTGTGCAGGGGCTTGTCCTGGAAGAATATGAAATGCAGCTGATGAAGCTGGCTCTAGGGTCCAGGGAGTGGGAGGAAGGACCCTGCAGCAGCTGATGGGTTTAGTTTAGTGCCAGAAAACTAATCTTCAGAAACTTGGTTCTTTCCAGACTTCCTGCAACCTGTGTTTATTTCTTAGTCATTGTGTCTCTAAATCTCTTTAGAGACACCAGCCTGGCTCAGTTCTGTTGCGGTGACTAAGGGAGAGGTGAAACCTCACAGGACCAGGGCATTGAAGGAGAGACAGTGCCCACCATGGTGGTAATGGACCTAGAGAAGGGACTATGAGAACACAGCCAGGCCATTTGATCCAGCACCCCTCCCAGCTAGGAGAGTCCTGCTGGTTCATCCCCATCTATGCCTGGGAGGGCTCTGTGCTTTAATGAATTCCCCTTACCCAACTTACTCAACAGATCCAAGGCCATTACGGTTCATTTAAACAGCAGAATGAGGTGTCTGGGTTCAACTTAGTAAGTAATGATAGGTCTCCTCCAAGGTTGAATGGCAAAACTGCATTTCACTGTAATTCGTCCATCTGTACTCTCTTCAGAGTGGCAACTGTACTTTCATATCTGGTGACTATGGTGGAGAAAGGAACCCCAGGAACACAGCTTGAGCCCATGCTGCAGATGGAGCCAGGGCAGCTCCTTCTGCAGAATGGGCTCACGAGGAGTAGAGCAGAGAGTCTTTCCTGTTTATCTGCCCAGACCCTTGGCAGTTGGGCTTGCCAAGTACTCCCCTGGGGATCTTCCTCTCTGAACTCTGAACCCTGGCCTGAATAGGACAGGGGTCCCCAGAAGGGGGTCTAGAGAAAGAACCAGGAGCAGTGTGGGATTTGGGGATAGAGGAGCGGCAGGCCTGAACCCCAGGGTGGGCTGAGACATTGCCCCTCTTCACCTGACACTCCAGACCTGATTAGGACTTACCCAGGCCCTGAGCACTAAACAGGTTGGAGGGAGGGTGTGTTGCATACAGGATGCAAAACAAAAGCAATGCTAACCCGTAAGATGAGTGTTGGAAGTCCACGCAACTCAGATTTTTCCCATAATGGCTGATTTATTTAGTTGTATTAATAATTCTTTCATTTTTTCCCTCTTCATCTTAAAGGCTCTTTGCTTGGGTGGACCTCCAAGCTTGGGCTCACTCTGCCCATGCTGAGGCCTGCCTGGAGCATGGGATCCCATGTGGATCTGTGGGCCTGAGTGTGACTGTGTCCACAGACTTGGGCCTCTGTGTGGACAGAAAACCAGCTGGGGGTGGCCAGAGCTCTCCTGGGATAAAACACACACACTCTTTCTCCTGGGCCCAAGGGGAGGGCCTGGGCAGGGTAGCAACAAAAGCACAGCCAGGCAGCTTAGGCGGTGATATGGTTTGGTCTGTGTCCCCACCCAAATCTTATCTTGAATTGTACTCCCATAATGCCCATGGTTGTGGGAGAGACCCAGTGGGAGATAATTGAATCATGGGGGCGGATCCCCCCATACTGTTCTCATGGTAGTGAATAAGTCTCATGAGATCTGATGGTTTTATAAGGGGTTTCTGCTTTTGCTTCTTCCTCATTCTCTCTTGTCTGCCACCACCTAAGACATGCCTTTCACCTTCCGCCATGATTGTGAGGCCTCCCCAGCCACGTGGAACTGTGAGTTCATTAAGCCTCTTTTTGCTTGTGAATTACCCAATCTCAGGTATATCTTTATCAGTGGTGTGGAAACAGACTAATACAGGTTGCCAAGGCAGACAGACATCCAACAGCATGATCTCACCCAAATGATGAGTAGGCAGCAGCTCACGGGGGCAGAACTTTCTCCAGACCCCCTTCTGGGGACCCCTGTCATATTCAGGCCAGGGTTCAGAGTTCAGAAGAGGAAGATCCTCAGGGGAGGACTTGGCAAGCCCAGTTTCGAAGGGTCTGGGCAGACAAACAGGGAGGACTCTCTGCTCTACTCCTCAACCCCCAGGGTCCTTGCTCACCTCTCTCGCCCCAGATCAGATGGTCACAAGGAGAGATGAGACGTAAAAGCTGTTGTCCCAGGGATTCAAGATAGCGATGGAGGTGGCCACCAGGCTGGACTGGGCACTTCTGATTCTTTCTCTATCAGTGTTGCTGTCACCGAAAGCACCTTCAAGGCCTTGGGCAGCATCATCCTAGAGCTGAGACTCGTAGGACCACAGCATCTCAGAGGCCTCTGGCATCATCTCATTCATTCCCACTGTGCAGATGGGGTCACTGAGGCCTGGCAGAGGCAGGAACTTGCTCTGGGCCAGGCGGTGAGTTAAAGGCATTCTCATCGGTGTACCTGGATCTCTGGCCTTCCTGTTCTGAGGGCTTTTCCTTCCCTTTGCCTTAGTCTCCTAATGGAGCAAATACCTCCCTTTTGAGGCTGTATTTATTTGAGTTTTGCAAATAGGCGTCACTTGGAAGCAGACGTGGGGATCAAGCTGGGTGTGGCAGCTCCACCTCCTGGTATCCACACCCCTGTGCACCTTCTCCGGCATGTTGCCAGCCTGTGTGACCGATAGAACACAGCAGAAATGACACACGGTCACTTCCCAGATTAAGTTATAAACACCGCGGCTTCCATCTCTGTTGCTTTCTCTCACCACTCGCTCTGGGGGAAGCTAGTTGCCATGGTATGAGGACTCTAGGGCAGCTTCCTGGGAGTCCCATGGGTGAGGAGCTGGGGCCACCTACCTGAGTGGACCTAGGTGCAGCCCCAGCCAAGCTTTCAGCTGACTGCAACCCCAGCCAAGATTCCCTGCACCAGGACCACCCAGCTCAGCCACTGCCAGATTCCCGATCCTCAGCAACTGCGAGATAGCAAATGTTTGTTGTTTTCAGTTTTGGAGTCTTTTGTTACATGGCAGTAGATAACTAACATGCTGGTGTCTTTTTGGTTTTGTTTTTGTTTTGATAAAATGAGGCTGGAGGGTTAGGTCAATCTCAGGTTCCCCAGAGCGGTAAGATTTTGGGGGAAGTGTACCAAGGCCAAATTATTTAGAAAAGCCACAGGTGGAAGCTGAGGGTTTCCCCTTCTCTGTTTGAGAAGTGGATGTGGGATCAGGTTCTTGAGCCCGTCCCAGGCTAGGCCAGGATGCACAGCGATGACAAGTTCTCACCCTCTGTTTGCAATGTCGGTAGGGAATTGAATCGATTCTATTCAGAATGGAGGAGATATTGCCTGGATGGTGAAGGAAGGCAATAAGTGATCATCTCGTTCCCTCCAGGTGCTGCGTAGCCATGACCCTAAGAGCTGGCTACTCATGGTGCCATTGTTTAGATGGGAATACTGAGACCCATGAGCTTGACTGCTGCCCCATAGACACTAGGGATGCCCTCCAGGGGAATGTATGGAGCTGGGTTTGGAAAGATGACTCCATCAGGGTAGAGGATGAACTAGAAGGAAGTGTCGGGAGACAGGGGCTCCTGGGGCTCATGGGAAAAGCCCAGAGGCCTGAGCTGAGTCAGGAGCTCTGTGGGATGGAGAGAGAAGGGGTGAGAAAGGTGGCAGCAGGCAGAGTGATGGTTGGTCTGGACATGGGGCTGGGGAAAGGGTGGCCTCCAGGGTGACACTCACAGTTTTCTGATGTGGGAGTTGGGGGACGATGGTGATGCTTTGCACCAAGCTGGCAGGCCCTAAATAGGAGCTCTCTTGGGAACTGGGGGTAAAAAATTCTCTTGGGGAACAAATTGAATTTCAGGTGCTCATGGATCATCCAGGTGGAGATGTCTGGGTGATATGACAATTACGGTCCTGGATAGGGCGCAGAGGAGAAATCTGGACTCAGTCCTCAACTTGTTGATGTTGAAAAGAGAGAATTCATGGGCTTGTGCCATCAGGAGAGCTGTGGTACAGGCCTTGAGAAGCCCAAGTTTGAAGAGCTGGGCAGAAATGGAGATGGAGATGAGGCAGCCAGGGAGAAGCGAGAAGAACGAGGAGCACATGGCATGGAGGAGGCAAGGCGAGGAGGAAGCTTCAAGACGGACCTGCGGCTCTCACTGCCAGATGCTGGGGAGAAACTCAGCAACGGTGGGTGGTGGGGGTGCCTGCTGGGTGGGCGTGCTCAGCCCACCCTCAGGGGTCACCTCCCCAACCCAGGACACCAGAGCACTGCCGCACACAGCCCTCTTGGAGTGGGGCAGAAGTTGCGAAGAAGGTCCTAACAACCAGAGCTGGCTGGCAGTGGAATGAGCCATCCGAAGTGGTGATGAGTGCCCTGTGGCTGGGAGCATGCAAGAAGTTGGCTAGGCAATAATCGAGTTGGGTGTGGTGAGTCGGAAATGGATTAGACTCCCACCAACATCCCTTCTGGCTCTGAGCTCTGGAGTGAGAAAAGGGAGGCCACGAGCGAGTTCCCAAAGAGTGGAACCCCTCGGACCTCTGCTACTGAGCTCCCAGGGGTCCTGGGCAGGGCAGCTTTAGGAGAAAAGGAGAAGGTCATGCCCCTCTGCCCCCACCCCCAACGTTGAGGCTTCAGCTGCCTCTCAGGCCCTCCCCTCTTCCCCTGCCCCTTCTTTTCTTCCTTCTGTGTTCTTTGGAATCACGGCCCCAGCACAGGTTGTGGGCAACGTGGGAAAAAAGGAATAAGGAAAAGCAAATGGGAGCTCTGGTCAGTTCTTGCTCAAGTGGGAGTCCCACAGTCCAGGATGTGCATGGGCACGGGAGTGAGAGGCTCCCCGATGGGGCAGTAGAAAAGGCCACAGAGGGGCCGCCGTTGGCCTTGGCACAGCCTCTAGCCATCTCCTACCCGGCTGGGGCCAAGCATTAGCTCTCCTAATACAGGTGGGCTTGCACTGGGGGGGTTCCGTGCAAGACCCAAAGCCTCCCTCTCCCCCGGGCTTCCTGAGGGTGGGGATTTCGTCTCTGGCAGGGCGGGGTGAGGCACCCTTGCCCTGGGAGCCCTGACAGCCACCTTCCTCCTTCGTCACAGAGAAGCTCACCTGTAATAATGTCAGTGCACTCTTCAGGCTGACAGAAATCCCACCGATAATTGGGAAGAATGGAAAATGAAAACATTAAAATTTGCCATGTCATCCGTTCACTTTTCCTGATTGTCTGATACCCACCGTCCACTGACAGATGCTGTATTATTAACACTTGATTAAAAATCACTTCAGGTTTGAACCAGCCAGTTGAGAAGGGAGCGTCTTGACAAGACTTGTGGTTTGTGATTGACAATTAGTAATATTCGGTGTGTCACAACATAGATAGTGTGACTTATTGGTGCTGGTGTAATGCAACACATTTCATCTGAGCTCCTCAAATTGGTACATAGGAGTAAGAAAGAAAGGATGGAGTCCTCATTCAGCCGACTTTGATTACCAACAAAGGAGAGATTGTACGTACCTGTCTCGGCATGGCCAACCTGGACTTCTATCAATCAGCCAGACGGCTGCGATCCCCTCTCCTCTTTGGGAACAGGAACCTCAGCAGAGCGGGATCTCATTATGCAACCCTCAACTTCTCCATCAGCAGCCAAATCTTTTCTGTCTGGAAATATGAAAGCTCCTCGCTCTGCGTTGCCTCCAAATTACCAGCCTGCTCCTCTTAAAACAAAAGGCTTCTCATTTTTTTAAAAATAAAATGATCATATCTTGATTGACGTGCTACATCCTTTTTCTTCAGTTATTTTTCTAACTTGGTGTCAGCGGGAGTTGGATTTGGGGGCCAATTTTTTTTTTTTTTTTTTGTCTCAGTTCTAATTCAATTCCTTTTAAGTGCTTTTAAGAGCAGTGCAATTCGAGGTCTTTCCTTTTTTGGGTCTGACCTGGATATCATTTTTGGTTTCCTTCTTGCCTAAGATTATCCAGGCAGAGAATGGTTGTTTGCATTAGTGAAAGGTGATGGATTTAATGCGATTAATCTCTGCAAACTTTGAGAGAAACAGCCTTAGGTGGGATTTAAGTGCTTTGCAAAGCTGTGTACTTTGTAATAGAGAAGTGAACGGTAGCGTGGGGATCACGCTATCTCACCACCCTGTGTGAATTGGCTTTTGAGAACTCTAAACAACTTTCTCTTCATGAGTTTATTTGTCATTCTTTTTTTTTGAGACTGGGTTTCACTCTGTTGTCCACGCTGAAGTGCAGTAGTGCAGTCATAGCTCATTGCAGTCTTGAACCCCTGGGCTCAAGCAATCCTCTTGCCTCAGCCTCCTGAGTAGCTGGAACTACAGATGCGTGCCACCACACCCAGCAAATTTTCTTTATTTTTGTAGATACAGGGGTCTCATTATGTTGCATAGGGTGGTCTCGAACTTCTGGCTTCAAGTGATCCTCCCACCTCAGCCTCCCAAAATGCTGGGATTACAGGTGTGAGCCACTGTGCCCAGCCATTATCTGTCCTTTGAATCTGTGGTCCCATCCTGTCGCCTAGACCCCCCCAAAACTCATGAGAATGAGGACCATGTCCATTTTGTTCCCTGCTATACCTACAGTGACAGAACACTCTCTGGCAAGTAGTAGGCTCTTAAATATTTGTGGAATGAATGAATGGATGAATGAATGCATGGCTAATGGGGGTTGTGAGCAGGCTAGAGGTCAGACGCTGAGGACTGGCTCCCACAGAAGGTTCTGTTGAGGGTCAAGGAGTCAGCTCTTGGGGTTTAAGGGGCTCACAGTTCTTTCCTCACCCTTGCTGCCCCCACCTGAGGGGCTTGGGCCCTCCAGCTCTGGTTTCCCGACCACCAAGGTGAGTGTCTGAGGCCAGGCGTTATGAGGGCAAGAGAAGCAGCTTTTCTGCTTTCATGGGACACCGCTGGCCAATCCAGCCTTTGCTTGCTCCAGGCTAAATCTACTTGTTCATTCATTTGACAAACCTCGAATGCCTAAGAGTACGGAGTTCCTAAGAGCAGCGTGAGGCGGCTCGCAGTGCTGGGCTAGGCTTTGTCACTCCCATTCTCTCTCGGGCCTCTTGGCCCTCCACCACGGACACAGCCTTGTTCTCTTTGGCTGGGGTCTCAGGACACTCTTCTAGGGACTCCAGGGACTCACCCCCAGCTCCGTCCGCTGTTAGTCACCAGTCAGTGTACCCCAACCGAGCCCTCAGGTCCATCCCAACCCTACCCCCCGGAACATTTTGGTTACCCCACTCCCCAAAGGAGAATCAAATCAGGGTACCTCCTACAGCCTGAAAGGGTTTTCCCTTTAGAAAGGCTTCAGGCTTAAGACTCTGCATTAGGGTTATAGAGTGATCTGTCTGCCAGCTGCTCCGGGCCCTCCTGGGGAGCAGGGGACATGTCAGAGCCATGTCTGTATTCTCAGCCGCCAGAAGCAGGAGGGGCAGGGGCTAGGCACTGGCTCTTGGGACTGCCAGGGGCAGGCTGGCACTTCATCATTCTTTAGTTGGGCACCCTTGGACAAGTGACTAGACCTCTCTGAGGCTCAGTTTTCTCATGTGCGAAATGGAGAGAACGCTGGAATCCACTGCAGAAGTTCAAAGGCAGGGCTGTTAGTGTACCGCGGGGCCCCTTGGCAGCCTGGGGAAGCCTGTGGGCCCCTTCCCAGAGCACTGGTTTTTAAATGTGTAAGGTAATACACACAAGATTATAAAGAAAACCAATTTATTAAAATATAGCTATCAAAGTATAAAAATTTGCGATAGGCCCACACAGATCCTTCTTTATTAACACATTACATGGCAAGATTTGGTGTCAAGTCAAATAGCTGCCATGATTTCAAGTTGGTACCAAGCATAAGGCATGTTCTAAGAAACCCGTGGCAACTGTAAGGTGATGTGGGAACACCCGTGCTTTCTACCAGTGACAGTCACGGATGTTGCCGATGCCACATTCCCAATGGAAGAAGATGCTAAATTTCATTTAGATCAAGTCAACATCCCCGTTTAGGTTTAGGAGCCCTGTTCCGAGGGATGCACCCGGGGCTGGAAATGGGATCCAGGGAGAGGTAGCACCGGGGGCAGAGGTGAGGAGGGGCAGGAAGAGGGATGGCCACCGGCTAGGGCTGGCCTGACGTGAGACTGTGTGGGGCTTGAGCCCAGGGTTCTGAGTGCAAGTTCTCCATTGGACTGTGGCACTGGTCTCTAGCAAAAGACAGGCAGTATAGACGCATAACAGTTACCACCCACAGTAACGGTGGCTGGCAACAGCACAGACTTACTGAGCACCCACTGTGGGCCATGGCTCAGGCTATCACATCTCATTTGCTGTCTCAGTTAATACAGCAGCCCTGCAAGATCACCGTGACCGTGATGCTCAGCTTTCAGGTGAGGACGCTAGAACTCAGAGGGGTCACACCACCTGCCTGAAGCCATACGGCCAGGGGGCGGAGAAGGTCAGTATCAAACCTAGGTGGGGCTAATTCCAAAGACCATGATCTTAACTGCTGGGTGATGTTTAAAATGTTTATTTTGGCTGGGCGTGGTGGCTCATGCCTGTAATCCCAGCAGTTTGGGAGGCCGAGATGGGCAGGTCACTTGAGGTGAGGAGTTCGAGACCAGCCTGGCCAACAGGGTGAAACCCCGTCTCTATTAAAAATACAAAAATTAGCCAGGCATGGTGACATGCACCTGTAATCCCAGCTACTTGGGAGGCTGAGGCATGAGAAGCACTTGAACCCGGCAAGTGGAGGTTGCAGTGAGCTGAGATCATATCACTGCACTCCAGCCTGGGTGACAGAGTGAGACTCTGTCATAAATAAAAAATAAATAAACAAACAAAATGCTTGTTTTATAATTTAGTAGGTTTCAAAAGCAACTCATTATTTTTATCTTTGAAAAAATCATGTATGAAGTTGAGCAGGTCTCATGCTCTGGTGTACTAAGGTTGTGCCTTCTTGGGGAGTTACCTGTTCAGGTACCTGGCCTCGGTGCAGGATCTTTGGCAAACCTACTGGAACTTGATGTGGTTCTCATCAATTTGTGCTGACTCTTTAAATAGTACAAATCTTTACTGCTTTCTGAACAGTGAATATGTGTTTGGCATCTTCATTTAGAAATTCCTTCCCATTTGCCAAACATACAAAAATACCCCAGTGATGAATGCTTGAATGCTTGGGTTATTTGCTTTTTTTTTTTTTTTTTTTTCACTAATATTTATTAGCGGTAGGATTCATTCCAAAATAGACCAATGTCCACATCATCAGATGGCAAAGGAGCCTCCTTTTGGAATAATCATTCTCAAGCCTGGCTAATCACCAGACCCAGTGAGGCAGTTACAAAAAACACAGGCTCCGGGCTGCCCATTGGAGATGTTGATTCCTCAGTACATTGGGGCCTGGGCCTCTGCATTTTGGCGGGGGGCTGGGGGGGTCTTCCTTTGTTGCCAAGGCTGGAGTGCAGTGGTGCAGTCATAGCTCACTGCAGCCTCAAACTCCTGGGCTCAAGTGATCCTCGAGCCTCAGCCTCCCAAAATGCTGGGATTACTGGCATGAGCCACCATGCCCAGCCGGGCCTCTGCATTTTTATAGAGTCCCTCTGCTTGTACTGAAGACACACCAGTTTGGGGAGCAGCTTTGGGGGACCTCTGCTTTAGGACACTATTTGTCTGAACAATATAGAAAGTCCTGGGTTCATCATGAAGCATCTGAATAGCTACCAGACCTCTGAGCAAGCTTTCAAGTTACAAATTCTGGCTCTGCTACTTACAAGTTGAATGTCCTTGGACAAGTAACTTCATCTCCCTGAACCTCAGTTTCCTCATGTGTAAAATGATAGACCATGTCTAACTCACAGGATGTGATGAAGAGAAATGAGGACCTGTGGGTAACGCAGTAGACACAGTGTCTGTGGTAAGAACCAAGTAAACGTTAGCTGCTATTGTTCCTACTACTGCTTCTAAAACTGCCCTTTGCCATGGTAAATATTCAGGTAGAGCATTTGCTCAAAGGAACCTGGGACTTGGGTACCGGTAATGATCACATCTTTCATAAGGAATGTTGCCATGTGGTCACCAAACTCTCAGAACACAAGGGGCTTAGGTGAAAATGTATGGGTCCTAATTCTGGAGCAGGTGGGACGAGGTTAAGGTGACAGAACTAGCCGGGACCCCGGTATTGCCACTACAATGCCCTGGGTGGCATGCTGAACCCTGAGGTGTCCAGGCTGGCAAGGCATTGCTACTCCAGGGACCCACTTGGTGGGTAGGGACAGTGACTGGGACACTGCAGAGGGGAGCAACGTGGCAGGATAGAAGAAACACACATGTAAATTCCAGGTCTGCCATTTACGAGCTGTGTGATCCCAGCCAGTCCTTTGGCCTCTCTGGTTAATCGTACATACCCTTCAGGGATTTAAAAATTAAAGATATGATGTAAAGGCTTGGCCAAGGGCCAGACACATCCTGGGCAATTGGTGATGATTGCTTTGATTAATACAGCAGCAGAATCTTGGGAGTCCATTACAGTTGAAGGGAGACCTCTGCCAGGGGCTGGGAGTGCCAGGCAGGGGGCTAGACGAGGAGAAGGGAGAACAGGAGGGTGCCAAGGCTTTTGACAAAGGCTTGAGACACAGGGCAGATGCCATCCCAGCCGAGGTAAGGCTTCCCCAGGCCTATCAGACAACAGCCTTGGAACCCCATCCAATACCACCATGACAAAAAGTATTCTCAGTCAATGTGATCTGGAACCAAACATCCAAAGGAAGAAACTCAAATGTGTACAAACAAATAGTCATTTAGTAAAGAGGCCAGAGACAAGACCTATTTACCCTAATCAACGCGTTCCTGTGTTCTTAGCCATACTCCGCCAGAAACTGTAATGAAAAAAGAGATGCCATTCCCAGAAGCAATGGAAAAATACTTAGGAATAAACTTAATCAGAAATGCGTGTGACCCATATAAAGACAACTACAAAATTTTATTGGTGAAATGAAAGGAGACCAGAATAAATGGAGAGGCATACTGCCTTTCTGCATGGGAAGACCGAGTATTGTAAAAACGTCAAACCACCTCCATGTTAATTTGCAGATTTAATGCAATACCAAACAACCCCGCAAAAGGAACTTGATAAAATGATTCCAAAATTCATCTGGAAGTAACATTGATCAGAGCATCAAAGAATATTCTGGAAAAGGAGAGCACTGATATATAACCTTACTGAATATTAAAAGATATCATTAAGAGCAATAGTTGGAACAGGGAAAATATTGATGAAAAAAGAGAAATAGATTTTAATGGATTTGAATAGAATGCTAGAAATAGATGCAATCACATGTAAAAATAAAATATGATAAACCACCACAAAATAAGTGGGTGATGAGTTATTTAGCAAATGCTGTTGGAAAACTGATTAGCAATTTGAAAAAATAGTTTGTAATTTAGAAACACCTTAGACTTCAAATCAAAACAACTCCAGTTGCATAAAAAATAAAGTTCAGATAAGAACCAAATACTGGAAAAGCTAGCTGAGAATGAATTTGGGTTTTTATTAGATCTTGAAATACTAGTTTTAAAGGGACAATAAAATGAGTGATATAGAATATAAAATATACTTATACAATCATGTGATGACTAAGTAAAATATTTGCCTGGGGTCAAGAACCATGAGGGTAACAAAATACTCAATGAGATTTTTTTTTTGTTTTAATAATATTTGGTCAGTAAATAAAAATTAAGGGTAAAACACCTGCAAATTATTTTTTGAATGATTAAATATTATAAAAATTTAAATACGTATTAACACCTAATCCGTTTACCCACTATTACTCTTCTATTTTTAAAGAGTTAGAAAAACATTTAAGTCAATCTAATCTCCCAGGTATAATCTCTTACGAGGAGCTGTTGATAAGGGTTCTCATGAATTCTTTAACTTCTAAGAATTCCTGCTTTACTTCACTTTGATTTTCATCACGCCACGGTTAAGTACTTTGTCAACTCACCTTAAATATTTTTTATCTTTATTTGTTTGAGACAGGGTGTGGCTCTGTCACCCAGGCTGGAGTGCATTGGCACAATCATAGTTCACTGCGACCTCCGCCTCCTGGGCTCAAGCAATCCTCTCACCTCAGCCTCCTGAGTAGCTGGAACTACAGGTGCACACCACTACGCCAGGCTAATTTTATTATTATTATTATTATTATTATTATTATTATTATTATTATTATTTTGTAGAGATGGGGTTTTGCCATGTTGCCCAGGCTGGTCTTGAACTCCTGAGCTCAAGAGATCCACCTGTCTTGGTATCCCAAAGTGCTGGGATTACAGGTGTGAGCCACTACGCCTGGCCAATATTATTGTTTATGGTGGTAAAACTTTCAGCAAAGTGCACAATCTTAAGTGTGCAGCCCAACAAGCACCCTTCTCACCCATAAAAAAGCACAGCATCTGCAACATCCAGAAGTTTCCCTCTGGCCAGTGCCCCAGCACTCCTTTCCAGGATTCCATATGAAGTAGGTTAGTTTTGCCCATTCTTGAACTTTCTATAAGTGCAGTCATATAGCCTGCACTCTTTTGTAGCTGGCTTCTTTCACACTTCATTCTGTCTGTGAGCTCCAGCCATATTGCTGTGTGTACTGGTAATTCACTTTTTCACGGCCGTGTGCTCTTGCATTGCGTGAAGATAGTACATTTTATTTATCCATTCTACTGTTGATGGGTATGGGAATCATTTCCAGATTTTGGCCATTATGAATAAGGTTGCAGTGAACATTCTTGTACATGTCTTTTTGTGGATGTGCAACTCATTTCTCCTACATGAATCCTTAGGGGTGCAGTCGATGGGTCACAAGGTAGATACATGTGTAGCTTTAGTAGATACTGGCAGGCAGTTCTTCAATGGGGTTGTACCATTTCCCATCCCACTAGCCGTATATGAAAGTTTCAGTTGTTCCACATCCTCGTCAACACTTAATATTGTTGGTCTTTTAATTTTAGCCTCTCTGGTGTCACTTTACACTTTAATACCTTTTGCCAAAGCCCTTTCAGAGCCTCCAGCAAAGTTTCAGAGAGTTTATTGCCTATTGAGCCATGCTACAGTTTGGAGGAGGGACCCGAGGGAAAGTTTAAACCAAATTCCAGGGGTGCCAAGAATCAATTCTCAGGAAGCCAAAGTTAGCATGAAATCCACAGGGCCAGAAGTAGGGAAGACACCTGGAAACCCACTCATGTAATAAGGACAACCTGAAGCCTGTGCTGGGCAGGACAGTCACGGATGCTGCTATGTCCTGGTCCCTCTGCAGCCTGAAAGTGGGAGAGCTGGGTTAAAGGCACAGGTGGGGAGGGACACCTCTTTCTGCTGTAAGCACAGACACACAGAACAGGTCCACGCCTGCCACAAGGCTATTGGTCCTTTCCCCAGTCCATGTGTAGGACTCTTTAAGCATAAGCCAAAAGCCTCCATCACTCTGGTTTCTGGGGTCTGCTGTGGCCCCAGGCTGGTAAGTAGGGCACAGGGCTAGGTGAAGTGGAGATGGGGCTGAAGCCCTCTCCAGGAGGCTACAGGGCAGTCCTTTTGGGGACAGCCAAAGATCCAATGTATGGAGGCTAGAGGGACAGAAAACAGAGGTTAAGGAGATGTGGTCTGGAAGGTGTGCCTGATGGCTCCAGCACAGGCAGCAGGCAGTGGCTGACACACGAGCACCAAGGTTTATGGGCCCCTTGTCCCTGACAGAAGGTCCTTGGCCAGCAGCTGGGAGTTGGGGAATATAACAGACCCACGCCCACAAAGAGAGGGGATTGGCAGGAGCTGGACAGGGGTCAGAGCCCCTGAGCAGCAGGCAATTAGGATATGAAGCAGCATAACCAGTGAGTAGGTGAAGGCAGGGGCTCAGTCCTGTGGGAGGAACCCACACAGCATAAGAGAGGAGACGTCTGTGGCTTGGAGGCTGCAAGGACCCCACATGCATCCAGGCAAAATCACTCTCCAGACGTGGGCAAAAAGGAATCATCGTGGCAGCTGAGGCTGTTGGTGGGCTCCCCTCCCCAGTCATGCAGGTTCATCCATCCATTAAACACATATTTATTGAACACCTACTATGCACCAGGCTCCATTCTAAGTGCTAGAGATTCAATGGTGAAGAAATCAGACCCGGATTGCTGCCCTTGTGGAGCTGACCTTTCAGGCGAAAGAGACAAGCAATAAATGGATAAAAGAAATGGATACATGCAGATGAGTGCACTAAAGAAAAAATGAGCGATAAAGGGGACAGTTTTGTTTAGATTAGTGGGGAAGGGCTCTGGTGAGAGTGTGAGCAGAATTGGAAAGACAAAGGAGAAAAGCATGCAGGCATCTGCAGGAATGAACATTTCTGGAAGAAGAAACAGTGAGTGCAAAGTCCTGAGGTGGCGGTGTGGTGGCTTGCTCGAGAACAGTGAGGAGGGCTGGGGCTTGGAGCAAAGCGAGCTGAGCTGGGGAGGTTTTAGATAAGGTTAAAGGGGCAGAGGCCTCAGTGGGACCCCCCCCCCCCCCCGCCCCAGGAGGACTGCTGAAGGCCTGGATGACAATGAACTTAGAGTCTGGTCCAAAGGGGCTTTGTGGTGACCACCTCCCGTCACCTCTTTATCCAATCATACGATGTATATTTACTGATGTTTGGCACAGAGAGAGGTGTTGGGGGCATGGCAGAGAAGATGAGCTTACAGTCTGGGTGGCTCCCAGCTGCTCCCACTGCATCTGCAGGAGAATCAGAGGGCCCCCCTGATTCTGAAGTTGTCCCCTCTGTCTAAACAGTGGCAAAATAACATCATATATTTTCTGTGTGCACACATCCTCCTGAGTGTCTGGCACTAAACTAGGAACAGAGGCTGCAGCAGTGAATGAAACAGGTTTGGCCTCTACCCTCACGGGGAGACATTTGGCAAATAAATGATGAAATGAAGGTGTAATTGTAACTGTGAGTGCAAAGGAAGAAACAGGCTCCAAGGGAGAATGATGGGGGAGACTCCTTTTGGATTAGGACAGCAGAGAAAGCATCCCCGACTTGTGACTCATATCCAGGGGACAGTTGGGGTGAGAACATTTAGCAGAGAAGGAATGGTTTGTGCAAAGGCCCTGTGGCAAGACCTTTGTTTTGACCTGGGGCAAACAGAGTCTGGGTAAGGCCAGCTGAAGTCTTGGAGACCAAGAAGTTCAGATTTTTCCCAAGTGGATGGCAGTCATTGAGGGCTGTTGAGTAGGACAGTGATGTGTTCTTTGCGTGTTAAAAAGCTCTGTTTCCAAAGGCTGGGAAAGGGAAAAATTGTAACTTTTAGTAAGGAACCCTGGCAGACATCACCCTAATCAACTGGTCAAAGTTAATTCTGCCATCATCAGTGACGTGGTGTGGCTCTCGTATAGCCGTGCTGTGGAGTGGTGGGAAGAGCACTTCCACTCGGTGGTTCCTCCCTTGACCCATTTATGCCTAGTGTTCCATTATTGGAACGCTAAGCATGTGGGAGTTATTTACATCCTACTGCTCAAGGTCATCGCCAAGGTCTGATTGCAAAAATTCAAAAAATTGCAACCTCAGGCATAAATGAGTTAAACCCATAACCCAGTTTAACCATGAGAAACCCAGCTGACAAGCCTGCCCAGTGCTCTTCAAAACTGTCAAGGTCACAGCCCGGAGACTAAGCAGACGCCACTGGTGTCCTGAATTGGATCCAACACAGACCAAGAACAAGAATGGAAATATGAATGGAATCTAAATAAAATCTGGAGTTCAGCTGCTAGCGGCAAACCAATGTTGGTTTCTCAGTTTTACAAATATACGGTGGTAATGTAAGGTGCTGGCGATAGGGGAGGGGTATATGGGAACTCTCTGTCGTTCTCGCAACTCTTCTGTACACTTAAAATTATTTCCAAATTAAATTTTTAAAAATGAAAGCTCAATATGTTTACTTAGAGGAAAATGGGTGGCAGGACTGAAGAGATGGGAGTGGCAGCAGGAATATTTGGGCAGATGCCAGAGGGAACCGGACGGGACTGAGCAGCACTTTGTGATGAAAAGGGTGTGCGGTGAGGGAGGGGTGAGGGAGGGGAGTGTCCGGATGACCTGGATCTCTGGCTTGGTCATTGGAGATGGAGGAAGACCCGAGAGGAACAGATTTAGGGAGAGCCTTTGCCTGTATCTGCACGTGGCACCCCTGCATTTGATGACCTGGGCATGGGGCAGGGTTTTTCCAGGATCATGCCTCTTTGGGGAGAACACAGCCCCTGCCTTCTCAGACTCAGGAACTCTTCCATCCCCCAACAACCCCCCTCCCAGGGCTGATACAGAGCTCTGAGCCGGTGATGGGGTCTCTGAGGGCAGTCCCACCCCAGCCTTTCCATCCATCAGAACTGGAGCCTGGAAGTAAGTGAATTAGGGCCGGGCAGGTCAGGCTGGCTCCAGATCCTCAATCAGGTTTGCTGGGGAGGTCCCCAGGGGTCAGCCCAGCTCCCAGCTTCTGGAGAAAGGCTGCCAGAGGCCTTGGCTGGTGAGTTTCCTGGAATACTGCTGTCTGGGCAGGGGCAGGGAAGAGGGTGGCAGTGGGGTGCGAGTCACAGGCTCTGAGGGAGGGGGGCTGCTGCTGCCCAGAACTAGGGACTTCTTCCAGGACCCTCGGGGGCCCACATGCACAGGATCCCAGTGCCTGAAGCTCTGCCCACTCCTCTTCCCTGGCCTGCCTTGCTTGCTCTTTGACCTTGAATCTGGCTCTTTGTAGAAGACACTCTTTCTGTATCCCTGGGTCCCTATACCTAAGGCTGGCTCCTTCCTCTGCTTGTCAAGGGCTCTGTGTCTCTGGACAATTTTCTGCTGTGTCAGGGCTGCAGTTTATAATTTTTCCCTGAAAGAGTCAGACTTGGACTTTGTGTTAAGGAGAGAGAGAGAGAGAGAGAGAGAGAGAGAGAGAGAGAGAGAGAGAAAGTAGGAAAATCAAGGTCAAGTAAGAGACACAGTAAGAGACAGGCAGAGAGACAGAAAAAAAGAGAGAGAACCCCACATATAGAGCATAAGAGATGGGGAGGGAAGACAGAGTCAGAGAAAGATGCAAACACACAGAGTGCCAGGAAGGAGAAGCAGTGATGCCTGCAGGAGGTGTTGGGAAGCTCCGTTCCCCATTTCATTTGGGCAACCCAGTCCTGACCCCTGGTCATCACTGGGCCTGCCTGCCCTCTCCCTGGACACTGTGCTTGGGTCTAAAACCTGTCCCCCTACTCCCAACTCACCATTCAGCTGCTGGCTCTGAGCCAGCTTCAGCTGGGGGGTCCTTCACCCTCTATGAGCACGCGGCTCCACCCACCCTGAGCTCAGCAACACGGGCAAAGCCCCTCAGTTTCTCTGGGGCTCATTCATTTATTCATTCATTTTTGTGCCAAGCACAGTGCTGGGCAGTGGGGCATCAGCAGGGAATAGGGCAGAGGGGGTCTCTGCCTCCGTGGTGCTTACCATCTCTCAGGGGCCCCTGGGGTCTGGAGTGATAGAAGTGGAGGCAGCATCTCTTTGGACAGTGGCTCCCAGGAGATGTCTTGGCCACGGGGTGCCCTCTGGTCCAGGGGCCTGGGGCAGTGGAGAGAGGCCCTTATTACAATCTTATCCTTTCCAAAATCACAGTGACTTTCCAGTTTTTTTCTGATGCTGAAGCTGTGCCTTCCCTGATAAAGGAAGAAGGAGAGAGGGACCGTCAGCAGGAGGACTTGTGGCCTCTTACCTCTGACCTGTGTCTGGGGTGGGCCCCTTGTTATGGGGCATTTGATGATCTTCAGCATCCAGGTCTTACTGGACATCCAACATCCAGCACCTACCAGGTCAAAGCTCAAAACTCCAAAATGCTCACATTCTTCTCCCCACCCCCCGCCACCCCTTGGACCTGGTTTTTGCAGGGACTGGAGCTGTCCCAGGGTCTAAGGGCACATTTGACTAATGGAAGAAGAAAGAGAAGCCACAATGCAGATGTGTGGTCCTCTGACGAAGCCCTCCTGCCTCCAAAAGCTCCCCTGGTGGGGAGGAGGGCCACACACCTGAGCCTTGATCTTCTTCCCAGTGATCGTGGACATTACACCCCAGTGCAGCATGGCCGGTTAAGTACAAGTGCCCATGAGTTCACAAAGAAGGGCTGTGCCACGCAGAGGTGAGGCAGATACACCCCACCCACACAAGGAAGCCGTGAGACCTGCAGGAGGGATGGGAGCCAGCAGGAGAAGGAGGAGTGAGGCAAGAAGGGATGGAGAGAAACTTCCAGGCAGGGTTCTGGAGAAAGTGCTTGGCAGCTCTGGGCACTGAAAGAAGAGGGAGTGGTGGGGAAAGGGGTGGGAGTGGGAGTTGGTGGCTGATATGTTTTGGCTCTGTGTCCCCACCCAAATCTCATCTAGAATTATAATCCCCACACGTTGAGGGAGGGACCTGGTGAGAGGTGATTGGATCGTGAGCGCAGTTTCCCCCATGCCGTTCTCATGATAATGAGTGAGTTCTCAGGAGATCTAATGGTTTAAAAGTGTTTGGCAGTCCCCTTCTCACTCTCTTGCTGCTATGTAAGACGTGCCTTGCTTCCCCTTCTGCCATGATTGTAAGTTTCCTGAGGCCTCCCTCCCATACAGAACTATGAGTCAATTAAACCCTCCTTTCTTTATAAATTACCCAGTCTCAGGTAGTGTCTTTATAGCAGTGTGAAAACAGACTAATACAGTGGCAGAGCCAGGTTCTGAGGGCGAGGCAGGGTGTCTTTGGGTACACACTTTAGAAAGATCATTCAGCTGGTGAGTGAGAGGATTGGACAAGTCAAGATTAAAGGTAAGGAAATGGGTTTCCCTATCTGTAAAATGGGATAATAATACCTGCATTACCGAGGGGCCAGACAGAGGGGGAAACTCTGTAGAACATCTGGTGTGGTGATTCCTAAATAAAGGGTGGACAAGAGCAGGTGCTCCAGGCCGGAGTGGGGCCCTCAGAGACGCAGGTGCAGGCAGAAGGCTCCCAGCCTGCGTACCACTGTCTCATGCACCTGGAGCCCTGTGAGCTCATGCTCGTTGATTGAGCAAGTGAATAACAGCCATCTGCTGGTCACCATTCCGTCTTTTCAGTGGCTTGGCAAGGCCAGGTGAGAGACACAGGCATAATATACCTCCCTCATGGCATTGTTAGCCATTTTGAGTGAGACCAGTTCATAAAGCAAATATGCGCATGTACGTCCTCAACCATGGTAGCCGCTGTGTTTTAGGACAAGGATGAAATGGCTGCTAGGGGGCCGTGGAGGTGGCGACGAGACCTCCAGTCCTCTTCCTGGCACCTAGAACCTCTGCGTCCCAGTCATTAGAAAGGCTGTAGATCCCACCTACAACCCCCACACCCCCTACCAAGCCTCCCTTGCTGCATCTCCAAGTCCTCACCCTGGTCCAATCATTCCACGTCTCATGTGGTCCCTGCAGCATAAAGAGTCACAGCTGCAAGGGGCATGCTCTTTCCACCCTGGTCCCCTGCCCAGTTCTCTACCCCACAGCCAGAGGGAGCTTTTCCAAAGTAAACAAAGCCCATTACTGGGGGATACTCTCCCCTCAGGGCTGCAATTGCTCCCCATGGCGAAATAGAATGAAATGCCCCCGCCCTGGCAACACCACCTCCTGCCCTGCTCCCAGCCACTCTACTCCGTCTGACTCAGGGCCTCTGCACTTTCTGTTCATGCTGCTGGGAAAGTTCTGTCCCCATTGCCTTTAGTGGCTGGCTCATCAGTATCATTCCGCTAAAATGACATTTTCCCTCCAACAAAGACCTGCCCTGACCAACTCATTTGAAGTGACGACTGCTTATTGTTTTCCCAGATTTATTTTCTTAATAACTTCTGAAATTGAATGACATTTTCTTATTCATGTATTTACTGCTTCATAGGTGTCAAAATCCAGTGTGTGCTCCATGAGCAGAGGGGACTTGTCTCCCCAGCAGCAGGGAAATGTCCAGCCTGTGGTGCACATCCAATATGGAATATAGAATACAGTATATAATGAGTAAATGGACGGTGAGGGAGGGAATGGTGGCAGTGGTGGTGGTGGCAGGAGAGGGAAGGACGGAGGGGTAGGATGAAGCTGAGGAGGAGGAGAAGGTGGTGAGGACCCCAGTGAGGATGCTCTGTGCCCCTCAGAGGTCCTCATCTGTGCCTTGCTGGTCCCCTAACTTATTAATATCTCAAGGGTTGCACACTGCTCTCAGGGCCAACTCCGAGCATCGTCCAGTCCACAGAACATCCCCAGAGCCCCAGCCACAAAGTCACAAAGCCTAGCCCTCCTCCCTGTTCAATATTCAGCTTAAACTTTACACACCCTGTTTAAACATTTCAGCACCTTCTCATCCATTCTGGGCCTCACCAAAAATAAAAATATTTTGGTAGTGCAAATAAAAGCAAATATTTGATACCACTTGGCATTTTTCAGTGCATTAATTAGCAATTTGCTGGATAAATATTGCTCTGTAAACCAACAATCATTTCCCAATAATTAAAAGCCAAGTCAGATGTTATCGGAAGAGTCCCCAGTGTGTGCACGCACTCTGGGAATGCGATCCTCTCGGTTATGGCCGGAGAGGAAGGGGCCAGAAGTGGATGTGGGTGGTCCCGGCTGGTCATTCCAGCTTTGACTTTGGAGGGAGGGAGCTGGAAGAGGAAATGGGCTAGAGGGTGATGGACACCCATCCATTCTATGGGGGCCTGGGTCTCTCAATGACCCACAGATCACTGTGGCAAATATGACACTATTGGCCAAAGTTTTGTAATTGGAACGGGAGTCAGTCTACAGCAGTGGTTATGTGCATAAACTCGGGAATCCAACAGATGCAGGGGAGAGAGTCCCAGACAAGCCACTCACTGTCTGTGTGATCTTGGATAAGTCAGGTCCTTCATCTGTGAAATGGGTACAATAAAATCTCCTACTTCACAGGACTGTTCTAAAGATGAAAGGGTGGATTGCATGCGCTTAGCGCATGGTGCACGCCCAGCAAATACTGGTTGTTTGTTGTTGCTGCTGCTGTTTTCCTTCTCTGTGATGTGCCCTGGGTCTCATCTCTCCCTAACTTTAAGCTCTTACCCATTACTGCTACCAAGGGAAGGGGTGGATTAAATCTTTGCCAATCATCTCTTTGCTTAGCCTCTCTCCAAAATATCTTCCTGGTCTGTGAAGCAAAATCCTCTTGAGTGAGTGTGTACTCTCCAGCTGATGCCAGCTTGGCTCAGCGGGGAAGGAGGGCCGGGGCGGGGGAACCCAGCAGATGGGGTTCTGTAGGGCCAGGGGCTGCAAGACGGAGGCTCTCTCTCCCCTAAGCTGAGTGGTCTCAAACCTGGGGAGACCATGGTGTCTGGGGAAGATGGGAAGCCAAGCCTGTGGCTCAGGAAGCTTGACGGCCTGAGGGAGCTGAAAGAGGCATGGACGGGCCAGGCTATGGAAAACAATGGTGAATTGAGCGTTTTTGTTTAAGTGCTTCCTCCCTCCTCCTGTTAAAGTAGAGGAGGAGCGAGGACCCTTGCCACTGGGAACACAGGTGAGGATGATACTGATGCATTAGAAGCTGGAGGAAGCTGCCTGGGGGAAGGCTGGGCCTTGGTGGGACACATTGTGTGAGAGGGAGGGGCCATCAGTGGGGAGTAATTAGAGCTTCCACTGATTTCACAGCTACCACGTGCCAGGTCCCATGCTGAGAAGGTGGCACGCATCGTCTCAGAGTGAACCCTCCTCTCAGCACTGTGACCAGGTGCTGTCACTGACCAGGTTTTGCGCAAGAGGAAGCTGAGGCCCAGGAGGCCATCCCTGAGTAACTACGCACAGTTACTCAGCTGATAAGTGGCAGAGATGGGACTTGAAGCCACGGCCGTTTAACTCCTGGACCATGTTAATTGCCAGGCTAGGTGGCTTCCCTAGGCATGAGGGATCCCCTCAGAACTGCATAACCTGCCGCAGCACAGGGAGGCAGATGAGGTGGGCTGCAGGGCAGGAAGTGGGAGCCATTTCTGGAAGCACCTCATACAGTGAGACAAGGTGCCAGCCTGCGGCTTGCATTGGAGCTGGCTCAGTAGAGGGAGGTGCAACCTCAGCAGGGTCCTGGCATGGCCATGCCTGAGACAGAGGCAGGGCCACACTCCAGACACTTGACATTGCCCCAGCTTCAGAAGCCAGGTTCACTCGTGAAGCGCTGATGTTCCCATGGCATGGGCGCCTTAGCATCTCACCTTCTTACTTCCCTTAGACATTGAAACTCACAAAGAGCAAGAACTCCAATGTTTTCCTCCTCTCCTACTCCCATCATCTGGGCCTGGAAGATTGGAACAGGGCTCCCATCTCAACCCTCAGGGATGGACAAATATAGAATAAGAGAAGGGAGGAAAGCCATGGGCCCTGTGAAAAGACTCAGCAGTTCTCATAAAGGAATCAACACAAATGTTTCCCTTGAGACAAACTTCCTACCAGAATCAACAGAAATCTTTAGAAAAATCTCCAATTTGTGTGCCCATTAAGATTCGAGGGGGTATTTATTGTATACCTGAAAAAGGCATCCTCTGAGATTGAAAAAGATGATTTTCAGCTGAAAAGTGCAACTGTTACATTTCAGAAGGCAATGGAAGCAGGAAATAACAGATTGAAGACGCAGAAAAATGGAGTGGAGTCCTTTAAAAGATGGGTACCAAGAAACCCCCCATAATTCATAAGAAAAGAATAAAAGATGAATGTGCTTAGTGAAAAGATAACCTCGAGGAAAGATCCAAGAAATAAAATAGCCAAAGGAATCATTAAATCAAATTGCTCTTTGAACATTAGCTGAAGTTAATGAAGAGACCTATGGCCAGGTGAAACTGAATTTCAAGGATTAAGGGAGAAAATCCTGTAAGTATTCAGACAGGAAAAAAAAACTGTTGGCAATGGTATTCATTATAGAATAATTTGGCTATGTGTGCAGAGGGCCAAAATAACAATGGCTAAAACAATAGAAAAATATTTCTGTGTCATGTAATAGTCAAAAGCATGTGATTCAAAGTTTGCTCTGCTCCATGAAGTTTCCCAGGGCTCTGGGAAAATACTGAGAGCATAGACTCCTTCTAGCTTGTTGCTATGCCAGTCTTAGATGTTAGATTTGTTTGCAAAGATATTTGTTATAAGCAGCAAAATGGAGTAATAATAAAAGAAGAGCACATCCCTTTCCCCTTTCAAATCCCCACCCAGAGTTGCCACATATCACCATCCACATCCCATTGGTCAGAACTTAGTCACATGACCACCCCTAGCTGCAAGGGAGGCTGGGAAACATTTTTATTCTGAGAAGCTATGTGCCAAGCTCAAAATTAAGGTTCTGTTATTTTAGAGAGAAGAAGAGAATGCTTACTGGAAAACTCTTACCCAATGCACTAAAACTTGAAATGAAAGATGAAATGAGAAAAAAGCAAAAACAAAAAAAGTCAACAATTCTCTACCACTAGAAATTTCTTAAATTATCTATAAACTTGTACTTGGGTCAAAGAGGAAATATAAATAGAAACTGCAGGAAATCTAGAAGATAAAGATAGAAAACTACATATCAGAACCTATGAGAAATAAAGTAATGCTCAGAGGAAAAGCCTTAAATGTTATCAATAAACAACAAAGATGAAAACAAGAAAATTAAACATCTGATCTGAGAAGTTAGACAAAGAACAACAAAACAGGACAGAAGCAAGAAATTGATAAAGATAATAGAAGAAATTATGAGTTAATAAGCAGAAAAATAGAACTAATGACATGAGGAAAACAATAAAATAGATAAACTGCAAGATAACCTAATAAAGAAAATGGACAAGGAAGCCCAAATACACAAAATAGGAAATTATAAAAGAAAAATAACCACAGAAAGAGAAGAAAGTGAAGAATCATGAAACTGCTTTGCTTGACTTTATGCAAATACATTAAAAAAACATAAAATAATTTGACATTTTTTTTTCAAAGTGTGAATGACCAAACCTGATTTCAAAAGGAGGAAAAATCTACTCATTTCCATATGGAAATTGTTCAAGTAGCTGAAGAGCTCTCTCCCCAAAAATACCAGGCCCAGATTATCTCACAGGGAAATTCTACCAAGCCTCTAATAAGCAGATAATTACAATATTATTTAAACTATCAGAGCTTTAAAAAGGGGGGAAATATTTTTACTTATTTCAATAAAGCAAATGGAACATTGACACCCAAATGCAAGAAAGATTGCACAAAAAAGAGAAACCACAGTCACTTATGAAAAACAATGCAAATAATCCTAAATAAAGCTGAGGTAAACTAGATCTACAGCACATTAAAAGAAAAATACATTATGACCAAATGATGTTTATTTCGTGAATGTACAAATTATGTAATATTAGGGAACATATAATACAATTTATTATAGTAATAGATGTAGGGAGAAAACTTACATTAACATCTTCATAGACACCAAAAAGCCATTGACAAAATTCTGACGTTCATTTTTGATATAAACATTTAATAAAATAGGGATGGGTGGATTTTTCCCTAATAAGATGGAGCACATCTGTCTCTGGACAAAAGTCAGTATCATGTTTAATGAGAAGGCACCAGAAGTATCCCTGCTAAAGTTTCCTCACTGAAATCAGGAGCAAGACAAGAATATCTGCTATGACACTGTTGTTAAACATTGAGCTGAAGGTACTTGCCAAAAGAAAGAAATTAAAGTGATAAAAAATTAGAAATGGAACTCAAACAACATTATTTGCAGGCAATATGGTCATATATACAGAAAACACAAGAGAATCACATTTAAAACTACTATAAACAGCAGGAGAATTCAACAAGATAGTAGTGGGCAAATTGATATGTGAATGCGAACAGTTCTT
This sequence comes from Homo sapiens, assembly GCF_000001405.40. Classification (NCBI taxonomy): domain Eukaryota; kingdom Metazoa; phylum Chordata; class Mammalia; order Primates; family Hominidae; genus Homo; species Homo sapiens. The sequence continues at coordinate 126,134,557 of NC_000009.12, forward strand.
GTGTACAAAAGCAAGCAGTTAGAAGGTAGAGCGGAATAAAATACCTCATTTATCATAGCAGAAAAAATTCAGAAATAAATTTATCAGAAAATTTGCATAACTTGTAAGAAAAAATTTAGAACACTTCTGAAACTTCTAAAGAAGGTTTGAACAAATGGGAATACATTCAGTGTTCTGGGGTAGGAAGACGTGCTGTCATGAAGGGTAATTTCTCCCCAAGTTAATTGATAAATTTAATGTAATTCCAATGAAAGTGTCTATATGCTTTTTTTTAAAGAAAAACTAGACAAATTGATTCTAAAATCTACATGAAATACATAAAAATAAGAGTAACCAGAAATTACAAAAAAAAATTGCCATGAGAGATACTAACCCTATAGTCATTCAAGTCTAATAGGTACCAGATAAGAGACAGGCCAGTAGATGAGAAAACAAAGCCAAGATTTAGAGCCATATATGTGCAGAACTTTAGTATAAGTTAAAAGTGCCACCTTAAGTAGAAATGTGTGGCAGAGAAATGTTCGATATTATAATGATTAAACCAGTATAACTATTTAATTTGTACCAGAGTATAAACCAGAGCAATAGTGGGGGGCATCATCAAACTTCTCACAGTATTTCACTTCTGCAATAGATAGCCAATATATAAAAACATGAGTGATCCAATTAATATTATCTATAAGCTTATTTTTGGTAACTATATATTTGAGGTTTTTGCCTCAACAAGAAATGTACATTGCTTTCAGATGTCCATGAAATATTTTTAAAATTGATTGTTAACTAAGCCAGAAAGAAGACACACAATACTTCCACCAAATGAAGAAATTATACAGGCCACATTTTCCTGACCTCAGTGCAATGAAACTAGAAATTAATTACAAAGAGCGTAAGACAAACATCTTTGTGAAAATGAAAAATCACTCTGCTAAACAATTATTTTGTGAGACAGGAAACCACACGGCAGTTGCAGAATATTTAGAAAAAAGACAATGACAAAATGACACATTAACACGCAGGGGATGCAGCTATTCCTGTACTCATAGGATAATTCACAGCTTTAATTGCTTTTATTATTAAGTGAGCAAGAATGAAAATAAATGAGCTAAGTATCTAATGCAAGAAATTAAAAAAAAAAAGAGCAAAATCGAAAACAGAAGAAAGAAATTAATGAAGATAATAGCTACTTTAGTCCATGTGTATGGGTTCAAGTTGACAAGGGGTGGACTTGTGATGGTTAATACAGAATGTCAACTTGATTGGATTGAAGGATACAAACCATTGATCCTGGGTGTGTCTGTGAGGGTGTTGTCAAAGGAGATTAACATTTGAGTCAGGGGGCTGGGAAAGGCAGACCCACCCTTAATCTGGGTGGGTCTAATCAGCTGCCAGAGTGGCTAGAATCTAAGCAGGCAGAAAAATGTGAAAAGAGAGACTGGCCTAGCCTCCCAAACTACGTCTTTCTCCCGTGCTGGATGCTTCCTGCCCTCAAACATAGGACTCCAAGTTTTTCAGTTTTGGAACTCCGACTGGCTCCCCTTGCTCCTCAGCCTGCAGACAGCCTATTGTGGGACCTTGTGATAGTGTAAGTTAATACTTAATAAACTCATATATATATATATATTCCATTAGTTCTATCCCTCTAGAGAATCTTGACTAATACAGTCCATCTTGTGCTGCTGTAACAGAATACCTGAGACCTGGGTAATTTATAAAGGACAGAGATTTATTTCTTACAGTTCTAGAGGCTGGCAAGTCTAAGGCTGGTGAGGGCATTCTTGCTGGTCATCCCATGGCAGAAGGTGGAAGGGCAAGAAAGCACATGAGAGAAAGAGAAGGGAAGGAAACCAAACTCATCCTTTTATCAGGAACCCTCTCCGGTGATAACTAAACTGCTGTCATGACAATGGCATTAGCTAATCACCTCTCAAAGGTCCCACCTTCTCCTCACTGGGGATTAAGTGGGGGTCACATTCAAACCATTGCAATATCTGAAATTAATGATACGGAAAATTTTAAAAGCAGATGTGATTTAAAACCCAAATGCTACTTCTGTAGAATCATCTATAAAAGAAAACAGTTTTCTGGTAAGATGAATCAAGAAGAATATAAAAAAGAAGGTAGTATCATAAATGAGAAAGCAGTTGAGACCATAGATGAAGAGGTTATTTTCAAATTATTAAAGAATATTACATGAATAAATTTGAAAATCTCAAAATGAAGAATTTCCTAGGAAAATATAAAGTTATAAAACAGAAAATGTAAATATACAAATAATAACTAAGATAGAAGTTTAGAATATGGATAAAAAATCACTTGGCCCAATGCATCTTTCAGAGCCAAGCAAAAAGATATTTTCTGAACCATTTAATTTGTACCAGAGTATAAAAGAGACAGAAAGCCTCCCTATTTTTTTATGGGTGTGTATGAGTTCCTTAGATATTCTGGATAGTAATCAGTGTATGAATTCCATGAAAATCTCTGTTGGGGTTTTGAGGGGAATTATATTGAACTTATTTAGGGAGAATTGTATGATGTTGAGCTTCTCCAGTTATGAAATGATACATCTTTTTATTTATGTAGGGTGTTTTGAGTCTTTCAACAATCTTTGTAACTTTCCCTATAATTTTTAAAAATGTATTTTAGAGATAGGGTCTTGCTCTGTCATCCAGGCTGGAGTGCAGTGGTGTGATTACAGCTCATCACAGCCTTGAACTTCTGGACTCAAGGGATTCTCCCACCTCAGCCTCCTATAACTGGGACTAGGGACATGTGCCACCATGCCTGGTTCCTATATAATTCAAACACAGCTCTTGTTAGATTTATTCTTAGGTACCTTATAGGTTTTGTTTCAATAATGTTTTTTAAATTAAAAATTTGGTGGCCAGTAGATACATGAAAAGATGTTCAATATCGCTAATCATTAGAGAAATTGAAACCACAATGAGACAACACTTCACACCCATTAGGATAGCTACTATCAAAAGGACAGAAAGTAGCAAGCACTGACAAGGATGTGGGGAACATTGAACCCTTGTGCCCCGTTGGTGGGAATGTAAAATGGTGTAGCCACTATGGAAAACAGTATGGTGGATACTCAAAAAAGTAACAGAATTATCATATAATCCAGCAAACCCACTTCTGAGTTCATATGCAAAAGAACTGAAAACAGGATCTTGAAGAGTTATTTGCCTACCTATGTTCATAGTAGCACTACATGAAATTGCCAAGAGGGGTAAGCCACTTAAATGTTTGACAGATGAATGAATAAACAGAATGTGGCGTGTACATACAGTGGAATATCAGTCAGTCTTAAAAAGGAAGAAAATTCGGACAAACGCCACAACATAAATGAACCTTGAGGACATTACGCTAAGTAAAACAAGTCATTCACGCAAAGACAAATACTGTATGATTCTACTTAAATGAAGTATCAAAAGTCAAATTTGCAAAGACAGAAAGTAGAATGGTGGTTCCCAGAGGTTGGGAGAAGGGGGAAATGGGGAACATGTTTAATGAGTATAGAGTTTCAGTTTTGCAAGATGAAAAAGTTCTGGCGATCTATTGCACAGTAATGTGAATGTACTTAAGATAGTGAACTGTACATTTAAAAAGGGCTCAGGTGGTTCATTTTATATGTTTTTGCCACAATTAAAAAATTAATGATAGAAAAAATGTGAACTGTTTTTACTGGAACATAAAATTAAATATAGTTAAGTTCACTTTAGTATATTGGTCTTATATCAAGCAAACTTGCTCAAGCTCTTCTGTATAGTCTAATGGTTTGTGTGATGATTTTGTTGGATTTTTTATGTAGACAAGCATACCATCTGCACATAATAAAATTTGTGTTTTTTTCAATTTTTATATTTTTATATTTCAATTTTTATATTTTATATTTCTTTTTCTTGTCTTATCGTGTGGTCCACAACTTCTACTACACTGTTAAATAAAGTAGTTATAAAGGATATCTTTGTCTTACTTCTGATTTTAAAGAGAATGCTTCTAACAATTTTGCCATCAAATAGAATGCTTGCTATAAGTTTTTCATAGATTCTCTATATCTTCTCTATTCCTTTTTTGTTAAGAGTATTCCCTGCCATGGATGAATGTTGAACTTTATCACATGCTTTTCTAGATATATTGAAATAGCTTTATGTTTTTTCTTTGCTAATTTGTTAATGAAGTGAATTCCATAATTTCTTTACATTCAGTTATCTTTGTATTCCTTGCATAAATCCAACTTCACATTTTTTAATAATACTGGAGTTTGTTTATTAATATTTCATCCATGATTTTTGCTTTTATGTTTATGAGATAAGTTCTATTTTCCTTTATCTTACTGTCTTTGTCTGATTTTTGAATGAAGGTATTACCAGACTCCTAGAAAAAGTTGGGAAACACGACCTCTTCTTCTATTCTTTGAGATAATTTAAGACTTATATAATGATTAGTTTTATGTGTTAACTTGACTGGGCCATGGGTGCCAAGATATTTGGTCAAACATTATTCTGGGTGGGTTTGTGGGAGTGTTTTGGATGAGATTAACATTTGAATTACTAGACTGAGTGAAGCAGATTGCCCTCCCTAATGTGGGTGGCCCTCATCCAACCAGCTGAATGGCCAAATAGAACAAAAAGGCTGACTCTCCCACAAATAAGAGGGCACACTCCCTGCCCGAACTGCCTGGAGATGGGACATCAATTTTTTCCTGCCTTTGGTCTCTGATGGAAACATTGATTCTTCCTGGGTCTTAAGTTGCTGGCATTCAGACTGAAACTACACTAGCAGTTCTCCTGTGTCTCCTCCAGCTTGGTGACTTCAGATCTTGGGACTTGTCAGCCTCCATAATTTCATGAGCCAATTATTTATAACAAATCTCTCAATCTGTGTCTCCATCTCTGGCATGCTCTCTCTCCCTCTCTCTCTTTCTCTCTCTCTCTCCCTTCCCCCTCTCTCTGTGTGTGTATGAGACAGAGAGAGAGAGAGAGAATATATACACACACATTCTATTGGTTCAGTTTATCTGGAGAACCCTGAGTGGTGCAACTGGGATTATCTGTTAATTAAATATTTGGTCAAAGTTGACTCCGGGCCTGGTGGGGTTTCTTTTGCATGGTAGATAGGTTAGATTTTACATTAATGATTCAATTTTTTGGTGATTACAGGTTTTTTCTGAGTTTTTAGTTCTTCCTGAGACAGTTTTGATACATCACATTTTCCAAGCAAACTGGCCATTTTCAATTTTATTGGCATAAAGTTGTTCAAAATGTTCTTTTGTGATTTTAAAAATTACTTTTTGCTGTATTTCTTTCATTTGTCAGTTCCTAATATCATTCATTTGTGCTTTCTCTTTTTCTTAACTAACCTTTGGTTTTGCTGATTTTATTATTGTTTGGTTTTAAGTTTAATTATTTTCTGCTCTTATATTTATCGTTTTCTTCATTTTTCTTTCGTTGGGTTACTCTGTTGTTCTTTTTCTAATTTCTTGAGTTGGGTGCATAGCTTATTATTTTTTAATCTCTTTTCTTGTCGAATGTAAATGCCCTCCGAGTACTACTTTAGCTGCATCCCATACATTTTGATATGTACTATTTGTATTATCCATAATTATTCTTTCTTTGACCCATAAATTATTTACAACTATGCTGTAACATAGGGTTTAACAGCTTATCTTTTATTAATTCTAATTTTATTGTATTATGGTCAGAAGAAATGATCTGTGTGCTAACAGTTCTTGGAAATTTGTTGAGATTTGCTTTCTGACCTTGTATCCATCAGTTTTTGCAAACATTTCGTATGTACTCGAAATATAGAATGGGTTTTCTATAATTGTTGCAGGATTCTATGTTTGTTCATTATATCAAGTGTATTGTCTTATTTAAATCTTCTATACTCTTGCCAAATTTTTGTTTCCTTGATCTATAAATTATTGATTAATTTTATTTAAAATTTTCCACTATGGTAATGGATTTGTCAATTTTAAAAATAATCTAGTACATTTTTGTTTCATATATTTTGTGAGACTGGCGTTAGGTGCGTACATAGTAATATAACACAACTGCTATATATTATAAGTGAGATGTTCCTTTTATCATTGTCATTTATGATGTGTCTCTAATGATAATTTTGCCTTAGAGTCTGTTTTTTCCCTCAACTTTTATTTGGCTAGTATTTTCTTTGTATAACTTTTCTTTTTTACTTTCTATATTTTTGTCCTCAAATAACTGGATTTTTATTTTTAAAATTCAGTCTGAACATCTGATTTTAAATGCATAAAGTTTAGTCCATTTATATTTATTGTAAGCTGATATGCCTATATTTAGTCTATTACACTACTTTGCACTTTCTTGTTTACCATAGTTTTCATGTGCTTCATTTCTTTTCTTCTTTTGAAGTAGTTGAATTTATACTCCCTTTCATTCCTCTGCGTTTCATTTCTAGTCTTATAGTGCTTACCTTTAAGATTTTTTTGACTAAACCTTTAATTTTAGAATAATTTCAGATTTACAGAAAAATTATGACAGAATAGAGGTTCTCAGAAACCCCACACTGTTTTCTCTATTTTTCTCATCTTAGGTTAGTATAATTTACTTGTCACAATTAATGAGCCAATATTGATCCATTGTTATTTTTACCTAAAATACATTTTTATTCATATGTCCTTAAAATTTATGTAATTTTTTTCTGTTCCAGGATCCCACTCAGGATACCATTTATGTTTCCTTAGGCGCCTCTTTACTGTGATAGTTTCTCATTTTTTTTTTCATTTTTGATGGCAGTTTTGAGGGGTAAAGGTCAATTGTTTTGTAGAATATCCCTCAGTTGGGTTTTTTCATGATTAAACTGAAGTTATGGATTTTGAAGGGGAAACCACAGAGGTAATATGTCATTTTTGCATCACGTCATATCCAGGGTAAATACTATCAACATGACAACTCTGTTGATGTTGATCATCTGTATGAAGGAATTTTGTCATCTTGCTCCCTGTGAAGTTACTCCTTTCCCCCCTTTTTCATACTCTGCTTTTTGGAAGGAAGTTTCTACATGCACGCCACATTTAAGGCATGGGGAGTCACACTTCACCTCCTTGAGGGCAGATTATTTACACAAATTATTTGGAATTCTTCTGCATGGGAGATTTATCTCTTTTCTCTCATTTGTTTATTTAATTTAATTTAATTTTTAATTTTTGTGGGTACATAGTAGGTCTATATAGTTATGGGTTATAGCAGACATTTTAATACAGGCATGCAATGCGAAATAGTCACACCAGGGTAGATAAAGTATCTATCACCCCAAGCATCCCAATTTGTTTATTAATTCAATTATTTATTCGTATCAGAATGGGCTTATGAATATCTTAAACTTTGGGTTATAATCCACTACTCCTTTATTTATTTTGTTGCTTAAATTGTTTCAACTTTCTGGCACTACAAGATGCTCAGATTCATTTTATATATTTCTACCCCTACTACTAGAATCCGTCATTTCTCTGAGAAGCCTCTTTTATTGGAGAACTGCATGTATTAAAAACTTACATTAAAAATTGTAACATTAATACTTGACTTAACAAATATTAATGTTAACCAATAATAACGACCCTCCTCCTTTAAAACTATAAACATGTACAATTCAGAATACCCTTTTTTGGCTTACATGGTATTCTTACATGGTGTTTTAGTCCTATCTTATTTTTATACCTCCAAAATCCATCATTATTATTGACCTATACAGCCCAAATCTTATTTTAACATTTCTTTCTTCTCCATCGCTCTTGTATCTCCCTCTTTCCTTCTGTGTTCAATTTCATTCTACTTGAAATAAACCCTGTAGTAGTTCTTTCAGGAGCAGTCTGAGAATTACATTTGTTTCTCCCTTATCATTGAGCGATAGTTTAGCTAGATGAGATTCTAAGTTGACAGTCATTCTTCTCTTATCACTTTGAAAATATCATTCCATTGTCTTCTGGCTTTTCTTGTTGCCAGAAGTCTGCTGTCAGTCCAATTTCCATTCTCTATTGATCTTTCTTTTCTCGCTTATTATTTTTAAAGTTCTTTGCTTTGTTTGGTTGTCCTACAATTTCATTATGGAGCATCAAGATATGAATTTATTTTTAGTTATTCTTTTCAGGATGCACTGGGCTTCTTAAGTTGTGAATATTTTTAAAACGTATTATTATTTTAAATTGTGATAAAAATACACATAATGTAAAATTCACCCTCTTAACCATTTCTAAGTGTACAGCTCAGGGGCATTAAGTACATTCACACTGTTGTATAATCATCCCTACCACTGAAGAACTCTTTTCCAGAACTCTTTTCATCTTACAAAACTGAAACTCTGTACCTATTAAACAAAAACTCCCGATTCCCTTTCCCGACACCCCTGAAAATCACTATTTATTTTCTGTCTTTATGAATTGAACTACTTTTGATGCCTCATATAAGTGGAATCATACAGTAATTATCTTTTTTTTGTGTGACTGGCTTATTTTACTTACTGTAATGTCCCAAGATTCACCCATGTTGTTCCATGTGTCATCATTTCCTTCCTATTTAAGGCTTTGAAAAGCTTTTCTTTTTAAAGCTGAACAATATTCCATTCTATATAAATGCCGCATTTTGTTTATTCATTCATTCGGTGATGCACATTTGGTTTGCTTCCACCTCTTGACCGTTGTGAATAATGCTGCTATGAAGATGGGTGTGCAGACCAGGCGCGGTGGCTCACGCCTGTAATCCCAGCACTTTGGGAGGCGGAGACGGGCGGATCACTTGAGCCCAGGAGTTCAACACCAGCCTGAGCAAAATGGCAAAACCCTGTATCTATCAAAAATACAAAATTTAGCCAGGCGTGGTGGCGCACGCCTGTAATCCCAGCTACTTGGGATGCTGAGGCAGGAGGATTGCTTAATCCTGGGAGGTGGAGGTTGCAGTAGCCAAGGTTGCACCACCAGACTCCAGCCTGGACGACAGAGCGAGACCCTATCTCAAATTAAAAAAAAAAAAAGAGTATGCAAATATCTCTTGGAGATCCTGTTTTCAGTTCTTTTGGACATGTACTCAAAAGTGAGATTACTGAATCATATGGTAGTTCTATGAATTTTCTGAAGAACAGCATACTGTTTTCCATAGCAGCTAAACCTCCACATCCTTGTCAGTGTTTGTTAATTAATTAATTTTTTTTTTTTTTTGAGACAGAGTCTCACTCTGTCGCCCAGGCTGGAGTGAAGTCATGTGATCCCCAGCTCACTGCAACCTCTGTCTCCCAGGTTCAAGCGATTCTCCTGCCTCAGCCTCCCAAGTAGCTGGGACTACAGGTGCCCGCCACCATGCCCGGCTAATTTCTGTATTTTTTTTTTTTTTTTTTTTTTTTTGTAGAGACAGGGGTTTCACCATGTTGATTAGGCTGGTCTTGAACTCCTGGCCTGAAGTGATCCACCCCTCTAGGCCACCCAAAGTGCTGGGATTACAGGCATGAGCCACTGCGCCCCGCCAGTTTCTGTATTTTGATAGTAGCCATCATAATGGGTGTGAAGCAGCATCTCATTGTGGTTTTGATTTGCATTTCCCTAACCATGAGTGAATTGTGTGTTTATTGGTGAATTATGACTATTTTAAATCAATCTGGATCATTCTTATTTTCTCCTTGAATGTTGTTTCTCTGATTCTCTGTATTTTCTCTCTTCTCTTCCTATATCAAAAGATAGGTTTTTTCCCAAGTCTACCCCTCACTGAGAACACAAGCCACAGGGATGTCAAGTCTAGCTTTTCATCTAACTCACACTCAAAGCCTTGTCTCCTGTGCCTATGTGGGTATAAATATCCTCTCTCTCCTTTCCCTGGACAGCTGCAGTGACAGGTCATGTGCTTATCTCTTTGGTTTTCAGTTCCTACTTTATTTCTTGGTCCTGGAAATTTTCTCTACTTTTCTGTAGGCTCAAGTATTTGTTATACTGTATTGGGCATTTCTAGGCGTTTGTGGCAGGAAGATTTGGGGGATATCTCATCCACACTATTTTCAGAACTAGAAGCCTTTCCAACTCATTTACAAAACTAAATAAACCTGACAAAAGATAGCACAAAAAAAAGAAGGCTGCAGGCTAATCTCATTTATGAATATAGATGCAAATATCTTAAATAAAATATTAGCAAATTGAATCTAGCAATATACTAAATGGATATTCCACAATGACCAGGTAGGGTGTATTATTGGAAGGCAAGGACAGTTCTATTTTAGGAACTCTATTAATATAATTCATCATATTAATAGGCCAAGAGGGAAAAACCAGGGCTGATAAAAAGGCACTTGTTAACACTCAGCATCCATTTTGCAGGAAAACCTCGCTTGGCAAAATAGAAATAGCAGGATTCTTCTTTAGCCTGATAAGAAAGGCTTACAGAAACATCCCGTCCTCGAAGAAGAAGGCAGCACCTCTTGAGAGCCTCTGCATTGAGGGTCTCCTCCACGCCTGCCTGGCCCGTCTCCTCTGTCCCGAGTTGAGAGCAAATCCATGTGTTCCTACTTCTCTGGCTCAGTTGGAGCCAAACATTCCACTTAGCCCGAGGAGCCACAGATGGATATTTTGCTTTCCAAACACACACTTTGGACCCAGACGGCCTAGTGTGGCTGTGTTATGTTGGACAAGCGGCCACCACTTGCTGAGCTTCTCTGAACCCCAATTTTCTCATTTGTGAAATGAGGCTAAGATTCTGTATTCCCTGGGGCCATGAAAGTGAAGTCCCCGGCACACAGTAAAGGCTCAGAGAATGTTAATCACTTAGCACTTCCCTCCTTCCCCATCTCTGCTTCTGTCTCTTCTCATCTTGCATGGGTTTCCCTTCCTTTTTCATGCCTCCATGACCCCAGGCCTGGCCAGCTCAGTCTCCTTACCGAAGTAAGCCCAGTCGGTGGGGAAATTTGGGGACTCCAGAGCCCTGAGTTAGCATTCAAAGACATTAAGGTAGCTGCATGGGGCCTGACTGGGGGCTGGCCTGGGAGGCTCTCCCCAGGGCTTCCTGCCCCCAAGAGAGCCTGGTCAGTGAGTCCTGGAGGCCAGGAGGTCCATCTGGGCACCTGGTCTCATTGTGGGAGGTTTCTGTGCTTTGGTGGAATAAGGGCGGTTCCTGGTGGGCAGACCCAAGTTTAAGAACAGGCTGTGCGGCCGGGCACGGTGGCTCACGCCTGTAGTCCCAGCACTTTGGGAGGACGAGGCGGGTGGATCAAGAGGTCAGGAAATCGAGATCATCCTGGCCAACATGGTGAGACCCCATCTCTACTAAAAATACAAAAATTAGCTGGGTGTGGCGGCGCCTGCCTGTACTCCCTCTACTCAGGAGGCTAAGGCAGGAGAATTGCTGGAACCAGGGAGTTGGAGGTTGCAGTGAGCCAAGATCGTGCCCTGCACTCCAGCCTGGTGACAGAGCAAGATTCCGTCAAAAAAAAAAAAAACAAAAAAAAAACAATATGCTGTGCTCCTCTAGGTGTGCCAGCCTCTTGCCAACTTCTTACAGGTTTCCTCCCTCTGGGTTAAAGTCTGGGATCACAGTCCCACAGCTTCTCAGACTAAGACCAAAGCCAGACCCTGGACTCCAGCCTCAGCCTCAGGTCCCTGTACCTCACCATCTCTTCCATGGGTCCCCGAAGTTCCGGCATTCTGCTTTCTTCACCATCCCCAAATTTAGCTCCTACCTCCACCACCTCCATGCTTCCACCTGCGCTCTGCCACTTCTCTCCTCGCACTCGGTATCCCGTGACTCATGAGAGTGGGCATTTGGCCCTTTCCCTGCTGGGACACCACCAAGATCCCCTGGCTCAGTCGGTGTACTAAACACTAACCACACCTTTTGTTTCAAAATAGCTTGGGGACTTGCCGCCACTAGAGGGAGAGGGACTGCCCTTCCCCGGGGAGAGATTAGAGAATCCTTAGAGACAGCAAACAACCGGCCCCAGAGTGAGCCCCTTTCAAATGCAGACCAGCCAATCCAGAGCCATCTACCCACCCACCTCCTTTGTGGGGCTCTGACACTCCGGAGGCACTATCCACCTGCCCTAATCACTCCGGGGCCCGCTTCCCGACCCTGGGGACAGCGCCTACCCCCAGAGCCTGCTGATGTTACTCACGCTAGTCAGTGCTGAGCCTGCTCACCCTCTCTTTCCTGTGGAAACCACCACAAGGGCTCTTAAACACATTTTCCCTGCCCTCCCCTCAACTCTGCTTCCAAACTGACAGGTGCTTCCTGGTATGACACGTCCATGGCATTGGCGTGGCTTCTCTCTAGGGATCTATGAGTATAACAAACCATCTTTTCAAGGTAATCACGTTCTGATCTGTTAGCCTCACCATCCCTGAATAGCAATAAAACCGATTACATTTGCAAACAGACAGGATAGGCTCAGTTATGCTGAGGTTACAAACCGGTCTTGGTGGCTTAACACACAAAGCTTACTGTTGGTCTAGGTGACTCTCCAGGACAAAGTCCTCCACACAGTGACTCAGTGATCCAGGCTGGAGGAGGCTCCACATTCCTGTAGTGGCAGCTTTGGGAACACACCTCCCTGGTTGCCTTGGAGAGTATGAAAGTACTGGAGGATTTAGGACCAGCACTTCACTGCTTTGGCCCCAAAATGACACATACCACCAATGCTCACACCTCATTGGGAAGAACAAGTCTCCTCACCTCAACCAACAGCAAGTTGACTGGGAGGCGTGACTCCCCAGAGTGCTCAGAAGGAGAAGAAAATGGGAGAGGGAGATGGGTGCACACTCAATATCTCTGTCTCACTCTCTCTTCTCTGCTACTGGGTCAGGGAAAGGAACTCTTCCCCAGCGTAGGATGTTGCCCTCTTGGGCTCACCAGGAGGTTGCACTGGCTGGGAGGCGGTCTGTCCTCTACTGGCATCGACATAGTGGGGGCTGGCTGCAGCAGGAAATCTGCATTTGCCCAAGGAAACCCTCATTTTGTCATCTCCCCCGGACAAAGCAGACTAGCTCTAGGGTGTCTCCTCTAGAGCTTTGAAAAAATTAAAAAATTAAAAGACAGGGAGAGGGAGACAAACAAACAATTCTGATCCCAACCGGGCAGAGACACAAATAGCGCCTTTTAATTATATAATCTGCTTTTGATGAATTTATTTCTGACAGTTTTATAGGTTGACGAGAGAGTGCATTTTAGATGCAAAAAAAACCCATTATTCATTCCAGGCTCTTTGAGCATAAAAATTGTCAAATGATTTTAATACAGTTTTAAGTTTTATGTTTATTGTCAAGGGGGAAAAAAAGTCCACAGCAATTACCGAGTCACATGCCCCTTCAATCTTTATGTTTCTGACAGCAAGAACAATAAAATATGTTTTTGCCCAAACCTTTTACCGCTCAGATTGACGTGGCTTCAGCGACAGCTGCTTTTCTTCCATGTGAGAACCGTTTATGAGAAAGCTAACTTAGAACCACTCCTTGGTGGGGGGTGGCAGGGGGAGTCCTGGCTGCTCTGCAGAACAGATGTTCCCTGGCAGAAATGTCCAGACCCTGAGGCCTGGGACCAGAGAGGAAAGTGGGGTGAAACCAGGTGGGACAAATCTGTGTTTTTACACCATCTTCGGGCACCTTGTTGGTTTGCAGGGGACCCAGGAGAGCACACTTTTCCTGGTGAGAACCACCGGCCAAGGATAATCCTCCAATCAGAGCATGACCAAGAAGACAGTGCACCAGTCATGGTCCTGCCAAGCACTGGACCTGTTGTCTTGGTTTGAGCTGCTTCACAGGCAGAACCTGAGAGGATATCAGAGCAAGTCGTATATCTGAGAAGTGATCCCAGGAAACACCAGCAGAGAGTGGGGAAGGGAGACAGGGAAGAGAAAGAGTGGATAGAAGATGAGTTGTCAGACAAGCTGCCATCATGGGCAACTGGAGTAGAATCTGCTGGGGAGCTTCAGGAGACGCAGGGCATGCCTCGGAGTTAACCCAGCTGCCGGACAGGACAACTTGGCTGTTTACCGGTTGATGTCTCACCGTACGTCATTGTCCATGTCTGCTTCTAGGGGCATGAACTCTCTAGACCTCTGCTTGCCCTGAGCTTGTGCCGCACCTACCAGCCAATAGCACAGGGAAAACACAACCTGCCACTCAGGTAACCCGCAGCCTTGAAAGGATCTCCCATCCTGCTGGTGGCCCAGATGTGGCCGTCCCTTCGTTCTCCAGCGCCTGTGCCCATGGGCTACTTCTCTGCTTTGTGCCCCATGCCAGACTGATTGCAGAATTCAGCATCTCCGTGGGGACTCCCAAGTAGAAGGACCAGTGAATAATGTTTGCTGAGTATTTTTAGAGACAATAGAGAAGCTCTTCCTCCCTTGTTCCTCTGCCCAGGGATTCTTTGCTGTCCCCTGCCTCTCCCAGTGGCCAGCCTGGTGGGCTTGTCTCCTTCCATCCCACCCCACCACAAACTTCTTAGCCCTCTAGGATGTAGAGCAGTTCAGCTCTACTTAGTCTCTGTCTCTAGCCTTGCTATTTCCGTACTTACCATGTGCTCAGAGAAGACTGGGGCCCTCTGGTCAGCAGGGCCCAGCCTCTTGGAAAGCAACTTAGCAACTGCCCTTTAGAATGTCACCACCAGTAAGTGGATTGTCAAGGTGGTTCTATTCAACATGGATGATTCTAGGGAGATGGCAGGGCTGTGCTTTGCCAGATAGCTGGGCCCCCAAGGCCATGGAAGTATTAGTCAATAATCTCCTTTCCTGGCTGGGCGCTGTGGCCCACCCGGGTGCGGTGGCTCATGCCTGTAATCCCAGCACTCTGGGAGGCTGAGGCAGGTGGATCACCTGAGGTCAGGAGTTCAAGACCAGCCCGGCCAACATGGTGAAACCCTGTCTCTACTAAAAAATACAAAAATTAGCCGGGTGTGGTGGCAGACACCTGTAATCCCAGCTACTTGAGAGGCTGAGGCAGGAGAATCACTTGAACCAGGGAGGCGGAGGTTGCAGTGAGCCGAGATTGCGCCACTGCACTCCAGCCTGGGCGACAAGAGCGAAACTCTGTCTCAAAAAAATTAAAAAGAATCTCCTTCCCTACCATGTTGGGGTACTGGGAGGCGAGGGGTACTCTGCCCAGGGGTGCTGTGGCCAGGGCTTGGTCTGAGGCAAGTCAGCAGGGCCCAGCCTCTCCAGAGGGCATTTAAACCTTCAGGGTTGAAGGGTTTGGTGACCTGAGATCCATAGCCCAAGAGTGTCTCCGGTGGACATAGGCTTACATTCAAGCTCCACAGGCCTGCAGTCTGGATGGAGATAGAAATGGAGCTGGTCCAGGGTAGTGTCCTGCCCTCTTGGGAACTCAGCTGGGAAAGCCTGTCGAGAGGGGGCAGTGCCAGGAGGAGTGAGGTATGGAGGCTGCAGGGAGAGCCCCAGACATTCCAAGAGCCCTCCCTGAGGGTCCAGGGAGGGGCCTCTTGCAGACATACATCTGGGCAGGTCTGGATAGGTAGTGACTCCACAATGAGCAGGAACAAGTTTCCTCAAGGGCCTTTGCCTGAACTGTCTCCTCTGCCTGGAAAACTCTTCATACAGCCCGCTCAACGAATCCCTTCATGTCTTTTACGACTGCATAAAAGACACTTCTTCAGGGAAGCCTTCCTGGATTTCTCAGCCTTGCTCAGGCCCCAGTGCCACACACTGCTATGGGCCCCTGTGCGCCCAAATTACAATTATTGTTAAATATTATATTCTTTTAAAGTGTAATGTATGCACTACACTTTAAAAGAATACAATATTTAACAATAATTGTAATTTGTTCATTATAAAAATGTTTCTCTTTTCCTCTAGGCTGAACTCTATGGGGTCAAGGTCACGGTCTGTTTTGCTCCCAGCTCTATCTAAAACACTGCATGGTGCCCAGCAGACAGTAGATCTCATTACATTGTGAATGGATAATGGGTGGATGGAGGGAGGGGTGGAGGGATGAAACAGGCTTCCCTTCTGTGACACTTCAGTAAGCCTATTTCCTTTTCCTCCTTCATTCCCAGTCTCCCTTGCAAGCAGATGTAGTCATGTGGCTGAGTCTGACCCATGTGACTGAATGCTGCTGGAAGTGAAGTACTCCTAGGGCTGATCTGTGTGGCCCCTTCTACAGAGAACTCTGAGGCCCCAGGGAAGAGCAGAGCCACGGATGGAGGGTGCCTGGGCCGCTGAATGACTGTGTGGAACAGAGCTCAGCCCTCCCCACTCCAGTGGACTTTACCCCTTTTCCCAAGTGGGAAATAAACCTCTATTGTGTTAAGCTACTGAGGTTTGGCAGTTATTTGTTACAGAGGCGGGTATAACTTGTCCCAGCTAATACGTCCCTTGGGATGGATGCCCTAGGAGGAACCAGGTCTGATCATTTCTCTGCTTTCAGCGTCTCTGTCTTGTTGCCACCCTTGATCAGAATGGGCTGGGTGGGTTTCCAGGAAAGAGGAAGAGGTCATTTTCTAACATTTGTTCCTCGTGCCCACCCTCTCCTGGGGAGGTGGGAGTGACTTGAGGACCTGGAGTTTCTATCTGGAGTGGTAGAGACAGTGGATGGGAGTTGGACTCTGAAATCAGTTGTGTGTTCAAATCCCGGTTGTGTCCGTGACCTCTGGACAGTCGCTTGTCATTTCCGATAATGATGCCTGCACCATGGAGTTATGTAAACACTCAAAGAGCTCGAATGTGAAGCACTTGGCGGAGTGCCTGGCACCCATAGAAGGGAGCGATCATGATAATTACGATTTTCCTCAGGTCTCAGCGTCTCAGTTGCAGGAAGCTCTGCATTGCAAGCCTTTTGTCTCATTCCATTTTCGAGCCAGATGGCCCCATTTTTCTCCCAGTTTCCGCGGTTCTTGAGCTGCCCCAGTGCCTATTACACAAACCCCAATGCATCTCTGAAGTTAGCAGCTAATTATGTTCCAGGAAGTTATAGATCTGGAGTTTTTCATGTGCCAGAGGCAATTGCCTGCTCGGGCTCTCATTTTGCAGAGCAGCCTTCCAAGGACTGATTGGGAGCCCCTTCCCCTGGCCCCAGGGGCCTTGTGGGACCAACCTCTCTGCACCTCGGGGAGTCAGGGTGCCCCTTCCCTGCCTCCCAGACTTTACTAGCTCTGGGCCTCCCTCACAGCTCCTTACAGGCTGTGAGGAACGTTCGGGCTGTCTGTTCTGGGCTGGGAGGTAGAGGGAGTGTCAGAGAGCCCTTGAGAAATGTCCCTCCCTCCTGGGGAGGCACAATTGGTCCTTCATTATTGTGAGTAATAGTTTTTGCTGCTGAGCAACTGAGTGACTTGCGTCTGTTTATCGTGTAAGGGTTTGCCCTGACCCCCTGCCCCACAGCCTCCCTGAGCTGCCTCTCCACCTGGGGCTCTCATTTCTGCCTCTCCCCTGCAGCCAGACAAATACCCCTGGCTCCCAGGGCTCCACTCCCCACACTGGGCTGCCCTCCGGGGACCCAGTTTCTCCTTCCTTAGGCAGCATTCCCTTGGAACTAAAGTAAGAGAAGTGAAGTGCTCACAGTGCAAAATGTAACAAGGTGCTTACACTCTGGTGCCAATTGCACACTTGTGCACACTTGCACACCCTTGAGAGTGAGTGCCTCCTTAGGTTAGGTGCCTCACTGGCTTCTCCCTAGTCTGGACCCCACCCTAGTGACCCCCTGCCCAACTCTGTGGGAGGTGAACTCCCCTGCACACTGCTTGGCAAAGATTTCCTACCAACTGCAGCTGAGCTAAAGAAAGGAACCAGGGCTGCCCTGCTCACTGTCATCTTCCCATCCTTAGCACATAGCACACAGTGGGTGCTCAAAAAACGCTGCTTCCCAACCACCATAATGAGATGTAGCAAGAGATGACTTGGCAAAGCACTGAGTGACATTCTGAGCATGCAGTAAGTGCTCTGTCTATGGAAGGGCCATCTGAATCGACCATCTTCCATTCATGATTTCACGAGGGTAGCATTAGATTGAGTCTGTGATGCTGGTTCATGGGACGAGGATCAGGGTGTTTAAGTGGAATCCCAATTCTTAAAGTGTGACACACCCTGCAAGAGACCTCTCATTTCTAATGCATACCAGAACCTGTGCTGGGCAGCCCTACGTTTTCACCCCATTTGATTTCATTGATTTTATTGACAGTTGTTCCTGCAGCATAGTAATCCATGCTTGTTTTGGCCTTGAATCTTGTTTGGTCTATGTCTGAACAGTTCTGGAAAGTCCCAGCAAAATCTTGCATAACACTGCCAGGCACAGTACTAAGCACCTCCACATATGTTAGATCATTTGATGTCTGATCTCAGGCTGTATTAATAGAGATATGGAGTCTAGAACAAAGGAGGTGATAGTCTCCATCATTTCCGAACTAGTGAAAATTTATCCAAAGTGTTGCTTCCTTAGGGAGTTTCCTCTCCTCAGGGAGTCTCACTTTAAGAAATAACTTGACATTTCTGAGTGAGCTGAGAGCCACCCAGATGCAAAGGTAATCAGGATTACAGATGAAGGCTATGAGAACTTTGCACATGGATGAGAAGGGTTGTTGCCTTCAATGACATGATTTAACTTATTTGATGAAGGGTTAAACTTAATGGTGGGAGTTAGCTTCCTAGTCCTGGCTTGGCCCAGGTGGGCAGTCTCCGGTGAGAGCCATCCAGCCATGGAGTAGGCTGCTGGCTGCATAGTGAGATCCCTTCCACCAGAATTAAGCAAATCAAAATGGGATATTCAAGCTGCAGAAACAACTGTATGGAAGGGATAAGCTCCTAAACTCTTTCAGATTTGCATCTGGGAGCCTCTCTGAGCCACAACAATTTCAGTTATCCACCCATACATGTATCCGTTCACCCATCCACTCATCTACTCACCCCCCCATCCAACCACTCATCTATCCTTCCACCCACCCATACATACATACAATTCATCCATCCAAGTTACCCATCCATTTAACAATTCATCTATCCATCCGTCCGTCCATCCATCCATCCATCCATCCATCCAGTTCATCCATCCATCCGACAATTATCCGTCCATCCACCCATCTATCCATGCATCCATCCATACATTCATCCAATCATTTATCCATCTATCCATCCACCCATCCATCCACCCAATTCATCCACCCAACAATTCATCCATCCATCCATCCACCCACCCATCCACCCAACAATTCATCCATCCATCCATCTATCCATTCACCCAATAGCCATTGGGCCTCTGCCTTGTGCGAGGCACCCTGTCAAGCCCTGGAGGAGCAGTGGGGAGAACTACATACAGCCACGGTCCCTGCCCTCATCAATCTTCCATTCTAAGGGAAGAAAAACAACAAAGGCTGATGAGCCCCCCAACAGGAAAAGGACCAACTTCTAGGGAGAATTTACATCTGGATTATTTTGTGGCCTGAGGTTTAGCTTGTCACTTCAGTGATTTGCCAGTCCTTGGTGGGTCATCTGGGTCACTGAGAAAAATGTGAAACAGGATAAATTGCAATCAGTCCCCAGCCCCTGACTAGAAGATGGGCATGCCAAGGTTCCCCTTCAGAACCCTAACATCTTACACAGTGCTTGGTTCAGAGGAGGAATTCAGGAAAGGTTAGATGACTAGGGAGGTGGAAGGATGGATGGATGAAGGAGGGATGTATGGAAAGACAGACAGATGAACAACATGACTGAGGCTAGAAGGCTTGCCATGACTGTAGTGAACTGGAAACTGGTGTTCAGAGCCCACCTCCATCCCTAGCCAGCCAGAGGGCACCTCTCAGGTGCTGCATGGTCTATGGGTCCCAGAGCCTTGGCCACCCTTTCCTGTCTGGTGCCCACTAGGCATGACCCATACCGGGCCTGTAAGGCAACCAGAGCTCAGACGGAGCAGCATCCACTGCACTGCCAACTGCCTCCCTGAGCTGGGTCTCCAATTTCCACTAACGATGTCTGTCTGCCCCTTTCTAATGGCAAGATCGATCTCCTCAATGGAGAAGTTGAAATCAATAGAGCAGTTGATTAGTTCTGCGTTCTCCCTGCCATCTGTTACTAGTAAGACAGTGTCACGGAAAGGGCACAGGCCTGGTGTCGGGCAGGCTGGGGTGAATTCTGCCTCGCCCCCAGCACTCTTGCAGCAAATCACATCCCATCTCTGGGCCTCAGCTTCCCTGCCTCGGAAATGGGGATAATACTGCTGAGTTTGCTTTGATAATTTGTGAATGCCTGGCACAGGGATTGGAAGAACAAGGAGGGTAGGTACAGCAAGGGCTCGTGGGTCCTGGCAGAGGCATGTCTGTGTGTCTGTGTGTTTTGACAATGAACTTCCAGTCTCCTGGGAAGACAGCGAAAGGACCCATGACGTTTGGCCCCATGGTGGTGGCAGTGCACCTAGGAAGAGCCTCAGACTCAGGTTCAGAGGTTTTGTGAGACTGCTCAGCAGGAAGGTGAGCCTGAAAGGGAATGGACCTCTTCTGCACACATGCCAGGCCCCCCAGCTGCTCGAGGAAATGGGATTGGGGGCTTTGGGGCCCCAAAGGTATCCCTGCACAGCCCTGAGCCCTGGGGCGCAAATGCCCCCAGGCTGGAGGAGTGAGGTGCCATCATCCTCAGGTTCAGCAGCAGCGAGGAGGGTCCTGGGAAAACCTGCCCCCTCCTGGAAACTTTTTTATTTTATTTTATTTTATTTCATTTTGAGGTAGAGTTTTGCTCTTGTCACCCAGGCTGGAGTGCAGTGGCACGATCTCAGCTCACCACAACCTCCGCCTCCTGGGTTCAAGCAATTCTCCTGCCTCAGCCTCCTGAGTACCTGGAGCTATAGGCGTGCACCACCATATCTGGCTAATTTTTTGTATTTTTAGTAGAGACAGGGGTTCCCCATGTTGGCCAGATTGGTCTTGAACTCCTGACCTCAGGTGATCTGCCCGCCTTGGCCTCCCAAACTGCTGGGGTTATAGGCGTGAGCCACTGCGCCTGGCCCCCTCCTGGGAATTTTATAAAAGACTTCCTTATTTATTGTAAAGTAAATGTATTATGTTCTCCTGGTTATAAAGCCAGTAAGGACCTAACAAATACAAAGAAGAACAAGAAGAAAATAAAAAACATCCTTAATTCTATCACCTAGAGATACCCACCCTTACATATATCCTTCTTTTCTTTCCTTTTTTTGTGAATAATATTAAATATTGCTGCTATGGTTTCCTTCCCGTCCGTGGCTGACTGCACACGCCTCACTCAGCCAGGCCTCGGTGGCCCATGCAGTGGGAACCCTTTTGCTAATGACAAAGTGAAGGATCAGAGAGGTGAAGTGCTTTGCCAAGGTCACTCAACTTGAGAGTGACAAATGATTTATGCGCTCAGCTAACTTGAGTGACGGCAAGATGGGCAGGGCCGGTGTGCTGCTGAGGTTTCCATTCAGGTGATGGAGGTGGACCTATCTGCCCGGCCCCAGTGCTCCTCACCTCTCCCTCTACCTCTGAGGTACCCCACCCGGCTTTCTTAGGGATGTGTGCAAAGTGGGGACTTGTATGTGTCGTCCCCTTGATGCTCTCCTGTGAGCCCTGCCCGTACCACCCTCAAACAACAGGGTTGATTTTAAGGCCCCAGGGCAGCCCATCGGGTGAATGGGTCTCAGATCTTCAACTGTGGGCCCCGGGCATATGGAGACACAGGGGTTCATTTTGGGGTCCCTATGGGCAGTGGCCACCTTGCCACCGGCCCTCTAAGGTTGGCTGAAACTCTGTGACATCATGACAGGCTCATTCTTCCCAGTGCGGGGCCCACACAGGGTGTCAGAGCCCCTCACAGCCCTAGGGCCCATCTGCCAAATAAGGAAAGAGGCTCAGGGAGACGCCATCGCTTGCTCAAGGTCACAGGGCCGTGGAGGTAAGAGTCACCCTGGTCTTTCTGAGTCATGCACCTGTGTCCCTGACCTTCCATTGGCTTCTAGAGTGAGGGCTTCCATTCACCCTCAGCTGTCAGTGGCCCACGATCCAGGGATGTCCTGCAGGGAGTGGGCCGTGCCAGGCACGATGCCATAAGAACAGGGACAGTTGGCAGATGGTGGGGGCGAAGGTGGTTCTGGGGCCTCACTGTGCTGTGTGGCTGATGGAGGTGGGGTCACAGCAATGAGAAAAATCAAAGACAGTGATTGACAGATATAGCATCTACTTTCTCCTGCACACGTCTGGGCTGAAAGCTTCTTGACGTGGTCCTCCTCTGACAGCAGCTGTGATTCTGATCTCACCGATTCACACTTGCACACACTCACACACTCATCCAATAGTCATTACGTCCCTGCCATGTGCAAGACACTGTGTCAAGCCCTGGAGGAGCAGTGGGGAGAACTACATACAGCTACCGCCCCTGCCCTCATCAATCTTCCAATCTAAGGGAAGAAAAATAACAAAGGCTGATGAGCCTCCCGACAGGGAAAGGACCAACCTCACCCTCACATACACATACTCACACCTAAGCGCTTGTGTGCAGACACTCACAACACCCTCACACATGCACGCACACTCGTGTGAACATGTGCATACTCTTCTCCACTGACACTGGCTCACACCCATGCACACACGTGTGCACCCATACACTCACACGTGCACACACGTCTTCCCTAGGCACGCGGCCATTGCCCACATTTGGTTTCTGGTGGGCGTTTTCTGTCTACCTTTCTGTCCCTCTCCTCCCACTTTCTGTCTCTGTGGCTCACGATGCCTCATCTTTCTACTTTTCTTTATTTCCCACTCTTTCGTTCCCTTTCACCCTCTCTTCTGTTTCTTTCTCCCTCTTTGCATTTGCATGTCTCTTTTTCTTTATGTCTTTCTCTCTTCACGCTACATCTCTTTCTTCCTTCCCTGCCTCCCACTCTGCCTGAGATCGCTCTGTCTCCTTGACCCCAGTGCTGGCCCCCTGGTGTCCCCTGGGCTTGGAGAGGCAGCCAGGGCCAGGTGGGGCCAGGCCGGCTGGCGCCCCCACCACCACCCCCTCCCAGCACATGGAAAGGTGGCTCTTTCCGCTCTGCCTGGCGTGGGTGCGGTGATTTCATCTGCCTTTGGATATGAAGCTCAAATTGCACATCAAAAAGGATAATGCATCTTTAAGCTGTTACAACGACTTCTCAATTTTTCATTTCCTGTCAGGGTGGGAGCTGCAGGAGGCAGGGGCGGCCGCGGAGCCTGTCTCCTGCCAGTGAAGTGTCTGCCTGGATTTGAGCAGTAGGAAACCCAGGGGTGATAAATCGCTATTTCTAAGTAAATTTCATGCATTTGCCCTTTGGTTAAAGTCTCCCCTCTCAGCACTTTCCCCGTGCACACAGCCCGACTAATAACGCGCCGTGCAAGCTCTCTCCGCTGTGACAACTGATTGCACTTTGAAGTAATAATGGCTGATTTAATAATTGGTATAATTTTTCACTAGTACCTGAATGTCATCGACGCACAAAATAAGCTACCTGGACCCATGGCTGCAGCACTTTCCCTTCTTGGGGAAATCAATAATGCATTAAACCCCCAACCCAGGACCCCAAGAGGCCAGACCCTAGTGGAGGCTGTTATAGGGGGAGGTTTGGGGTCTCTCCATGGAGGCTTAATGGCAGGAAAGCTAGACAGAGGCTTTCAGATAGGCTAGGTCCCTAAGCCCAGCCAGGCTGCAGGAGAAGAGACCGAGAGCCGTGAATCTCCCCCAGACCCAGCTCACCCTCTAGGTTCCACCTTGGCAGCTTCTGTCTCCACCCGTGAAAGTCCCCTGAAACCCCCACTGGGGACTGCAGAGACGAAACCACCTCTCCGCCAGCATCAGCCGCCATGCACACAAACCACGTGTGCATGTGTCTGTGTTTCCGTGTGGGAATTGAGTTCAACTTCATCATTATTTAGAGAGGCCCTGTTATGAGCCAGGATCTGTGCTGGTGACAGAGTGGTGAGCAAGACAGACATAGTCGCTGCCCCCAAAGAGACTGTGACCTCTTAGAGAGTGTGAGCATGCGTGTATGCGCTGACGTGCGCGCGCGTGCGCGCGCACACACACACACACACACACGTGCGTCTAGCTGTCTCTGTCCATACAGTATGTGTTGTGTGTCTGTATTTATAAACGTGTGTGTCTGTCTAGGTCTGTGTGTTCAGGTGATGTGTGAGGGTGTCTGTGTGAAGATCAGGGTGTGAGTGGCCGCTCACTCTGCCTGGCTGGGCCTTGAGAACATGTCCCTTCCTAGACCTAAGGCCAGGCTACTTCTCCAAGTTGAATTGGGCAGGGGGCAGCAGGGAAGAGACCCTGGCACTGCCAAGGTCCAGTCCACCCACGCCTCCTCATGGCTCCCTGAGCTCTCCCTATTGTACCCTCCTGCCTGGCTTCTGCCCAAGCCACCTGCCTGGACAGAATACCCCTCCATGCAAAGCACACAAACTCTGCAGTCACATCTGGATCCTGTCCTCCGAAAAGTCAGACACACATAGCTCTGAGGCCATTTCCTCATCTGAAAAGAGGGCACAAGAATCCCTGACTCCCGGTTCTGTGTAGCATCATGGATGCAGCCTTCTTAACCCATGCCTGGACATAGACAGTCCTCCACAAACATTAGCTCCTCACTCTCCATCCTGTTCACAGTCACCTCCTGTGAGTTCCCTGAGGACAGGCCATGGCACGTAGCAGGCACACAGTGAATATCTGTTAAACAGATGTGTGGGCTGGTTTGTCAACCATTAACATAGACTTGGAAAAACCAAAGAGCTTCGGTCATGCCTGCCTTTGAGGTGATGGGGCTGGGGCAACCTCTCACCCACTGTGCAGTTTGTCAGAGTTTTGCAGGAGCGGGGGGGTCCTTGTCCCAGCAGAGCTGGAGCCCAGACAGGCCTGGATGTCCCATCTCCCCCAGCTCTCTCCCCTCCCACCCGCCGCTGTCTGGCTGTGAACCGGGAAATCGATTTCAACTTCATCTCATCTCAAGATCAAACGTCTTAAGTGAGATTATTCACGTTCCTCCATTGTTTCTAACTCATTTCCTATTTTCCAGTTGAAAAACCCTGCCAGAAGCATTCTGTGGCAGAGATTAAAACAATTTCAGAAGCAGGCACCCAATCCTTCTCTTTGGATGGTAAGCAAATTGGATGTCTGTGAGAAGCCGGCAAATTTTATTATGAACACATAGTTTGCTACTTAACTATCCTTAAGACCCCGGGTGCTGTGAGGCCCCAGCAGGAGGGCTCCAGAGGGGGCAAGATGAAAGGTAGGGAGGGAGTGGGGGTGCAGCAGACCCCCAACCGGGCCCCCAGCCCTTTCCTGCAAAGTGTGAACATCGGATCGCCATCCACAGCTCGGTTTCCTGGGGAAAAGGGAGGGAACCCACATGTTCTGGTACTCACCAGGCCCAGGCACCACGCTAGGCACTTCAAATGCCTGATTGCTCCGAATCGCCACAAAACTCTCGGGGAGCTGGAATTGCTTTGACCGTGTTGTAGATGAGGAAACAGACTCAGAGAAGAGAAGACATTGCCCAAGCTCTCCCAGCAAGCGGTTAGCGAGTGGGAATTAGAGTCCAGCTCATGTTCTTAACCATCACTGTGGGAGATTATTGCAAAAATGGCTGTAATTCTCACCTCTCCTTGCATCCCCAGAGTGGAGAGTCTAGTTCCCTATCCCTGGATCCTGGGTTGGCTTTGGGCAGTAGAACGTGGGGGAAGAGCCGTGTGCTAGGTGCAAGCTTAGGCCTCAAAAAAGTCTTGCACACATTTGTGCTCTCTCTCTCTCATTATTCTGCCCAGTTGCTGTGTGGACAAGCTCAGGCCAGCCTGCAGTGGGCAAGAGACCACTGGCGCAGAGCTCAGTTGTCTTAGCTGGGGACATCCTGTCACCCAATCCTCAGACATGTGAGAGAGCCCAGTCAGGAGAGCAGAGCTGTGGAGCCAACCCTCAACTGAACATAAATGCATGAATGACCCCAGCTGAGACCAGAAGAACCACCCAGCTGGTCAATAGAAATGCGAACAAAGATAAAGTCTTATTGTTTTAAGTGACTATAAATGACCATAAAGTCATACAACAGCTGATACAACCACCGACGAGTCCGAGGACCTGGGATCAGACTCCCAGATTTTCTCCCTCGGTCCCCCAGGCCCACATTGCATATTTACTTTGTGCCTGCTCTGCGGTAACTGATATGGGGGGTGGGGGGTGGATCTGGTTGCTGTTCCCACTGCTTGGTGCATGTGACAAAGATACAGGCTTGCCGCCCTCAGGCCCTGGCACTTCCCCTGACTGCTTCATCCTGCTACTGTCCTTAAACTTGTCAGCCTTTTCCATTAGACTCCTTAATGCCAACAAAATGATAGGGTCATTTAATGATCACCTACTATGTGCTGTGTTTTGTACCCAGCATTTCCTTCCTTCCTTCCTTCCTTCCTTCCCTCTCTCCCTCCCCTTCCCTCTTTCTTTCTTTCTTTTTCTTTCTTTCTTTTTCTCTCTTTCTTCTTTCTTTTTCATTCTTTCTTTTTCTTTCTTTTCTTTCTCTTTCTTCTTTTTCTTTCTCTTTCTTCTTTCTCTTTCTTCTTTCTTTCTTCTCTTTGTTTCTTCTCTTTCTTTCTTTTCTTTCTTCTCTCTCTTTCTTTCTTTCTTCTCTTTCTTTCTCTTTCTTCTTTCTTTCTTTCTTTTTCTTTCTTTTTTTTCTTGAGAGTCTTGTTCTGTCACCCAGTCTGGAGTGCAGTGGTGTGATCTTGGCTCACTGCAGCCTTGACCTCCTGGGCTCAAGTGGTCCTCCCAGGCTCAAGTGGTCCTCCCACCTCAGCCTCCCGAGATGTTGGGACTACAGGTGCCTGACACCTTGCCCAGCTAATTTTTGTATTTCTTTTCTTTTCTTTTCTTTTTTTTTTTTTTATAGAGACGGCGATTTGCCATGTTGTCCAGGCTAATTTGGAACTCTTGGGCTCAAGCGATTTGCCCACCTCGGCCTCCCAAAGTGCTGGGATTACAGGCGCGAGTCACCGCGGCCAGCCTGTGCGCAGCATTTTCTTTGCACATCTCACTGCATCCCCATCACAGTCTTATTACTTCCCATTTTATAGATCAAGGTGCTGAGGCTCAGTAATGTGTCCCCTAAACAGTATGTGGTGGAGGTGGGATGGAATCCAGGCCTGTACTTTTGTCTGCCTGACCTCTTATAGGCTGAAAACCTCCTTCTAAGTCCTGGGGTCTTCTCTGAATCCGGGTCATAGAAGCTCCAGTCCTGCATCTTTTCGAGGCAGCATTTCTCAGATCCTGAGCCTCCATGTGTCAGGGGCATGGTCTAGAGCCCCCAGTCTGACCAGGGGGGCACTTCCCAATCTTCAGGGGGTCCCAACCTTGAAAGCAACCAGGAATGCTGGATTCTGATCCTACCACACCCTTGGGAAAAATCTCTCTCTCTTTTTTTTTTTTGTGACGGAGTCTTGCTCTTGTCACCCAGGCTGGAGTGCAGTGGTGCAATCTCGGCTCACTGCAACCTCCACCTCCCAGGTACAAGTTATTTTTGTACCTCAGCCTCCCCGGTAGCTGGGATTACAGGCACGTGCTGCCACGCCCGGCTAATTTTTTGTATTTTTAGTAGAGATGGAATTTCACCATGCTGGTCTTGAACTCCTGAGCTCAGGTGATCTGCCCACCTCGGCCTCCCAAAATGCTGGGATTACAGGTGTGACCCACCGCACCCAGCCAGGAAAATCTCTTCACCTCTCTGGGCCTCACCTTCCAAGTCCACCCAATGGGCTGAGAACTGCTACCTCAGGGCCTCCATCTGGGGAGAGGTGGGTGAGAGGATGGCGTGGGCTTTCCAGGTTTGGACTGTCTGACTGAGGTGGGAGAGATGTGGTTCCTGGGGAGGAGGAGGTCTGGGCTGAGGAGGAGCCTGGGGTGGGTGGAGTCCGCAAGGTCTGGAAGGGCGGGGGAGCCAGAATGTTGACCAGGCACCATTTCTAAGCCAGGGCCTAGGCCCAGACAGGGGCTGTTATCATCCCCGTCACACAGATGTGAGGTGTCATGAAGTAACCACCTCTTTCAGCTGCTTCTCCCCTTTTCCTCCTCACAGAACCATCCCAGGTCTCAGACTGGCCCCAGAGCCCGGGTGTCCCCGCCTGTGGTGGCCCCAGCTTCTGAGCCAGCTGTGTCATAGGGTCCTTCCCAGTCTCGCCCACCACCAGCTGCTTTGGGCCACAGGGAGCACGTGCCTGGGGCTCTGTGTGACCCCTGGCTCTGTTTCCCTCCCAGAGGGGGCTGCTAGGCTCTATCTGTGTGAAGGTCATGCTATGCAGGCTTTGGCTGGTAAGCTCCTGGCTGGAGCGACCCCCCGCCCTGGCTTCAGCCCTCCCTGCCAGGTAAGAGGAACCGGCCCCAGTGATTAGAAGCTGGCGGGGAGCATGGGAGAGGCTCCACTGAAGGGAGGCACAGTGGTCAAGGGCACAGGTTCTGCAGCTGGGGGGTCATCCTGGCTGTACGCTGCAGCTGTGTGACCTCAAGCTCATGACTCCACCTCTGAGCCTCAGCCTCCTCAGCTGTGGAGGGTGCTGGGGAGACCCTCGCCTCCCATGGTTGTTAGCATGAACTGAGGCGATGCATGTGGGTGCTGAGCACGAAGCCTGGTGCATGGTCAACCCTCAGCGAATGCATCTAGCTACCCTCCTCCCTTTCCAGAAGCTGCAGCGCCAAGGGTGGAGTGCTGGGGCCAGGACGGGGAGGGCCAGGGCCAAGGAGATGGGCTCTAGGGACAAGACAGATAGGAGCTGAAGGGGCCCTCAGGCGCGGGGACCCTGAACCCCCCAGGGTGACAGGAGACCAGCGTGGCCCTCACCAGCCAGCATCAGGTTCGTCATTTTCTTCTCCTGTCCTCTCAAGACTGGAGGTTCCCCCAGGCAGAGCCTGGTCTGCTCTGTCTCAGTGCCCCAGCACCCAAAGGAAAATCAATGACTTGCTCAGTCTTGGGTGTTGGCAATGAATGGTGTCACTGTCCTATCTTGGTTGAGGGGGAATCCATTCATCAGCTTGGAGGGTACCACACCCTGGCGCTGAGTGTGTGTGGCTTTAGCTGAGGGGATCAGGGACGCTCTGCAGGGAATTCAGAGCTGGCGTCTGCGTTGGGCAGGGACCCAGCTCTTTTTCCAAGTGGGATGAATTTGAGATCACAATAATAACAACTCCTATCTATTGAGACCTTACTCTGTGCCAGGCACCATAAGTGGAGCCTTGCCCTCATGCCTCCTTCTAGAAACTTCCATATGATTTCCATTTTCAGACAAAGACACCGAGGCTCAGGGAAGGTGAGCAACTCACTTAAGGTCACCAAAGGCAGAGCTGGGACTTGCCCAAGATCAGTCTGGCTCCAGTACTGCGGATATTCCTTCTTTTCAGTGCAGCCCCCTCTCCAAGCTGTTGAATGGAGTCCCCCCCAACCGAGATAGGAGACTGATGCCACTCACTGCCACCACCCAAGACTGAGAAAATCATTTATTTTCCCTGTCTATAAAACGTTTCACAAAGTAACAAAAAGTGTAATGTGCAAGATCTTCAGAATGACCTTTAGAAGAAGTGACCACACCTTAGTGGTTCTTACCCTTGGCTGCCCATGGGCGTCACGTGGGAGTGTTAAAAAGCTCTGAAGCCCCGGCCTCACCCCCAACCAGTGACGTCAGACTCCCTGGGGTGTGTGGCCCAGCATGGTGTGTTTCAAAGCTCTTGAGTGGTCCCTGTGGGCAGCTGGGGCCGGAAACTGAAGCCCAATGTGTCTAAGCTGCATGCGTCTTTTTTTTTTTTTTTTTTTTTTTTGAGACAGAGTCTCACTCTATTGTCCAGACTGGAGTGCAGTGGCACAATCCGGCTCACTGCAACCTCCGCCTCCTGGGTTCAAGCAATTCTCTTGCCTCAGCCTCCTGAGTAGCTGGGACTACAGGCGCCCGCCACCACGCCTGGCTAATTTTTGTATTTTTAGTAGAGATGGGGTTTTACCATGTTGGCCAGACTGGGTTCGAACTCCTGACCTCAGATGATCTGCCTGCCTCAGCCTCCCAAAGTGCTGGGATTGCAGGCGTGAGCCACCGCGCCTGGCCTGTATGTGTCTTTCTTGCGTACCCTGATGGCTTCAATTCTCAGGTTAGCTTAAAGCCATTCTCATCCCAATTTAATTGAAGACCCTTGGTGAGTCCCTTAAACCCTCATGTGGAATCAAAATGTTGTGCTGTGGGGAGATGGCCTGAGGTTCTAGAACTCCCTGGCACTAGACCGTCCTTCAACAGGGCTTTTCCAAGCCCGTTTGCCCCCGGGCCCCTTTATCCCAGCTTTCTTTTGCCATCATTGTAACAGTCATCAACACAGCCCAGCCTGCTAATGAGTAGCCCCATCTGGGCACAGTCAGAGGAGAAAGGGTCTCTGCCCTCCAGGGACCAACGCCTGTCTGGGGAGGCAGCAATCCAGACTCGGATGAAGCCCTGGACCCCTCCTGAACCCCACGGCTGCCGGGGAGGTGGGGTGACTTCATCTCCACACTCTGGATCTTCCCGGGCGGTTCCCTTAGCAACAGGGCCTTGCTTTGACAGCCGCCTTCGCAGACAGTCTGCTTTCCGGGAGGCTCTTTCCACCAACCCCATCCTCTCTTCCAGTGGAAATTTTTGCAGGGGCTTCAAGCAGAGGCTCAAAGCAGGCCCTTCCTGACCTGTGGGGCGTCAGGCTGCCCCTGGACCCTACAGCCTTCCTGGACTGTTCACCAACGTCCCATACACAGGGCCTGCTCGTTCCTCCGGCTTCCCACTTCCTCCTGTTCCTGCAGGTCCTAATGAATTCAGTCTTGCTCTTCTACCCGCCCCCCACCGCTGCCTCCTTGCTTTTTCTACCTCCCGACTTTCTCTTCCCCCGACACACCTGTGCCCCACCTGCCTCTCACCCGCACATGAGCAGTTAAAGCGTCTGCGCTGACATTTAATGTTCTTAATATAGGCCTTGGTGACAGAGGGAAGCGGGCACAGAGTCCCCTGCTGGGCAGGGGGCTTTTCATCCCCTCTGCATGGGCATGGAGACCTTCCCTCCCCCAGTCAGAGGACAGGATGGCTTCAGTGGGGCCCACAGCTGCAGGCATTGCTGGCGACCATGTACTGAGCCCTGTGCAGGGAGCCTCTGGCCCCACAATAACAACTAATAGTATTCCCATTTCACAGGCTAGAGAATGCAGCTTCAGAGAGGTTAGCTAGCTTACTTAAGACCATCAGTTAATAATTGGGGACATCGGTAGTGACAAATATGAAATATTTTTGTCTCTGAGCACCCACCCAGTGGAAAAGCTGGACACCCCATGCCCCCGAGAGGGTCCTCATCAAAACTTGCAAAGGAGGGAGTTTAAGCTCAGCATCCACCTATAACCACAGTGCAGTGTGCTGGGGGAGCCCGGCCCAGGGCACCCAGTTGCCATGTGGTTTGCAAACAGCCAGCTGCTGCCGCCAGCTCTAACCCTGCCTCCGGTGCCCTCTCTTTATTGTCCTTCTGTTGGCTGCTGTCACTGATGTGGTGGGAAGAGGACTCCTCTATCAGCCCCCTAAAACATGGCCTGTGGGCAGCGGTGATGAGTTTGGGGTGAGTTTTCTGGCTGATGAGTTAGAGAACAATGGAACGATTCGTCCTTGGTTCACTCCTCGAAGAACCTCTTTCCACCAACCCATAAACTTAGGGCAGAGGCCAAGCAACTCGGTGTGGAAGGCAAGTGGTCTTGCTTCTTATTCCAGAGCCATAATCTCATTGCTCTGGCTTGAATGAAAATCCCAGGTCACCATCGTTCATCACCATTATTTCTCCCCAAAGGTCCATGGAATGCCATTTCAAATATCTGCTCTGGGCTTGGAGAGACCTGGGAGTCCATAGTGCAGAGGGGAAGCTTGACACCTGGGAGGTGGTGACTCCCTTGAGCGCAAGTCTAGGGGAGAGGGACACTGGGGAGGGATTCTGAGGGACACTGAGATGGGCTGGAAGAGGCCAGAAGAGGAGGCTCGGTGGCAGGGAAGGTGGAGAAAGTCCAAGGACGTGGAGTCAGGAAGGCAGAGGATGTCTCACTGGAGAGGGCTGGGAACTGGGTCAGGAGCTGCCATGTTGGGAAGGTGAGGGCTACGAAGCAGTGACCGCATTTAGTGACAGGTACATCATTGTTGATCTTGTTGGACGTTGTTTCAGTAAAGAATTGGAAAAAGAAGCCAGATTTAAGCAGGTCAAGGAATCCATGGGAGAAAAGAGAACAGAGCAGACAATTCTTTGGGGAATCCTGACTGTGAGGTCCCATACAGACATACAGAGAGGCTGAAGGTGAGGAATTGGTTTTGTTTGCTTGTTTTCGGGGTAGAGAGAGACTCGAGCATGTTTAGATGTTGATGAGAAGTCTCCAGCAGAGAGGGAAGGGATGGCTGGTTGGCCTTGGTCCCCAGAGGTGGAGGCAGCCAGCAGCTGGAATACTGGTACTGATGCAGGATTCATTCTATAGAAGTCCCAGTCTCCTCCACCAACCAAGAGGGAATGAAGTGATGGGGAGTGCTGATGGAGATGAGCCTGCACGTTCAATGGGGAGGGAGCGCTATGGCATCATCCTCTAACAGACAGGGAGAGGATGGTGAGCGGGGGAGGTTTGAGGAGAGCAGGGAAGGTTGGCAAGAATGGAGGCCAGGACAGAGAGCTGACCAGGGGAAGAACTGCTAGGCAACGATGGGAACCGTTAGAGGCTGGGGAACCATGAAGTTATCACGGCATCAACTGTTTAGCCAATCCTTTGTGATGTTCTATATTCCGACTTTTTGTATTAGTCAAATAAATTTGGGAAATATGTTGTATTTCCCATATAACATATTGGTATAATATGTTATACTAATAACAAGATTAGTTAAGCCAACTATGTTGCATCAATATGATGAAATGTTGGATTTCTCAGAGACTTTGATATGCTCATGTATGTTGTAACCTGCAGAATTGGCAGGTCCAATTTTATTTTTGACCACAGTATTTTTTCCTCACAAACCATCTCATGGTCTAGTGTTCTATTCAGTGGTGTGCTCGAGCTGGCTCATAAGAGCAAAGGTATGCATCTGTTTTTAATTTCTTGTCCAGTGACATCGGTGTGGCTTGACATCAGCCATGGTAGCAGTGTTTAGACCACAGAAATGGGCAAGTGCTACAAATCAGGGTTATTTCTCCTGGACAGCTGGTTGTTAAACACTTACCATTGCACTTCAGATATCTTGCACTGGTCAATGCAAAAGGAAAGAAACACAATAAGTGGTAAAACTATAAAAAAGAAAGGCTCAAAATTATTTTTCACATATTTTATGATTATTTACCTAGAAAATTCAAAAGATCAACTAGGGACTATTACAATTAATCAGAGAATTCAGTAAGATGCTGACTTAAAAGATTTATTCAAAAATCGATGCCTTTCCTATGTACTAGCATTAATCACCTAGAATATATGATGGAAAAAAGATGACATTCACCGTAACAACAAAAATAGAAAATATCCAGCAACAAACTTAGCAATAAATGTGTGAAGCTCAACTTAACATAAAAGTAGGAATTGACTATATGGAAACACCTGCTGTGTTCATGGGAAAGAAGATGAAAATTTGTCAATTCCATTAAGATTAATCCATACATTTAATTCCATTCCAATTAAATCCCAAATGTATTTTCTTACTTGCAATGTTAGCTCACTGGGAATTATAAATAGTCAAGAATGCCTAAGAACATCTTGATAAATGCAATTGATTGGGGCAAAAGCAAATTTTTTTTTTTTTTTTTTTTTTTTTTTTTTTTTTTGAGACAGAGTATTGCTCTGTTGCCCAGGCTGGAGTGCAGTGGTGTGATTTCGGCTCACTGCAACATTTGCCTCCTGGATTCAAGCAATTCTCCTGCCTCAGCCTCTTGAGTAGTTGGGAATACAGGCATGTGCCACCATGCCCAGCTAAATTTTTTTTTTTTTTGGTATTTTTTAAATAAAGACAGGGTTTTGCCATGTTGGCCAGGATGGTCTCAAACTCCTGAGCTCAAGTGATCTGCCTGCCTGGGCCTCTCAAAGTGCTGGGATTACAGGCATAAGCTACCACACCCGGCAGAGGCAAAAGCAACTTCTAAGGTCAGATATTAAAATGCAAGAAGCAAGAGGGTGATGCGGTGTTGTCACTGCTCCATTGCCCACGGTGGAATCTTGGTTTCTAGAACAGTACCTGGTCCACAGAACTACTCGATACATATTCATTGAATGAGCAAGTTACTGAGTGAATGAATGAAAAAAAATGCATCACGAGGATATTATAGTTCAATACACTTTGAATTGGTAAAATTAAACACATGATATAAAAAACATGAGTATACATAACTAATATATGATAAACGTGGCATTTCAAATCAGTAGGAAAAAACATGAGTTACTTAAAAAATAGTGTTGGGGTAATTGGCTAACCATTTAAAAAATAATAAAGTCGGGCAGGGCGCAGTGGCTCATGCCTGTAATCCCAGCACTTTGGGAGGTGGAGGCAGGCAGATCACCCAATGTCAGGAGTTTGAAACCAGCCTGGCCAACGTGGTGAAACCCCTTCTCTACCAAAAATACAAAAATTAGCTGGGCAAGGTGGCGGGCACCTGTTATCCCAGCTACTGGGGAGGCTGAGGCATGAGAATCACTTGAACCCCAGAGGCGGAGGTTGCAGTGAGCTGAAATCGCATCCCTGCACTCCAGCCTGGGTGACAGAGCAAGACTCCATCTCAAAAGGAAAAAAAAAAAGTCACACCATCGGACATATGCTAATAACAGGATTGGTTAAGCAAATTATGTTGCATCAATATGATGGAATGCTGTGGACCCACAAAAATCATGTTATGAATGATATTTATTGGCATGGGTCATGAAATTGCTCAGTGGAAAAGGGAACAGGAAACAAAATTGACAATGTAGTTCAAAAGACAAATGAAGGAGTCAGAGCTTGGATTCACATTTCGGCTCCATGATTGCTAGTAAGCTGTGTGACCTAAAGCAAGTTACTTAGGCTTTCTGTGCCTCAATTTCCTCATGGCCAAAACAGCAATAATAAAAGCACTTATTCATTCTTGAGAAGGATGAATATGAGAAAATGCATGCAAAGTACTTGGCATTGTATCCGGCACATAGTAGGTGCTCTGTAAATGTTCGCTGTTATCACAGCATTTACTGAGCACCTCCAGTGCCCCTGAGGGTACAGAGATGTGTGGGACACAATCCTTGGAGGTGCTTACAGGCTGGGAGGGAATGAGGAGATGAAGCCTTCTGTGAGCAGTTGATACCTACCTTATGCGTTAGGTTCTCCAGCAGGGGAAGCACATGCGTTCTGGGGACAGAGGAGGAACCTGGCCTCACCAGCAGGTAAGAGAAGGTTTGCCCTGTCTCCTTAGTCTTGAAGAACCATCAGAAAATGAGAAAGAGGAGTGTTCCAGGCTGCAGGAACAGCTTGGGCAAGTGAGAAGCGAGCCAGCTGCATGGGTGTATTGATGATGTTGAGGTAGGGGTGAGAGGTGAGGACGGAGAGAAAGGGGAGAGCAAAGGATTGTGGGTACCCAGTTAGTCATCTGTGGTCTACTAGCATGGCAGGCAGAGGGCTGCAGTGTCGGATGGGCAGTTTATAATCACTGCCCTGGCTGCTGGGTAGAGAGTGGATTGAATGGAGGAAGCTGGAGTCAGGGAGACAGCGAGGAGGCCAGTGTGGACACCCGGTGGAAGTGACAACACAGGGAGGTGACACAGGAAGGAATGAAATGCCTGAAGCCAGTGTTAAGGAGCCAGCTCCAAGGACCAGGGGCAGATGGGATGCTGTAGATGGGATGGAAAGAGCCCAGGGCAACACACGGGACTCAGCCCCAAGCCCCGGGGAGGATGGTGGAGAACAGGAAGAACAGGCTTACGGGAAGGTGGGACATGTTGATTCTGGACAGTTGATGAGAAGTGCATCTGGCCTCCAGAGATGGCCCAGAGCAAGCAGAGAGACCCTTGGCTCTGAGCCACCACAACACCCTGTGTGCCAGAGAGGCACTCCCAGGACACCAGCCTCGTGTGGAAAGAAGGGCCAGGAGGTCTTCCTGGGAGCACTGTGGGACAGGCATGGCATGGAGGCCAGCGGAGATGCCCAGGAGTGACTGTCAGAGCCACAACAGGAGGAACCAGAGGGCTTCTTGACATGGCAGCATCCCAGGAAGGAGAGGATGGGAGGAAGTGAGTTGGGGACAGAGTCAAACAGTCAAACAGAGACACAGGAGACAAGAAGAAGGGCTCCACGGATTGGCAACAAGGGTACCAATGGGCAGTTAACATGACCACATTCAGTGGAGGTGGGAGCTGGGATGGCACATGGTAGGGTGGGGGCAGCCAGCTCACAGGGGCCCAGAAGCCAAATATGTTTATGTATTTATTATTTATTATTTTTAGAGACAGAATCTTGCTCTGTGGACCAGGCTGGAGTACAGAAGCATGATCATGGCTCACTGTAAACTCCATCTCCTGGATTCAAATGATCCTCCCTTCTCAACCCCCCAAGGAACAGGGACCACAGGTGTGCACCACCTCCCCTGGCTACTTTTTTTTTTTCTTTTTTTTGAGACGGAGTTCTGCTCTTGTTGCCCAGGCTGGAGTGCAATGGTGCGATCTTGGCTCACTGCAACCTTCCCCTCCCGGGTTCAAGCAATTATCCTGCCTTAGCCTCCCAAGTAGCTAGGATTACAGGCATATGCCAGCACCCCCGGCTAATTTTGTATTTTTAGTAGAGATGGGGTTTCACCATGTTGGTCAGGCTGGTCTCGAACCCTTGACCTCAGGTGATCTGCCCACCTTGGCCTCCCAAAGTGCTGGGATTACAGGCATGAGCCACTACACCCAGCCTCTTTTTTCTTTTTTTTTTTTTTTAAATTGAGACAGGGTCTCAATCTGTCTGTCACTCACTCTGTCATCTAGGCTAGAGTGCAGTGGCATGATCTCAGCTCAGTGCAGCCTCCACCTCCTGGGTTGAAGCAATCCTTCTGCTTCAGCCTCCTGAGTAGCTAGGACTACAGGCACAGGCCACCATGCCTGGCTAATTTTTTAAAATTTTTTCTGGAGATGGGGTTTTGCCATGTTGCCCAGGCTGGTGTTGAACTCCTCAGCTCAAGAGGTCTGCCTGCTTCGGCCTCCCAAAGTGCTGGGATTACAGAAGTGAGCCACTGCACCTGGCCTTATCTGGCTAATTTCTTTTTTTTTCTTTTTGGTAGAGACAGGGTCTCCCTATGTAGCCCAAGCTGGTCTCTAACTCCTGGGCTCAAGCGATCCTCATGCCTCAGCTTCCCAAAGCACTGGGATAACAGGCGTGAGCCGGCGCACCCGGCCCGATTGATTTAAATAAATATTTTATTTTGGAATAATTTTAGATTTACAGAAAAATGTAAGGTAGTACAGAGAGTTCCCATATACCCCATATCCAGTTTCCCCTATTATTAGCATCTTACATTGATAGAGTATGTTCGTTGCAATTAACAAACCAATATTGATCTGTAATTGTTAATGGAGTGCATACTTTATTCAGATTTCCTCAGTTTTTCCCTAAATAAATGTCTCTTTTCATTTATTTATACATGAGTCAGACAGATCTGGGTTGTCTGTTTCTGTTTCTGTTTCTGAGTCCCACCCACGAGACCACACTGCGTTCAGTCCTCATGTCTTCTTACGTTCCTTTTGACTGGGACAGTTTCTCAGACTTCCCTTCTTCTTTTGGTTTTTTTGACAGTTTTGAGGATTATCAGTCAGGTATTCTGTGGCATGTCCCCCTATTGGAATTTGTCTGATGTTTTGCTTTGCTCATGATTAGACTGGAGGTATGGATTTTGGGGAGGACCGCAGAGCTAAGCCGCCATTTCGTCCCATCATCTCATGGCCACATGCTGTCCCTGTCAGTACGACTTACCACTGCTGATGTTGACCTTGATTACTGGACTGTGGTGTGTGTCAGCCTTCTCCTGGAAAGTTACTCTTTCCCCCATTTCCACACGGTGCATTTCTTTTCTTCTTTTATTTTTTTTGAGTTGGAATCTGGCTGTGTCGCCAGGCTGGAGTGCAGTGGCGCAATCTCGGCTCACTGCAACTTCCACCTCCCGGGTTCAAGCGATTCTCCTGCCTCAGCCTCCCGAGTAGTTGGGACTACAGGCGCGTGCCACCATGCCCAGCTAATTTTTGTATTTTTACTAAAGACAGGGTTTCACCATATTGGCCAGGATGGTCTTGATCTCTTGACCTCGTGATCCGCCCGCCTCGGCCTCCCAAAGTGCTGGGATTACAGGCGTGAGCCACCGTGCCCGGCCCACAGTATTCTTTGGAAGAAGTCACTGCACAGCCCACACCTAAAGGGTGGGAGTTTTGCTTTTCCTCCTTGTGGGCAGAACATCTCCAGAAATTATTTGGAATTCTTCTCTATGGAAAATTTGTCTCTTTTCATTTATTTATACATGAGTCAGACAGATCTGCACTGAAATCCCAACTCCACCATTTTCTGGCACTGTGAGCTTAGGCAAGTCGCTTAATTTCTCTGTTTCCATGTATTCATTAATTCAATCATTGATTGTATCAGAATGGGCTTGTGGGTTTTGTTTTATATTTTGGGCTATAATCCCCAGCTCCTTCATTTATTTTGCTCCTCAGATTGCTCCAGCTTTGGCCACTGGGAGCACCCCTCATGGATCCGAGAGCCAGTTCTGAATGGGCACTTGTGAAACTGGACCCCAAGTCAATGTGTTTTTCATGCCTTGGTTCTAGGGTCTTGATGGGAAAGGTTAGGGAAGGATTTCATGGCTGCTGGGTGAGGACCATTGGGCAGCAGATAGAGGCTGCTGGGATGAGAACAAAGTGAAACTGTTGGGAAAATCCACAGAACTGCAGCCCTGGATCTGCTATCCTTGGAGGTGACTCTGCATGCGGACAGCAGGTCTCACAGGCAGACACCAAGCCAGAGACTTGGCCAACAGGACCTGAAGTGGGGCCTGGGGGTGCCCAGCACACTGTAGGCTGAATGCCCCAACTGGAGTGGTGCGGTTGACCCGTTATTAGGGACATGAAGGCTCTTGACCTTGGCCTTGGGCTGGTGTGGCTGGCCCCTCGGGGCAGGAGTACCAGGGGCTGTGTCATACAGGCCAGCAAAGGCAGGGAGCGGCTAGAATAGGGAGCGAGAAGAGCTTTCCTGCAGAGGCCATGCCCTGGGCAAAAGCTTAGAGAAGGGGAGGAGCTAGGCTTGGCTGCCCACCGCCCTTGCTGTGCCTTCAGGCCTCCTCCCTGGCTGCTCACTCCTTTTGTCTGTGTAAGTGTTATTTCTGCAAATGTAATAAACCCCTGTGCCTTCCAAGCACAAACTTGCTTCTCAGAACCATGCAGCTAAAATGACTGCTTAATGGAGCTAATGAGATGCCTGTTTGTTCTGACCCAGAGGACAGGAGGAACCCCCAGGAGCAGGCACCAAGGCACTGATTAGGGGCAGGGCCCAGCCAGCCCCACAGCTGTTAACTCCTGGGGTGCCTGAGTGGGGCACCTGTCTCCCCTCCATCTTGCCATGGGGCCAGCGTGCCAGAGAGAAAGGACAGCTTCGGCAGGGTCCCCTGGCTTCCCTGTCACCTTCAGGCCTTGCCAGTCTCAATGGGGACTTCAAGGGGAGAGCCCTGGGCTGAGGTCAGGAGATCTGAGTGACCTCCTGTCACACGCTCCACCAACTCATGGTTAGTGAATCAACTGTGTCAGGCACAGCCCCTGGTACTCCTGCCTTTGGGGGTCAGTCACGCCAGCCCAAGGCTGAGGTCAAGAGCCTTCATGCCCCCAGTAATGGATCTCTGTGCTGCTCCAGGTGGGGCATTCATCCTACAGAGCGCTGGGCACTTCCAGGCCCCACTTCAGGTCCTGTTGGCCAAGTCTCTGGCTTGGAGCCTGCCTATGAGACCCGCTGCTAGTGTGCGAGGTTACCTTCGAGGATAGCGGTGCTATCCTCCATCCATGGTGCTTTCTATTCCTCCAAATGCAGCCCAGAAGACCCAGGGCTGCAATTCTGTGGATTTCCCAACAGTTTCACTTTGTTCTCATCCCAGCAGCCTCTATCTGCTGCCCAGTGGTCCTCACCCAGGAGTCTTAAAATCCTTCCCTGCCCTTCCCTTCACTTCTTTAAAGGTTGTACTGGCCTTTAAAGAAGTGTCATTACATTGCAGAGAGGCTGCTGGAGCCACTCAGCCTGGGCTCAAATCCTGGCTCCAAGACTTAGACACATTGTGACCTTGGACACGTTGCTAACTGCTCTGTGCCTCAGTTTCCTCATCCTCAAGTGGGGATGATGATATAGTAGCTCCTTCCTCATAGGGTGTTTTCGTGAGAAGTACAGGAATTAATACCTGTATAATACCTAGAATAGTGCTGGGAGTGTCTAAGTACTGTGCAAGTGTTCTGTAACTGTCATAAATTTATTTGCATAACTGTTCCACTAAAATAATTTACTGAGCGCTTAACCACATGCCAGGCACTAAGCCTAGCATTGTACCTGCTGTATCTTACTGAATCCTCACATGAACTCCAGGATGGACATGCTACTGTACCCATTTTATGGAGGAGTACACCGGCCCAGGTTTACACAGTGCTTCTGGCCTCACCCACCCTGTTCTCTTCTCCTCTTCATCCAAATTTCTTTCTGTCCAGGTACATAGAGCTCCATGTTTCTCCAGGCCCCACGTTCCTCTCGATAGTCACTTTATTGATTGAGTTATACATTTATTTATCATCTTAAGCCTTCATTTTAAAATATATTTTCACATTTATAGAAAAATTGCAAGAATAGTACAGAGAATACCTATATACTTTTTATTCCGATTTACCAAGTCTTACTTTACCTCACTGGTTTTATCATTGTGATCTCTATCTCTTGCTCTCTCTCGGCATATATCCATATATATGAACGTACATCTATGTGTACATACGTATATATGTATGTGTGTGTGCATGTGTATATAAGTACACACATATGTCTATATATACACACACATACATGCATATATATGCATATATATTTTTTCTCCTAAATACTTTGAGAGTTATTTGCAAATAACATGATGTCCCTTTGTCTACAAATATTCAGGGTGTATTTCCTAAGACAAGGACTTTCTCTGAGGTAAAGTGTATTTATCAAGAGCATGAACTGTAGGATTATAATACTCTTATTTATTCCATAGTTCTTATTCAAATTTATCCCAATAATGGGAGGGGGAATTACATTCCTATAATGCCATTTACAGCTATTTTATTTACTTAAATTTTAAGTAAAAATTAAAATGGAGATATTAACCATTTCTAAATGTACAACTCAGTGGTTTTTAGTGTATTTACAATGTTATATAGTCATCACCTCTCTCTCATTCCAGAACATTTTCATCACCCCAAAAAGAAACCCATTGTTAATTAGTCCATTCTCATGCTGCTAATAAAGAAATACCTGAGACTGGGTAATTTATAAAGAAAAAGAGGTTTAATGGACTCACAGTTCCACATGGCTGGGAGGCCTTACAATCATGGCAGAAGGTGAAGGAGAAACAAAGGCACGTCTTACATGGTGACAGGCAAAGAGGGCCTGTCCAGGGGAGCTTCCCTTTATAAAACCGTCAGACCTTGTAAAACTTATCCACTGTCATGAGAACAGCACAGGAAAGACCCACCCCCATGATTCAATTACCTCCCATTGGGTCCATCCCATGACACTAGGAATTATGGGAGCTACAATTCAAGATGAGATTTGGGTGGGGACACAG
The DNA here is from genome assembly GCF_000001405.40 of Homo sapiens. Classification (NCBI taxonomy): domain Eukaryota; kingdom Metazoa; phylum Chordata; class Mammalia; order Primates; family Hominidae; genus Homo; species Homo sapiens. Next base: position 126,176,314 of record NC_000009.12, read on the forward strand.
CCAAACCATATCACCCAGTATCCATTAAGCAATCACTCCCCATTCTTCCCTCCTCCCAGATTCTGGCAACTAATAATCTATTTTCTGCCTCTGTGGATTTGCCTATTGTGGACAGTTCATATAAATGGAATCTCATAACATGTGGCCTTTTGGTCCTGGGTTCTTCCATTTACCACAATGTGTTCCAGATTCACCCACGTTGTAGTATGGATCAGAACTTCATTCCTCTTTATGGCTGAATAACATTCTATTTTATGGGCATACCACAATTTGTTTATCCATTCATCAGTTGATGGGCATTTGGATTGTTTCCACTTTTGACTATTGTGAATATTGCAGCTATGAGCATGTGCCCTATACAAGCTTGTGTGTAAACATGTTTTTAGTTCTCTTTGTTACACATCTAAGAATGGAACTGCTGGGTCATATGGTAACTCTATATTTAATATTTTGAGAAAATTTCAAATTGTTTTCCACAGGAGCTGCCCCTTTCTACATTCTTACTGGCAATGTATTAAGTTCCAATTACTCCACATTCTCACCAACACTAGTTATTTTCCTGTATTATTCCTATGTTATTTTCCTTATTTCCAAGTAATGACAACACTTGTTATGAAAAATTATAGTAGCCATCCTAGTGAATGGGAGGTGGTATCTCACTGTGGTTTTGATTTCCATTTCCCTAATGGCTAAAGATGTTAATAATATTTTCCTGTGCCTGTTGGCCATTTGCATTTGTATATCTTCTTTGGAGAAAAATCTATTTCAGTCCTTTGCCCATCTTAAAATTGGATTGTTTATCTTTTTGTTGTTGAGTTATGAGAGTTCTTTATATATTCTGGGTACAAGATCCTTTTTCAGATGTATGGTTTGCGTGTACTTTCTCCCATTCTGTAAGCTTTTATCTACTTTCTTGATAATATTTTTTGATGCATGGAAGTTTTTTATTTTGATGAAGTACAAATAATATGTTTTTTCTTTTGTTTCTTTATGCTTTTGGTGTAATATTTAAGAAACCATTACCTGATCCACAAAGTCATGAGGGTTTACACCTACATTTTCTTCCAAGAGTTTTATAGTTTTAGCTCTTACATTAAGGTCTTTAATTCATTTTGAATTAATTTTTGTATATGGTGTGAGAGAGGAATCCAGTTTCATTCTTTTGCATATGGATAGCCAGTTGTCCCCATACCATTTATTGAAGGGGCTTTTCTCTCCCCCATTGAATGGCCTTAGTATTCCTGTTGAAAAATCATTTGATCATAAATGTATGGATTTATTTCTGGATTCAATTCTAGTGCATTGATCTCTATGTTTGTCCTTATGCCAGCACAACACTGATTTTGATTCATGTAGCTTTGTCATAAGTTTTGAAATAGGAAAGTGTGAGTACTCCAACTTTGCTTTTCCTTTTAAAGGTTGTTTTGACTATCCTTGTAATTCCATGTGAATTTTAGAACCCACTTGTCCACTTCTGAAAAAAATAAGGTAGCTGGGATTTTGTTAGAGATTGCATTGAAATTGTAGATCATTTTTGAGAGCATTGTCATCTTAACAATATTAAGTCTTCTGATCCATAAATGTGAGATCTTTCCATTTATTAAGATTGTCTTCAGTTTTTCAGCTGTGTTTTGTAGTTTTCAGTGTACAAGTCCTTCACTTTCTTGATTTAATTTATTCCTAAGTATTTTATTATTTTTGATGCTACTACAAATACAATTGTTTTGTTAATTTCATTTTTTTCGCATTATTCATTACTAGTGCATAGAAATACAATAAGTTTGTATATATTTATCATGTATCCTGCACCTTTGCAGAATTTGCTTATAGTTCTAAGTTTTGGTTAAGTTTTTTTGTTTTTTTAAGTTTTTTGGTTAAGTTCTAAGTTTTGGTTTAAGTTTTTTGGTTTGTTTGAGAATTATTTAGGGTGTTTTACATATAAGAACCTGCCATTTACAAATAGGATAGTTTTACTTCTTCCTTCTAATCTGGATGCCTTTTACTTCTCTTTCTTGACTAATTGCCCTGGCTAGAACCTCCACTACAATGCTGAATAGAAGTAGTGAGAGTGGACATCCTTTCTTGTTCCTGATCTTAGAGAGAGCAGTTTCAGTTTTTCTCCATTAAGCATGCTGTTAGTTGTGTGATTTTCATAAATGCTGTTTATCAGGTTGAGAAATTTTTCTTCTGTTCCTAGGTTGTTGAGTGCTTTTATCATGCAAGGGTGTTGGATTTCACTAAATTTTTTTTTAATCTATTGAGATGATCATATAGGGTCTTTCATTCTTGCTAATGTGGTGTATTATGTTGATTAATTTTTGCATGTTGAACCACCCTTGCATTACAGGGATAAACCTCACTTGGTGTTATGATGTACAATCCTTGTAATATGCTGCTGGATTCAATTTGCTAATATTTTATTAAGGATTTTTATATCTATATTCATAAAGGATATTGGTCTGTGGTTTTCTTGTGTTGTCTTTGTCTAGCTTTAGGATCAGGGTAATAGTGATCTCATGTGATAAGCTATAAAGTGTTTGCTTCTTTTCTGTTTTTTGGAAAAGTTTGAGAAATATTGGTGTTAATTCCTCTTTAAACATTTGGTAGAATTCATTAGGGAAGCCATCATCTGGTCCTGGACTTTGTTAGAAGTCTTCTGGTTACTGATTTAATCTCTTTTATTCTCATAGGTTTGCTTAGGTTTCTAGTTCATATTCAGTTAATTTTGATAGTTTCTGTGTTTTTAGGTATTTGTCTGTTTCATCTAGATTATCCAATTTGTTGGCATACAGCTGTTCATAGTATTCTCTTATAATCCTTTTTATTTCTACAAGGTCAGTAATGATATCCCACTTCATTCCTGGTTTTAATAACTGGAGTCTTCTCTCTTTTTTTCTTGACTAATCTAGCTAAGAATTTGCCAATTTTGTTGATCTGTTCAAAGGACTAACTTCTGATTTTCTCTATTGTTTTTCTATTCTCTATTTTATTTACCTCTGCTGTAATATTTTTCTCATTCTGCTTGCTTTGGCTTAATTTGCTCTTCTTTTTCTTTTCTTAAAGCATAAGCTTATTTTATTAATTTCATGTCTTTCTTCTTTTTAAATGTAGGTGTTTGCAGCTATAAATGTACCTCTGAGTATTACTTTTACTGCATCCCCTAAACTTTGGTATGTTGTATGTTTATTCTCATTTATTTCAAAGTGTTTTCTGATTTTGCTTGTGATTACTTCTTTGGCCCCTTGTTTATTTAGGACTATGTAGTTTAATTTCTACATATTTGTGAATTTTCCAAATTTCATTCTATTATTGGTTAGTAATTTCATTCCATGTGGTTAAAGAAGATACTTTGTATGATTTATATATTTTAAATATATTAAAACTTGTTTTGTGGCCTAACATGGTTTATCCTGGAGAATGTTCCATGGGTACTTGATAAGAATGTGTATTCTGCTATTGTTGGATGGAGTGTTCCATGGATGTCTGTTAAACCTAGTTGGCTTATAATGTTGTTCAGGTCCCCTATTTGCTTGCTGAACTTCTGTCTAGTTGTTGCATACATTATTGGCAGTGAAATATTGAAGTTTCCAGCTGCCACTAGTGAACTATCTATTTTCTCCCTTCAGTTCTGAAGCAGATACTGATTTGCTTTATGTATTTTGGGGCTCTGTTGTTAGATGCATATATGTTTATAATTGCAATACCTTTTTGATGGATTGGACCTTTTATCATTGTATAACGTCCTTCTTTGTGTTGTAAGAATTTTTGTCTCAAAGTCTATTTTGTCTCATATTAGTATAGTCACTCCAGCTCTGGTTACTTTTTGTATAGAATATCTTTTTGCATCCTTCTACTTTCAATATATTTGTATCTTTTAATCTAAAGTGAATCTCCTATACATGACACATAATTGGGTCATTTTTTTCAGCCATTGTGCTGTTCAATTGGAGGGTTTAATCCATTTACATTTCATGTAATTACTGATAAGGAATCACTTGCTTCTGTCATTTTGTGCCATTACAGCTTTATTTTATGTTGGATAGAGATGTTCTAAAGTACCATTTTAATTCCCTTGTCATTTCTTTTAATGTATATTTTTGAATTATTTTCTAAGTGTTCGTCCTGGGCGTTATAATTGACATGGTAATTTATAACAATCTGGCTTGGATTAATATCAACTTTCTCTCAATATTATGTAAAAACTTTGCTCCAATATAGCTTCATCTCCTTGCTTTATGTTGTAGTTGTCATGAATTATATCTTTCTTCAATGTTTGCCCATCAACAAAGATTTATAATGGCCATAACAAATCATTTATAATTATTATTTAATGCATTTGTCTTCTAAATCTTATAGAAAAATGAAGTTACAGAGAAAAAAACAATGGTACTGGCTTTTATATTTACCTATGTAAATCTATGTCTTTACCAGTTTTCTTAATTTCTTTGTATAGCTTTGGGTTACTGTCTAGTGTCCTTTCATTTCAGCTTAAAGGACTCCTGTTAATATTTCTTGTAGGGTAGGTCTACCAGCAATGAACTCTCTCAGCTTTTTTGTTTGTTTGTTCGTTTGTTTGTTTGTTTTAAATCTTGGGATGTCTTGATTTCTCCTTCATTTTTGCAGTATAATTTTGCTGAATACAGAATTTTTGATTAAGAGTTTTTTTCTCTCAGAACTTTAAATATTGCATCCTATTTCTTTCTAACCTCCATGGTTTCCGATGAGAAACTGGCTATTAATATTATTGAGGGTCCCTTGTATGTGACTAGTCACTTCTCTCTTGCCGCTTTCAGGATTCTCTCTCTGTCTTTGGCTTGAACAGTTCGTTTGGACAGTCTGTGTGGATCTCTTTAAGTTTATCTACTTGGATATTTTGATTTTCTTAAATGTGTAAATTCATGTTTTTCATCAAATTTGGGAAGTGTATTACCATTATTTCTTCAAAGGTCCTTTATTCCCCTTTCTCTCTCCTCTTCTAGGATTCCTATTATGCATATGTTGATATGTCTGATGGTGTCCCACAGATCTCTTGGGTTCTGTTCATTTATCTTCATTATTTTTTCTTTCAGTTCCTCAGACTGAATAACTTCAATGGACCTATCTTCAAATTTGATGATTCTTCCTTCTGCCTGTTCGAAAATGGTATGATCCCTCTATTTAATTTTTTATTACAGTTATTGTACTTTTTAACTCCAGAATTTCTGTTTGGTGCCTTTTTTAAATTCCTGTCTTTTTATTGGTATTTTCAGTTTGGAGAGACATTATTTGCCTGGTTTCCTTTAGCTCTTTGGTGATATCTAAAATAGCTTGTTCAAAGCCTGGATCTAGAAAGTCCAAGTCTGAGCTTCTGCAAGGGCAGTTTAGTTTCTCTTAATTGCTTTTCTCCCTATGTGTGAGCCATATGCTCTTGTTTCTTTGCACCCCCTTTCCTTTGCTTTCTGTGCACTGGATGCCCAGCCTTCTTTCCATTGTTCAGCTACATGTCTTCTCTCTTCAGAACCTTTGTCCATGCTGATCCTTTTTCCTGGAATGACTGCACGTACCCGCCCCCCTCCCAACCCCTTTACTAGTATCTTTTACCTCCTAAAGCCTCACGTTAAAATATTATCTACTTGTAAGTATGAATATTAGCTAGAAAACTGTGGTCTGCAGTAAACAAAACTGTCTTTATCTTTCTATATCTCTGAATCATTTTTGAGCTGTCACTCCATGGGCTATGGAAGGAAAGGGAGAATTACATGTTTCTATGGTTTCTACCCCTACCTTTGCCCATTTCTGGATCATGCATGGAGTGTGGCAAACCTCATGTTGCCCCATAGGACTGTCTCCTCTGGACTCACTCTGTCCCCTCACCATCAGTGAGGACTAGCCCCTTCCACTCTGGCCCCTAAAACTTCTGTTCCTCTCTTGTCTCTCCTGATAGCTGGAAATCTCTTCTTTGTATCAAAGAACTGATTCTTTCTTCATATTTCTGGCCGAGACTCTCTGTCTATGCCTCATATCTATGCCTGGAAATGAATGTATAGGGTTAGGCTATTGGTGAATAAAGTAAGGCCATTGCCCCTCCAGGTGAACAAAATTGACATGGGGTTCCTGAATGCTCTCAGGAAAGCAGGACCAAGGATAGTCCTTTGCCTCTCCCCTTGGAGTTTCGAGTTCTTAAACTATGTCTGATGGACTGGGGTGGACTGAGGGAGACCAGATAGCAGGAAAGGCCTAGAGGGTCTGAGGGAGACTTGTCCTGGGAATAGGGTCAGGGAGCCTGTCTGGTTGGCCTGGACTCAGCCCCAGGACTGGGCAGCTAGAGGAGAGAGGTTCTAGTCAGGGACCTTTGCTGTCAGGATCTTCTAATATGATTATCTCAATGCTGTTTGATATGAGAGAGAATGAGGGAGTGAATGAATAAACGGAAGGAACACTGGGGACCAGGCCACCTTGGGGAGCTGCAGCAATGGCTGGAGAGTGACCTTCCAGAGGCATCATGGATATCCGTGGTGATGGGGGCAGCATATGGTCTTCACAGGTGAGGTGAGAGTAACCAGGATTGGGGAAAGGACATATGGGATACGGGGCTGGGTGAGGAGTGATGTGGGGACCTTGTAGGAACAGGACCCCTGGGACCTGGCAGTTGGGAGCTTAGAGTCATTATTCACGGACAATCATGGAAACTTTACTTTGTTTCATGGTCTCTGGCTGGTGGGGGTCGAGGACCTTTAGATTCCATCTAAAAAAACAGAGAATAAGGGAGAAAGAGAAACAGAGAGAGAGCAAGGACATAAGAACACAGGGTGAGGCTAAGGAGGAGATGTGGTGGGAAGAATAGAGATGGACGAAGACAAAGGGAGAAGGAAAGAGGGATGAGGAGAGAGAGAAAGAGGGAAAAGCAGTTAGCAGTGGATACAAGTTGGAAGTGAAAGGCATCTGGCAACCTTGCATTGCCTATGAAATGATATTAACATTTTATTATTGTAAGGTGAGCTTTTTAAAACGGAATTTTAAATGTTACCCTGCTGTTCTGGAACACAAAAACCTTTAATTTTATGCAAATGAACAGTGAGGAGCTGAGCGCTTAATGTAAACGAACACTTTCTTTGTAGGAGAGGTTGGAAGAGAGAAAAAAAATTCCCCAGGATTCTTTAATTGCTGTCTGAAATTATGTAAATCCCAGCACCAGGCAGAACACAATTACCCCGCGGCCCTCCCTGCCAGCGCCGCTAATGTCTAACAAAATATCGGTGGGTGACATTTAGACGAGGTAATGCAAATGAGAATTAATTTTTTTCCAAGACAAAGGGCAGCTGAAAGATCACCTCATTCATATACAGGAGCAGAGAAAGCTTGCGAATGCTGGGGGTGGGGTGGGGTGGATGGGGAGCCCAGGGTGCCAGTCTCCCTCTTGGACCTGGGTCCCTCAAATTCTGGCCTCAGGGAGCCTTAGGTCACTAACCCTCTGACTGCAGCTCCCAAACAGTTCTTCATGGAAATTGGGTTAACAAATGTAAATAGCCATTAAAAAATACCCCATGACCCATTCTCAGTTCCATGCTCATGGCAGGCCCACAGGGTGCTAACATAAACTTCTTATCTGAAGGAGGAAACTGAGGCTTGGGGGATCTGGTGACCCAGCCAAAGGCACACAGTTAACTCCAGTGGCAAGAACTGCATCAATTAGAGAAGGAAGGACGTTGGTTTTGTGTTTCTCTCCCTCATTCTTCCTTCCTTCCTTCCTTCCTTTCCTACCTTTCGTCCTTCTTTCCTTCCTTCATCTTTCCACTTATGGAAATGTTTTTCATTTTTAAAAATGTTTTTAGTGCAGAGGGCTTGAAGAGAGAAAACCAGGGCCAAGCACTCACTTCCACCCCAAATTCTTTTCTCAGCATGAAATAAGTTCCACATATGTAACTCAGCCTGGTCAGCTCCCACTTATCCTTCAAGTCTCAGCATAAAGTCTTCAGTTGCCTCCTTGAGGAAGCCTTCCTTGACCCATTCCCCATCCAAGCACCCAAAACTTTGACTTCTAAGCACTTACCAAAAACTGCAGTTACAAGGCCAAGTCTCTTCCCTATGAGACGGTAGGTAAGTTCTGCAAGGGCAGGGGCAGTGTCCCTTGTGGTTGTCACTATAGCCCTGGTGTCTAGAACACTGCCTGGTGCTGCCTTTGCTCAGAACATATTCAATGACTTTATAAATAAATTAATGATCTAAAAGGAGACTGTGTATTGGTCAAGGTGAGCACAGTGGTTTATGCATATAAAAATGTGAGGCAGAGACCAGGTGCAGTAGCTTACGCGTGTAATCCCAGCACTTTGGGAGGCTGAGGCAGGCCGATCACCTGAGGTCAGGAGTTCGAGAACAGCCTGGCCAACATGGTGAAACCCCATCTCTACTAAAAATACAAAAAAATTAGCCAGGTGTCATGGCACATGCCTGTAATCCCAGCTACTCAAGAGGCTGAGGCAGGAGAATCGCTTGAACCTGAGAGGCGGAGGTAGCAGCAAGTGGAGACTGCACAACTGCACTCCAGCCTGGGTGACAGAGTGAGTCTCCAGCTAAAAAACAATAAGTAAATAAATAAATAAATGAAGCAGGAAGTAGTAATGATTCTCTTAACAATCACTGCTGGAATTCTAGAAATATATTTAACAGTTGGAGGGGTGGGAGGAAATGTTTGGGAGGGCAGAGGTCAGGGATCTTTCGGGTTAAGAGAGCTGTCTCTCATTAGTCTCAATGCCAGCACAACTCATATCTTCAATTCCGCAGATGACCGTAACTTAGTTTAGTCAATCCTGATTATTTTTATGCGCCTCTACTGCCAGTTTTTAATCTTGAGATAAAACCTCTAATCACTATGAAAGATGCTTTGGGCTTGACCCAAACTGAAGGTATCCAAATCTATCATTAAAAAGAAAACAAGCCAAGTGCAGTGGCTCACCCCTCTAATCCCAGCAGTTTGGGAGGCCGAGGCAAGAGGATTGCTTGAGCCCAGGAGTTCAAGACCAGCCTGGGCAACATAGTGAAACCCGATCTCTACAAAAAATAAATTTAGAAAAAATTAGCTGGGTGTGGTGGCACACACCTGTAGTCCCAGCTACTTGGGAGGCTGAGGTGGGAGGACTGCTTGAGCCCAGGAGATCAAGGTGGCAGTGAGCCACGATCATGCCACTGTACTCCATCCTGGGCAACAGAGCAAGACCCTATCTCAGAAATAAAACAAGACAAAACGCATTCTCTATGTGTTTGTTATTATTACTTTAAAAATACATCATCTGTATCTACAGCTTTTAAAGAATGATCTGATATTTGTTCATCTGTTTTTCTTCTTTAAAAATAATCTAAAATCTATGTAGATCAACAACCATAGGAGAAATTGAGAAATTTTTCTAGCTTTCCACCAAAAAGCTTGAGGTCCAGACAGTTTTAAAGTGAATTCATCCAAAACCGCTAAGACCAGATCTTATCAATACTTTTAAATTCCTCTGGAACATAGAGAAATAAGAACTTCCTTTTCCTTTTTTTTCTTTTTTTTTTTGAAAGCAGTACCAACATACTTCTTCTCAAGGTCCAGGAGGAAAAAAAATTGCTCCAGATATGTCAAACAGAGGTAATTTAATATGGGAATTGGTCACCCTTGTGATAGGAATGCCGAGAAGCTAGATGGGACAGTGAGGTGACCCAGACATTGGCAATAGCAAGAAGCTGCCACCACAGGAAAGAGAAAGAGAAGATATGTTGCTAGGGATCAAAGGCAGAGGTCACCAGGAGGCAGCTGGAGCCAGGGAAGATGCGCAGCTGATGATGGAGAGGCTCCTGAAGGGGAGGGAGAGAGAAGCGCCACCCAGGCCTTTTCCTTCTTGCAGCTCTCTGGTCCCTGCCAGTGCCTCCCATTGGGTTTACCTAGCTGGGATCCAGCTGACAAAGGAAGTTGGGAAATGCCACCTCTATGGGTCAGCTCCCCAGTCCCCATTCAGAACAGAGCAGAGAAAGGTGGATGATTGGATGAAAGAGCAAATAGGCAAAACATTGAACCTGCCAAGACAGAGGCTGAGATAGACCTCTGAAACAAAGCCACCCAGTGATCACCAAAGTCAGGCTGATGGGGCAGTCTTAATGAATGATCGGGTGGATGACACTGGAGCTCTCTGGTCAACCTTAACGCCCCAAGAACAGAAAAACAGATCTTTCGGCACCACTGGTGGAAGCACACAAACACCACCTCTGAAGAATTTGTACAAAAATACTGAACCTGAATTTGATCAAGCCTCTAAAACCAATCATGAGTTTACAGAAGGGACATTGAAACACGTTAAAAGCCTTCACAGGAGATCGGGATGTGGTGGCTCACACCTGTAATCCCAGCACTTTGGGAGGCCAATCCGGGCAGATGACCTGAGGTCAGGAGTTCGAGACCAGCCTGGCCAAAATGGTGAAACCCTGTCTCTACTAAAAATACAAAAATTAGCCAGGTGTGGTGGTGCATGTCTGTAATCCCAGCTACTTGGAAGGCTGGAGCAGGAGAATTGCTTGAACCTGTGAGGTAGAAGTTGCAGTGAGCTGAGATCCCACCACTGAACTCCAGCCTGGGTAACAGAACAAGACTCCATCTCACACACACACAAACACACACAAAAAATAAAATAAATTAAAAAAAAAAAGACTTCAGAAGACACATCAACAAAATCTAGAAAATGAGCAACTCTACACGGCAATTGACTGGTTTCTTCAACAAATACATTATAAAAACCAAAAAGTGGGGCAACTTGAAGACCAAAGGACACTTAGGGGACCTGTCAACCAAATGCAATGCATGAACCTTGATTTTTGTTTTGTTCTTGAGTCAAAATAAATCAACTGTGAAAAAAGCATTTATGAGGCAATCAAGGAAACCCGAACACTAATTGGATATTTGACGATATCAAGAAATTATTGGGGTTTTTTTTTTAGGTGTGATGGTGATGGTGTAGCAATGTTTTGTTTCATTTTTGTTCCAAAGGAGTCCTTTGCTTTTAGAAAGACACATGGAAAATTTTCAGATAAAATGATTTGATGGCTGAGATTTGCTTCACAATAATTCGTTGGGGGCTTGGAAGATGGAGGGATATAGAGAAACTGGACATGAATTGATAATTGTCAAAATTAAGTGATAAGTATATGGAAGTGTCTTTTACTATGCTTTACTTTTGTGTTTTTTTATTTTATTTTATTTATTTTATTTTTTGAGATGGAGTCTTGCTCTGTCACCCAGGCTGGAGTGCAGTGGCACAGTCTCAGCTCACTGCAACCTCCACCTCCTGGGTCCAAGGGATTCTCCTGCTTCAGCCCCCTGAGTAGCTGGGATTACAGGGGCACGTCATCAGGCCCAGCTAATTTTCTGTATTTTTAGTAGAGACACGGTTTTACCATGCTGGCCAAGCTGGTCTTGAACTCCTGACCTCAGGTGATAACCCTGCCTCGGCCTCCCAAAGTGCTGTTTTACAGGTGTGAGCCACTGCATCCAGGCAACTTTTGTGTATATTTAAAGTTTTATGTAATACAAAGTTTTAAATATTTGTAAAAGAAAATAACAGTCCAAACTAACTTATCAATTTTTATCCAAAAATTGTACTATATATATACACATTTATATATACATACATTTATGTTATGTATATATGTAATTATGTAAGTAAAGAAAATGAGAAGTGCAAGTATTTAAAAAGAGGCCAAATTAGAATTATTTGCAGAGGATATGCTTTTGACTTAGAAACTCCCACTTTAAAACACCTCAAAACTATTAGAAACAGTGAGTTAATATTGTTGCTAGTTACAAAATTAACATATGAAAACAAATAGGTTTCCTATATACAAAATAACCAAATAGAAAATGTAATTGAAGATATCTCTATAAAAATAACAAATAAAATATAACAACTCAAAATAAATTGTAAAAGAAAGATGTGGAATCTACACAAAGAAAATGGTATAACTTTTGAGGTTATATGTACCTCATAAGAAAAATTGGGCTGGGCGTGGTGGCTCATACCTGTAATCCCAGCACTTTGGGAGGCCCAGGTGGGCAGATCACAAGGTCAGGAGATCAAGACCATCCTGGCTAACACGGTGAAACCCCGTTTCTATTAAAAATACAAAAAATTAGCCAGGCATAGTGGTGGGCGCCTGTAGTCCCAGCTACTTGGGAGGCTGAGGCAGGAGAATGACGTGAACCTGAGAGGTGGAGTTTGCAGTGAGCTGAGATTGTGCCACTGCACTCCAGACTGGGTGACAGAGCAAGACTCCTCCTCAAAAAAAAAGAAAAAGAAAAAGAAAAATTGACTAAATGGAAATCCATTCCTTGCTCTAGGTAGGAAGCTTAATATTATAAAAATATCAATTCTCCATTAAGTAATCTATACATTAAATGAAATCCTAGTAAAAATCCTAGCAGGTTTTTTTGAACTTGATAAACAAATTCGGAACTTCAATTGGAAGAATACACATGTGAAAACCAGGAAAATACAGAAACGTGAAGAATCATGAAGAGAGATTTCTGCTTATAGTACCATGGTAACCTGAGAACGCCTCTTGGTATAATACACCTCAAAGTTCTGCGTAAAATTTTAAAATGTGCTTTTAAGTCTATGTCTGAGCAGACAAGAAACAGATCTCCAAGACTGTGAAAGGTACGATTCCAGAAAAGAAGACTAGTTGCTCAAAGCATCCTCTGATCCCATGCAAGGAGGGAAATCGGATAAAGAACTCCCATAAATCTGTTACCTTGAAAGATAAATTCCTCAGGAAATGGGTGCATTAGCAAAGAAACACCACCAACAACACCACCTCCCATGAGGGGATACTTGATGTCTTGACCGTGTTCTGATGAGTGAAAAAAACAAAAAAATTTCCCTAGAGAACCCCAAACCTTAAACAGATCATCTCACAGATTATTAGAATTCATACTGTGTAGCCCACACACCACCCCACTAACAACAACAACAAAAAGCTAGAGATTAGCTTGAAATATTCCTGTTATATCAGTGTCTCCAGGCACCTAGTAGAAACCAGTGAAAAAATTTCTGAAGGAACGCATCTTAAACCAAAGTCTCAAAGAATGCCGCTAGATAAATAGCAAATAAATGATTGTGAGTTTACTATAAAAACTCCCAAAACACACAAGTGAACAAAGCACCATGCGTGGGCGGTAGCAGAAACGAAAGACTACAGAATCAGACCTGCAAAGACAGTTGATGTTGGCACTGTTAAGTACATAATATAAAATAGTTTTGTCTGGCCTGGCATGGTGGCTCACAGCTGTAATCCCAGCACTTTGGGAGACCAAGGCGGGTGGATCACTTGAGGTCAGGAGTTCAAGACTGGCCTGGCCAACATGGTGAAACCCTGTCTCTACTAAAAATACCAAAAAAAAAAAAAAAAAAATTAGCCAGGCATGATGGGATGTGCCTGTAGTCCTAGCTACTTGGGAGGCTGAGGTGGGAGAATCTTTTGAGCCCAGGAGCCGAGATCACGCCACTGCACTCCACCCTGGGTGTATGGATTAAATGTGGATCAGACATGGTCCAAGTAAAGAATAATGAATGAGCTGAGAGATAGAGCTGAACAAATGACCAATGATGAAGCACAGAGAGAAAGAAAATGGGAAACATGAAATAAAAGCTATGGCATATCAAGGATAAAGACATTAAGTCTACAAACACATTTTTTCCAAAGTAGCAGTAGGATATAATCAAGAGAATGGGGAGTGGGGGAGATAATATTAGAAGAGATATTATGCCAGGCGCGGTGGCTCACGCCTGTAATTCCAGCACTTTGGGAGGCCAAGGCGGGTGGATCACAAGGTCAGGAGATCGAGACCATCCTGGCTAACACGGTGAAACCCCGTCTCCACTAAAAATACAAAAAATTCTCCGGGCGTGGTGGCGGGCGCCTGTAGTCCCAGCTACTCCAGAGGCTGAGGCAGGAGAATGGCGCGAGCCCAGGAGGTGGAGCTTGCAGTGAGCTGAGATTGCACCACTGCACTCCAGCCTGGGCGACAGAGCAACACTCCGTCTCAAAAAAAAAAAAAGAGATATTATCAATTTTCAGAATTGATGAAAGACACAAATATTCAGATTGAGGAAGTCCAGTAAATCTTGAGCATAACAAGTAAGGAATCCATACCTAGACATTTTGCAATAAACCCGAAGAACGGCAAAGACAAAGTGACAATCTAAAAAGCAGCCAAAGGCCGGGTGCAGAGGCTCACACCTGTAATCCTGGCACTTTCGGAGGCCAAGACAGGAGGATTGCTTAAGGTCAGGAGTTTGAGATCAACCTGGGCAACATATCGAGACTTCATATCTACAAAAAATTTTAAAAGATCAGCTGGTCATGGTGGTTCACGCCTGTAATTCTAGCCTCTTGGGAGACTGAACCAGGAGAGTAGCTTGAGCCCATGAGTTTAAGGATGCAGTGAGCTAGGATCATGTCAAGCTGCACCGCAGCCAGAGGGTGACATAGCAAGACCCTGCCTCTTTTTTTTTTTTTTTTGAAATAGAGTCTCGCTCTGTCACCCAGGCTGGAGTGCTGTGGCACAATCTCGGCTCACTGCAACCTCTGCCTCCTGGGTTCAAGTGATTCTCCTGTGTCGGCCTCATGAGTAGCTGGAATTACAGGTACCTGCCACCATGTCCAGCTAATTTTTGTATTTTTAGTAGAGATGGGGTTTCCCCATGTTGGCCAGGCTGGTCTTGAACTCCTGACCTCAGGTGATCTGCCCACCTCAGCCTCCCAAAGTGTTGGGATTACAGGCATGAGCCACCATGCCTGGCCGACCCTATCTCAAAAAAAAAAAAAAAGGCAGCCACACAGAAAAATGCCGATTACCTACATAACAATGACAGACAGGTGACTTTTCATAAGCAATGATGAAACCCAGAACACAATAGAATCTTTTTCAAAATGTGTAGTCAATGAAACTATCACTCAAGAACAATCATAAAATAAAGTCATGTTCAAGCAAATAAAAACCCAGAGAATTAATATTAACAGACTCTCACTAAAACATCTTCTAAAAAGTGTCCTGCAAAGGAAAATGACCCTAACAGGAAAGTTTGAGTTATAGATAGAAATGATGAGCCAAGAAAATGGTGACTATATTAGCATATCCAAATAAATATTTATTATATAAAATGGTAAAAATCATAATACCAAACTTGGGGGGTTACAAATGAATAGAAGAAAATACTGGATGCAATGGTTAATTTTAGCTGTCGGTTTACTGGATTGAGGGGTGCCTGGCTGGCTGGTGAAATGTGGTTTCTGAGTCTGTCTATGAATGTGTTTGCAGGGAAGATTGGCATGTGAGTGAGGGGACTGAGAGAGGAACACTCGCCCTCAATGTCGGTAGGCATCATCTAATTACTGGGCAAAGGGGTTGGGACCAACAGGCAGGCAGAAGGGAGGGGGATTCTCTCTCCCTCTGCTCTCTCTCTCCCTTCCATAGCAGGCCACCTTTTCTCCTCCTGCCTTTGGACATCAGACTTCGGTTTCTTTAGCTTTTGGGCTCTTGCACCAGTGACCTCCTGGGGCTCTTGGGCCTTTGGTGTCTGCCTGGAGGCCTCACCGTGGGCTTCCCTGATTCTGAGGCTTCTGAACTTGGATTGAGCCAAGCTACCTACTTCTCTGGTTCTCCAGCTTGCAGAGACTATGGGACTTCCCCATCTCTGTGATTGTGTGAGCCAAGTCCGCTAATAAACCCACCTTGTATTATATCCCGTTGGTTCTGCCTCTCTGGAGAACCCTGACTAATACATTGGGTAGTAATAACACATAAGTCAAGCAGGGTTATCTGAGTTAGTGTTTTAAGGTCCTTGTATTGTTTGAGAGAAGGGTAAATATATTGATTAATTTCAGAATTTATTAAACAAAACATGCCTATTAATTTTTATCTTTATATACAAATAATTTGGTGCTTGTTTTAAGCCATTAAGTTTCGGCTTGTTTGTTACTCACCAATAGTTAATGAATACATTTGCCCTACTTGCTATTAAAAATGCATTTTAAAGCTACAATATTAAAGCAGTCAGGTACTTGTACGTGAATAAACACACAAAATAATGAGACAGACTAGAGTCTAAAAATAGACACAAATAGTTAAAAAAAAAAAAAAAAGGCCAGGTGCAGTGGCTCATGCCTGTAATCCTAGCACTTTGGGAGCCTGAGGCAGGTGGATCACTTGAGGTCAGGAGTTCAAGACCAGCCTGGCCAACATGGTGAAACCCCATCTCTACTAAAAATACAAAATAAGCCAGGTGTGGTGGCATATGCCTGTAGTCCCAGCTACTTGGGAGGCTGAGACAGGAGAATTGCTTGAACCCAGGAGGCAGAGGTTGCAGTGAGCCAAGATCACACCACTGCACTCCAGCCTGAGCGAGACTCTATCTCAAAGAAAAAGAAAAGGATTCAACAAACGATGTTAAGACAATTAGCTAGCCATTTGGAGAAAAAAAAAATACTGAAACTGTTTAATTTCCAGCACTGTTGGGTGGTGAATTTTTTTGTTTTGTACAACATGTGTAGTTATTACCTCTGTATGTATAAGTCCAGTAGGAACAAAACTCTCAAGGGTTTTACTTTTACCATGTACATTCATCATGAATGAAAACTGTAAGACGAAAACCGTAACATGCTAAGTTTAAGCAGAACTGTGCAGTAGTGACAATAAGTGCATATGGAATGTCGTGTGCTCCTCCACGAGTCATACAGCCTCCTTCGCAGTTAAGTTAGAGCTGTATTATGTTTGCGTCCTGGGGAAAATGCTGCTAGCCACTTACCCAAGACCTAGCCTCCTTGTTTCCCCCAGTGGAAGGTTGATATTGAGGGAGATGCAATATGCCCTGCTAGAGGAATAACGAACAGAAGTACAATAAAATGTGAGGTAATCAGAAAACAAAAAAAGGTCTGCAGAAGGAGAAGCAATTGAGAAAAATGAACTAATTAAAGGTATTCGTGAAAGAACAAAAAAAGAGTGTGGAAGGACATAACAAAGCTATTACCTCTCAGTTGTTGAAGCACAATGATTTTGGTGTTCATCTTCATACGATTCTGCATTTTCTCGGTTTCTTGGAGCATAAATTGTATTTTTATTAGAAAAAGTAAATGCTCAGGATGTTTTGAATTGTAATCAATTTATTCAAAGTAGCATACTGTTTCATATGCTTTTACAACCCAGGTCTCCTCATCATGCACTGTCGTCTCCTTTGCCAACATTTTTCATTGGGGTCTTGATTTTTCCGTTATTGATACAGATCCCTTATTGATATAGATTGATTGATTGATAATAAGGATAGTAACACTTTCTGATTCTTTTCTTAGTTTGTCACTTGCCTTTTAATTCTGACAATGGGATTTTTAACTTATAGAATTAAGTTATTTGAATCAAATGGAATTTATCAGTGTGTTCCTTGATACTTATTCCTCAGCTGATGTGCCTGGAAAGTCCTCACTTTGATGGAGTTAAATATGCCCTTTATTAGAATACACATTCTTCTAGTTTTCTGACTTTACTTTTCATTCTATAAATCCTATGGACATTATATTCATATTCGGTGTGGATAAAAATTTAACTTGAGGTTGTTTTTTAATCAAAACATTTTAGCCACTTTCTCTACCCTCATTAGCCAAATAATTGCTCCTTCCCACCCTTCTTCCTCATAGTGATTGAGATGTTTTCTGTTGGCAGATATTGCTGGTTGCCTAGAATAATTAACCCTTCTTACCAACAGAATCTTAATTTTGTTTGGGGAAGGAATGTGCACACCTATTTTTTAAAAAGTATTTTTCCAACTGGGTGAGGTGGTTCATGCCCTATAAGCCCAGCACTTCGGGAGGCTGAGGCAGGAGGATAGCTTGAAGTAGGAGTTCAAGACCGCTGTCTCTACAGAAAATTTAAAAATTAGCTGAGCATGGTAGCAGGTGCCTGTGGTCCCAGCTACTCTGGAGGCTGAGGTGGGAGGATCTCTTGAGCCCAGGAGTAAAGGGTACAGTTATCTATGATCACACCACTGCAATCCAGCCTGAGCAATAGAGAGAGACCCTATCTACTAAAAAAAAAAAAAAAAAAAAAAAAAAAAATTCCCAGCTTCCCTTACAGTTGGGGTGGTAGTTGACTCAATTCTGGGCAATGAGATATAAGTGCATATCTGCTGAGGACTTACGGGAGATAGTTCTACTTCTAGATATAGATACCATTCCTTCTTCCTTTCTCCCTCCCTTCCCCTCTCCCTTCCTCACTCCCTCCCTTCCCTCCTTCTTCATATGTCTATAATGTGGATGGGATGTCTCAAGATGGAGCAGCCATTTTTGCAGCTCCAGATGGAAGGCACTCACCAAGCATGGTGGAAGAGAAATGAAGAAGCTCTAATCCCAGAGTAGCTGTATCATCTTGAACTGCCCGCCCTTGGCTAGCTTGTTTCACGAGAGAAATGACACCAACAGCCAGGTTTCTGTTACATGTAACCAAATGCAACTTACATGTTAATGGAAATTACGCGTTAATGAAACATCTTATTTGTGAGTCCTCGCAACCAAAGTCTGTTTCCAGGCTATTTATCATGTTCCATTGAGTTGTCTGTGAAATACAGTAAAAGTGATATTCTTTTTAAATTACTACATTACTGTGCAATATGTTTTATTATTGGATGGGTCTAGTGTCCCCTCATTACCTCTCTTTTTTCAATAGCTCAACACTTTATTCCTCCTGATGAACTTCAGAATACTTTATCAGATTGGTCCAACCCATTTTATCTTTGAATGGAACTGTATTAAACCTATTAACTAATTTGGGAAGCATAAATATCTTCACAATATTTCATCTTCTTATTCTTGAGCACGGAATACATTTTCATTTTTTTCAGTCCTGTATATCTCTGTAAAAGGTTTGGAGCATTCTTCACATAAAATGTCTGTGCTTTTTTTAAACGATTACTGCTAAATATTTTATGTTTTTATTGCAATTGTAAATAGAATCTATTTCCTGTTATATCTTATAACTGGTTATTGCCAGGAGATAAAAAACTATTGATTTTCAAGTATTTATCTTGTATTCGACTACTCATTAGCCTAAGAGTTCTTCAGTTAATACTTTTATGTTTTCTAGGTATATAATTGTATCATCTCTAAGTGATAATGGTTTCATCTTTTCCCTTCAAATACTTAGACCTCTTATCTATGCTTATGTATTTTAATGCATTGAGCAAAACAGTGTTGAATAAAAATAGAAGTAGTCATGCTTGTTTTGTTCTTGATTTTCAAGAGAATGCCTCTATTGTATCCCCATAATTCTATTGTTCTCTTAATATAAGTATGCTTTATGATGTTAATGAATATTCTCCTCTTCCTGGTTTTTAAACAGGTTTGTAAAATTAGCAATGAGTGTTAAATTTTATTCTTGTCTTTTTCGCATTCATTGAGGTTATCACTTGTTTTTGTTATTGGTCCTTCTGATATGATGCATTATGTTATTGGGTTTCTTACTTGTAAGAAATCCTTAAAATCCTGTGACAAATTATACTTCGACATAAAAGGTGATTTTCTGAATGCCATCATAGATTTTAATTTACTAATTAAAATTTTTTTTCACATTTTAATTTACAAATTAGGTTTATCTATAACTTTCTTTCCTTTAAAAAATTTTTGTGCTATCTCTGTTCAGCGTCGGCTTCAGATTCTATTAGCTACGTACAATGAAATAGTTAAGGTAGATTAAATTAGATAGAATTATGCAACCAAATCTTTACTCCTTTGCAGTAGAATTTGATGTCCACATCCTTGTCATGTCTTCATGGTGTGCAGAGTGTATGTTCTGCCCCTTGACATTGGGCTCAGCTATGTGACTTGCTTTGGACAATGAAACATGAGTGGATGTTTTAAGAGCAGAAGCTTAAAATGTGCTTGAGCAGTGTGATTGCTTTCTTGCAATTCTGCCATCGCTGTGAGAAGAACATACCCCAGCTAGTTTACTGGTCCAAAAGATGAGATAAACATGAAGTATACGTGGATCTTACCTTCAGCTTGGACACAAGTCCAGCCAAGCCAAGATGAGATAAGCCAATACTAAAATGACCTACAGGTGTGTGAGCAAGGATAAATGATTGTTATTTTAAATCATGTAGTTTGGAGGTGATTTGTTATGTAGTAGTATTGTGGCAATAGCTGACTGATGCACTAGATAACTTTGCACCTTTTTCCTGTGTTCTGGAACAATTTATTATACCCATGGGAATTATTATTTTTTGCTCACAAGATTAAAAGAACTCACCAATAAATCCAGCTTTTAAATGTCTGCCTTGCTTTGGTGAGGGGTTTGAATTTGTTCGATTTTATTCTTTGTTTTTCTTTCAAATCTTTTAAAAATGAAATAAGACATTACAGATAGTTGAATATCCTGAATTTTTCCATGGCCCTATCCCTCTTCCTCTCTCCCCAGAGATAACCATGATCTGGACCCCAAGTATATTATTTCCTCCAAGTTAGAAAACTTTTACTACATAAGATACATATACATAAAAATATATAGTGTTGTTTTACCTGTTTTAAAATTTTACATAAATGGTATCTTGCTAAAGATATCGTCCTATAATATAATGTCCTATTTGATGGGCTTCTATTGTTTCTCCCTTTTTTCTGCAATTACAGCAATGTTCCAATAAACACCTTTGGCCCAGCACGGTGGCTCACACCTGTAATCCCAGCACTTTTGGGAGACCAATGCAGGAGGATCTCTTGAGCCCAGGAGTTCGAGACCAGCCTAGGCAACATAGGGAAACCCCATCTCTACAAATACTCAGGGGGCTAAAGTGGGAAGAGCCTGGGAGGTCAAGGCTGCAGTGAGCCGAGATCACTGTGCTATACTCCTGCCTGGGCAACAGAGCAAGACTCTGTCCCAAAACAAACAAACAAACAAAAAACACCACACACACACACAAAACCAAAACCAAAACAAAACAAAAAGCCACCCTTTTACATGTTCCTTTAGAAATCGTATCTGAATTTCTTTGGGCAGTGACTTTCAAAAATTTTAAAACTTCAACTAATAATCACAAGTTATTTTATAACACAATGCAAGGCACATATGTGTATTATTAAAGCAAAAGTTTTATAAAATAATGTTTATCCTTATAAGTGATGCAATCTGATAATTTCCATTCTGTTCTATTTATTTTAATACTGGTTTCTACTCTCCAAATCGAGTTCATGACTTTTTAACGGATCATGACACCAGTTTGCCAAACAATACTCTAAGGCACATGCCTCAAAGTAGAACTGCTTAGTTGGATGTGAGCATCTTCAGGTTTATTAGCTATTCTAGTTGCTCTCCAAGGTGATTATAACTATTTTATTCTTACCAGCCGTGTACAAGAGTTTCCATTTCTCAACACTCCCATCTATGCTTGGTACTGTTAGATTTCTCAATTTTGTCAATCTGATGGATATTTGAAATGGTTTCTCGTTGTTTTAATTTGTATTTTCTAGTACTAATGACATTAAACATCTTTCCACAAGTTCATTTGCCACTTGGGTTTCCTCATCTCTGAATAATTTGTTATTCATATACTTTGTCCATTTTTTATTAGGTGAATTGCCTTTTCTTCTTACTTTGTAGGATATTCTAAATCTAATTTATTGCTATATACTGAGACAAATATCTTCTCTGAATATGTGTGCCAGATATTTTTACTCTCTAGATAAACAGAAGGTCTCAAGCTTAATATAATTAAGATTATCAATTGTTTCACTTATACTTTGTGCTTTTTGGTCTTATTTAGGAAGATTTTCCTACTCTGTGTTTGTCAAGTAACTTGCCTAAATTTTTTTCCAACTGTTTTAATGTTTTGCTTTTCACATTTATATCTTTAATTCATCCATAAACAGCATATTATAATTGTTTATGGTATAAGATAAGGATATATATTTTTCATGTGGATAACCAGTTGTTCTAATCCATTCTTTCCTTGATGGTTTGCAATCCTGACTCTGTAATATACCATACTTTTTTAAATGCAGGAGATTGATTTCTGGGGTCTTCATTTTATATCATTTGTCTATTTTGTAGCTTATGCTACATTGCCTTATTAACTTTTACTTTTATACTCTTAATGGTTGGTTCAATCTTTCTTTAGGGGGTAGGTTTTTATAACTTTAAAATTTTTTTTCATTATTATTAGTCCATTTAGTTTTTTTTTAAACTTAAACGTTGAGTCAATTTGGTAATTTATATTGTCCCAGAGAAGTATCTTTTATTGAAATTTTAACATATAAGTACAGAGATTCCCATAACAATCCCTTATAATGTAATTTTTTAAAATCACTTCTTTAGCTATTGTTTTATCTAATTTCTCAATTGTATCTTGATATATTAATATTCTGTCTGATATTTTTTGATTTGTCAGAGGTTTGCCTGTTTTTGTTTTTACAAAGAGCTTTCTGTTGTGACATAGCTGGATTTTTGGTTTCTCTAGAGGACTCAGTTAACCTTTAGTTTTACTAACTGTGTTCAGAGAAAGAGACTTAGAAATTTTAGCTTTTTAAATGTGTGGGCTGCTGATAAGATTTGGCTCTGTGTCCCCACCCAAATCTCATCTTGAATTGTAATCCCCCCATGTCTAGGGAGGGACCTGGTGGGAGGTGATTGGATCATGAAGGCGGTTTCTCCCATGCTGTTCTCATGACAGTGAGTGAGTTTTCCTGAGAGCTGATGGTTTTAAGTGTGGCACTTCCTCATTCGTTCACACTCTCTCCTGCCGCCTTGTGAAGAAGGTACTTGCTTCTCCTTTGCCTTCTGCCATGTTTGTAAGTTTCCTGAGGCTTCCTAGCCATGTGGAACTGTGAGCCAATTAGACGTTTTTTCTTCATAAATTACCAGTCTCAGGTAGTGTCTTTACAGCAGTGTGAGAATGGACTAATACAGCTGCTATATAAACAATTTTTATAAATTTTCTAAGAATATTTAAAATACAGGTTTTTTATTATTAAGGTACAAATTAAGTGTTTCTGTTAATTTGGTCATATTTTTTAAATGACTAAAGATTAATTCTACATTTTACGGGTTGTCTACTTGGTATATGGAGGAATCAAATAGTGCTCCTAAAAGTCTCCCCCAGCAATTATTTCTGTTCATTCCTTATGTTCCCAATTTTGCTTTATATAGAGATATATGGTATTAGTAATTGCATAAAAGTTAATATCTGTTTGTATTCATTATGGATGATCACTTTGATCAATATAAGATGAAGTAATATTACTACTTTTGCTTTCGTTTCCCTTGCATTTGCTTGAAAAATTTTGCTCATCATTTTTTTATCTGTTATGTTTTTCTTGGTGTTTTCTTCTAAGTAGCAAATGATAGATTTTTTTCAATTTGAAGATTAAAATGTTAAGAGAGATCAAATCTTCCTAAATTAATATATACATTTAGTAAGATCACAATAAATAGGCCAACAGAATTTTTTAAATAGACAAGCCAATTATAAAGCTTATCTGGAAAACCAAATATACACAAGAATAGCCAGCAACATTCTGGAAAAAAAAAGAGCAATGAGGAAGAAATAGCTCTACCATATATTATGACAAATCACTGAAGTTCAGTAATTAAAATGTTGTGATTGTGATATAAGAGTAGAAAGACTGGCCAGTTGATCAAATGGAGCACAGAAATGTATCCAGTAAGAAATGAGAATGTAATGTATGATAAAGGTAGTATTTCTTTCTCTTTTTTTCTTTTTTTCCTTTCAATTTTATTTTAAGTTCTAGGTACATGTCCAGGATGTGCAGCTTTGTTATATGGGTAAATGTGTGCATGGTGGTTTGCTGCACAAATCAACTCATCACCCTGCATCCATTAACTAGCCTTCCTGATGCTCTCCCCGTGCCACACACACCTCCAACAGGCCCCAGTGTGTGATGTTCTTCACCATGTGTCCATGTGTTCTCATTATTCAGCTCCCACTTATAAGTGAGAACATTCAGTGTTTGGTTTTCTCTTCCTGCATTAGTTTGCTGAGGATAATGGCTTCCAGCTCCAGCTATGTCCCTGCAAATGACATGATCTCATTCCTTTTTAAGGCTTTTTAATGGAATACCATAGTATTCCAGGGTGTATATGTACCACATTCTCTTTATCCAGTCTAACATTGATGGGTATTTGGGTTGATTCCACATCTTTGCTATTGTGAATAGTGCTGCAATGAACATATGTGTGCATGTATCTTTATAATAGAATGATTTATATTCCTTTGGGTATATATCCAGTAATGGGATTGCTGAGTCAAATGGTATTTATACTTCTAGATCTTTGAGGAATAACTACGCTGTTTTTCACAATGTTTGAACTAATTTACACTCCCACCAGTAGTGTAAGAGCATTCCTTTTTCTCCACAACCTCGCCAGCATCTGTTGTTTCTTGACTTTTTAATAATCACCATTCTGACTGGTATGAGATGGTATCTCATGGTGGTTTTGATTTGCATTTCTATAATGATCAGTAATACTGAGCGTTTTTTCATGTTTGTTGGCTACATGAATGTCTTCTTTTGAGAAGTGTCTGTTCATGTCCTTTACCCACTTCTTAATGGGGTTGTTTGTTTTTTTCTTGTAGTATTTCTTATCAAAGGGAAAACATGGAGTATTTAATAAATGGTATTGGCATAACAGGAAACCATCTGGAAAAAAAGCCATCAGATCCCTACCTCACGCCTTACATCAAAGCCATTCCACACAGCTGAAACATTTAAATATAAAGTTTAAAAACATAAAAAGTACTATAACAATAGAGATTTAAAAATAACAATCTTGTCATAAGAGAGGGCTTTTGAAATAAGACACAAGACCCAGAAGCCATAAAAGAGATGAATTCAAATGAGAAAAAAAGTTTAATGTGCAAGAATAAAATAGAGTGACAAGACAAATAACACACTAGGGAAGGTGTTTGCAACAAACAGATTGATAAATGACTGATTTCTTTAATACAAAGAATGCCTACAATAGGTTTAAAAATAAATAAAAAACAATGACCCACTAGAAGAGCTAAGGGCTTGAAGAGACAGCTTTCTAAGAACACAAACTCAAATGGCTCTTAAGCAAATGAAAAGATGCTCAGCCTAGCTCAAAATAGCAGAAATGAAAACCTATGGCAAAATACCCCTTCTCATTGATTATTCCATCAAACATCAAAACCTTGTTAACACACAGTGTTGACACAGGTGTGAAAAATATATCAATGCATAAAACATTTGTTGGAGAAAATTGGGCAAAATCTTTCAACATTAAAAGTGCACAAGCCCTTTGATCTAGCAATTTCACTGTTAGGGATTTATTCTACAGACATATTAGCCAAATCTCATCTGAATTTTACCCAACAGTGGTGGATTGAGCACTTGCCATGTGCCAGGCATGGTAGCAGACAAGAAGGATACCCAGAGAAATGAAGCAAAGTTACTGTACAATCTTACAATGTGAGCTGCAATGGAATTTAGAGATTTCATTCCAGAGATGAAAACAGTGAGGTTCAGAGAGGGGAGTGTCTTTTCCAAGAAGTGACTGAGCAGGAACTGGAACTAAGGCCAAACATTTCCACACGAGTTGCCCTCAACCCTGAGAAAATAGAAAATATTCCCTGAAAGATCTGGGGACGCAGTCTAAAGTGGCTTATTACAAGCAAAGAAATATTTATTATTTGTTTCTAAAAGGTCATGCAAATTTTGCATTTTATTTCATCTATCTCTTTATTTAAATACACACATATAAATTGTTTAATATGAAGTAATGTTTTAAAAATTATTTTATTACTTACCAATTAATGGTAAATACTACAACACTTTCCATCCCCCCCCCCCCCATCTTTAGGTACAGTAGCTATATGAGGAAAAAGCTCCTCCTTCTTCTCAAACCCCAAAATATCCCCAAAGGGAGAAACATCCAGCTAAGCCAAGCTGCTTCTTGAATCTATGGCTTAGAAGATACTGCTCTGGGCTGGGCACAGTGGCTCACACTTGTAATCTCAGCATTTTGGGAGGCCAAGGCTGGCAGATCACGTGAGGTCAGGAGTTCAAGACCAGCCTGGCCAACATAGTGAAACCTCATCTCTTCCAAAAATACAAAAATTAGCCAAGCATGGTAGCAGGCACCTGTAATCCCAGCTACTCAGGAGGCTGAGACAGGAGAATTGCTTGAACCTGGGAGTCAGAAGTTACAGTGAGCTGAGATTGTGCCATTGCACTCCAGTCTGGGTGACAAGAAGGAAACTCCATCTCAAAAAAAAAAAAAAAAAAAAAAAAAAAAAAGAAAAGACACTGTTCTGAAGCTGCTGTTTTGAACTTCTTAATCATTTGACCTTTGCATCTGTGTTTTGTAAGTGAAGTCTGATAGGATAATGGAGCTAGGAGTCTGACACCTGGGCTCACACACAGTCTCGCCTTCTGGCTTCTCAGGGACAGGTTCTTGGCTGCCTACTCCCCAACCTTGCTTGGCACACCAGCAAGAGTCGGGGACAGGTGCACACCTGGGGTGGGTCAAGGTAGTGTCTGTCCCCACTCTGGCTGACAGTACCACAGCACATTCAGCAGGTGAATCAGCAGGGGTCTTTCACCCACCCCTGAGGCAAATACTCAGTCCATCTGGCAAAGAAGCTGCAATCCCTTGGGGGTTGCCTGACTGCTGTGGGTTGTGGCTGTGGGCCGTGGGAGGGAGAGATTGACTTTCCTGTCCTGGCTGGGTCCAGCACCAGACATTGCCACATATTTATCAACTCCCACAGATCCCTGCCGTGGCAGCTCACAGAAGTTCACTGAGGTGGAGCAGGAATGGGAATAGGTGGTGGCAGGGCGAGGCTGGAAGGGAGAGGGCAACTGGACTGGGGGAGCTTGGAATAGAGTGATGCAGGGAAGGCAAGGCACTGAATGTTGGTGTTTGGTCACTGTCTGCTGGACTGAGACCTTCTGGGTAAAGCCCTCAGGCCAGGGTGGAAATGTAGAGGGCATGATAGGGAGATTGCAAAAATGCCCCCAGTTCCTCCCAGCTCCCTGCTATGTGGCTCTGCAGCTCCCCTCACCAGGAGGTGCTACATTCCCCTGCCTTTTGCATTCAGGCTGCCTGTGACTTGTTTTGGCCAATAGAACGCAGCAAGAACCGTGGTTCCTCAGTTGTGCGGAGTCAGGGCCTTGGGCTCAAGAGCGCCCCTGCTGGATGGAGCCAAGGTGACTGTGATGCATACACTAATGTGCTAACTTGACTGGGCCACTGGGTGCCCAGACATTTGGTCAAATGTTAGTCTGGGTGTGTGGATTGTTCTGGGTGAGAGTGACATTTGAATGTGTAGACGGAAGGAGACTGATAGCTTCCCTTGTGAGAGTGGGCCACATCCAATCAGGTGAAAACCTGAGTTAAAGAAAAGGGTGGACCCTTCCTCGAGGAAGGGGGAATGTTTCCTGCCTGACTGCTGGAGCTGGAATGTCACTTTTTTCCTGCCTTCAGACATGGATGGAGACATCGGCAAGTCCTGGGTCTGGTGCCTGCTAGCTTTCAGACTGCAACTTACACCACCAGCCATCCTGGGCCTCCAGCTTGCTGACAGTAGATATTGGGACTTCTTAGCCTCCATAGTTGTGTGAGCCAATTTCTTAAAATAAACCTCCTTTTAGACACACACCCACACACAGACACACACACACATGCGCGCACACACACACACACACACACATCCTGTTGGTTCTGTTTCTCTGGAGAACCCCGCCTAATACAGTGACCTCCATGGGACTTTGCTAACATGGCAGCCCTGCTTGGCCTTCCTTCCTCTTGTCCCCACACCTGTGTCCTCAGGAAGCCATCCTAATGCAGCCCTTCATGGGACTCCCCATTCCACCTTCTCACCCTAGGCCTTGTTCACACTCACACACATGACCCCCGACTCCACTCCCAGGCACCCTAACCCAGATCAGGAGTGCCTCCCCTTGGTCCCTACCCCCACAGCACACACAGACCCTACCCCTGCCACTCACTGTCACGCTCCTGCCTCCCCTCAGCCTGGGGTTCAGTCAGTCACCAGAGAGGAAAGGCCAAGGCTGCCGAGAGGCGCCCTGCCCACACCCCAGCCTGGCCAGCGGGCAGGAAGGGGCCAGCCACTCTCTCAGACCTCCTGGCCCAGTGGCTGAGGGCTTGGCAGGGGACTTTCAACCCACTGGCTGCCCCAGGTAGGCACTGCAGCACCCAATGTGTGTGTGTGTGTGTGTGTCTGTGTGTGGGATGTGGGTGTGAGTGTGTTGTGTATGTGTGATGGGGTGTGTCTGTGTGGTGTGAGTGTGTCTGTGTGTGTTTGTGTCTGTGTGTGTGAGTGTGTGTGTCTGTGGTGTGTGTGTCAGTGTGTGTGGTGTGTGTCTGTGGTGTATGTGTGTGTCTGTGTGCATCTATGTATGTATCTGTGTGTGGGGTGTGTGTGGTATATGTGGTTGTGTGTGATGTGTGTGTGGTGTGTATCTGTGTATGTCTGTGGTATGTGTCTGTGCATCTATGTATGTGTCTGTGTGTGGTATATGTGGTATGTGTGTGGTGTGTGTGTCTGTGTATATGGTGTGTGTCTGTGTATGTGTGTGTGGTATGTGTCTGTGTGTGTGTCTGTGTGTGCATCTATGTATGTGTCTGTGGTGTGTGTGCATGGTGTGTCTGTGTGTGTAGTGTGTGTCTGTGTCTGTGTGTGTGGCGTGTGTCAGTGTGTCTGTGTCTGTGTGTGTGTTTTGTGTGTGTGTGTCTGTGTATGTGTGTGTGTGTGGTGTCTGTGTTGGTGTGTGTGGTGTGTGTCTGTGTGTGTGGTATGTGTGTCTGTGTGGTGCGTGTCTGTGTCTTTGTGTGTAATGTGTGTGTCTGTGTGTGTGGTGTGTGTATTTGTGTGTGGTGTGTGTGTCTGTGTGTTGTGTGTGTTTATGGTGTGTGTGGTGTGTGTGTCTGTGTGTTGTGTGTGTGTGTATGGTGTGCAGTGTGTGTGTGTCTGTGTGGTGTGTGTGTGTCTGTGTGTGTGTGTGTGTGGTGTGTATGTGTGTGTGTTGAGGGGCAACCGCTGCCCTCCCCAGCCCCAAACCGTCCTCATTCCCTCCAGCCGGGTGGTGGATGCTGCAGGAGCCGGCTGCCGGCTGCCCTCATTAATATTTATGACAGGGAGAGGAAGTTGCATAAATCTTCCCTGATACTTAATTAAACCAAACTTCTTTTGATTTCCCCTTTTTTCTGCCTCATCGAGTGTGGCCAGCATGCCTATTAGATGTTCATCCTCCCCAAGTGGCCTGGGGCTGGACAGGATCCTCCAAGGGCCTCCACACACGCTGGTCACTCCAGCTACCAGCTGGGAGCTTGGGGAAGCCAGGTGACCCCCACCTGCCGTCGGCAGACTCTCTGTGTGTGGCTTTGGGGAGAGGCTCCCTGCAGCCTCTGGGGAGTAGAGGAGACCTGGGAAGACACTGGCTGCATCCCCTCAACAGATGCCCCCTCCAGACCTGAAAGATGGAGGCTTTGAAGAGTAGCAAAGCGAAGCTGTGACCTCCCATCCTCCCTGCTTCTCAGACAGGGAAGACCTGTGAGTCCCCAAGCCTCAGGAGTGGCTGAGTCCCACAGAGAAGCTGGCTTTGGCTGTGTCCCCCTCAATCCCCTCTCCATTTCCCACCCTGGCACCCTGGCCCGGGGACTCCACTGCGAACCCAGCCAGCGCTGGGCGTCTCCCTGAACAGCAAGAGCTGGTTAGCACCCGGCTGACACATCTTTGATATGGAATCATATCCAGGAAGCAGCTTGACCCCGAAGGCCCCTCTTAGCGTGGGATTGACACCGAGCATTGACTTTGCTTCAGGCTTATCCACAAATCTCAGCCAATTTTATTAAAGAGCTGCGTGTGGTGTGGAACATGCCAGAGAGACAACTTTATTTATAGATCTTGATCGGCAGAGAGGAGCCCACGCTTGATTCTGTTGGCGCCCCGGCCTGCCTCGCTCCACCTCAGGGGGGAGGGGGTGATTGGCAGGTGCGGCTCCTCACCAGCCTCCCTCCCAGCCCAGCTGCTCGCAGAGACGCAGACACATGTGTGGACGGACACGCGGGCCTTAACCTGGACAGACATATCCACGTTCACCAGATGCAGAATCCCACACTGTGATGGATTGAATTGTGTCCCCTCAAAATCCATATTTTGAGGCTCTAACTCCCACTGTGACTGTATTTAGAGATTGGGCCTTTAGGGAGGTAATTAAGGTTAAATGAAGTCATAGGGGTGGGGCCCTGATCTGAAAGGAGTGTTGCCCCTATAAAAAGAGGAAGAGGCGCCCAATCTCTCGCTCTCCCTCTCCTCTTTTCCCATTCCCCTTCCTTCTCTTGCTCTCCCTGCCTGTGCCCAGAGAAAAGGCCTTGTGAGGACGCAGTGAGAAGGTGGCCATCTGTAAGACAGGT
Organism: Homo sapiens; assembly: GCF_000001405.40. Classification (NCBI taxonomy): domain Eukaryota; kingdom Metazoa; phylum Chordata; class Mammalia; order Primates; family Hominidae; genus Homo; species Homo sapiens. Next base: position 126,206,765 of record NC_000009.12, read on the forward strand.
AGAGAGCCCTCACCAAAAACTGAATTTGCTGGCACCTTGATCATGAACTCTAGCCTCCAAAACTGTGAGGAAAATAAGTATCTGTTGTTTGCCCACCCAGCCTGTGGTATTTTGTTATAACAGCCCAAGCTGACTAATGCACATGTAGACACACTCATGCACAAGCGTACAGACGTGTGGAGTCATCACTACAGACACCCACAGCCGTGCACCAGTTCACACGCACACTGAGACACAGACACACAAGGACATAGAGTGACCTTGCTAGACCAAGGCAGCACCTTCCCTGATTTGCCTCTATCCTGGAGAAGGTGTCCGGAGGTGAGTTGGGGACTTAGTGAGGGAGGGAGAGAGGGGCAAGTGCATGTAGACAGAAGCCTGAACTCTAAGAACATAAACCTGTAGATATGCAATACTACAGTTTTGTAAATATGAATACTCTGCAGTCCCCATAGACAACATGCATAGAGTTCCACAATTAATAATAATAATAATAATAGTGAATAATGCCTGCAATGCTGGCCTAACCTAAATAAATACAGCTGGCATTGACTGATGTTTACTAGGAGCCAGGCACTCTGTCAAGCATTCACATGCTATCTCATGTTTACCTTCGCAACTCTGAAAAGCACGGCACTCTAAACAGAACTGAGAGATATGAGGTAGTGTGCCCAGGATGACATAGCTGAAGAGAGGCTGGGCAGGCATCAAGCCAGGTCTCCTGGCTGGACCTGAGCCCCACCCTTAACCACTTGCCAGCCGTGTCCATGGCATGGGGCATGCACAGTGATGCCAGTACCCTGGGGGGCTCGCCATGTGCCAAGCACCTGTGCTGTAAGCGCCAGAAAGCCTGCAGAGATGCTCTCTTTTCTTAACCTGCAGTCTCATTGACCGGGTTATAGCTGACCCTGCACAAGCTGGGATCTAGACCAGCTAACAGCTAGGAAGGGAAGGGCGAAGAAAAGCCCGCCAGCCATGCCGCCACCAAAGCCGGCTAATGGGAGAGGTCTTTGGGGCACCTCATCATTAATTTCAGGCCGCCATGTGTCCATTAACATGGACTAAATCTAGACATGAGCAGGTGACCTGTCTAGGGGGTTGTCAGACAAGGTTTCTCTCTGGCTGTGGTAAGGTCAGACTGAAAATGTTTTGGCTCCAGAAGCTTCTCTCTATGGGGACAAAGGGTTCTGACGGGACACGTGGATTCCTGCCAAGTATATGTGTTCAAAGAAGATGGACTTTAACTGAAATTCCTCTGGCTCCTTGTGTTAAGCCCTATGCATAAGACTCAATGAATCACTCGCAACCACTGAGCCTGAGAAGCTCTGGGTAATGGGGGGACCTGGTGGGACTCAGAGATGTCCCCCAGACATTGTCTCCTGGAGGGGCTGTGCAGGACCAGGGCCACAGCTCGTAGGGAGGTTGGAGGGAGTGATGCTGGGCAGAGTAGGACAGGGACTGGGGAAAGTGGCCTCTGAGCTCCAAGTTACGTGGATTTGGGGAGCCTCAACTCCTCATTTTTACCCAAGAGTTGGTAATGTTGAGCCCAGGGGCTGCTGAAAGGATTAAGGAAGATGACTGTGTGTGAGTGCCCTGGCCATTGCCTGGTACATTCCTGTTTCTTCCTCCCAAAAGAGAGGAAGTCTTCCCCCTGCCCCATGCCCAGGAGGCATGGAAGGACCCAACTTCCTTCTTTATGGCCCTGAAGCCCCAAGAGCTCCTGCAGGCAGCTGGGCAAGGAGGAGTAAGAAGATACTCATGGGATCCTCAGGTCAGGGCAGAAACTGGGCTCAGACCCTGGGCATGAGGAGGGGCAAGGCTGCTGGGGCAGTATCAGGGATGGGCCTGAGGCAGGTTTGGGGGTGACAGGGTTCACCTACCCCACGCTAATGGCAGCAGGGTGGCCAGCAAAGATGGAGTTTCCAATATGGCTGAGAAGGTGTGATTAAGGGCACGAGTGGAGTGACTGCTCAGTGGACTGGTGGTTTTATTTTGGGGTGATAAAATGTTCGGAAGCTAGATAAAGGCAATAGCTGCACAACATTGTAAATGTACTAAATGCCATTGGATTATACTTTTGAATAGTTGATTTTATGTTATGTGAATTTCACCTCAATTTAAGAAAAAGAGAGCAGGAGAGCATGGGCATTTAGCTCTCTGCACCTGCCCTTGAATCCCAGCTCTGTCACCTGTTGGCTGGGTGTCTTCATCTGTGAGATGGGCTAATATTAGTACTTACCTAGCACATTATTGTGGATAAAATGATGGAATAGATTTGAGAGCACCTAGAACATAATAGGAACGATGCCAGTTTGTAAAATGCACTAAAAGTCTTTCTAGATATGCTCTACACTCTCCTACCATTCCAACTCCAACACACACACACATACAAAAAGAAAGGCAGGCATCACCAAGCAGTTGGGACCAGGGCTCTGATTCAAAGACCCGCCAGCCCATGGGAAAGATTTCCAGTAGCCAAGGCAAGGATAAAACCCTGAGCCGAACGAAGAGGACAGACAAGAAAAAGATGGCAGGGGATTTACTTCACTGGTCTGTTCTTCTGAGCCCCACTTCAATGACGGAGAAGGAAGCAACTCCCTGCTCTACAGAGACATTTTAGGGCAGCAGATTTGAGTCCCCCTCACCACTCCCCACTCCCTAAATCATTCTCTCATCCCAGAATTTAAGCCTCCTTGAACTATAGTTCCCAGAAGAGAAGTGCTGCTGGGTTCCACCCACCTGGGATTGAGAGGATCCAGAGGAAACTGGACCAGACAGAACGGCAGAGGAGGAGAGGAGTTGCATTCTGCAGATAGTAATTGTCCATTAATTATTTCCTGCATGGAAATAGGTACAGCATTCACAGAAATCAAGAATGCATTGTCCTCATGACCTGGTTGCTCAACAAAGAGGTTCCTCTTCAAGTCACAAAATCCACGAAAATCATAAAATTAAGAAAGAAACCATCAGAACGATGCCTGGAGTTAGTTCACAGGCACCTCCTTGAGGAAGGAGGTAACAGCACTGGGTTATCAAGAGATTCTGCATTGTGAAATGTGAAAACTAGAGGAAACACAGATTTTTAGGGAAATTTTGCCATAGGAAGCAAAAGTGAATTAAAAAGCATTTGCTTTGTTCTCTCAGTAAGAGTCAGGAAAACACGAACATTATGAAAACAGAAGATAATAAGGCCAAAGATTGAGTTGAAAAGGAATGTAGCAATGAGGTCAGCAGAAATGAAAATAGAATAGCATCAGGTCTAGAAATATTGTGAAACAAGAGAAAAACTAAATTACAGTTAAAACCAGAATTAGAAACATTAATAAAAAAAAATCAACCCTGTAATAAACTGAATCTGTGTTGTGAAGGAAAACTTGAAAAGCTCTTCTGAAAGTCAAGGAAGGAAAACCAGTTTTTCTAAAAAGTGATTGATATAAATGACAGAGTGACAGAGAAGAGACTCAATTAATTGATAACCAATAGTTAACTAATAGATATTGTTGAATTAATTGATATTGTTGAATAAGAGAGAAGAAAACCAGAAGTAATAAAGATACTATAGAAGAAAATTTTCAAAAATGAAGAAATTAGTAAACCCATGGATTAAAATATTCAAATTAGTTATTAGAAATACACACATAGACATGTTCTGTTTGATGTTTTTATTATAAGAATAAGACCTTATAGAAATATAGGCAGACAAAAAACAAGTTGCCTCTGATGAGCCAAAATTAGATTTGCTCAGACTTGTCCAACACACACTAAACACAAGATAGCAATGAAGCAAAATCTGTAGAGTTATGAGGGAAAGATCTTGTGTCATAAGAATTTTGTGCTTGTCTTGTCTAGCATGAGAGCAGCTGATTTGCTTTCATAGATGAGAAAAAGCCTGTAAAGTCTATACTCCCAGCCTCACCCTGCAAAAATACTGAAGAAATTTTCCAGCCCATGTCTTCTGAAACTTTTTCATGTGATGGCACAACAATAAGGTGATAGAAGCGTTCCACACACAGATTTCAAAAAGCCTATTCTTGCTGATATCTATAGCAATGAGATTTGAGCTTTGGGGAGTGTATTAGTTTGTTCTCACATTGCTATTAAGAACTACCTGTGACTGGGTAATTTATAAAGAAAAGAGATTTAATTGGCTCACCGTTCCACAGGCTGTACAGGAAGCATGACTGGAGAGGCCTCAGGAAACTTGCAATCATGGTGGAAGTTGAAGAAGCAAGCACATCTTCACACGGCCAGCAGGACAGAGAGCAAAGGGGGAATTGTTACACATTTTAAATAGCCAGATCTCGTGAGAACTTCCTCACTATCATGAGAATACCAAAGGGGAAATCTGCTTTCATGATCCGATCACCTCCCACCAGGTCCTTTCCCCAACACTGGAGATTACAATTCAACATGAGATTTGGGTGGGGACACAGAGCCAAACCATATCAGGGAGATCATTGTGGATGCAAGAGTAGAAGGGAGTGAGAGGAGAACAGGACTGGCAGCACAGAGCAGTTAGGAGGATCTCCCAACAAAACAGGAGAGCATCTGTGAGGTGAGAGGAAAGCCAGAAGGGTGAGGAAGGTGAAGAAAGTGAAGAATGTGTTTCCAAGAGAATGAGCAACGGTGCCCAATGCTGCTGAGAGTTCAGGGAATGTGAGGATGAAAAAGTGATCCCCCAGAATTAGCAACATGGAGGTCACTGGTAGCTTGGATATGAATGGCTTCCAAGGAATGATGGGTTTAAAAAAGAATGAAAGGAAGAAAAATGGAGAAAATGGGCATAGATAACACTTGCAGGATTTTGCTGCCAAAGGGCGTTGAGAAATAGGGCAGTAGCTGATGAGGGAGATGTAATCAAAAGCGGCTGTTTGTCCTATGAACATGGGACATGTACTGGCATGTTCACAGGACAAGAGGAATGATCTATTGGGAGGAAAATTTGGTGATGTAGGAGAGGGGAGAGAACTTCTGGGCAATGCCCTTGAGTAGGCAAGAAGGGAAGAATCTATCCAGTGCTCAAGTGGAGGGTTGACTTTGTTGATTTGGTTTACGGGCATGGGAAAGAAGCCAGAGGATGTATGGGTGCACATGCTGGTGGGTGGATGGAAGTGGTGGTGGATCTGAGAGAGAGAGAGAGGATGGTGGAGGAGGTGTTAAAGGAATGAGGAAAGAGGAAGTTTTGAAAGAGTCTAGGAGGTGGGAGAGAGAATGGACTAGGGAAGTAGATTACAATGGCTGGGCCACATCAAGGCCCATTGAGTTTCCTGGTGTTATTTTAAAGCAAGAGCAGTGATGGTGGTTGTGTGTTTTTCTTCAGTCACATTCAGCTGATTGGCAGCTGAGAAGGAATTGGATTGCACTCGGATTGTGGTCTTGCCAAATGTATATGACAAAGTGAGAGAGGGATGAGGGAGGCGAGAAAGAAGACTAGGAGAGATCTTAATGTGTGGCTGTGAATTTGAAGCTGGGTCAGAAGGTGATATAGTTTGGATATTTTACTCACCCAAATCTCATGCTGAATTGCAATCCCCAATGCTGAAGGTGAGGCCTGGTGGGAGGTGTTTGGAACATGGGGGCAGATCCCTCATGGTTTGGTGCTGTCTTCATCACAGTGAGTAAATTCTTGTGAGATCTGGTCATTTAAAACTGTGTGCCACCCCCACCCCAACTCTCTCTCTCTTGCTCTTCTTCTTGCGGTATCTTGTGCCTGCTCCCCCTTTGCCTTCCTCTATGATTGGAAGTTTCCTGATGCCTCCCCAGAAGCAGGTGCTGCTATGCTTCCTGTACAGCCTGCAGAACAATGAGCCAAATAAGCATATTTTCTTATAAATTACCCAGTCTCAGGTATTTCTTTATAGCAATGCAAGAACAGCCTAACACAGGAGGAAAGAAGGTAAGGACAGTGAGAAGATGTCATCAATGATTGTAGGTCTCTAGGGGGTCAAAGGATAGCTAGGGATGAGGCACTAGAAGGAATGAGTTGGAAGCACAGAAGGTGGTGTTCAGGGAGGAGGGTGAATAAGATGGAAAGGATGGAGGGACTACTGGTAATAACAAAGTCTAGAGGATGACCATGGGAGGGAGGGGCCCAGATAGGATGGAGATCATGGAGGAAAGGAACTTGGGCACTGAGAGCCCGGGATGTCATAAGGATCATCTCCAGGCATATTGAAATCATCAGAATAAAACAGTAGTAGTGTTGAAGAGAGAAATAACAAGCCAGGAGCTAAAATCAATAACCAAGGAGTGACATGGGCATCAGTGAATTGATTACAGGAAGGATGAGGGGCAGAGGATAGATTTGTGGGATGACTTTGGGTGAAAAGTAGGGGTTTTCAGGGATGAGAAAGCAAGGGAGATTGTAACCCCATTTTTTGTACCTTCCTGTAGGTACACCCATTGCAATGCAACTTTGCAGAAATCCCTTTCAAGAGATCAAGTCTATTTCCCACCCCTTGAATCTGGACAGACTTTTGACTTACTTTGGCTAATACGATGCAGCAAAAGCAATCCTGTGCCAGTTGATCAAGAGGCCCAGCAGCTCCCACTGCCTTGGACCCCTGTCCTGCTGTCATATAAACAAATATGGGCTAGCCTGCTACAGGCTGAGAGACCATGTGAAGCAGAACCAAGTTGTTCCAGTTGAAGCCATCCAGATCATCCTATAGCCAGCTGACCCCAAAACATGTGACAGACCCCAGCCCAGATCAGCAGATCTGCCTATCCAATCTGCAGCTGACCTGAGACACATGAGTGAGCCCAGCTAAGACTACAAGAACCATCCAGCTGATCTGAAAATTCATTAATCAAATCAATGCTTATTGTTGTTAGCTGTATTGCTTTTCTATTGCTTTGTAACAAATTACCACAAATTTAGTGGCTTAAAACAACACCCATTTATTAGCTCACAGTTCTGTAAGTTAGAAATCTGGATGGGTTCAGTGGGGTTAGAGTCTCCTTAGAGTCTCACAACCAGTATTTAGCTTCACTGCTGAGCCATGTAGTGTACTATATTAATATTTCCTTTCTTATGCAACTTGGAGTTGATAGCTGCTGGCTTTTTTTATTCACTTATTTTTATTGATACATAATATTTGCAATTTATGGGGTACATGTGATATTTTGATTCCGGCACACAAGGTGTAATAATCAAGTCAGGGTGTTTAGAATATCCATCACCTTGAACATGTATTATTTCCTTGTGTTGGGAGCATTTCAAATCTAGCTATTTTGACATATATGGCTGTTAACTATAGTCATTCCACTGTGCTATTGAATACTAGAACATATTCCTTCTCTCTAACTGCAGGTTTGTACCCATTAATAAACCTTTCTTCATCCTTCCACCCCCACTTTCCCAGCCTCTGGCAACTAATATATACATAATATCTATCTATTCCCTTGCTGGGTAGGGGAGGGACAGTTGCTGTGTGGGTTAGAAAAATAGGCCAGGGAGCGGGTGGGAGATCTCACAGCTCTTTCTACAAACTCTCGTCTAAATCCAACATCTAAATCCAACACATAAACACCCTATTATTTCTCTCATAAAAGCAAAACAAAACCAAATCCAAAAAGCCTCACTCCTACTCCACCTCCCGCCTTCTGATCTCATGTCTCCCTTCCATTTGTAGCAAAACTTTTTGGAAGACCTTTCTTCTGTCCAATATGGCAGCCCCTAGCTACATGTGGCTCTCGAGCACTTGCAGTGTAGCCAGCAAAATCGAGGTGCATTGTAAGGGTAAAATATACACCACATTTCAAAGACATCATATGAAAAACAATGCAAACTATCTCATTAATAATTTTATATCAATTACATATGGAAATGATAATTTTTATATACATTAGGTTAAATAAAATATATTAATAAAATTAATCTCACCTGTTCCTTTTAATTTTTAAAACGTGGCTACTATTAATTTAAAAATGACGTAGGTAGCTGTATATACTGGACACGGCTGGTCTAAACCCTTGCTCCAATTCCTCTACTCTTGTCCTCTCTTGAACTCATTCTTCACTTCCCCTCCCTTGAAACGGTCCCTCAGGTTCACTGACAACTTCCATGTTGCCAAGTCTGAATTCCCAGACCTCATCTTACTTGACCTCTAAGAGGATACACACCAACTGGTCATTCTCCTTTTGGAGACACATTCTCTACTTGAACTCCAGGACATGACACTCTCCTGGTTTCCCTCGTACCTCTCTTGACTGCTGCTCCCTGAACCCTTTGCTGGGTCCTCCTCCTCTCCCTGAACTTTAAATGTTGCCATGCCCCAGTCCCTGGTTTCTCTCTCTTTTCTTTTCTTTTCTTTTCTTTTGTCTTTTCTTTTCTTTTCTTTTCTTTATTTATCTTCTTTCTCTCTCCTTCCTTCCTTCCTTCCTTCCTTCCTTCCTTCCTTCCTTCCTTCCCTCCTTCCTTCCTTCCTTCCTTCCTTCCTTCCCTCTTTCTTTATTTCTTTCTTTTTTCTTTCTTCCTTCCTTTCTCTTTCAGACAAGGTCTCGCTTTGTTGCCCCTGCTGGAGTGCTGTGGTGCGAACATGGCTCACTGCAGCCTCCACCTCCTGGGCTCAAGTGATCCTCCCACCTCAGCCCCCCAAGTAGCTGGGACCACAGGTGTGTGCCACTGCATCTGGCTAATTTTTGTAGAGATGCGGTCTCCCTATGTTGTTCAGGCTGATCTCAAATTCCCAGCTCAAACAATCTTCCCACCTCAGCCTCCCCAAGTGCTGGGATCACAGGTGTGAGCCACTGCACCTGCCCCATGGCTTTCTTTTCTGTCCACACTCTTTCCCTTGGTAATCTCATTCACTCAGGCTTTAAATACTATTTCTTCATAATAGGACCCACTGCTACTTCCCTGACCTCATCTCCCACCGGCCTTCCCCTCACTCACTTGGCGCCAGCCACATTTTCTTCCTTACTGTCCCTCAAACACGCCAGACACATTCCAGTCTCAGGGCCTTTGCACTTGCTGTCCCCTCTGATGCAACAGTCTGTACTCAGCTTTCTGAATGGCTCACTCCCTTTCTTCCTCCACGTCTTGACTCATCTGTCACCTTCCATGGAGTCCTTCCCTGGCCTCTCTAAAATTGCACTCCTCCAATGTAATATTTCCTGTCTTTTTCCCTCCCTCATTTTTCTCCAGGGTTCTCACCACTGTCTAACATCCTATATGTTTCACTTATTCATTTGTCTCTCCAACTAGAATGTAAGCTCCATGAAAGCAGAAATCTGGAGCACAGCAGATGTCCTACAATTGTTGAATGAGTGACCAAACAAATCCTCCTCCTTCGACCCCATGCCTCAACCTCATATTTCTTGGTAGGTGATGCTCCAAGCTCCTACCTCTTCCTGGGGTGCTGTGCTGTGGAGTTCATTGCCAGCATCCCCTCTGCTGGCTCACAATGCTCATCTTCATCAGTTGCTCTAATTAATTATCCTCACTCCACTTCTCCCAAATTCCTGTCTCTCATCTCCTCTCACATTCACTTTGCCTTGTGGGTTTATGCATTTTTATCCCTTTTATTTTAGTGCGGTTTCAGGGGGAAGCAGAAATAAAAACATTTTTTCAACTTACCCTATTTAGCCAGAAGTCCCAATGTAGTATTTTGGGAACACCTTTTTACACATCATTGTATAGTGTGAGCGTGTGTGTGTGTGTGTGTGTGTGTGTTCATTGTAATTAGCTGCAAGGATTCTGCTTTGTAGATAGATCACAACTTATTACACTAATTCCCAGCCCTGGCCTGTTAGAGTTGTTTCTAATTTTTTGCTATGATAAAATAGTGTGATTCGCATTGTTATATTTTCTCCTATCTTCGTGATTATTTAAATGCTAAGGAGTGGAATTTTGGAGGCCAAAAGGCATGCATATTTTTAAGCCTTCTGATACATATTGCTGGATTATTCTTCAAAAAAAATTCCAATTTACACTCCTCCCAGCAATGATTGTTTGGAAGAGCCTGTTTCTGCATGCATATACCAGCAGTGGGGATTATCATTATTCTAAATCTTTAACAATGTGATAGCCGAAAATTTATGTCTCACTGTTATTATAATTCGTATTTTCCTTAATTACTAGTGAGATTGTCTTTTCATATTTATTTGCCTTTTCTATTTCTTCATATATTTATGACATATTATAAAAGATAAAAGCAGGTTAGAAAACATTATGTATAATATAATCCAAAGTTTGTAAAAAGAAGTTTATCTATGCATAGAAAAATAAGACTGGCAGGAAATAAGACAACATGGACTGTGGTTTTGTCTGGGCGGTGAGATAATGAATGAGTTTTCTTTTTCATTTTCAAGCTTACGTATTTTCCAAATTTTATCCAAGAACCATCCATTATTTTGTAACTAAAAATGTGATTTTAAAAGTAACTATTATTATAATCATATTAAAATAGCCCAAAGTTTCCAGAACAGAGTCGGGCAGCAAAGCAGCCCACAGGTTCTTGAAAAAGCACCGTCCAGCCAAACCCCCAGGGACATTCAAGATTGGCTTCCTTACAACTGCAGAAAACCCATATGCGATGTATTCTGTCTCTAGAAGGGCAAAGGTGGGCCACTGGGGGTGGGGCAGCAGGCCTGGGATGTGGCCAGTGGGTACCAGGCGCTCACAGGCATCAGTGGGTAATTACATCTCCTTTTAACACATGCAAATTGTATCAGTATTATTTATATATTCAAAGCCACGGATGAATAATATATGCATTTATGCAGAGGTAATTGCCTTAGCCAGGTTCTTCCTGGGACTTTTATTGTCTCCCCAGATACTGAATATTCAACTCCTCTCTCCCGACTGGAGCTCGGGGTGCAGTGTGCTGTGTGCAGCCCCAGCCTCCTCCAGGGAAGGGGAGAAGGCTGAGCAGGGAAGGAGGCCTCAATTTGAGGTGTATGGGTAATGAGGCTGAGGGTCAGGGCTCTGGACTTGCAACCCCAGCTGCTTCCTCCCTGGCTCACCCCTGGTTCAGGGATGACACCCAGCTTCCTTCTTTGGTGCAAACTCTAGTACTGCAAGAGTCTGTTAAACCTGGGTGTTCGCCTGCATCCATGCAACCAGCACCACCAAAAAGGCCACCACCTCCTTTGCCCTATTGACAGCCTTGCTTAAGAATCTCTCACCTTAACCCGTGCATTTTTACAAACTGCTGCAGCCAGATCAGTTTAGGCTGTGACCGTGGCGGGCAGTTCTGGTCTCTGTGGGGGCATCCCGGGTAGACACCCTCCCATCTCATGCAGCCTCCTCTATTTGGTGCAGTGTGGCCCAGCCCTGGCCATGCCCCGTGGGAGTGCAAGAGGAAGCAAGGAAGCAGGAAGCATTGTTCTAGATGTCTTCAATGAAGACGCAGGAAACAAAGTTAGATTGCAGTGAGTGAAGGGTGCAGTGGAGAGCCAGACTCACTGTCAAGGGAGTAGATCTCTAAGCCTAGCCTTGCTTTTTGGTGCTTTCTGTGCACCTCTTGTCTGAAAAGGTGTCACTTTGGGGGAAATGAGCTCAGGGGCAGCACCTGCAACCCCCACCGCCCTCCCCAGGGTGAGGCCATGAGCCCACGAAGAGATCCCATATAGACTATTTTAAGAAAGTTGGCAGAGTAAGGAAATTGAGAGCTTTGATGAAATGAGAAATTTGCTCCCAGGGAAATTTTAAGAGATGGGACAGCATAAGGTTTCATGGCAGGATGTGCCAGGGAAGGGGAGGCGGCTGGGGACCCCAGAAGAGGAGGGCTCTCGGTGGAGGGGGTTTCTGGGGAGATGAGATGAAATGGGGGTGTGGGCACAGGCAGAGGCAGCGCCCTTCAGGAGCAGAGACCCCCATTCTCCTGAGGCCGAGGGGAAGCAGGGCAGAGGCTGTGAGTCCAAGAGACGTGCAAGTTTGGCAGAGGCAGGCAGGAGCTCTGATCTGTGCCTTCTGTTCTGTCCATTAACTGTGAGATGAAATTCCAGAGAGCAAGTGGAGGGGTGGGGAGAGGGGATCCTTGGGGACATAGGAAAAGTTTGGAATAACTGCTGAGAGGGTGGAGGAGGGGTCCGACATCCTCTCTGGCCCCCAGTCTTACCAGGCTTTCACTCTGCTACCACACCAAAGTGCCCTCGGTCAAGGTCTCCAGTGACCTCCTGACCTCCTTGTTGCCCAATCCACTCATATCTGTCCTCTAGCCAGCACTTGACATGGTCATTCGCACCTTCCTCCTGAAAACACTGCCTCTGCTTGGCTTCCAAGATGCTCTCAGTTGTGCTCCCACCTCTCTGACCATCCTCCCTGGCCTCCTTTGCTGGTTCCTCCTCTTCTCATCCTAAAACCCCGACGTGCTCAGGGCTCAGGCCTCAGACACCTCCAGCTGCACACACTCCTCAGGTGGCCCCTTCCTGTGTTATGTCTTCCAATCCCGTCACATGGCTGAGTCCCTGAGTTTAGCCTCCAGCCCTGGCCTCCCCCTGCCTCCAAGCCTGCACACACAGGGGCCCGGTCCACAATTCCCTGTGACTGTGCACTGAGCACCATATACCTGACATGGCCACAGCCACGCTCCTGATTGTCCTCCCTAAACCCTCCTCCATGGCAACCCCATTGTCCCAGCTGCTCAGGCCAAAACCTGGGAGATATTCTTGACACCTCCCCTTCTCCCTCAACTCACCTCCAACCCATAAGGAAACTCATCAGCAATTCCCTTGACATTCATCCCCAACCAGACCACAAAAGTGGTCAAAAGGCCACCTCCACCACTGCCACCCTAGTGCAAGCCTGTGTCAGTCACAGTCAACCTGGATGGCCAGGGCAGCCTCCTACCTATCTCTCTGCCTCCATCCAGCAATTTATGCATGAGTCCCAGGCACCTCTCACAACACAGGGCTGACACTGCTGCTTCTTCACTCCAAGCCCTCCTCCAGGGGGCCCACCTCACTTCAAAGGCCAGCCACAACCCCAAAGCCCTCCACAATCTGCTCCCCTCCCTGCCCCCCTTCTCCGACCTCCTCTCCCGCAACCCCCTCCCTGCTCTCGGTGTCCAGCCACACTGGCTGTCGCTGCTTGGGGCTGGCCTGGGGCCCTGCCTTGGGCTGTGGGTGGCAGCTGTTCCAGTTCAATCAGCTTAAAAATCATTTGAGGTGATGTGGAAACCCACCTGCCGACTCCACATCAGGAGACGCCCAGATACGGCCAACTGCACAGCCAGGTCACGCCCCCACAGGGTCAGCATCTGCTCCGTGATGCACGGGGCATGGGGACAGAGTGGCCACTGGGGACGCTGCAGATGGCCAAGGGGTTGTCATTAACCAAAGAGCAGCAGGATCCAGGCCCTGGCTTGGGGTAAATAATGGGAGGGGAGGGAGGAGGTTGACTCATTGGAGAGGGTATATTTTTTAAATTTTTGCCATAAAAATTGCAAACATTCAAAGGTAGAGCTGATAATATCATGAGCCCTCTGCAGCCTTCACGAGTTTCAATCATGATCAACTCATAACCAATTTTGTTTCATCCATTTTACCATTTGCTCTCCCTCAATTATTTTGAAGCAAATCCCAGAGATAATAACATTTCAACCCAGGCAATGACTCTTGTTTCTTTACCTCTAGGACTAGATTGCACTGTCACAATAAGCGTGGGGTTCTGGGCTCTTGGATACCCCAGCCTTCTCTCTGGGCCGGTTTCTATTAAAGGACAATGTCCTAGGTGAAATAGTGATTTTTCAGGAAATGATATTAGCAGGAAGGATAGTTGAAGGTGGCCACTCAGGGACTTTCAGAGTGCCAAGCCTGGAGCTTGGGCCAAACTGGCAGGGTAGGGCACCAAAGCCAGGGACAGGGGAGCCAGGTAGCCTCCTGAAACCCTTTATAAAGTGACTTATGGAAAAATTTGGATCCCAGTTGAAGTCTCAAGAGACCTTCAGCAGTAATTGACAAGCCAATTCTAAAATTTATGTGGAAAAGCAAAGGACCTACGATAGATAACATCATTAATCTTTAAAAAGAAGATTCACTCTACCTGATTTTCAACCTTACTCAAAAGGTACAGTAATCAAGACAGTGAGGTCCAGCACAAGGGCAGAAAAATGGATCAACAAACTCAAATAGAGTCCAGAAACAGACTCACAGATAGAGAATCCATTGATTTTTCTTTTTTTTTTAACAAAGGCAGCAAGGCTATTCAATATGAAAAGGAAAGGCTTTTCAACAATTAGTGCTGGCACAACTGAATAAATGAATGTGAAAAAAAACTCAACCCCTACCTCACACCACACAAAAATTAATTCAAGATGAAGCATAAAAGCTAAATCTATAAAGCTTCTACAAGCAATTATAGGAGAAATACATTCCTAGGCAAAGATTAATTTGAGAGGACAGAAGAAAGCATGAACTGAGAGAAAAAGTTGATAAACTGGACTTTATTAAAGTTAAAAACTGCTTATCAAAATATACTGATAATTAACAGGCAAGCTACAGATTTGGAGAAAATATTCACAATACACATATCTAGCACAGAACTTGTCTTTTTTTTTTTTTTTTAAGACAGAGGTCTCACTCTGTCTCACAGGCTGCAGTGCAATGGCACAATCATAGCTCACTGCAGCCTCAAACTCCTAGGCTCAAATGAGCCTCCTTCCTCAGCCTCCTGAGTAGCTGAGACTACAGGTGCACACCACCACACCTGGCTTTGTCTTTTTAATATAAAAATATATCCTACAAATCAATAACAAAAAGGTGAACAATCCCTCCAAAAATGAGCAAAATATACACTTCACAAAAGGAAATATACAAATGGTCAATAATTACCTGAAAAGGTAATCAGTAATATTAGTCATAAGGGAAGTGAAAATTAAAACTACAATAAGACAGCACTACACTCAATAGAATGGTTAAAATTTAAAAGCCTGACAATTCCAAGTGTTGACATGGATGTGGAGCAACTAGAAAACTAACTTAGCCAGTGAGAGTCTAAATATAACCTTTTGGAAAATCGTTTGAAAGTTGCTTTCAGAACCAAATATAAGCTTATCATGTGAGCTAGAAATTTCACTCCTAAGTATTTACTCAGAGGCAAAAAGACCCCCATACAAATATTCACAGAAGCTATTATTATTCATGATAGCCAAACACTGAAACAACCCCGCATGCTTATCAGCAGGCAAGAATGGATCTGTGACAGTCATACAGTGGAGTATTATTCAGCAATAACATGAACAGACTGCGGATAAAAACAGTACATGTCTGTATGATTTAATTGATATGAAGTTCAAGAACAAGCAAAACTAATGTACGGCAAAGGCTCTCAGAGCAGTGGTTGCCTTTGGGAGTATGAGAGGGAGCTTCCTGCCTTCAAGGGCGCAAGAAGAAAGCTAATGGGGTAGGGAAAACTCTGTATCCTGATTGGGGTGTTGATTTCACGGATGTGTACATTGATCAATATTCAAGCCTTGTATAGGTAAGATCTGTACATTTCACTATATGGACATTTTACTTCCTCCCCAACCCCCTTTAAAAAGCTGAGGAACTTTCAGGGGATTCACTCCAACCTTTAGTTTTAGAGAGGTCCCTGAGAGCCACAGAAGGCAAGGAGTCTGCCTAGGGTCACGCGGCAAGTTGGGGCAGGCATAGCCCCTTCCCCTCCCAACTCTCCCAATCTGTCCACTGAACTGCACCCACCTGAGATTCCATTCTCCTTACTTTCTGAGGTTCCCGACCGGGGAAAGAGGAGGGAAGGAAGACAGAAGGAAGTGATGGAGCAAAAGATGGACCCCCAATCAGGGTTGGCCACAGAGCTAGGGAGAGGCCTCTGCACCCGGACCTTCTTCCTGGTATTAGGAGATTCCAGTGCCGCCGCAGGGCCCAGAAGGGGTGTAGGAGGCGTGGCCGCAGCCCCACCCTAGACCCCAGGGCCGGGCAGGAAGATGCGTCTGCGCGTGCGGGCAGGTGTAGGGGGCGAGGAGGTGGGGAGCGGTAGGAAGGGGAAGCAGCGAGGGGAGAGGCTGCCGAGCCGAGCCTCCGCGGACCCGCTCGCCCCTAAATCACGCAGCCGCATGAATAATAAATAAGGACCGCTCGGATCCTTAACAGTAGTCGCATGTCTTATTAAACTAATATTTCACAAACTTTTATTCTCCCTGTGGTTGGAGGTCGGGAGCGAAGCCCCCCGCCCCCTACCCCGCTGGCTCTGCACAGCCTGGGGCGGACCCTGGATGGGAGGAGCTCAGCGCGCCCGGCAGGGCCCTGGAGGGGGACACCTCTCGCCCCCGTCTCCCCTGTGGGTTCCTTCTTTCAACTCACGTGGCCCTGGTTCCTCCCCTGTGCCAGGCCCTGCCCAGAGGATACAGATGGGTCCACCCCGCTCCCTCTCAAGGAGCCCCCTGGGCCCGGGACGGGGAGACAGACCCTTAAACCAACCGTGTCCGTGAGAGGGCCCAGGGCTGGAACACAGTGCGGCGCAGGGGGCTTGCTGGTGGGGAGCGGAGGGGCGCAGGGGAGGTCTCGCCCGGGAACCCTAAGCAGAGCACCCAGGGGTTAGCGTGGAAACTCTGTCCTGTGGAAGGCGCCGCAGCGCAGGGCCTGGCAGCCTCGCGACACAGACCTGATGTGAACCTTGCCTCCACCACCAGCCGTGTGGCCTTGGGAGGACAAGGGACAAGACCCTGAGAGGAGCATGCTATGTAAGAAGCCAGGAGGGGCACTGGAGACCCAGAGGGTTCACCTCGGAGTCAGAAGGGTGGGGGGCTTTGGGAAGGCCAGGGCCCAGAGTAGGGGCGGTCCAACTGGGTCCATGCTCTTCTCCTTAGCAAAAGATGTGTTTTCCTTGAAGATCTGGGCTCCAATCCTGGCCCCGTCCCTCATCTGTGAAAGCAGTCACAGAATCCACCTTGCAGGGCTGGTGAGGGAACAGTGTGAGATGGAAGCCCGTGTGGGTGCCAGTGGGTATCCATTCCCATTGCTTCCCCAAAAACCACAGCCTTCTGCTGTGCCCCCACTCCCCAGAGGCTCTGATGGGCTGCACCTGGTCCGGGAGGTCTCCTCCTCCTGCCCTTCTGTGCCTTCCTTAGCTCCATGCTGCATCCTCCTTGCCTTCCCCAGGGACCTACACTCGCCAGGTGCCAGGCTGTGTGCTGGCACCGGAGCTCTGGGCTGGGTGCAGACAGTGATCTCTGCCCTGAGGAGCTCCCAGTCTTCCCAGTCTGATGGAAGAAGCAGCCACGAAGGCCCAGCATCACCATGCAGGGGTGAAGCAATGCTGGGCAGGCACACTGGCTCTTCCAGGCACCCCATTCTCTCTGGTGGTTCTGACCCCCAGGCCTGCCTGCCCACCCTGACTCTATCTCTGGCCAGACCACACTTCTGAGCATCAGTCATGTTCAGGGGCCTCCCGAACACAATATCTCCCAGGCTCCTCCAACTCCACACAGTCACCACTGAATTGCCCATCTGCCTCTTGGCCTTGACCCTCAGCCAAGCTGCCTTCACCCCTTAGGAGTGGCAGCACCACTCCTCCATTAATGGGGTCCCAAACCAGCGATCAGATCTGGTTTCTCCTTCCCCCACCCCAAACCCATGCAGTCAACTCAAATTCAGCTAGGCCTGCCTGCAAACTGGCTTCAAACCTTTCCTCTCCTCTCCACCTTCCCCACTGTGCTATGCTGGCCTTCCCTCCATCCCCCCAGGCTGGTTCCCCAGACCCTTCGCAGGTCTTCCTGCCTCCACACTCCCCCAATCCCATCCATCTAACACCCACCATCAGGGTAATCCTCCAGCTGCTCAAGCATAACCTCAGAAGGCTTCTGTGGGTCTCCACTACTCACAAAATAAACCCAGGCTCGTTAACCTGGTGTTCAACGCTTTTCTGCCAACAGCTAGTATCCACTCCTTATTCCGCACATAATTCCCTCCACCTCCTTCCCCACCCTCACACATACACTGGCTCAGCCACCCATCCTCTACTGTGTCCTTGGAGACCCATAAGGTGGGAAAACAACAACGGCAAAAACGAGTTAACTGCCCTGCTCAGTAATAATAGTATTGTATGAGTTTCACTAGCTCAGTTAAGACTCCAGAATGAGGCCAGGTGCAGTGGTTCATGCCTGTAATCCCGACATTTTGGGAGGCCAAGGTGGGAGGATCACTTGAGCCCAGTAGTTTGAGATGAGCCTGGACAATATAGCGAGACTTCTTGTCTACAAAAAAAAAATGAAAAATTAGCCAAGCATGGTGGTGCATGCCCGTAGTCCCAGCTACTTGGAAGGCTGAAATGGGAGGATTGCTTAAGCTCAGAAGGTTGAGGCTGCAGTGAGCCCAGATTGTATCACTGCACTCCAGCCTGGGTGACAGAGCAAGACCTTGTCTAAAAAAAATCTAGAATGGACTATAAAGGGATGTTCTAAGAGCATCTAAAAAGAAGAAGTGGTAAATCCAGGAGAGCAATGGGGTTGCTAGGAAAAGGCCACATCAGGCTCATGCCTGTAATCCCAGAACTTTGGGAGGCCGAGGTGGGAGGATGACTTGAGGTCAGGAGTTCGAGACCGGCCTGGCCAACATGGCAAAACCCCGTCTCTGCTAAAAATACAAAAATTAGCCGGGCGTGGTGGCAGTTGCCTGTAATCCCAGCTATTGGGGAGACTGAGACAGGAAAATCACTTGAACCCGGGAGGTGGATGTTGCAGTGAGCCAAGATCATGCCACTGCACTCTAGCCTGGGCAACAGAGCAAGACTCTGTCTCAAAAAAAACAAAAAAACAAAAAAACAAAAAAACAAGAAAAGAAAAGACCACATCAGATTGGTCCATGTCCTTGTCCACAGGGTGACCAGCCCAACAGGTCAGAGAAGTGAGGCTGTAAGATGGGATCTAGGGTCCTGTGAAGTGCATGGTGAGATCCCCAGGACATGCTCAGGCAAGATGGGGAAATGTGGGATGGACAAAGACACAAGCAAATAACCCCACGACTACAGCCAATGTCCACGGGTGGGTGGGGGTGGGATCTCCACGGAGTGCCCCAGGCTCCATCCTGTTCAGCTGTATTTCACTTCCTTGTGCACGAAGGTAGAGGTGGCACCTTCGCAGGTCCCACAGAGTGTGAGCAAGAGAGCTCCGCTGGGTCCAGAGCCCAGGCAAGGAGAGAGGAGCCCGGTCGTGTCAAGGCAATGTGTCCAGGACCCATAGGGGCTCTCATATTTGAGTCCTAGACACGGAAAGGAGAGAGTCTCAGGCTACCCAGGGTGTGTGGGAAAAGGGGCCATGGTGGGGGGAGAGGGAGGGGCCACTAAAGGGGCTTTTCCTCTGCTGCTAAGCACTTTCCTTGCAGGCTCTGTGACACAGGACGAAAGTGGGGCTCCCGCAGGTTGCAGCACCTGTGCATGGTCACCTGGTCGATGAGCAGCAGGGCCAGAGCACCAACCCAGGATGTGCCGCTGTTCTAGGCTGCCTCCCATCTGGGCAGCAGCCTCCACAGCCTACAGACTAGCAGGGTTCATGGTTTTTTTCTACCTGGAACAGATCACAGAGTTGGAAGGGAGAGGAGTCACCCCCTCAGCCCTGGGGCAGCCCCCAGCACTCTCCAAGAACCCCGGGGCTCTGGGCAGCAGAGTTTGAGCACTGGGTCTAGGGTGAAGTGAACAGCCCAGGTGGCTGGTTTTGCCTCTGTGAGAGCAGCCCAGGAGAGCAGCCAGCCGAGGAGCTGCCTGAAGCTGGAGGGGCCAGGCTGGCTGACCAAGGAGAAGCATCGGGAGCAGCCGAGAGGGGCTGCACCTGATGCTGGGGGCAGGAGGGGGCTGCGAAGAGCTCCCTGTTGCTGACTGCCCACCTCTGCAGGGCTGATTGGAGGGGGGAGTAGAGGGAGCTGGGGGGTAGCACATAAAGGCTGATTCTGAGGAAGGACCTTCTCGGAGTTAGAGTTCTGCAAGGATGAGTGAGTTTCCCATCCCTGGAGATGGCCAACTGGGTGAACCCTGCGGGGAGAAATTACAGAGGGAATCCAGGCATTGCTGGACACACTGGGCCTTCGAGGGTCCTTGCAACCTGGAAATTCTGTGATGCTGTTGCATAAGCTGTTCCCACCATCTGGAATATGCCGTTTCCTCGAATTCCACCTCCACACTCAAGTCAAACCTTTCCTCTTGCAGGGTGTCTCCCCAAAGCCACCCGTCGTCCCTCATCTCATTTTCTCTGGCTCATGCGTTGTAAACTAGACACCCTATGGAACAGAAGAGAGTCAAATCAAATGCAATTGCAGGAAATTGACTAGAACCAGGGAAAACAATAGCACACACTTGTATAGCACCCACTAGTACCAGGCACTGATCCCCAAGTACACAGACATGGACCTGTTTAACCCTCACAACCATGATTGGCATAGGTATCGTGTTGGCGCCATGTTCCAGATGAGGGCAGCTGGAGACCAGGAGGAGAAGTGACCTGCCTAAGGCAATGCAGCCAGGGCCAGGGGAAGAGCTGGGATTTGAACCCAGGCAGTCTGGCTCCGGAGTCCATACTCTGAATCACTGCCTCGAGGCTGTCAGGACGATAACATGAGCCAATGCTATGAGAACACAGAGCAGAGCCGGCACTTAGTAGGCACTCGGCACTCCCGAGGCCCGTCTCCCTTTGTCTCTGCCCCTGAGTGTGCCCACCACTGTCCCTGCCCTGCCCAGCTCTGCCGCTCCCTGCTGCTCATCCTCTCTGGCTTTGTCTAGCTCTCCCTGCCCCTGTGTGTCACTCTATGTCTGCCTCCCTGTTCTTCTCCCTCCCCTGCCCTGTCTTTTGCTCTGTGTCCTTGTCTGTCCTTCTGTCCTCTCTGTGTCTTCCTGTCCCTTTCCCACCAGCCCCCACCGCGTGGACCCCGCTGACTCGTGCTTCTGCTTTCCCCGTATCCCTGGCGCCTCTCATCATCAACGCGTCCTTTGTCTTTACAAGCCGGCCTGGTCTCTCTCCATCTCTCCCTCCATTTACGAGCCTGTGTGTTAGTGGACAGGGCAGCCGATGGAGGCCACTCACTAGTGACCCATCTCTGTGATCACCTCATTATTTATCACCAGGGACGCCAGTGTTTCCATAAATTACCCCGACCTGGAGCTGCCCGCGCTGGAATCAATAGTCGCCTCTCACCTAATACCCAATTATTAATAATCACGGGGTGAAGGGTGGCCAGACATGGCCAGACATGGCACTCCAGGTTCTTGCCTGGCAGGGGGAGGGG
The DNA here is from genome assembly GCF_000001405.40 of Homo sapiens. Taxonomy (NCBI): domain Eukaryota; kingdom Metazoa; phylum Chordata; class Mammalia; order Primates; family Hominidae; genus Homo; species Homo sapiens. The sequence continues at coordinate 126,227,942 of NC_000009.12, forward strand.
CGGGCTGGGAGGGTGCTGGACCCCATGCTGCAAGATGCCAGCACAGGGCAAGAGGCAGGGCCTGGAGAAGGACAGGGTCCCCACATTCTCTCTAGGACTGGGCGATAAAATCTGAGCCATGGTTCCACCCTGAGGGCAGAGGGAGACACAGAGCCCCATCTTTAGGGTCCTCTAGTCTGAGGACAGGAGACCTGGCCAAGCAGTGAAGTCTGCCCTTTTAGGACCCACCGGGGCCCCTAGCCATAAGGGTGCACCTTCCCCAGAGAGGAGAGCTTCATCCTGCGGGCAGACGAAAGACTACCAGAGGCAGGTGCTAGAGTGGGGCTTTGGTTCCACCACGGCACGGGGGTCAAGAGGTGATTTTCCAGCCCTGCCCCCCGGCCCTGCAACACACACTTGGAGCCCTGCAGGTACATCTGGGTAAAGATCTGAACCTGCAGGAGCTGGTGCTTGGTGGGGTGGAGGCATGGCAGGAAGGACAGGAGGAGGAGCAGGACACCTTAAGGGGATCTACACCTGCTGGAGCCCGAGGCTGGGGGCTGGGGAGCGAATCAGAACAGCTGTCCATACACATGATGGTGGGAGAGGCAAGGCCAGCGGAGGGAGGCCAAGCCCTCAGTGTATCCTGATACCCAGATATACACACGCGCTCAACCACTGACTCTCCCTTCACTGCACCAGAGGTTCAATGGACGGACACACACACACACAGAAACACACCTCACATGCACAAACCAGCGGCATGAAAACACTTTTGCACCGAAGGCATTCTTACAAAGCAGACAGTTACATACACACACACATGGACACCTGCATAGAGTCACTGATAAACACAGATGCGTGAGGGCACCCACACACACCCACACGCAGAAATACAAGTGCATGTTTAGGCCTATGCACACATACACCCCAGATATCCCCCACACACACAAACACACAGGCACCTACACACGCTGACACAATGCACACTTGCAGCCCATCCTGCGCGCACACCCTTTTGTGCACACAGTGTGCACATGCAGCGACGCGGCCTCTAAGGGCATCTTGCGGAGTGAGGCTGAGGCTTCGTTCAACTCCTCCAGAGCCCAGTCGGTTCCAACACTGCCACCATGTGGCCTCAGGTGCACAGTGCACAGGCCATGAGGCTGGAACACCCGGCCGGTGGGGAGGAGGTCTGGCCCCAAATCTTGGGTCCCTCCATCTAGTTGAGCCGGACTGCCATTTGGCCACTTCCCAGTGAAACCGAACACAGTCCTGGAGAACTGGGTCAGACTGTGTGACAGCTGGAGCCTGCTACTGTGTGCCATTGCTGTCCATCCAGCAGGGCTGGCACCATGGCCTGTCTTTGCAACCCATGGCTGGTGACACGTGGTAGGCAGGCGGCCCCCATGTTAGTGTAGACTTGGTGCGAAGTTGTTTAAACTCTCCCAGAGAGACTGGGGTTTAATCCTGACCTGCAATGTAATCATTAGTTCACCCATCACAGTATCGAGGCTGTAATCTGTGTCGGTGTATGATGCTAGGTTGAAATTATGGTGAGCAACAGACAGTTGCCTCTCCTAAATGTCAGGGGGCCCAACACTGAAGAGATAACACAACAAATATTTATCAGGTTACACCATAGAAAACTGACATTGGTGTAGGTCTAAAATGGTCAACCACTGGCAGAGTATTCACGCAAGATCCTTTGATTCACCCTAATGATGGCAAGTGTCATACGGTTACAGAACAGGGCAGTGGGGCTTAACCTGGGGTTGGAATGGCAGGGAAGGCTTCCTTGAGAGGAACTTGACTCTAAGCTGAACTTGAAAGGGTGAGTAGTGATGAAGTTGCTCACAGGGTGGGAAGAGCTGTGCAAAGGCCCTGAGGCAGGAGAGAACTAGCATATTGTGGAAACTGAGAGAAAGCCAGTGTGCTTAGAACCCAGCACCAAAGGTGAGGGGCGTGAGTAAAGCCAGAAGGATTGGAGAACCAGGAGCTCCAGGCAGGATCCAAAGTTTAGGGCTTGGGATTATTTAGTACTTGGGACTTTTTTCCTCCCAACAGCACCAGGGAGAGGCTCGCTGAAGAAGAGTGTAAGCATGGGAATGTCATACTCAGCTTGGTGATTTCAAAAGCCCACTCTGGCTGCAGAGTGGAGAAGGACTGAGTGATGGGGTGGGGAGTACAAGCTGTTACCCACATCCAGGTGAGAGATGGCAGTGGGGAGAAGTGCACAGAGCCAAGATCTTGGTCCAGCTGCTCTCTGAGTCCAGGTTTTGTCCTCTGTAAAGTGGGCTGTAATTTCTACCTTGCAATGAGGATGAAGTAAGAAAATGAATATAAAGCACTTGGTAGGTGCCTGGCACATAAGGAGTACTCAGCAAATGGCAGCTGTGATTCCTCATCTTATCATCTTATTATTAGAAAGCACAGAGGACCTGTCCCCCTGCCCTCGCTGTGGGCTTCCAGTGGTCTGTGCCACTCGGGGCCAAGCTCACAGATGGCGCCCAGAGCTCGTGGAGGCACAGATGTTCTCGCTTTTGTTCTCAGAGGCCCTGGAGCCCTCAGGTGCCCCCATGCTCCTCAATTTACACTCAAGGTCTCCCCAGGCATAAGCACTCTTAGGGAATTGGTGCCTGGGAGGACCTTGCCAAGGTTTTCTCTCCTCCTAGATACTGCAAGGAGCTGAGGCAGACACCCAGCCACACAGGCCTGCCAAGGACGTTCATGATCTTGTAGAGATGGGGAAACTGAGGCTCGGGACAGTACATCACACACTGAGTAGCAGTGCTGGGATTTGAGACCACCCTGACTCCCAAAACTGTGCTTTTTAATTTTTTGATCCGAGGTTCAGAAACTTGAGTTAATCACACATCTCAGTTCCCGGCAGACTATTCATGCAGGATCCGTCTCCTGACTTGTTATTACTAAAAAATCGATACATGTCAATCATTCCCAGAGCCTTATTTTGTACCCGGCTCAGTGACAGGGCCCGCGCGGGTGCATCCACAGGTGGTTCAGCGGCAGGTCCTATCCTTGGGGAGCATGTGAGCTGGTGACAGTCAACTCTGGGCAAAGAACTTCCACTCTCCTGGCCGGAAGTGCTGATTTAAGGAATTTATCCAAGAAAAACAAGGACGAGGGTCTATAAAGGTGTTTGCATCAGACTAATAATAAAGATTTCATGCCCTTCAGTGAGGAATAAATGCATTATGATATATCAGTCCAGTGGAACATTATGTATCTATTAAAACTGGTGGCAAGAGCGTTCCTTTATTGATGTGGAAAGATGGCTACACTTTGTTATTCAGATTTTTAAAAAAATAGGTCATATAACAGTATTCATAGAGATTTCCATTTTGAAAAACATAGATAATACATGCATATATTTTCTTTATTCTAAGATGCACATTTTTTAACATTTGAACATTTCTAAAATCAGGATGTGCATTGCAATTAATGGATATGTTTAATGCATAGTTCTTTTCTCCAAAAGAGCCGTGTAATTAAATCAGTGATGCATCCCCCAGTCAGTGTTGTCCCAGAATCAAGAAAAACATATATATACGTACACACATAGGACAAATTCCAGAAAGACAGCAACCAAAATGCTAAAAGTCATTAAATCTAGGTGATTTCCACTTTCTTCATCAACCTTCTGTACTGTCTGGGTTTTATAAACTGAACACGAATTATTTTTATAATTAGAAAAAAATCCCCCATTTCCATATTGAAAAACAAAACAAAGTCTCAGGTCAAAAAAAGTCCAAGCTTCTCATACACAGCAGGCCAGAATACTCGCTAAACAGAGCCCCAGAAGCAGGGGACGGGAACCAAGGGGACTTGGCAGCCTGGTTGTAAAGGAGCTGGGCTTCCTAACACAGGAGGGATCTGGGTAGATGGGGAACAGGTTTAGACCCTGCAAGCCGAGGAGACAGTCTAAAAGGAGGCCTGGGGATCCAGAGCATTCCCTTAGGGTCTGGAGGGAAATAGTGTGACCGAGGCCAGGCAGATGGCAGTGGTGGTAGTTAGAATAACAACCCTAGCTGACATTTATTGAGTGCTTACTCTGTGCTGGGTACTGCTCTAAGCATTTCATACGCATTTCCTTATCGTAACAGACTGCCTTGTATCCCCGCAAGATGCATATGTTGATGTCCTAACCCCCAGTGTCTTAGAGTGTGATCGCATCTGGAGATAAGGTCTTTAAAGAGGTGATAAGGTTGAAATGAAATCACTAGGGTGGACCCTAATCCAGTATAAGTGGAGACTTTATAAGAAGAGGAGATTAGGACACACACATCAACAGACAGAAGAACAGGCAAAAGCACAAGGAGGAGAAGACGGCCATCCACAAGCCAGGAAGAGAGACCTCAGAAGGAACCAACCCCTGCTGGCACCTTGACCTCAGCCTTCTAGCCTTCAGAAGAGTGAGAAAATACATTTCTGTTGTTTAAGACCCCCAATCTGTTGCTCTTCGTGATGACAGCCCTAGCAAACTAATATACTTCCTTACCCCACAACAACCCCGTGGGGGTGGTTGTTTCAGTTATCTCTTGCTGCGTAACAAGCTGCCCCAACACTTTGTAGCTCAAGATATCAATAATAATTTGCTTTGCTCTGGAGCTTGGCAAGGTCAGCTTATCTACACTCTGCATTGCTGGGCAGACGACATTCAGGATGGCTCATGCATGTGACTCACATGACAAGCTGGTGCTGTGAGCCAGACACTTATTGTGGCCTCTCCATGTGGCTGCTCGGCCTCCTCACAGCATGGCCACTGGAATCCAACAGTGGGCATCCCAAGAGAACCCGATGAAGTACGTGGCATTCTTAAGACCGAACCTTGGGAGTCTTGTAGTGTCACTGGTGCTACATCTATCAAGGCAGTGACAAAAGTCCTCCCAAGTTCAGGGCAAGGGACCACTGTCTCCACTATCCCCTGGGAAGAGTGGCAATGCTCTTGTAAGAAGACCTTGTGGGATGGGATATATATTGTAGCTGACATCTTTGGAAAATGCACTCCATCATGATAGGTACTGTAATTATCCCCATGTTACAGGTGAGGAAATGCAGGTGGAGAGAGAATTTAAGGGACAGGCTAAGATCATGCAGCTTGTAAGTGGTGGCATTGGGTGGGTTGGTGCTGGATCATGAAAGGCCTTGAATGCCAAATCCAAGGTTGAGGTTTAAAGTCGGTGCACAATAGAGAGCCAGTGAGCTTTTGGAAGCAGAGAATGAAATCATTAGGTCTGTGTTCAAGGAAAATCGTTCTGGCTGCAGGATAGAAAAAGGAAGAAGGATAATCTGGAGGCAAGAGGAGGCCGGGGCCACAGTGCTAGGGAGGGGATGTGGACCAATCCAGGGCAGTGCTTGGGGGCTGGAGGGAAGGGCCCCGCTGCTGCTTCTAGGCAGGAGGGCCTCTGGGTGATGAGTAGCACCGACCCCACTCCTCTGCGGACCAGCTGAGGTCCCCGCTCCCTTGGCTTCCCAAGATCCACCGTCTCATAAGATACCTGTGGGCCCTCCTTCTTCAGGGAGTCTGGCGAGGGCCCTGCTGGGTTTGATCTCACTGCACAAAGCCAGCACATAACAGGTCCTTAGTGTTTGCCGAATGAGCAAATGGTGAGTGAATGAATTAATGAGTGGGAGACAGGCCGTAAAAGAAAACTGATAAACTAAGGGAGAAAAAAAGCCAAATATACCTTAACCATGCAACTTCACGGAATCACAGATCTGGGGGGACTAACTGGGTGGTGACTAGAAGCATGGCCAGAATGTGGGGGGGTGGGTGGGTGGAGGCAGGAGTTTAAGAGGCCTCTTGAAGCTGTCCCAGGAGAAAGACCAGAGCCGGGATGGGGCTGAGCCCTGATTGGATATAAGGGTGTTCATCGCGGATGTTCCACCAATGAGGCAATCAGCTCTTCCGCCGCGTCCGCAAAGGCGAGATTTCGCGCGTGTTTGAATCCCTGCTCTGCGACCCATTCACAGAGATGTCTCGAGCGCAAGCCTTCTCTGCAGTTTTCTCAGCTGCACCGTGGAGGTGAGAGCGGCACAGCCCTCCCCTGGTAGCAATGCGGACCTGGGAGGCACTGGGTGAAAAGCACCAGCTTCGGTCGGGCTGGAATTGGGGGCTACTGGGGACTCCTGGCCAGGGCCATGGCCCCGCAGTGGCGTGTGCTGGAGTAATGGTCCTCTCACTTTTCTTCCCCGCCACCGGACTGGGAGCTCCTGACGGGTAGAGACTGTGTCCCAGGGCTCATCCCAGGGCTGGCAGGAGGAGGACTTGGCAAGGTCTAGGGTGTTAGCTTCAAGAACGGGTGCACTTCCCTAGGGGGCTGTTCACAAAGGGACGCAGAGCATGGAGGGGCAGCCAGGCCTCCACTATCTCATGCAGCCTGCCCCATCGGCAGACCCTGTCTGGATGCCAGCCGGGAAGCCCGGGGCCACAGAAACGCCGCAGCAGAGCCAGCCAGGCCCATGGGAAACGGGTCAAAGGCAAATGAGGGACTTCCAGCGGCTAGGAACCAGAGAGAGAGGAGGCAGGGAGGGGACACCTGGGTGGACAGAACACCTACAACATGCCAGGAGGAAGTCATGTTCTCCTCCCCATTTTACAGATGGGAAAATTGTGAGCTTTGTCCTGTATTACTCCACGGAGACTTCGAGGAGGGGAAGGAGGGAGACGTGGATAAGGCGCAGGGTGGGCCGTCCCCGGCAGCAGCATCTTGGGATCAGAGAACGGCCAGCTGTGGTCTCCAGGTCCTTGCACCCCAGGTTCTGTGCCTCAAGCACCCTGGCTTGGGCTTCCCCTGGGTTGGGCCTCTAAGTTTCCTCTGAGGGGCATTCCTTCTGGGTTCACCATTCAGATCAACCTAGGCTGACAGAAAGCCAAGAAAGAGTAGATTTCTCTCTTCTGCGCTTGAGGGGCAGAGACAGTGGGGGTCACTGGTACCCTGGAGGATGGGGCCAGTTCAGAGATCCTTGTGAATGAACACCAGTGAGACAGGATCACAGGACAGGCTGGTGGCTCCCATGTTCCTGCCTTCTCTCGGGGCCAGATTCACCTTCAGATTCCAGGGCCCACACCCCTGTGTCCCAGCATGACCTGGAAGGAATTCCAAATAGTCCCAAGGGTTCCCGGACCTAAACCTGGGGCTACGGGCTGGGCTTTGGGCTCAAGCTGAACTCACCCCCCGTCTTCTGCCTCATGTCATCTTCACCCAACTAGGATCCCTGCTGGTCACCGCTCAGCCCCTTGCCTGCCCTGGTCAGGGCAGGAAGCTCGTCTGGTGCCAGCAATAGGCACCAGAATTGGCCACACTGCCCTAAGGCCATCAGCAGCCCCGCAGGACCCCAGCCTTGCCCATGCCCTCTCCAGCTGGCTCAGCTCAAGGCCAAGCTCTCATAGCCCTTTGGACACTGATTCAAACAGCTCCCCGTCCTGCAGCCTGGCCTACAGCCAGGCCAGGTCCTGCAACGTTCCCCCCCCAACCCCCTCAAACCAGCGTGTTCAGAGCCCCCGTGCCCCGCCTTCCCCCAAAGCCTGCCTCCCCTGATTTCTGTTGGATTTGACATTCGCCCTGTGGCTCAGACGCCCAGGACCCCCCACAGCCCTGCCTGGGGACCCAGCCCGGGTTCCAGCTGGCTGGCGAGCCCAGCCAAGCATCACCGCTCCCGCGACATCCCTGAGTGACAGGAAACAACTCGCTCCTTCCAAGAGGCGAAGCTCTGACAAACACTCACTAGGAAATAATAAAGTGGCAAAATAATTCTGCATCGGACACACTTACCAGAGCAGAAAGCGTCTGCGGAGGAGACAACATCTTGTACCATCTATCTTCCTTAAATCCTCACGCTGTGACAAAGTGGAGGGCGAAATCATGATGAATGATCGGACACATTTAGCCAGTACCTGTGCTCTGTAACGAGCGTGGCCCGGGAAAGGGGCCCTAATGAAGATCTGTGCCCCCGCCCCAAACCGGGCCTCGTCGGAAACAAGTCTTTATTACGAAATTGGCGCCTAGTTTTCATACCACGCAGGATGGAGGCGCAAGGTGTGACATGAATTAACGCCGGCACCTGCAGGGTCAGCCCAGCCCTCGCTGGCGGTACAGAGACAAACGGGTTCGGCTCCCGCCACCACCCTGCGTCTGGTTGACAAGGCGCCAGTCGCCTTCGGATTGTGCGGGAACACGCCTCGGTTTTGTTCCTACCCGGCCCGCCATCATTTATTCTGCTGCCTCATTTGAATATGATGAATACTGTAGTCCTTTATTTGTTCACAACAACCAAATAATTGTAGATCCGTGGGCTTCGGGGCAATTAATCACATTTTTCCCTCCACCAATCCACTATAAACATGACATTGAACAATAAAGTACATTAACCTCTGCTTTGCACAAAACTTTGCTTATTTAAACACCGCAAGGTTATTTGTTTTCCTTCTTGCCAGGCCCCTGCCATGAAGAAGAGGTAGTGCGGAGAGAAGGCCCACCCCATACTGGGCAACCACACCAGCCCAGCCCAGCCCCCAGCTCAGCCAGGCCCGGGGCCTAGTGTTAGGAGCGAGCAGGTGTGGCTGCAGGCCCTGGAGTGGGCATCCCGGCAGGACCTGAGTCTGTGTATACGTGTGTGTAAGCATGTGTGCACATTTGTGTGTGTATGCACAGCTGTCACTATGCGCATACTTGTGTGAATGTGTCTGTATTGCACATGTGTTCCTGTGCATATATATGTTTATATATGTCTGGTCTCAGAATAGAGGTTCTGAGGAAAAAGTCTAAGTGTGTGTGTGTGTGTGTGTGTGTACTTATAAGCGTTCTTGTTTGCACATGTGTGGCCATTTTAAAATACGGCTGCAAATTATTTCACATCCTTCCCATCAAGAGGTGGGATCTATGTCCTCCCCTCCTTGAATCGGGGTAGACTTGTGACTGCTTTGACCAAATCTCAGTGAGGTCAAAAAAGGCCACGCAGCCTTCGCTTTGTTCGTGGGAACACTTACTCTTGGAGTCCTGAGTTGCCATTTAAGAATCCCAGCTACTCCGAGGCTACCACGCAAAAGAGGCCACATGGAGAGGCCCTGAGATCTCAAGGAGAGAGACAGAGAGAGAAAGAGATGCCGGATGAGTACCCAGCCATTCAAGACATCCCAGCCCAAGCACCAGACATGTGAGTGAAGACACCTCCAGCCATTCCATTCTTCCCCATGGAGGATCCAGATGTGTTGCAGCAGGGACAGGCCATTCCCACTGCATCCTGCCTGAATTCTCGCCTCACAGAATCCATGAGCATAGTAGAAGGGTGTTGCTTCGTGGCACCAAGACTGGGGTGGCTTGCTATGTAGCAATAGATAATAGGGCTGAAAATCTGTGCAATGTGTGCATGTGCATGCATTTGGGGGTGCGTACATGAGCAAGTGATGTATGTGAGCAGTACATATATGTGCACCATGCATCCAAGTCTTCACTCGGCACCTTACTGAACACCTTCTGGGCCAGTCTTTTTCTAGGCATGTGGGATACATCAGTGACCAACGCAAAGGCCATGTCCTCATGGAACTTGACTTCCAACAGATGGAGATAGACAATAAATAATAAACTAAAGAAGAAGTTAAATTAGATGGCAAGTTATAAGGTGAATACTACTATGGAAAAAGGGAAAGCCAGAGCTGGGTGTGGGGATCAAGAGAGCTGGAGACTGGGGGTGGGTCACATTTTTCTACAGGGTGGTAAGGGCAGGCCTCTTTGAAAAGACGGCATTGGAAAAATCCTCGAAGGGCATGAAAGAGTTTGTGTATAGGTTTAATTATGCCCCTGAAAATCTCCCCAAAATGTTGAATTTCTAACCTTCAGAGTTTCAGAATGTGACAAATATTATTTGGAAATACGGTTGTTGCAGATACAGTTAGCTGAGATAAGACCACACTGGAATAGGGTGGGGGCTTAATCTAATATAACTGGTGTCCTTGTGAAGAGAAGAGACACAGAGACAGAGACACATGGGGAAAAGACCATGTGAAGACAAAGGCAGAGATGGGAGTGATTCATCTAGGAGCCAAGGAACACCAAGGGCTGCCAGCAAACACCACAAGTTGGAGCCAGGCATGGTGGCTCACACCTGTAATCCTAACAGTTTGGGAGGCTGAAGCAGGAGGATCGCTGGAGCCTAGGAACTGGAGACCAGCCTGGGCAACATGGTGAGACCCTGTCACTACAAAAAATTAAAAAATTAACTGGGCACAGTGGCATGCGCCTGTGATCCCAGCTACTTGGGAGGCTGAGGTGGGAGGATCGCTTGAACCCAGGTGATCAAGGCTGCAGTGAGGCAAGATTGCACCACTGCACTCCAACCTGGGCAACAGAGCACGACCCGGTCTCAAAACAAGAAACAAAGGAGGAGGAGTTGGAGGGGGAAAGGAGGATCATCCCCATAGATATATTCCAAGGAAAGATGGCCTGGCAGACACCTTGATCTTGGACTTCTAGCATCCAGAGCTGTGAGACAGTAAATTCCTGTTGTTTTAAGCCATCCAGTTTGCAGTACTTTGTTACACAGCCCTAGCAGACTAATACAGTGATGGAGATCTGGGAGAGGAGCAGTCTGGGCAGGAGGATCAGCCAGTGTGAGGGCCCTGCAATGGGCAGAGCAGCAGGTTCAAGGATCAACAAAGAAGTGGGTGGGCAGGGAGAGAAGAGGAGGAGACGGGTGAGCCAGGTGACAGGGGCTGATTCACACAGCCTTGAGCCATTGTAGGGACATGGCTTTCACTGTGGGTGAAACAGAGCTTTGCAAGGTTCCGAGCATCATCTTTTCTAACCAGGATTGAAAAGGCTCTCTCAGTGCTTTGAGAATAGACTCTGGGGTTGAGGGCAGATTAGGGAGAACAATTAGGAGCCTGGTGCGATAATCCAATGATCCATGTGGTGGCTTGGACCAGGTGGTGGTGGTGGAGGTGGTGAGAGGTGGTTTATTATGGATATATTTTAGGGGTCCAGGCAACAGGACTCCCAGATGCATTGGAATGTGGGGTGTGAGAGAGAAATCAAGGAGGACTCCAAGATCCCTGGCTTGAGAAACGGGAAGGAGAGAGTCATGATCAGCCAAAATGGAGAAGGCTATGGAAGGATCAGGTTTGGGATTGGGATAGACCAGGAAATGTGAGTATATATCATCATATGCATTTATGTGTATGTGAGAGTGCATAAGTGTGTATGTATGTGTGTGTCTGCATGTATCTTTGGACGCATTATGCACTCAGATAGGTCTAGGTGCTTTTGTATGTGTCTACTGATGGATATTTTTATCTTTAAGAAGAATTTAGGCCAGGCACAGTGGTTCACGCCTGTAATCTCAGCACTTTGGGAGGCTGAGGAGGGCGGATGACTTGAGGTCAGGAGTTCGAGACCAGCCTGGCCAACATAGTGAAACCCATCCCTACTAAAAATACAAAAATTAGCTGGGCATGGTGGCAGGCACTTCTAATCCCAGCTACTCCGGATGCTGAGGCAGGAGAATACTTGAACTTGGGAGGCGGAGTTTGCAGTGAGCCAAGACTGCGCCACTGCACTCCAGCCTGGGCTACAAAGCCAGACTCCTTCTAAAAAAAAAAAAAAAAAAAGAAAGAAAAAGGAGAATCTAAATGAGTACCTGCAATGTGTTTGCATATGTTTGTGCATTTATGTGACTTTTTGTAGTGCGTGTGCCTGAGGAGTGTATGTGTATATCCGTGGAGGGGTGTGTGTGTGTGCGTGTGTGCATGTGTGCATGTGTGTGTGAAGTGCTCCAGAGAGACAGTGCAGGGAGGCCAGTCTCCTGTCAATGGACTTGTCTTGGGTGGACAGGATGGAGGTGGGGTTTACATAGGCAGGGCTGTACTCAAAAACCTCTTTGAAGCCAGACCCCAGGGCAGGGAGAGTCTGTTCATCCAGGTTCTCATTGAGAAGGAGGTGGTGAAAGAGAGGTAGGCCTCCCACGGATGGGCACAGAGCTCCAGCCGCACCAGGTGGTACCCACATGCCAACAAGGGGGGAATTGGTCAAGTGGATTGGGAGTCTCCACAGGATGGAATGTAGGTTTGCCTTCAAAATATGGCATCTTTAAGAAATAGTTGGTTGGGTGTGGTGACTCATGCCTGTAATCCCAGTGCTTTGGGAGATCAAGGCAGGAGGATCACTTGAGGCCAGGAATTTGAGAACAGCCTGGGCAATATTGTGAGACCCCCATCACTACAAAAAGAAAGAAAGAAAGAAAATTACCTAGGCATGGTGGCACATACCTGCAGTCCTAGCTATTTGGGAGGCTGAGGAAGGAAGATCTCTAGAGCTCAGGGGTTTGAGGCTGCAGTGAACCGTGATCACACCACTGCACTCCAGCCTGGGTGACAGAGCAAGACCCTGTCAAAAAAAGGAAGAAAGAAAGAAAGAAAGAAAGAAAGAAAGAAAGAAAGAAAGAAAGAAAGAAAGAAAGAAAGAAAGAAAGAAAGAAAGAAAGAGAGAGAGAGAAAGAAAGGAAGGAAGGAAGAAAAGAAAGGAAGAAAAAGAAAAGAAAGAAAGAAAGAAAAAGAGAAAGAGAAAGAAAGAAAGAAAGGAAGGAAGGAAGGAAGGAAGGAAAGAAAAGAAAGGAAGAAAAAGAAAAGAGAGAAAGAAGGAAAGAAAGAAAAGAAAGAGAAAGAGAAAGAAAGAAGGAAAGAAAGAAAAGAAAGAGAAAAAGAAAGGAAGAAAAAGAAAGAAAAAAGAAAGAAAGAAAAAGAAAGAGTTAATTATTTGGGAAAAAATGTCCCAAAAGAATAGTAAACTTTGATAAGAGCTAATGAAGTTCTTCACAAAGAGAAGCCATCTAATGAATACTCCCTCAACTCATAGCTGCCAAACATCTTGGCTATAGGATCTGTACCCTTACTTTACTCTCTTTGCTTCCCACCAGGCTGAACGGAGGAGCTTCCCCTACCCATCTCTGAGGTACCCCCTCTCTCTCAGTGGAAACTCATTCCACCTATCAATCACTGTGGCCCTCACTGCAGCTGCCAGGTTGGGCATGGTATCATTGCTAGAGTAGATTAATAAAGCCTCAGGTACATGGTATGTGGCCATTCACCTCATGAACACATTCTTTTCTATTCCAATCAAAAAGAGGATCTGAAACAGACTGCAATAGTTATTTGCAGTTTTGTAGTTTTGCCCAGAGGCTATATTAACTCTTCCATCCCCTGTCATAAAATTGTCCAAGGAGATACAGACTGCCTCCAGATTGCAAAGAACATCACATTGATCCATTACATCAATGATATCATGCTGATACAGACAAGCAAAAAGTGCTAGCTCTTTGGAGGTCTTGGGAAGACACAGGCACACCAGAAGGTGTGCATGTATTTATAATTAGTGTAAACGGTATTGTATAACTTTGCCATTCTCTTACTAATTGTTTTTCAATTGGCACTATGTTTTTAAGATCTATTCATGTTGCTATGTGTACATATATGATCCTTTGCTTCATAATAGTGGGGGCCAAACCAGGTGGCTACTGTCTGTCCTCCTCCCACAAATCTGCAACAGAAATCCTTGTAGATTTCCCAGTGTACAGCTGTGTTAGAATTTCCTTGAATCCTAGGGTACCTATGTGCTTAATTTGCATAAGTAATGTGGAATCACTCTCCAAAAAGGCCTTACCAATTTACACTCTCATCAGCCATGTGTGAGGAATCCTATCTTCCTTATTTCTACCATTAATTGGTATTACACAGCTTTCTAGTTTTTGCCAGTCTAAGGTGTAAAGTGATATCTCGTTTTAATTTGCATTTCTCTAACTACTAATGAGTTTGAGCATCACTTCATGTGCTTATTAGCTTTGGGGGTTTCCTTTTCTGTAAATTGCCTGTCATATCATTTGCCCATTATTCTATTGGAGTTGATGTCCTCTTGTTGTTGCTTTGCAGAGCTCCTTGTATACTCTAGGTGTTAATCCCTTGTCAATTTTAGACTTAAAAAAATCTTAATCCTATCATCTGACGCTTAATTGGTTTACGTTCTTTTTTTGTTAAACACAGTTTCTTAATTTCGATGTAATCAAATTCAGCAAATTTGTGCATTGTGGCTTGTGCTTTTAAAGTTTTGTTAAACAAGCCTCCTTCCCTTTCCTAAGCCCAAAGATATCCTTCCACATTTGTGTCTATTAACTCTATGCTTTTTAAGTTTCACATTTAAATCTTTAGTGTACCTAGAGCCCCCGCCCCCCCCCCACCACCCCGCCGCACATGAGGCAAAACAGGAGTCCAGTTATAGTTTTCTTGGTAAACTGCGCCAGTTTTTCCTACTTTATGTGCAAAACAATCCATCCTTTACCCATCGATTTGCTGCAACATCTCCTTTATCCCTGTTAAGTTTCTATTGGTAGGTCTTTGGGTTCTCCATTTTTGTTTCAATGATATAATTTGTCTATTCATAGTAATTGAAAATTGTGGTATAATTAAAAACACCAAAGTTTTAGATTACTATGGCTTTATAGTCGTTCTCAATATTTGGTGGGGAAAGTCATCCCCCCTTCATTCTTCTTTTTTTAAGTTGACTTAGTTCTTCATGGAACTTCCATTACTCCACATAATTTTTACAGTAGATTTACCAATTTTCTTAAATACATACACACAACTGTAATTATTATTGGGATGGCAGTGAATTTATGAATTAATCTGATTAGAGTTGACTTAATTATGATATTAAATCATCCTATCCAAGAGATGTCAATTACACAAGCCTTAAAGCTCAGTTCATGGAGATTTAATATGATCTTGGTTTAATTCTCAAATACTTGGTAATTTTCGTTGCTCTTTTTTTGTTGTTGTTGTTGTTGTTTTTTTTTTTTTTTTTTTTTTTTGAGACGGAGTCTCACTCTTTCGCCCAAGCTGGACTGCAGTGGCGCTATCCCGGCTCACTGCAAGCTCCGCCTCTTGGGTTCATGCCATTCTCCTGCCTCAGCCTCCCGAGTAGCTGGGATTACAGGCACCCACCACCACGCCCGGCTAATTTTTTGTATTTTTAGTAGAGACGGGGTTTCACCATGTTAGCCAGGATGGTCTCGATCTCCTGACCTCGTGATCCGCCTGCCTCGGCCTCCCAAAGTGCTGGGATTACAGGCGTGAGCCACCGCGCCCGGCCAATTTTCGTTGCTCTTAAGATGATATTTTATTTTTATTACATTTACTTACATTTAAAATTTCTTTTATTATGATTTCTTACAATTCCATACTATATTTGTCATCTTTTTTCTACTGAATTTTTAAATTATATTTTCTAGTTGGTTATTGCTGATGTAGAAATCCTATTGATTTCTGTAGGTTAATCTTGTACCTGGGCAACCTTAGCTGGATTCTTTTATTCATTCTAATAATTGGTCTGTAAGTTCTTTTGGTACCCATCTAGATGGGTTACGTATCTACAAATAATGACAGTTTTATGTTTTTTCTTCCAGACTCCACAATCTTCCTTTCTTCCTTCCTTATAGTATTTATTGGAATCTGTAATACTATATTAAACCACTCCGGTTATGAGATACTGAGGTCTTAAAGCTATATGTCTGAAGTTTCTCTGTTATGTGTATTATTTACTTGGGGATGTATAAACTTTATTAAATTAATTTATTTCTACTCCAAGTTTTATAAGTTTTTGTAATCCTAAAAGGTATTCAACTTTATCAAATGCTTTTTCTGCATTGACATTATCATATATTATTTTTCTCCTATTAATATATTGAATTAAATGAAAACATTTTCTGATGTTGAACTATCCTTGCATTCCTTGAATATGATGTATTATTTTTAATACACTGCTGGATTCTATTAGCAAACATTTTGTTTAGAATTTTTGCACCTATGTTTATAATAGGGCTACAGTTTTCTTTATTTGCATCATCACCATCTGGCTGTGGAATCAGGATTGTATTAGCTCCACAAAATTAGCTGGCAGACTTCTCTATTTTTCTATTTTCTGGAAAAAAAAAAAACTGGAATAAAATAGAAAATAAATATTCCTTAGAAGTTTAGTAGAATTTGTATGTAGAACCATCTGGGTCTAAGTTTTGGCAGAGAAGAGATATTGGTAAAAAGGGGAGATATTTGACTACCATTTCAATATTTTTAATATTTATTTGTTGGTTCAAGTTGATTCATATGTCTGTTCAAGTCCAATTCCCCTTGCACAAATTTTGGCATTTTATATTTTCCTACACATTTTTAATTTATTTTTTAATTTTTTTATCCTATACAGTTTTTATATAGATTCTTAAACTTGTTAGCATCTAGCTCTTCCTAACAGTCTTTTATTATTATTAATTTCGATCTCTTTTAATTAGATTTTTCCAAGAACAAACTTTTGGTTTTGTTCATTTTCTCCACTTTTTTCCTTCATTATGTCATTGATTAGTGGGTTTATTGTTTCTTTACTTATTTGGGGGGATTTGCGCTGTTTTATTCTTTTTATTTTTTAATTTCTTGATAAATAAATCTGTTTATTTGATGCGATAAATTTCTCACTAACTGTTGTTCTTGGCTATGCCCATAGTTTTGACAAGTACTGTTTCCATTCTCATTTACTTCTAAAATACTTCTTCAGTACATTTAGTACTATATTATACGTGGTAAATTCAGAGGCTTTGTAGCTTGTCTGCCTGGGTTTGAATCCCTGCTGTATCACTCACTAGCTGTTTAACCATGGACAAGTTACTAACCTCTCTGTGCCTTACTTTTTTCATTTAAAAACAGTCAATTTAAATGAGTATTAGCTCATGTAATGACCAATACAGAACGTGCCTGCATAGAGCAAGTGCTATATAATTGTTAGCTATTAAAGGTTCCAAACATATGGAACATTTTAGCTCTCCTTTAATCATTAATTTCTAGTGAGATATTACTCTTAGATGGGGGAAGCTTCCCGGCTTCTTCTGAGACAGCGAGGGGAGAAACTGAGGGAACATGTGAGGTTGGAGAACTTGATTTATAAGAGGCACCAATCTTTAGCACCGTGGTGTGCTCCCCTGAAGGCTTTACTGCAAGGTGTGAGTGTGGAGAAGCCAGGCTGCTTTCAGGGGGGAAGACTGCAAGGTGAATGAAAAGGAAGGACAAACAGGCAAGAATGTCAAGGTCAAGGACTCTGGCAAGAAGAGGCTCAAGGGATGTTTCATGAAAGGCAGACCAGATTAAATGTGGGAATTGAGGAAGAAGCAGAATCGGGGAGAACCCCAGTGTGTCTACAACCAGGTGGACCGAAGTGCTGGTTCCTGAGATGGGGAAACCCGAGAAGGGACAATCTGGGAGAGGGAGAGCAGAACTGGGATTCAATTTTGGACACATGATACTTGGGATCAGTGTGGCCAGGCCCTGGAACATGGCAGCAGGGCAGGAGAGGAAGGGATGAGAGAGAAAAAAAGGCAGGCACGTCAAGGTAAGTCATTTTGGAGAGTTTGAGTGTTACTGAGTGCAGAATGAGCACTGGGAGTTGGGCATGGCTGATTCTGTGTTTTGGGAATACCACTGACTCCAGCATGGAGAATGGGTTGTAGGAAGAGAGAGGAGAGGAAAGACACAAGTTGGTAGGGATCTGGCCCCACCAGACGCTTGGTATTCCCCAGGGCTGGCTTCATGGGCGTGAAACTTGTGCAGTCACACAGAGGCCCACGCTCCAAAGAAACCTTTGCTTGGTTGAATGCTCTGCATTTGTTATCTTGAAATCCTTAATAATTTTTTCTTTGCACTTGCGTTTTGTAAGTCAAGACCAATGGGACCAAAAAACATGAGCACATGCAGGGGAGGTGTGCCCAGTCTGTGTGCCTGCCACAGTTCCTTGCTGCCCAGTGGCATACAGCGTGTGTGCTGCCCCATGAGCACAAAATGATGGTGGGCCCACAATGCGTGGGAGTCCAGTGAAAATCAAAGCCGGAACAAGGCAGATATGTTATATCGATGACCCAGGCCACGCTCTCTGTCTCAACCAGAAGCTGCTTTGAATGCAGAAAGAGGGCAATGGTGTTCTCGGAAATGCGAACAAGCAAGGAAATGTATCATAGGCTTTCTTAAGCATGTAACCTCCCTGTAGCCAACCACTTAGGCTGAAATGACAACAGAAGGTAAGGGAAGGATAGGACAGCCTATATTGTTCTTTTTCCTTTCAGTACTTTCTTACTCAGCAGTAAGCTGAAGATAGACAATGTTGGTAGAATGTGTGCATATCAGGAAGCGAAAAAAAAAATTAAGTTACTTTTGTGCATCATTCCCGCTGTTCTGGTAAGAATGAAATTTGTATGTATGAGCACAGTGGCTCACGTGTGTAATCCCAGAGCTTTGGGAGGCCAAGGTGGGTGGATCACCTGAGCTCAGGGGTTCAAGACCAGCCTGGCCAACATGATGAAACCCCATCTAAATTAGCCAGGCGTGGTGGCGGACACCTGTAATCCCAGCACTTTGGGAGGCTGAGGCAGGTGGATTACCTGAGCTCAGGAGTTGGAGACCAGCCTGGCCAACATGGTGAAACCCCGTCTCTACTGAAAATACAAAAATTAGCCAGGCATGGTGTCGTGCGCCTGTAGTCCCAGCTACTTGGGATGCTGAGGCAGGAGAATCGCTTGAACCCGGTAGGCAGAGGTTGCAGTGAGCCATGATTATGCCATTGCACTCCAGCCTGGGCAACAGAGTGAGACCTTGTCTCAAAAAAGAGAGAAATCTATATGTAAGTCTGAGCCACAAATGACAAATTGTATAATTTTGATGTTTTGCATGCTAGTTAAATGTTCTTATATTTGCATTTAAAACTCTCATTGCACAGTATAAAGATGAATAGAGAAATGGATGCTAATAACTTATGTTTTTAAAGGTGTTTTTACTTAGAATGACATTAAATTGTTTATTAAAAAGTATCACTGGTCGCGGTGGCTCACGCTTGTAATCCCAGCACTTTGGGAGGCCAAGGAGGGCGGATCACCTGAGGTCAGGAGTTCGAGACCAGCCTGACCAACATGGAGAAACCCCGTCTCTACTAAAAATACAAAATTAGCCAGGTGTAGTGGCACATGCCTGTAATCCCAGCTACTTGGGAGGCCGAGGCAGGAGAATCGCTTGAACCCAGGAGGCAGAGGTTGCGGTGAGCTGAGATCACACCATTGTACTCCAGCCTTGGCAACAAGGGCGAAACTCCATCTCAAAACAAAAACAAAAACAAAAAAATATCATGACAAGCCCAGAGAGAAAGAGACCATGGGGGAAAGGAAAAGGGTTTATATTTCAGCACATTTTATACCTTTTTTCCAACGTTTCCCTTGCTTTATGAACAAGGGGCCCTGCATTTTTTATTTCCCACTGGGCTCTGCAAATTACTAGCCAGATCTAGTATCATCTCCTGAAGGCCTCACTCAGCCTTCTCAGTCTTTACTGTTTATTCACAAGCCAGACTTAAGTTACAGAGTGCTGTCTTCTTCCTGCCTTTCTCACAGACATCATTCCTCACTGAGGAGACAAGGTCCTCCTATTGAGTGGATGTGTGTGTAACGTACGAATCATGCTCACTTTGTAGCTTGATGTTTTCAAATGGTATATTATGAACACATCCCCCTTACTAATAACCATTCTTAAACACATTTTAATAGCTAAGTATTGTTCTAACATTCTAACATTAGACCACAATTCAGTGACCCCCTGTTTTCAGCTTTTCAAAGTTATTAGCGATAATAAATGTTCATGAATACTCAGCACACAACAACAAAAATGTTCCTCTTACAAATCAACAAATATTGGTTGGATAAATGAAATCATAAATTCACAATAATTTTCTTAAATTCTTACAGGTATACTGTCAGGGTCAAAAAGTATGTAATTTGAACAATTTTAATATTCTCCCAAAATGCAGTACTAGTTTGAATCAGCAGTCAACAACGGATCTCACTGTTGTGAATTTTTACCAAATTCTTTAAAAAATAATCTCTTTTAATTTAACAGGCAGAATTCCCTATTATTAGTTTAATAATCATTTCTTTGATTTCTAGAGAGTCTGAACTTTGCTGGCCATTTGTATTTTGACCTCTGTGAATTATGAAGGTATTGTTTGCCTATTTGATATTGAGTATTTGTCTTTTCCTTACTGATTAGTAAGAGTTCTTTATATGTTGATACCAATTCTGCATGTCACATATATTGACAATAGGTTTTCTTACTTTGTGACTTGTTTTATAGTTTCATTTGTTCTATTAATGCTCTTTAAGGATTTTATTTTATTTTATTTATTTTTTGAGACAAAGTCTCACTCTGTCACCCAGCTAGAGTGCAGTGGCACGATCTCGGCTCACTGCAACCTCCCCATCCCGGGTTCAAGTGATTCTCCTGCCTCAGCCTCCTGAGTAGCTGGGATTACAGGCATGGGCCACCACGCCTGGCTAATTTTTGTACTTTTAGTAGAGAAGGGGTTTCACCACATTGGCCAGATTGGTCTCGAACTCCTGACCTCAGGTAATCCACCCGCCTCAGCCTCCCAAAGTGCTGGGGTTACAGGCGTGAGCCACCATGCCTGGCCTAGGATTTTATTTTTAAGAAGTCAAGTTTCTCCATCTTTTTCTTTGGAGATACTTAATACCTTCTCATACAGGCTCAAAAAGCCCTACCTCCACAAAGCCCCCGGCTCTACCCCTAAGAAAAGAAATATATTATCCAATATTCTTATGATTTTCTACCATTAAAAGGCGAGTTAAAGCCCTTTTTACATTATTGATATCACATTCTTTTGTAAATTTAAAGTCTGATGGACATGTTTCTTAAGTTTTGTCCTGTCATTTGGCTTCCGATGTCTATGTGCCTACACACTCACACACACACCATCTTTCCCTATGTGGTCTGCTTGCTCTTTGTATTCCTTTTATGCACAGGAATGTGGTTTATGTAATGCTCTTGGTTCTCTCTTTCTGGAGATTATATTGGTTCCCTGCTATGAGCAATACTGACATCAGCTCATGAACTCTTCCCCTATCTCTCCTTCCCTCCCTACCCAGTTTTAGTCACCGCTCTTAGGTTGGAGCTACTCTCTGTACTCTCTGTACCCTTGAGTACAGTTAAGTTTCCTTCTTGATTTGGAGGCTTCAAATGACATCCTTTTACTTCCAGCTAGTGCCTCCGAGGCAATTAGTCCCTACACTTTGTGTCCCATGTGTGTTGGCTGTGCTATTTCTACACTGCCAGCGCACACTGCATTCACACACTGTCTCTGAGCCCTTCCATTTGCCATCCGGATCCGCACTCTCTACCCTTCTCTGTTCTCACCTGTGTGGATTTCATGAACAAGTTCCTGTGTCCACCACCTCCCATGTCCTCCACCTCCACCTCAGCCGAGGAGGAGCCCAAAGGACATTGAAGGAAAGGAGAAGAGTGAATTCAGTGAATTCAGGTTAGTGATTCCCAGGCTTCCTGTCTAATCCTCCTAGGTTGGCAGTGTTTCTCCACCTAATTTTTATTATTTTTATTTTTATTATTTATTTATAATATTTATTATTATTTTTTGATACAGGGTCTCACTCTCTTGCCCAGGCTGGGTGCAGTGGCATGATCACCACTCACTGCAGCCTCAACTTCCCAGGCTCAAACGATCCTCCTGCCTCAGCCTCCCAAGTAGCTGGGACCAATAGGTGCATGCCATCATGCTCAGCTAATTCTTATTTTTTTTGTAAAGATGAGGTTTTGCCGTGTTGCCCAGGCAGGTCTCAAATTCCTGTATGCAAGTGATCTTCTTGCCTTTGCCTCCTAAAGTGCTGAGATTTCAGGCATGAGCCACCGCACCCAGCCCAGTTGACTTTAGATCCAAAAATCACTTCTCTCATCCCTTGGGACCTAGTGGTAGGCCCGGGGTTAGTGCACCATTCCTTACAGTCACTGTTTCCTATCTTTGTCAGTCATCCCTTTGTAAATAGACCTTCTTTTTGCCAATATACCTTCTGCTTCCTACTGGGACCCAGAATTAGATACATATAGTTTTATCACTGTATTAGTCCATTTTCATGCTGCTAATAAAGACATACCTGAGACTGGGTAATTTATACAGGAAAGAAGTTTAATGGACTCACAGTTTATATTTTATATTTTCTAGTAGTCACATACAAAAGTAAAAGCAAACATGCAAAATTAATTTTAATAATATATTTTATTTAATCTAGTATGCTCAACATGGTATCATTTCAACATGTAATGTATTAGTCTGTTTTCATGCTGCTGATAAAGACATACTTGAGACTGGGAAGAAAAAGAGGTGTAATGGACTCACAGTTCCACATGGCTGGGGAGGCCTCACAATCATAGCAGAAGGCAAGGAGGAGCAAGTCACATCTTACATGGATGGCAGAAGGCAAAGAGAATGTGTGTGCAGGGAAACTCCCCCTTATAAAACCATCAGATCTCATGAGACTTATTCACTATCACAAGAACAGCACAGGAAAGACCTGCCCCATGATTCAATTACCTCCCTTTCCCACAACACGTGGGAATTGTGGTAGCTACAATTCAAGATAAGATTTGAGTGGGAACACAGCCAAACTGTATCAATCACCTTTATCCTTATCTTTTCACTTTAGGTTTTCAGTTAAATATATTCAATGCTGACCACAAAACTTATAAATCCAATGATTTGTTAATTGTCTAAACATCTTTCTCTACTATTCTCCTTAGGAGAGTCTCATGAAAATAATATTCTCTGGGTTCTTTCATGTTCATAACTGGTTGGTAGCCTTCATATTTGCAGGACAGTTTGCCCAGATACAAAATCTTTGGCCTATTTTCTTTCCTTAAATATCTTTGAAATGTTGCTCTATTATTAAAACATAAAATGTTACTGTCTAGAATCTTGATTCCATTCTGATTTTCTTTTCCTTAGAAATAACTTGGAGTTTTTTACCTGCATGCCTAAAGGATTTTCATTTTGTCTTTAAGGAACAATAACATCACCAAGCAAAGTCTCAGTGTTGACCAGTCTAGGCTAATTTTCTTAGGACAGAATGTGCCCTTTCACTGCAGAGATTAAACCTTCTTATATTTCAGGAAATACTTTTTAAAATTCAGTTTTAAAATATGTATTCTGTTCTGTTGTTTAGGCTTTATTCTCTAGAGCCTTGAATTGTATGTATGTTGAATCTCCTTTGCCTAACTTCTGTATCTATCACTTTCTCTCAAATCCTTATTATCTCTTTATTTCTGTTTGATCTTCCTCACTTTTCTATTTTCTCTATTTTCCTTTTTGAAACACAATCTGGCTCTATTGCCCAGGCTGGAGCGCAGTAGCACCATCCTGGCTCACTGCAACCTCCCCACCTCAGCCTCCCTAGTAGCTGAAATACAGGCATGTGCTACCATGCTTGGCTAATTCTTGTATTTTTATTAGAATACAAAAATGTTTCACCATGTTGCCCAGACTGGTCTCGAACTCATGAGCTCAAGCAATTCACCCACCTCAGCCTCCCAGATTACTGAGAGGCATGAACCACCACACCTAGACTATATTCTCTATTTTTATTACTGTTCTTTTGGAGATGTTTACTTACCCTTGTGTTTCTTCTAATTTAATCTTCATTTCTGAAAAAATATTGTTTTCTCTCTGTTTTCCAATTGGATCTGATTTTTAGAAATCCTCCTGTTGTCAGGCCATCTCATTTCTGTGCTCTTCTCTTTCTGCTGTGTACTGTTCTTTCAAAGCTTCTTTTATTTTCACAATTGTTTTCAGCTCATTTAGCTTTGTGTCCACATACATTCTTGTCATCTATCACAATAGTATTTAGTTTATTTTTATTTCCTTTTCTTTCTTGTAAAAACTTTTGCTTGGAGTTAGATTGTATTTTGTTGTTGTTTCTTGAATTTAAAAAGTTGTTTTTCCTGGATTCTTAGAAGAAAGCTTCTATAGAAGGGGCAGAGATGGGCCAGATGGCTTTCTTTACCTTTTCTTTTATTATTATGAAACACTCAAATGGTGGTCTCTCCATGTAACTGCTTTTTAGCTTCTCAGAATTAAGCCTGGGTCAAAAAGGCATACAGCCTCTAGCCCTGGGTTTCCCGGAGCGCTATGGGACTTACTCTTCAAGGTAATGCTCTAAGCTTTAAATTTTCATTGTCCAATATTGTAGCCACTAGTCACATGTAGCACTTAATATGTGTCAAATCTGAATTGAGTTATATAAAATACCATATTTCAAAGACAGTATGGAAAAAAGCAAAATAGCTCATTAATACTTCTTTTGTTGATTCTTGATATGGTTTGGCTGTGTCCCCACCCAAATCTCATCTTGAATTCCCACATGTTTTGGGAGGGACCCAATGGGAGATAATTGAACCATGGGGGCATGTCTTTCCCATGCTGTTCTCATGATAGTGAATAAGTTTCATGAGATCTGATGGTTTTATGAGGGGGAGTTCCCCTGCACAAGCTCTCTTTTTGCCGGCTGCCATCCATGTAAGACCTGACTTGCTCCTCCTTGCCTTCTGCCATGATTGTGAGGCCTCCCCAGCCACACGGAACTGTGAGCCCATTAAACCTCTTTTTCTTCCCAGTCTCAAGTATGTCTTTATCAGCAGCATGAAAACAGACTAATACATGTTGAAATGATACCATGTTGAGCATACTAGATTAAATAAAATGTATTATTAAAATTAATTTTGCATGTTTGCTTTTACTTTTTAATGTGACTACTAAAAAATATAAAATTATGGCTTGCATGTGCGGCTCACATTGTATTTCTTTTTGACAGCACTGCTTTAGACTTTACATTTTTAAATTTGCTATTACAATATGGCAAAATATGCTCTCAACGACTTCCTTCCTACTATCTGAACCTTTTCTCTCACTTACCCCTAGGCTTCCTTCCCTGTTGGATTTGTTTTCTAGATGTTTTCTTTCAATATTAAACTTCTGGAATGAGTCTTGTGGATAAGGATTAAATCCTTCAGGATTTAGACCTCTCATAGAATTCATCCTTCAGCATCACGTTTTTTGAACTTACCCCTAACTGGCATTTTGGGGAGCCACATCCCAGTGTTGACAGTGATTCTCAGATCTGCTTGCCCAGAGCCTGCTCTGGATGGAGTATGTAATTTTTTTAGGGATTTTTGGGGTTCTGTGGTTCAGAGTGCCCCTCAGCAGTCTGTCTTCACTTCAACAGTCTATCTTCACTTCTGGTGCTCTGATTCACAGCTGCTACCCTGTCCAGTACTTTCTGGTACTCCCAGGAGTTTGGCCATATCTGCTCCAACACTGGGGTTTACAGAGAATCATCATCTAGTTTTATTAAAGAGATTGCCTGTGGACTTTTTTTACCTTTTGCTGTTCTGTTGATTTTCAGGAAAAGTTTTGGTTTAATTAAAAACTATACTGCTGCCACAATCTCAGTATGACTAGAATTTCTTCACTTGCTATATTTAATTTTGTAAACTATGTGGAATTAATTTTGATGAATAATGTGAACTGGAAATCTAATTTTATTTCTTCATTTTTTAAAGCAATTCTACTTTTTCTTATTAGGAAACTTGCATGTACATATTGAAGAAAGCATACAATATAGACAAGCAAAAGGAAACAAAATAAAATTTTATTATAATCTTCCCACACAGAGAGAATCATTTTAACAGTTTAATCTATATGCTTCTAGGAGATTCAGTATCATTATTTATGAAACAGGGGAAATACCACATTTTATTGAATCTAATATGCAATCAATTGTAAGAATTACCTTTTGTTACCATCAAGAGAAAAAAACACAGCTAATTAAACTAGGCACACTAGCAACCAATTTTAGGTATCTTGATACATGCAAATCTGTTAATCTTCAAATCAAATAGAAGTTATAATAATGACCTTACAGGACTGTTATAGAGATCAAATGATATAATGTATATAAAGTACAATAAATGATAACTATTATCATTCCATCATTTGAATATACTGAAATTTATTTATCCAACCTCCTATTGTTGAACATCTAGGTTATTTCCAACTATTAGCTACTATAAACATTAATAATTTATAAATAAATAAATGCAAATGATCACCAAACAAAGTGTTAAATCTTAACACTAATTGGGAAATGCAACTCAAAACAGTGATGAAGTACCAATTGCTCTTTTTGAATTAACAGGATTCCTTCAAGTCAAAGAAAAATTGAGAAAACCTCAATGCCTAACAATGGAATGTAACTAAATAAATTGTGATGCAATGGTATTCTCAGCCATTTAAAAAAAGATGATATACAAAGGTGAACAGTTTATAATGTTAAAAGCTACAACTCTTAATGAAAACATAGCTATGCATATCTGTGTACTAACTAATAGGAGATAAAAGAAGAAACAAATAGAAACACATTAGTAGTGGGAGATTTAAATTCAATTCTCTAAGTTCATGACATGCACATAAAAAAAATAATAAAAAAGACCTAAAAACATAGCTAATGAGATAAGTCTCATATAATCACATTGACTAATAAAAAAAAAAAATGGACAATAGGCTGGGTGTGGTGGCTCACACCTGTAATCCCAGCACTTTGGGAGGCCGAGGCAGGTAGATCACAAGGTCAGGAGTTCGAGACCAGCCTGACCAACATGGTGAAACCCCATCTCTACTAAAAATATAAAAATTAGCTGGGCATGGTGGCACGTGCCTGTAATCCCAGCTACTCAGGAGGCTGAGGCAAGAGAATCGCTTGAACCTGGGAGGCAGAGGTTGCAGTAAGCCGGGATCACACCACTGCACTCCAGCCAGGGTGACAGAGCGAGACTCTATCTCAAAAAAAAAATACTGACTATACATTCCTTTCTAGTGCTTCTATTGATTCTCAAAATTGATCATATATTACTTCAAAAAGAAAACAAAGGTAGGAATAATGAGACAATAGTCTTTGATCACAGTAAGACTAAAAATTAAGTCTAATACCCAAACACACAAAAAAATTCTATCTGTAAAATTTAGAACTCTCAAACAATTCTTGGGTCAAGAAGAAATTAAACCCCAAACTGGAAAGTGTTTAGAAAATAATAATAGTGAATGTCCTGAATATTAAATCTATGAGGAAAATTCATAGCCTGTGAGCACTCAGAGGAAAATTCATAGCCTTCGATATCACATTTATGATTAAGAAAGAATCAGCTAAAATGCTCTAAGTATTTAACCTAGGAAATTAGGGGGAAAAAAACTAAAGAAAACCAAAAGGAAGGAATCATAAAGAGAAAAGCAGACACCAGTAAGTTAGAAAAGAGAAAAAAGATAGCTCCACTAAATCCAAGTGCTAATACTTTGGGGGTAAAAAGAATATATCAGTGGTTTGGTAACCTAATCCAAAAATAGGAAAGTAAAAACACACAAAATAATAATGACAATTGGAAAATAAACACAAATAAAGAGATAATTATAAGCATTGTAAGAGATACTTTGCTCAACTTTATGTAAATAAATTTGAAAACTAGAAGAAATGAATACTTTTATTAGGTAGAAATAATTTATCAAAACTGACTCCAGAAGAGAAAGAAATAATATATAGACAAATGACCATAGAGGAAATATAAAACAGTGGAGATTTATCCATCTTCTCAAAAAATAACCCTGTCCAGACAGTTCTACAGAGGAATTATATCAATTATTTAAGAAACAGGTAATTCCAATGGTACTTAAATTGTTCCAGTGCCTATTTGAAAGAAGATATTTAAACTGTTTTTGTGAAACAAAACTGTTTGACCCCCAAAACCCAACAAAGAGATGCAAACATACAGCCCACATGCAAAAATAGACTTGTGAAGATTAATACAAAAGTCCAAATTAAAATAGTAAAGGAAATACAGCAGTACTTCAAAACAAAATAAAACTAATATACTAAGACCGAGTGAAGTTTAATACAGTAATACAAGAAAGGTTCAATATTTTAAGATCAATTAAAATCAATATTTTTAAATCTATTATCTATTCCATGATAAGGAAAGTATAGTAACATGTTAATGGTAGAATGCAGGTAGTAGGTATATGTTTGTTCACTGTAAGATTCCTTCAACTTTGGTATACATTTGAAAAATTTCATAATAAAATGTTGGGAAATATCTATTAATATAATTCATCATATTAATAGGTCTGAGGAGATGGCTCATAGAATCATCTCCTAAACACTGAAAAGGCATTTGAAAAAATTCAATATATATTCTTAATTTTTAAGACGTTCAATAAAATAGAAAGAAATAGTTATTTCTTTAGCATATAAAATAGATTCATCTCAACCCATAAGCCTTTAGTTGATACTTTTATTAGGAAAAAAATAATTTATGCTTAATGCTTAATGGGAAAAGCACTACAAGCATTCCCATTAAAGTCAAGATAGAACAAAAATGTCCAATATTACTCTATTGGACTATTATTTAGCATTGTTCTGGAATAAATAACCAATGTAATTAAAGAAAGACATTAGAGGTATGAAAATAAGAAAGTGGGATATTAAATTATCTTTATTTGAAGATGATGTGATTGTATAGCTGGAAAACCCAAGAGACTGAACTAAAAAACTGTTATAAACAATAAGATTGTTCAATAATGTGGATGGCAACAAAATTAAAAGGAGAATCAAGAGTATGTATGTATTATTAATACCCATGTGCACACATTCAGTATTTTATCATAATGAGATATTCAGTAATTTTATCATAATGAGACAAAATATTCAGAATTTTATCATAATGAGATACTCATAATGAAAAATGTGTAATAGATAAATGAATAAAGCCTTGAGATACTACTGAGGGTCACACATCATGACTTTAACAATGGAAAGTTATTTTATGTTCTTGAGTAGGAAGATTCAGTATAAAGATGGCAGCTCTTTTTAAATTAATTTAAAATGTATCAGCATCTCATCAAAATGCCAACTGTATAGTTTGATGAAACCAGCCAATTCTAAAGTTCAGCTAAATATGAACAAACCAAAATAAGAAACTAATTCTTAAATGCCAAGAAATCAGGGGAAAATAGTGCACCAGATAATAAAACACATTGTAATAAGTAGAACAGTGGAGTAAAGGCGCAGTACTTGCATACACAGATATCAATGCTAGTTTAATGTATGATAGAGGTGGCATTTCAAATCAGGGCAGGGGAGTTGAATATTGATCATTCAACAATAGATCTTGAGATAACCAAGCAGTCATCTGGGGGGAAGAAGTTGAATCCCTACTTTGTATTTTACATGAAAATAAATTCCAGGCTGGGCATGGTGGCTCACATCTGTAATTTCAGTGCTTTAGGAGGCTGAGGTGGGAGGATCCCTTGAGGCCAGGAGTTCGAGACCAGCCTGTGCAAATGGAGAGCCCCCCTCATCTCTGCAAAAAATAAGACAATTAGCAGGGCATGATGTTGTGCACCTATAGTCCCAGCTACTCAGGGGGCTGAAGTGGTAGGAGTTTGAGGTTACGGTGAGCTATGATTGTGCCACTGCACTGCAGCCTGGGCAACAGAGCGAGACCCTGTCTCTCTAAAACAAACAAACACCCCAAAACCATCAAAATAAATTTTGGTGGCTCAGATATTTAAACATGGAAAATGAAACCATAAGCTACAGGAGACTGTACTTATAATCTTGGAATGGCAAAGGCCTTTCTAATATGACAAAAAAAAAAAAAAACCCAGAAGCCATAGGAAGATTTATAAATTCAACTACATTTTTTAACATTTGTAAAGCAAAAACCATAAGAAGTTAAATCCCAAGAAACTGCAAACTGGATGGGATTATTTGCAACTCATAAAACAAATGAAGCATTCCTGAAAATTGAAAAGAATAAGAGCAACCCCAAGAGGGGGGAAATGTACAAAGGCTCCAATGCATACATTTCTCAAAGGGTGTGATATGGCCCCCAAGAGAGCAAAAATTGCTTCTTGAGGGACAAAGTATCTCAGTCATTGCAATGGTCTGTGGCCCTCCAAAGCTGTTGTCTTAATCCACTTATTTTTCCAGATGAGTTTTAGAATAAAATCCCATGTGTTGCTTGGAGTTTCAAAAACTCTTAGATTAATTGGGGGAGAATTAACATCTGCACAGAAAATCTGCAGTCAACTGTTCTCATTCCGGAACATTTCTTGCTGATTCTCAGATATTTGTCATTCATTCAAGCTTCCTTTTATATAAAGTTTTATGGCCCTTCCCACATAGGTCTGCACATATGTTTTAGTTGTTTAATAATTTGAGTTGGTTTTTTGAGTTATATTTTATCCCAATATTACTTTATACATTTTTATTCCTGCCATATTTTACAAACTGCTACTTTACCAAATCATATTAGTTTTTGACTTTTTACCCCTCCATTTTATTTAATTTTCAAAATGAAAATATCATTATTGTTTTCTGGATATATAAGTACTACCCATTCATTATTTTAAAATGCGAAGTACTTAGAAGAGTAGAAAGTGAAAGCCCCTCAGTAAGTCTACCCCTGGGGTAACCACGATTTCTTATTAGCTGTAAATAATTTTTAGTTAATTATCTGGGATTTCCCAGATAGAAAAAGCATCTCATCTTTAATTAACGTATGACAAGGTAATGTTTGGAGCATTAAATCAGTGCATTTTCTTTAAAAAGTAATTTTAATTATGAAATATGTTGAATATACAAAAAAAGTTTAGAAAATGATGATAGATACCCATTTCAGTGTTATCAGTTTAACATTTCGCCATACCTAACCCTCCTGCATTCTTTTCTCACTCTCCCTCCCCAAAGAATACCACTCTCCTGGAGTTGGTGGATGTCATTCCCATGTGTTTACAGCATAAGTGTATATCCACGGCAATGTATACAAGTTGTTTGCACGTTTTTAAATTTATGTGAACAGTGGCATACTCTTCATATCTTTTTAAAATCTGATTTTTATATTTACTCATGTTGATACATATAGATTTAGTGCATTCCT
This sequence comes from Homo sapiens, assembly GCF_000001405.40. NCBI lineage: Eukaryota > Metazoa > Chordata > Mammalia > Primates > Hominidae > Homo > Homo sapiens. The sequence continues at coordinate 126,258,846 of NC_000009.12, forward strand.
TGTATCTGCTTGCTAGCATTTTATTGCGTGAATATTTTTCCATTTCCTTTTTAAGGTAGTGTAGTATTGTTTCTCTTTTTAAACTATTTCAAGTAGTACATGAGAAACATTTTTATTCATGTCTCTTAGGCACATGGGAAAATTTGTCGAGGGGAGATACGTGTAAGTGGAATTGCTAAGTCACAAGTTAGGTGCACCTTCGTATTGATTAGTCCAATACTACCAAAATATCTCCAGTGTTGCACCAGTTTACCCTCCCACCAGCAAGAGTTCTTGTTCCCTTGAATCTTCTCCATCACTAGGTATCATCAGCTTTTAAGTTTTGCTGATTGATAGATGTGAAATGCATCTCCTTGTTGCTCTAATTTCATTATCCTGATTACGAGTGAGTTTGCAGAATTTTTCACTTGTTTATTTACTATTTGGATTTTCTCCTAGCATTCTGTTTAGAGCCTTTGCTCATTTTCCCATTTTTCTTCTTATTAATTTGTAAAAGTTCATTCTATATTGTGGAGACTAATATTTTGTTGCAAATAGTTTCTCCCAGATGGTGGTTTGTCTTTCACTTTATGATATGTTTATTGTATATAAATATTTTATTTTTAGGTACTAAAATGTATCAGGTTGCTTTTATGATTTAGTGCTTTTTCTATCTTGCTTAGCAAATCCTTCCCATCTCCATGTTCTAAACACGTGTTCCTATATTATAAAAGTTTCAAAATTTTGCAACTTAACAATTAGTCTTTAATCTACCTGGAATTTATTTTTTATATGAAATAAGGGGGGAATTTAATTTTATCTTTTCTATATGAATAAATCACCCCAGCATTGTTTTCTCCCTTTGTTTAATTTTAGAAAATGTCAAACATACACCAAAGTATAAAGAAAGAATAGGATCATAAACTTCATGCGCTCATCACCCAACTTCAATAAGGATCAAATCACAGCCAATCTTATTTCATCTCTACCTCCAAATACTCCTTCTCTTGAATTATTTTGAAGGGAATCCAGATATTGTACAACTTCATCTGTAAATATTTGAACATGAACCTTTAAAACTTTAGATCTCTCTTAACCACCATAACATTATTAAATCAAAAAACAACGCCTTTATATCAATAAAGAAATTTCTACAAATTATATCATTTTCTTTTTGCAGTTTGTTTTAATCAAAAGCCAAATAAAGTCCATCCACTGCACTTGGTTGGATGTTTCCTAAATTTATTTTAATCTGTAAGTATCTCCTTTCTCATTTTTCCTCTTGAAAATTCTTTATTAAAGAAACTAGACTGCTTGTTCTGTACAGAGTCCCACATTCTAGATCTGCCTGATTGGATCCTGTGGTATCCTTTAACGTGTTCATCTGCCCTTGTGTTGCCTGTAAGCTGAAAGTCAGTCAGTCAGCCTAGAGACTTGATCACATTCAGGTTTGATGTCTGGTAGGAGCACTTCCAACAGGATTTTGGGTACTTCCATCAGTAAAGGATATAATATCTAACATCACATTTTTGGGATGTTAGCAACCATAGGAGATTATTGTCTAGATCCATCGCTTCCTTAGGGCTTTTTCAAAAGGTGATGTTCTAATTCCACCACTCCTTGATCATTTATCATAGCATCACTTATTAAATATTCTATCCTTTTCTCACCATTTGTGCAAATCCCTTAGACACATAGGTCGGTTTCCAGACTCTTTTCTGTTCTTTTGACCTGTTTGTGTGTCTTCGCACTAATGCCACATAATTTAAATTACTCCATTTTCTTAGCTGGCAGGAGAACCTATCACTGAACTCATAGGCTGATACACACACTTATCAAAAAAATAGCTCTTCTTGTCTCTCTGTGATTGCAGACATATTTTGAAATCAGCTTATCAAGTTCCAGGGAAAAGTCTCTTTTTGTTTTGGAATGGTACTGCATCAAATCTATATATTAATTTAGATAAAATTTTCATATTTATGATATTGAGTCTTCACAGCCGTTAACATGACTTATCTATGGATTTATATCCTTCAAAGAAGTCTTTTATATCTTTCAAAGAAGTTGCATAATGTTCTCTTTAAAGTTCTTGCATATCTTTTAGATCTTATGAGTAGAATCTTTTTAAAAATTACATTTTTAAATAATTTGTTGCTGGTATGGAGGAAGGCAATCAATTTTTGTATATGGAATTTGTATTTATTGGGCTTGCCAAACTCTGTTATTCTGATAGTTTGTTGGTAGATTTCCTGAAAACTTATTTCAAATGTGAGCAAGGATATTTTTACCTGGGAATAATGACACTTCTATCCTTTCCAATCCGTATATTTTTCTTATCTTATTAATTGTATTTGTCCAGTACAATATTGAATACAAGTGGTCATAGCAATCAGTTTTACTTGTTTTGTTTTTTTTCTTCTTCTTCTTTATTTTCAGAGACAGTCTCATTATGTTGCCCAGGCTGGTCTCAAACTCCTGCGTACAAGCAATCCTCCCACCTTGGCTTCCCAAAGTGTTGGGACTACAGGCGTGAGCCACCACACCCATTTTTGTTTATTTTTGCATTTAATAGGAATGCTTTTTGCTATTCACGAGTAGATAGCATGTATAGTGTAACTTTTATATACATACCTGATATGGTTTGGATCTCTGTCCCCACCCAAATCTTACCTTGAATTGTAATAATCTCCAGCTGTCAAGGACAGGACCAGGTGGTGATAATTGAATCATGGGGGCAGTTTCCCCCATACTGTTCTCGTGAGGGTGAGTGCGTTCTGGCGAGATCTGATGGTTTTATAAGGGGCTTCCTCCGTTGTTCCGCACCTATTTCTGTCTCCTGCCATCCTGTGAAGAGATGCCTTCTGCCGTGATTGTAAGTTTCCTGAGGCACCCCCGCCGCCCCACCACCACAATCATGGGGAACTGTGAGTCAATTAAACCTCTTTTCTTTATAAATTACCTAATCTCTCAGGCAGTTCTTTATAGCAGTGTGAGAACAGACTAATACAATACCCCTTATGAAACCAGGCATGTTCCTCTCTCTTCCCCAGATAACATTTCATAAACGAGCATTCAGTTTCGTCACATGCTCTCTCCCACAATTGTTGAGCTGATAACATGGTTTTTTTTTTTTTTTCATATATTACTGGGCTAACTACGTACGTACTTTTTAAGATTAAACTTTCATTCCTCAAATAATCTCTACTTGGTTATAATGTTTTCTTCCATTTTTCATGTATTACTCGATTTGTTTCACTAATATTTTATTAAGGATCTTTGCCTCTGTGGTCATAAGTAACTGTGTTATACCGGGCAGTCCTAGTAGTCTCCTTGTCTGTTTTGGTATTAAGGTTGCATCAGCTTCATAAAATGTGCTAAGGCGCTTTTCTTCTCTCTCTATTCACTAGAACATATTGTACAGAATAAAGATTTTCTAGTCCTTGAAGCTTTGATATATCTCACTTATAAAATCATCTGTACCTAGTAATTTTATTTTGTCTTGTTTTTGTGGTCATAGTTTAAAATACTGATACAATTTTATTAACGGTTGTAGATCTATTCAGGCAACCCCTTCTTCTTGGGTCAGTTTTATAAATTCCATTTATCTTAGAACATTGTTCAAGCTTTTAATTTATTGTTATAAAATTCTTCATAGCACCCTCCTTTGACTTATTATATCTGAAGTTTTGTTCCCCTTTTTTATTTTTAATATTGTTTATTTGTGCTTTTTTTCTTGATAAATCATGCTAGAAGTTTATATATTTTATTAATCTTTGCAAAGAATCAATTTAGGGTCTTGTTTCTCTTCTCTACCGTTAATTTGTTTCATATTTAATTGATTTCTATGATTTTCTTTGTTCTCATTTTTATCATTGTCCTTGGAGTTTACTTGGTCTCTATTTTTCTGGAATTGGATGCTTAACTCATTGTTCTTCCATCTGTTTAAAGTACTTTCTTCTTTCAGTATTGCTACTCATATTTTTTTTAAAAACATGGTACTTTTATTTTTGTTTCATTTCCTAAATTAATGGGGCATTTTGGCAATCTACTTATAATTGATTTCTAATTTTATTACACTGTTATCAGACTATATGATCTGCATGACATTGCAATTTTCAAAAACTAGTCTGGTCTAGTACTAGGTTGACTTTTATAACTATTCCATAGATACTTGCAAAGACTGATTATTCTCAAAATTTTGAATATAAGGTTTTAAACAACTTTATTCTTTCAACCTTGTTAACTGTGTTGTTCAAATCTTCTCATCCTTACTAGTTTTACTTTTCATCTCTTTGACATATTAATAAGAGAGAGCACATTAAATATCTCCACGATTGTGGATTTGTCTTTTTCTTGTAATTCCAGAAATATTTTGCTTTATATATTTTGAATTTGTTGTTAGATGCATACAAGTTTAGGATTCTTACATGTTTCTGGTTGTTTCTTATCATTTTGTAACATTACTCCTTGTTTCTATTTTTTTATCTCAAAATCTATTTTGCCAGATCTTAATATAGCTTTTAAATTTGTTTTTGGATTAAATTTCTCTAACATAACACTTTCTAGTTTTTAAAAAAATATCCAATCATCACTGGGCATGGAGGCTCACACCTGTAATATCAGCACTTTGCAAGGCTGAGGTGGGAGAATCACTTGAGGCCAGGACTTAGAGATCAGCCTGGGCAACATAGCAAGACCCCGGTCTCTACAAAAAGTTTAAAAAAAAATTAGCTGGGTGTGGTAGTGTGTGACTGTAGTCCTGGCTACTTGGGAGGCAGAGGTGGGAGAATCACTTGAGCCCAGGAGTTCAAGGCTGCAGTGAGCAATGCTCATGCCATTGCACTCCAGCCTGGACAACAGAGCAAGACCCTGTCTTTAAAATAGGAAAAAAAGAAATCCAATCTTTCTGACACATCATCCTTCACTATACACCTGTTCACTTCCCCACCCCCAATCTGAGTATCTTTGTCTTTTAACTGGCAAAGTTATTCCATTTACACTTATTTTGAGTACTAACATACATTTCCTTGATCTTATTTTGAGAGCTTTCTGTTTGCCATCCTTTTTCTTTACTTCCTCTCCCCCACCCCTACCTCACCCCCTCATTTCCTGCTTTCTATTTGATCAGTCAAATTTCTTTATTTCCTCTCCTCCTTTCTTCTCCTAATTATTTGGAAAGCTTTATTTAACATCTCTTATATTTCTCTGCTTTCAGATGGTATGCTTAAATTTTTATAATGCATGCTTGAATGACCAAAGTCTGAGTTAATCAGTATTCATGCCCTTGTCCCAACCCATTCAGGGATCTGATAACCACTCCCTTCCACATTGTCCATGTTATCCTTGTCTAGAAATTTAATTCCACACTGTTTTAAAACTTATCCAAATTAATGCCCTGTGTAATATCTAGTCTTCTCACCCAACAGCTACTGAACTTTAGTTTGTACTCCTACAGCTCTGACTTTTGAAAACTTCCCTCCTTGTTTCTATCATCTGGGTGTTTTTATGTGTGTGTGTGTGTGTGTGTGTGTGTGTGTGTGTGTGTGTGTGTGTGTTTATGTGTAAGGGAATAAATAGAACCCGTACTTTGAAAGCATTATGGAATATTTGATCCAGGATTTCTAGGAGGATTCTAGGTGACAGAAAAAGGGGTACCACGTCATCTCAGTTTGCTATTTGCTATATTGAATGGCATGGCAAGATTTTCTAGGCATTCATATAGATGAGCTTAGAGAAGGAAATTTTTTTAAACATACATTCTACTGTATATACTTTCCTGCATCTTTCTTTTTTCCATCGGTAATAAGCATCTTTTCTTGTCAATATCTATATATCAATCTGATTCATTTTAATGATTACAGTGTATTGCATAGTACGGATTTAAAATAGTTTATTGAATCACATTCTGTTTGATGGACACTTAGATTATTTCCAAGTTTTGCTATTATAGAGAATGCTGCAGCAGACAGCATGTACAAGCTGCCTTAGGAATGTTTGACAATGTTTCTTGCTCTAAGGTAGCAAAGACATGGAATTGTGTTACACAGTGTACAGTTTTTCATCTCAGTCCTGCCCAAATGCCCTTGAAAGTGGGAATGCCATTTTGAGTACATTTTATACAAACTTTATATTGCTCTTATAATGTATGAATGTATTACCCCCATCTTGCCAACACTTATTATATTCAAACTTAAAAAAATTGCTAAGGTAATGAGTGAAGAATAGTATCTCTTTATTTTACTTTGCAGCAAGTTCCCTGATTATTAGTAAAATGAAGCATCTTTTAAAATAGGATTAGTGACCATTATTAATTTCCTTTTCTGTGGATTGCCTATCCACATCCTTTGTCCATTTTCTATTAGATTGCTGGATTTTTTTTCTCACTGATTTGTAAGAGTCCTTTCATCTTGATCCTAGTCCTTTGTCTCTTAAATAGGTTGTCAATATTTTTGGCACACTTGTCATTTTTCAAAATCTTTTGTAGTGTCATTTATCATGCAGAATTATGACTTATAGTGTAGTCAAATTTATTAAACTTTGCGTTTATGGCTTTTGGTTTCTGTGCCTTATCTAAGAAGCTGCCTGTGCCCCAAGTTGATATTAAAGTCTCCTACATCTCCTACATTTCTTCTAATACAATTGTTTTACATTTTGCTCTTAGGATTTTAATTTATTGAACTTTTTCTTATGGATAGTGTGAGGTAGGATCTAATTTTATTTTTTCCAAATAGTATACAATTTTTCCAATATCATTTATTGAACACTACATAGTTTACTCAAGCATTTGGCATTGTATCTTATTTAAATTCATAAATCAGTGAACACGGTATATCTGAACTCTACTCAGTTCTGTTCATTTAATTGCCTTCTCCAGCACCAATATCACACCCTTTTAATTCCTATTATTTTATAAAATTATGACTCTTATAGAACAAAAATAGATTCTTTTAAATATTCCTCTGGTCAATTCATGTACATTTGTTCTTCCATATTAATTTTAGAACCAGCTTGTAAAATTCCATGAAAAATCATATCGAGTTGCAATTGATATCTCATTGATTTTAAAGGCTATTTTGAAAGAATTTATTTTATTTTCCAAATGCTTTAAGCTTTTTATTTGCTTACACTTCTGTTATGAATTTTTTGTTTTATTGCATGCAAGAAAATACAGCCTTCTCCCAGCAATAAATGCTAATTGAGAACCTACTCAATTGTATAGCCACTGTACTGGACTCTGAGGACCGAGTTGTGATGAGACAGATATGTTCTCTGCTCTCTTGTGGCTTAAACTTCCTATCTTTTGAAAGTTATTAACATTTCCTTTGTGGGTTAGAAAAATGATTACTTTTTTTTAAAATGCTAACTGGAACGTGTTAAGATTATATATTCTATATTTGTAGATTGCCGATTTTGAAATGTATCTAGTAAATAACCTTATTAATGAAATTATTCATATCTCTCATATTTTTATTTCTTTTTGCCTACTTGATTTGACAAAGACTAAGCAATGCAATAATATTAAGGTACCCTATTAAGATTGTGACTTTGCCAAATTCATCTTGTTATTTCTCATAGCTTTTGCTTGTATATTGCTTTTTAAAAATTACCATTTGTTAGATTTTTTTAATAAAGAAAATGTTAAAGAATATCCCATAATCTCACCATCAACATAATCTTTGCTAACCCCTATTGTGTGTGCACATGCATGCACACACACAGGGCTAGGAAATACAAATGGTACAGAAACACTGAAAACAAAAACTCAAGTCTTCTGTGTCACTATCCCTCTTTCCACTGCTAACCATTGGCAGGATTTATCTGCAGTAACCTTCCTTCCCTCCAGTGCTGTCCCATAGAAGCTGCCGTTTCTGGAACTTCAGTGATGAACTGGACGTGGGCTCTATCTAATGACACAGCCTCCATCATGACTTGGAGCTGGTGTTCTCAAAACCCTACCCCAGTCCTGTTGCCGATGCCTCCTGCTCTGAAACTGCTTAAGGCTAAGAAGCCTTCCTTCTAGAGCAGTGCTTCTCGCGTGTCCATGTGCACACAGATCCCGAGGGATGTTGATAAAAAGCAGATTCTAATTCAGTGGGCTGGTGTAAGACCTAAGATTCCGCGTCTTTTTTAAGACAGAGTCTTACTCTGTCGGCCAGGCTGGAGTGCAATAACGTGATCTCGGCTTACTGCAACCTCTGCCTCCTGGGTTCAATGATTCTCATGACTCAGCCTCCCAAGTAGCTGGGATTACAGGCGCTTGCCATCGCGCCCAGCTAATTTTTGTATTTTTAGTAGAGACAGGGTTTCACCATGTTGGCCAGGCTGGTCTTGAACTCCTGACCTAGGGCAATCCACCCACTTCGGCCTCCTAAAGTGCTGGGATTACAGGCGTGAGCCACCGTGCCCGGCAGATTCTGCATTTCTAACAAGGTAACGAGAGTGATGTTTGTGGGCCAACCTTTGAGGAGCAAGGACCTGTCCTTAAACTTGGCTGTACTTCGGAATCTCTTGAGGAGTTTTATAAAATATGAATGTCTGGGTAACAACCTCCACCCCCCCCAACCCCCACCCAAGAAATTCTGATTTGGTATGGGTTGCAGCCTACACATAGAGCAGGTGAAAAGCTCCCAGGTAATTCTAATATGCAGCAAAATCTGAGAACCACTGTTCTACAGATGCTGTCTCCCTCATCTCCACACTTGCTTTTGCTGCAAATTTACTCTCAGCAGGTGCTTGAACTGACGCAGTGTGTGCGGCTTTGGTAGCCTCTCCCCTGGGGTCCTAGAGAGGACCAAGATCTCTGCCATGTGCTTCTCAGAGCAGGCTTTCTTTGCCTTGGAAAATTCAGTTCCAGGCCTTGAGGATTCTTCTCACTTTGTCTTATTCTGCAATCATGGGGCATGTCCCTGAAGTTTCATCCTCCCTCAGGGTTCCCCTTCTACCAGGAAGGCACTGTTTTTGTCTTGTGGTATCTCCCAGAGTGAGAGATAACAAAATCAGAACGTTCTGGCTATGCTGAAAGCATCCATTGAGCAAATATATCTTTCCCCATCTTTACTTCCTAAATCAGATCACCTTCCCAGGAGATCTTCTCCATCATCCAGCATTGAACTGAGGCCTGCCTCCATCTGCCATTGTCCTACCTGACCCCCCTTTATTCAGTTTTATCTTTGCAGTGCCTTTCCTTAGAAAAAGTGGTCCTCAAAGTGGGTCCCTAGGCAGTAACCTCAGCATCGTCTGGGAATTAGTTAGAAATTCAAAATTCTCAAGCTGCACCCCAGACCTACTGAAGCAGAAACTCTGTGGGCAGGACCCAGCAATTAGTGTTTTACCAAGCCCCCCAGATGATTCTGATGCCTACTCAAGCACCCCTGCCTGAGAGCATCGGATGCTGATTAATTTGACCTGGGGTGGTGGTCAAGCATTACTAGGTTGAAAATATTCCCCAGGTGAATCTTACGTGCAGCCAGGGCAATGAACCACTGCTTCAGAGGGTCCTAATTCCTTACGTTAATAGGCCATTTCTCAGGGACCAAGTAATACCTTGATCTCCAGCTACAGTGGTTCTAGCACCTTGAAACTCACCTAGTTAGTGATGCTTCTAGTATTTTATACTGATCTTCCTCCTCTTCTTAAATTTGTCTGGATTTTCTGTAACTCCTTGGATTAGATGCCCCAGTATCTAAGGGGAGGGTCGTCATTTGCTCCAATGGTATGTGCTCACTCGCTCTTTCTCTCCCTTTCTCTCTCTTTCTTCTCTTTTTCTCTCTTTCTTCTCCCGTTCTCTCTTTCCTCTTTCTCTCTCTCTCTCTCTCTCTCTGTGTGTGTGTGTGTGTGTGTGTGTGTGTGTGTGTGTGTGTGTGTCTGTAAGAGGTTTCCTGGATATGGTTCCCTTGGGGAGAATCATTCTAGTCTCCTCTCTCAGACCTTGCTTCTCTTCCTTAGTGAATTTCTGTGGCCTCAATTACCGTTTCTGGTCTAGTAACAACTGAGACATGGCCCCTTCTGAAATGCTGTGCCTACATTTATTTCCTTTTCCTGTAAGTCTATTCTGCCTTCAAGATCACATTTGCCATTTCATATCCATCCAGTCTGTTCCCAAGATCTCAATGTTTCTCTTCAGAAAATCTGTCTCTTCCTCCACCTTAGTGGAGCTGTTTTTAATCTGTTTCCTTTCTCCTACTGCGTCTGTTTTGATCATCTGAGGCATACTTTGCTCCAGACACCCTGATTTCCTGGACAACTTAATTCTCAGAGACAGAGTCCTTCAAGTACGAGCTTCCTTAGCTCTTTTTGTAATTTTTGGGGTTTGCGACGTTACTGAGTTGTCCCTCTGTGAACCTGAGATGACAACACATCTCTTTATAACAGGTTCTCTGTTCCTTCTTTACATTCATAAAATATGCTATCTTGACAGTGAAGCCTGGAGTTGAGTCTCTAAATCCAAGGCCATGATTATTCCAGAGGCAACTGTAGACCATATGGTGGGGTGTGTGAACCCTAAGAGCCTGTGGGGAAGCCACATTAATTCCCAGCTCTCCTTAGCCCTGTACCACAAGGCAACATAGAAAGACATGGGGTTTTTGGCAGCCTCCCTCCGCTGTCTACCTCAGCTTCACACTAGCAATACAATGGTGCAGGCTCACACTAGGTATTGTAGGGCATGGAACGTGGGTGCAGTATAAATTGTACTGAAAGATCATAAAAGCGATAGGTAATCATTCCTCCTCTTAATGTATCAAAAGTCTGTGTGGCAGGATATCAAAGAGATATCTGCACTCTCATGTTTATTGCACCACTATTCACAATAGTCAAGATTTAGAAGCAATCTAAGTGTCCATCAACAGACACCTGGACAAAGAACGTATGGTACATATATGAAACGGAGTACTATTCAGCCATGAAAAAGAATGAGATCCTGTCATTTGTAACAACATGGATGGAACTAGAGGACGTAATGAAGTGTTAAGTGAAATAAGCCAGGCCCCTACTCGGGAGGCTGAGGCAGGAGAATGGCGTGAACCAGGGCAGCGGAGCTTGCAGTGAGCTGAGATCGTGGCCATTGCACTCCAGCCTGGGCGACAAGAGTGAGACTCCATTTCAAAAAAAAAAAAGGAATAAACCAGGCACAGAAAGACAAACTTCACATGTTCTCACTTATTTGTGGGAGCTAAAAATTCAAACAATTGAACTCACGGAGATAGAGAGTAGAAGGAGGGTTACCAGAGGCTGGGAAGGGTAGTGTAGGGGAGAGGAGGGATAGTTAATATTTACAAAAATATAGACAACAGGATGATGACAGTCAATCCAAATTTATTATACATCTTAAAATAATTAAAGGAGTATAATTGGATTGTTTGTAACACTAAAGTAAGGACAAATTCTTGAGATGATGGCTACCCCATTTACCCTAATGGGATTATTAAGCATTATATGCCTGTATTAAAGTACCTCATGTACCCCATAAATATATATACCTACTATGTACTCATAAAAATTAAAAATTAAAGAAAAAGGTCTATGTGGTAGGTTGAATAATGATGTTTCTGTCCAAAGATGTTTATGGCTGAGTCTCTGGAGCCTGTGGCTATGGTAAAGGGATATTGAAGATGTGATGATATTAAAGATCTTGAGATGGAAAGATTATGCTAGATGACCCCAGTGGGTCCTAAATGTAATCACCAGGGTCCTTCTAAGAGGAGGCAGGAGGCTCAGAGTGAAGTCAAGTTGATATAACAACAGAACAGAGAGGGATGAGAAGATGCTACACTGTTGGCTTTGAAGGAGGAGGAAAGGATCATCAGCAAAGGAAGACAGAGGGCTTCTAGATGCTGGAAAAGGCATGGAAATTGATTCTCTCCTAGAGCCTCTGGAGGGAGCGTGACTATGCACCTTGATTTTGACCCAGTGAAACCCTTTTGGACTTCTGACCTCCAGAACAGCAAGATAAGAAGGTTGTGTTGTCTTAAGCCACTAAGTGTGGCAATTTGTTACAACAGCAGTCAGACACTAAAAGAGTCTATATATGGGTAAACTTTCTTTTCCCTATAATCAAAGCATATCTACAATGCCTGTCCACAGGGGCCCTAAGGCCTAATGGCATCTTCAGAGAACCTGGTGGCCCATGCTGAGGCAGGCACGGTTTTGCCCAGGGTGAGCTGCAGCCGCTCTTAGCCTAAGGCCTCAGGAACCAACTCAACCCACTTTTGCTAAGGCCTATGCCTGTATAAAAATAGCAGCTTGCCTGTAAAAATATAAAATAAAATAAAATAAAAATCTGATGGCCTGGTCCCCTCAAAAGCCTCAGTCCTTGAGTATTAATTTGCTCCCCACGTTCCACTGCTTGTTCACTAGGCACTAGGCCCAATGTGTCAGCTAGGAACACTATCCTGAATGTGCAGACTTAGCCACCCTAACTGGGGCCGCCTTCCCCGAAGGATCCAGCCTGCCCCTATACATTTATGGCTTATGGGGGCTGACCAGAATGGGTGCTTCCCATAGACAGCTGGCTCCTGAGAATGGAAGAGGAAGCAGCTGAGCTACCCAGACCCAGCTCCTGCCCTCAAGCTTCCCTACCAAGCACATCACCTCCCACTTCCAAAGGCAGAACCCAGGGAGCAGACAGAGAGGCCAGGGGTGCTACCCAGAGGGACCTCTCTCCTCCTGGAAGGAAACACCAGAAGTGAGGAGAAGAGTTTCTCCCAGCACACTCATTGAACACTGTGCACCAATCAAGCCCAAAGCTCTACAGAATCTATCTCATTGAGTCCCCACAATGATCCTATGGAGATCAAGTCTATTCACATTACCATTGAGTTCTACACTTAAACCCAGAGAAGTGAAGCAATTTGCAACAACTACTAAAATAATTTTGTGCTTCCAACCAACTAATTCAGCAAGCATCTCTGTTCTGCCATGTTCTTAAGTTGATCCCAATGGCCCTTCCTCCAGAAACAAGAGCAAGGCTATGTTGAGTGCCAGTGAGCACTGGTGGGTAGGAAGGTTAGTTCTTCTTCCTCTGTTTCTCATTTGCCATGGAGCCCCCATTGATCCGCACCTGGTCTTCAACATCATCACCCATGTGAAGCTTTGCAAGGCACAGGGGGCCCAGATATCTCCCACAGGTCAATCTTGGGTAATTCTGGAAAGTCAGCCCCAAACGTTGCAACTGGAAACAAAATTTTGTTTTAGAAAAATAAATCTGACATTGTAACTCCCCTACTGAGAACCCCTCTATGGCACCACATTGCTCTTAGGGAAAGTTGCAACTGTTTAAAATGGCCCATGAGGTTCTGCCACATCTGGCACCTGTTCACCTTGCTAGTCTCCACCTCCTAATTTCTTTTTTTAATTGAATTTTAAAATGTTTATCAAAGTACATGTATATGGTTTAGAGTCAAATAGCAGCATGAACTTACAACAAAAACAATAGTCTCCACTATGTCTTCAGTTTCCTCTCCCACAAGACAGCCACTTTACATGCGTTCACTGATATCTTCTGCTATTTACCTTTGTACTTCAAAACACTGGTTTATACTGCTAGTTTCACATTTTTAAAGAAAAATCTGTTGGCTTTCTAGTAAAAAAGAAGAGTATTTAGTTATCTTACACCACACCACACATATCCCCCTCTTCCCATCCTTCCAACATAGTTACATCACAATTTTTGTTGAGTACTCAATATTTATATAAGAACTATATAAATATTGACCATAGCTGAGCCATGTAGTGTACTATTAATATATGCTTTTCTTGTATGATTTTTGTTTTTTTCCAGAGTTAATAATTGCTTCGTTTTTATCATTTGCTAGTTTTCACCCCAGTTTTTGCCTTTGCCTTTCTGTGGGATCTCATTTCCTGGATCCCATGCTTTTCTCTTTCTTGATTTTCTCCCTCATTTAGCTGTAGGCGTATGTCTTCCAGTAGCATCTTGAGAAGGAACACATAAGAACTAACTTTACTTTTTATCTTGCGTATCTGAAAATGTGTTTATTCTACTCTTAGGGACAGTTAAATTATAGCTACATGAGCTTCAGTATTCTTGGTTGGAAATAGTTTTGTCTTATAATTTTTAAGTCTTTGTGTCATGTAGCTTCCAGGGTTGTTATTGGGAAGGTACACTGTTCTGGTTCCCAATTCTGTGTATGTAACTTTTTCCTTTCAGGAAATTTCCAGGATCTTCTCTTTATACTTGGTGTTCTGAAATTTCACAACAATATGCCTAAGTGTGAGTCTTTTTTCATTGGGCTAGAGTGTTTCCTTCCTTCCATCCTTCCTTCCTGCCTTCCTGCCTGCCTGCCTGCCTGCCTTCCTGCCTGCCTTCCTGCCTTTCTTTTTTCCTTTGAGACAGAATCTCACTCTGTCACCCAGGCTGGAGTGCAGTGGCATGATCACGGCTCAATGCAGCCTCAGCCTCCCGGGCTTAGGCAAATCCTTCTGCCGCAGCCTCCCGAGTAGCTGGGACCACTGGCACATGCCACCATGCCCAGCTACTTTTTAAATTATTTGTAGAGATGAGGTCTCCCTATGTTGCCCAGGCTGGTCCTAAACTCCCGGGCTCAAGCGATCCTCTCGCCCCAGCATCCCAGTGTTAGGATTATAGGCAGGAGCCACTGTGTCTGGCCTGGAATGTTACCTTTCAATCCTGAAATTCAAGTCCTTCAATTCTGGGAAATTTTCTTGTATTTTTTTTGATAATGTTCTCCTTTTTGCTTTCCCTTCTCTTTTTCTAGAACACTTATTAGCATCATGCTAGAACTCCTGAATTGATTTATTTCTTCTCTCTTTCTTGGTCTCTGATAGTTGGCTGTTGGACCTCCTGGATTGATTCTTTAATTTTCTCATACTTCATACCCTACTTAACAACAAATTTTCTTAGCTGGGCAACATGGTGAGACCCTGTCTCTATAAAAAATACAGAAAAATTAGCCAGGCATGGTGGCACATGCCTGTGACCCCAGGTACTTGAGAGGCTGAAGTGGGAGGCTCACTGGAGCCCAGGAGGTCCAGGCTACAGTGAGCCATGATTGCACCACTACACTCCAGCCTGGGTAACAGAGCAAGACCCTGTCTCAAAAAAAAAAAAAAAAAGGAAAAAAAATCTGTTTTTATTCTAATTTCTGAGTTATCTGAACTTTATCTTCCAACCCTTTTGTGTTATCTCAACATTCCCTTAAGAAATATATACGTAACATTTAAATCTTATTTTATGACTGCAGTGCCTTCTCGTATCTTTCAGGGGATGTTATTTATGGGTGTTTATTTAAATGTATTGTCTCTTTTTCCTCCTAGTTGCCTTTTTCTATTTTCCTGAATCTTTGGTCTCTGGCTTTCATTATAGAGTTTTCCACAAATATCTGGTGACTCTTGACTGCCTGTCATTCATGTTTAAAAGTGTGGTGTAAGAAGCTGACCGGGGCTGGGCGCAGTGGCTCACGCCTGTAATCTCAACACTTTGGGAGGCCAAGGCGGGTGGATCACCTGAGGTCAGGAGTTCAAGACCAGCCTGGCCAACATGGCAAAACCCTGTCTCTAGTAAAAACTAAAAATATAAAAATTACCTGGGCATGGTGGCCCTTGCCTGTAGTCCCAGCTACGGGGGAGGCTGAGGCAGAAGAATCACTTGAACCCAGGCCAAGATCACACCACTGCACTCCAGCCTCGGCAGTAGAGAGAGACTTCGTTTCAAAAAAACAAAAAACAAAAACAAACAAAAAAAAGCAAGCTCTATGCACCTGGGTGGGGCCCAAGGGTGACCAGGCCGAGACTGGAGATTTCATTAGAGGGTTTCAAATCTCAAATCGTGGTCCCTGTAGACCTTGTCCCCATGCCAAGTGGTTTCCCCAGAAAAGAATTCTCTAGTCTCCTGACCTGGAGAGGGAGGGAGACATGGGAACAGCTTGAAGCCCAACTGCCCACATCCCGTAAACAGCGTGGGAAGACAAGGTGGGAATCCCACCCTTTAATTCTTTAATTTGTTTTCCTCCCAGTTTTAGTCTGGGTCTCACTCTTTCCTTTGCGAATGCCCCAAATCCTGAGTCGCCTCCAGTCAGCTTCTCAAAGAGTCGACTTCTTCTGCTGTGCTGGGAGGTATAGTTGGTCGCCTGGCTAAATGAGGCTTCAACCTGTCCGCTCCTGTCGCTCCCTCTCTCTGACCTGTGGTCCTAGCTACTCAAGAGGCTGAGGCAGAAGGATTTGCCTGAGCCCAGAAGGTTGAGGCTGCAGTGAGCCATGATCATGCCACTGCACTCCAGCCTGGGTGACAGAGTGAGAGTCTGTTTCAGATAAAGAAGTGCCAGGCTCCCATGTTTGAGCCTTTCCCAGGTTCCCAGGTCCCAGGGGCTGGTTGCTTTGCTCCTGGCAGGCTCCCCTTCCTGCAGGCTGAGATGTCGGCTTTCTCTGCTTTGCAAGTCCCTTACCCTCATCCATCTGCCCTCCGGCTTCCAAATCTTGTTAAAATCTCCTGTCTGCTTTTGTCTCCTCTCCTCTTCTCTTTATTCTGTGGGTTTATACATTTTAAAATTCCACTAAAGTCCATTTTGGTGAGGTTTCAGGAGTGAATAGGAAAAACACATCTTCAACCAGCCATCTTATCTCACATTCCTGACATTTCTCCATGGTTTTCTTTGTGTGAGCAGCATCAGCTTCCTCTCCAGTTCTCAAGCATGCCAGCGTCGTCCTGCCTCTGTGCCTTTGTGTGTGCTGCCTCCCCTCCTGGAACATGCTCCCCTCCTTTCACCTGCTTGTCACCTGGCTCACAGTGACTTACCAGACATGTGTCAGCTTAAAAATCGCCCCTCAGAGAGGCTCCCCCAATCCCGGGCCTCCTGCCTACCTAAAGCAGTTCTAGTGACTAACTTATCACACACCAGCGCTGCTGCTCCTGAATCTTCTGTGGCCCATTCTTTCCCTCTCAGACTCAGGCGGTTTTCAGAAAGAGATAGAGAAGCCAGGAGGGCTTCCTTCCCGGAGCCCAGAGCGCCCTGCGGGAAGCCCCTCGGGCCTGGGCCTAGTTTCACTCACCCTCTGCACCGATGCCTGGCTGCTGCCCTGAGTAGCTGAGCCCGTCCCTGGGATCCCTTCCAACTGCTGGCCAAGAGCGAGAGGTCAGCTGAAACAAGGCCTTCTCTTTGTTCTCCCAGCCTCCCCAGGCATCCTGGATCTTTTCATTGCACTCTCTTTTTCTCTGTTCCTGTCACTCTCTGTGTGTCTCTCTCTATCTCTGTTTCAGTGTCTCTCTCCCTGGCTCTGTTTTCTCCTCTCCTCCTTCTCCCCACCTGCCTTCTCTTCTCCCATTCTCTCTCTTCTTTTCTGTCCACCCACCTCATTTCCCCTTTGTCTGTCTCCATGTTCCTCCCACGCCCTCCCTGGCTCTGGCTCTGAGGATCCCTCTCTCTCTCTCCCTGGCACCCATGCACTCAGAAGGCACCTCCGCCTCCTTCCACTGCCTCTCTTCAGGTGCATGGCTGCCAGGGCCTTCCTGCAGTGAGGCCCAGGTGTAGTGTGGCCCGGTGGCCGGCCGGACCGCCTGCTGTCTCACACCCTTGTAAGGTTACTATTTATCTAGTGCAACCGAAGTTGGCGCACACATCTGGGGCCTGGTACTTAGTGCAATTATTTATGATTTCCACCAAGATTTAAAAGCTCATCGCCGGCCTTGTAATGCAGTAACTGATTGCGCTGCTAATGTAATTAAGAAAAGATTATGATGTCCACGTGGCGTACCAGATGGTGGCATTCATAGTAATCGGCGTGCACAACTGGCAGACAACTGCACAAGGGCAGCCGAGCGGAGGCAGCTGGAGACCAGCATCTTCCTCCAGTCACTCAGGAAGGAGAGGAGGCTGCTGGGAGTGCTGGACAGGGAAGGGTGGGGAGGGGAAGGGGAGGAGGAGAACCCAAAAGGAGAGGAGGGGTCCAGCTCCCCTGATCTGTGGCTCCGAAGTGGGTTCTGTTATTGCACACACACACATGCACTGATAAAGTTTTGCTCATACACATACACTCAAGGGCACATGCAGACACACACACATACACAGATGTCCATGAATAAGGGACTCTTGCCTTCGTGTATTCAAAAACTTAGACTGTCTCGTTGTGCTAAGCCTTGAAAATATATCAGTAAATAAAACAGTGATTCCCTTCCTTGTGGAGCTCAACAGATTAGAGAAGGAAAACCCATTGATCAAATAACCACAAGAATACATGAAAAGTTGAATTGCATTTAATGTTACAGAGAGAGGTGGGTTGTGTTATGATGGCTTCGTGGGGCGTTTGACTGGGTCGGGGAGTTCAGGGAAAGCTTCTCTGAGGAAATAACAACTGAGGTGTGATCTGAAGAATGAATAAGAGCTAACAGGTGATAAGAGAAAGGAAAGGTGTTTCAGCAGAGGGAGGATGTGCAAAGGCCCTGGGGTTAGGGCGGAGAGCACAGCTAATACACGAGTCTAAGAAAAATCCAAGGCAAACTTGAAGAAGAAAAACAAAACTGTATGCCAAGACTTTTAATAAAGCTATGGTAATGAAGGCAGTGTGGTATTGGTGCAAGGGTGGACAAACTGACCAATGAAACAGAGGAGAAAGTCTGGAAACAGACCTACACATACATGATTCCTGTATGTAGGACAAAGACAGCACCATCGTCCAATGGGAAAGGAGTGATCTTTTCAGTAAATGGTGCTGGGTCCGTTGGAGATCCATAACAAAATAAGTGTGTCTTGACCCCTATCTCACATCATACACAAAAATCTATTCCAGAATTTTGCAGAACTAAATGTGAATGGTAAAACAATAAAGCTTTTTTTTTTTTTTGAGATGGAGTCTCGCTCTTTTGCCCAGGCTGGAATGCAGCAGCACAATCTCAGCTCACTACAACCTCTGCCTCCTGGATTCAAGCAATTCTCCTGCCTCAGACTCCCGAGTAACTGGGATTGCAGGCGCGTACCACCATATCCAGCTAATTTTTTATATTTTTAATAGAGATGGGGTTTCACCATGTTGATGAGGCTGGTTTCAAACTCCTGACCTCAAGTTATCCACGTACCTCAGTCTCCCAAAGTGCTGGGATTACAGGCATGAGCCACCGTGCCTGGCCCAGCCAACAATAAAGCTTTTAGAGGAAAACATAGGAGAACAGCTCTATGACCTTGGAGTAAGCAAACATGTCCTAAACAAGTCACAAAAAGGCTATGTAAGAAAAAAATTATAAATTGAACATATTAAAATTTAAAAATTCTATTCCTAAAATATACCAGCAAGAGAGTGAAAAGCTAATGGAAACAGTGGGAGAAGATGTTTACAACTCATTTAATGAAGAACTTAGATTCATAAGATATATAAAATTTGCTACAACTCAATAACAAAAAGACAAACCACATTTTTTTAATGGGGGAAAAAACTTTAACAGGCACCTCACCAAAGAAGATATTCAAAAGGCCAATACACATATGATAAGGTGCTTGACTTCATTAGTCATAAGAGAAATGCAAACCAACTAAAATTACAAGATACCACTGCTACCCACCATGATAGTTAAAAAGATAAAATATCAAATATTAAAGAGGACATGCAGAACAAGAACTCCCATGCACTGTAGGTGGGTACTTTGGCAAATTCATTAACTGCTAAAGCTGAATATATGCACACCTGTGGCCCAGCAATTCCACTCCTTGGTATACACCACACTAAATATTTATCATGGACATGTACTAAAGTGTCCATAGTTGTACTATCTATAATAGTCAAAAACTCAAAACTACCTAAATGCCCATAAATAATAGAATGAATAAATTTATCAAAATAGATAAATTGTGGTATATTCACACATTTAAATATTATACAAAAATGCAAATAAGCAAATTACAAAAGGGTCTGATATCGTAGAACCTTGGAGAGACTTGGCCTCAAAGACGCCATGTGTAAGGGAAAGTGGAAGTGGCACATGGGGCTTAAAACAAGGGGGTTGACTGAAGGCTGGTGGATAATGCTATCTACTCCTAGACCTCCTAACCCTACTCCTACACACAGAACACCCAGAACTCTAGTGTCTAGCCACAAGGCAAGAGGTCAGAGGGTTCCTCATTGGAGAAAGCCCCAGCAAAAAAGACTACCTCATTCTAGCCCTACCTCATTTGGGGTCTTTGGCTCAACTACTCATGTATGCAAGGCTCCCAGTCAGCTTTTCATTGCCTGCCTCTTAAATATAAACAGATAACCAAGATAAAATAGAGAAATCAAGTGTATAAACAGAAAACGTGAACCCAGAGGAAATCAAGATAACATGCAAAGTAGAAGAGTATTTCAAAAGAATCAAATTAGTGTGCTCAGAAAAAGATGAAAAACTTGTAACTAGACGGTACTATACTGTCTATGAGAAAGGAACTATCAATAAGAAAGGACTCTGAGAAATTAAAAATTGAAATGCTGAAGTGAACAATTCAATAGAATTAAAAGATAAATTTAAGGGATTTTCCCAGGAGGTAAGATAAAGATAAAGGAGGCAGAAAACACAAGAAGAAAATAAGAAACAAAATATTTATTTAAGGGTTTCAATAGTTGACTAATGGTAGATCCAGAAAAATTAATTTTAAAAGGGGGCGTGGAGGAAGAATTAACAAAGATATAATACAAGAAATTTTCTCACAGCTGAAGAATACAAGTCTACAGAATAGACAGAACCACTGAATGCTCAACAAAGATAAATGCAAAGTAATCAACATATAGATACACTGCCATGAAATGTCAGAACACTAAAAATAGGCAATATAAAAAGCTTCAAGAAAGAAAAATATGTCATACATAAAGGATTAAGTACCAAAATGCCATCACATTTTTCAATAGTAGCATTGGATGCAATATTTTCAATATCATCAAAATTCTGAGAGAAATCATTTTCAACTGAATTTATATGCCCAGCCAAACTGTTGATCAATGTGAGATTAAAAGAAATAGTCTCACAAAGTTTACCTCCAGTGCACTCTTTTTAAAGGAAATTATTTGAGAATGTGCTCCAGCAAAATGAGGGAGTAAACCAAGGAAAAGGATACATGGTATCCAAGAAACAATGGGCCAACCCAGAAAAACAGCAAAGAGAAATCTCAGAAGAGAAGCAATGCACAGAGCCAAGGAGGAGCCAGACCACATTGGAGATGGAGTCTCTGGAAAGGGAGAGTATAATAAAATATGGAATTGGATGGGAAGGCTGGAAACCAATGAAAATGTGATAATGGTAAATAGCACAAGGGGAAAAGGGCAGGTAGAAATTCCAGGTTGGGGTTGGGGGTGCGGAATGATATTAAAAAAATAAAATACAATCATAATACACTACTTGGCTCTCCAAAGGAACAGTATTTAAATAGTGTTTTTGGCGTGGAGGGGTATAAGCTAAAACCTCACCTATCACAGCAGGAATACAATGACTAATGAAAGATACATAATAAATCAAGAAACAGAAATTGAAGCATATTATTGCAAGTGATCAGACATACTGTAACTAGGAGCTGTAAAGGAGCTGAAATTCTGGGATGAGAACTAGGGATTCGGGGTGGATGTGGGCAGAGATCTATTTTTTTAACCAACGTATGTAATACACTGATGTCTTTTTTAAATGGCCTTTAACTCTGGTAGCAGGGTAGAACTCTGATTACAGGTGGTTAAGAATGGATTCAGGGAAACTGGTTAGGAGAGTATTGCAGCAGTACCGGCAGGAAACAAAGGTTTATTGGACTACATTTGTGGTTGGTGGAGATGGGGACAAGACGATGGAAAAAATGCCATTAGGAGATCAAATTGACAGGCCTAGCTGGTGGGTTGGGTGAAGGGATAGTGAGAAAGCTGGGGATCCAGGGAGGATGCCTAGTTTCCTGCTTGTGCATGTGGGTGGACAGTGAGGCCCCTCAATGAGAATCCTAGTCAAGAATCAAGTTGTTAGGAGGAAGTAGTGGGCTCAGATGGAGACAGGTAGAGTTTAAGGTGCTTGGGAGGCATGGAGGACAAGACACTAGGCAGGAGGTTATAAACACAGCTCTGAGCTCCCATCACATATCCAGGGCTAGGCAACAAGCCTGTTAATGCAGGTGAGCTCTCCTAGGGAGGGACTGAGGACACCAGAGAGAAGTAGTTGATGGTGTAAGGGTGACACTGGTCTCACATCAGATATATCCAGCACAGAGACCCGGACTGGTACAGATCTCAACATAGTCACACAGTCACAGCATCCTTACAGGCACACTTATAACTCAGACCCCCCAAGGATTAGCCATTACTTTAATTTTTTTTTTTCAAGACAGGGTCTCACTCTGTCACCCAGGTTGGAGTGCAGTGGTGCGATCACAATTCACTGCAGGCTCTACCTCCCCGGCCCAATCCATCCATCCACCTCAGCCTCCTCAGTAGCTGGGACTACAGGTGCATGCTACCACACCCAGCTAGTTATTTTTTATTTTAACTTTTTGTAGACACGTGTTCTCACTATGTTACCCAGGCTGGTCTCAAATTCCTGGGCTCAAGTGATTCACCCACCATGGCTCCCCAAAGCACTAAGATTACAGTCATGAGCCACTGTGCCTGGCCTAATATTAAAATAAGATAGTTCAAGAGCACTCATCCTCATGCTGTGGAAGACCTCCTCCAATATTTCTATTCTTGGTTTGCAGGAAGACTCTCCTGAGTCAGATCACACTGCAGCTACACTCAGCACAAGCCCCAGCCCCTAACTGTGGCCCCGACTTCCAACTTTGGCTGATTGTACCCACATACCCACCCCATTTATTTTCCCCAAATGGCACCAGCAAAGGTTGTTGTGTGTAGCAGACTTCTATTAAAAATTTGGGACAGTTACAGTATACAACGGAAGCAAATTAAAACTCAGTATCAGGCATCATCATTTCTAGAAATGTATCAGCTGTACCGCACCATAGGGAATTCTGTACTGGCCATGACTTTGCATGGAATCCCTCCCTTGCTCCCTGTTAGGGTCCTCTTCATTCCCTCTGGCCTTTCCTCCCATCTCCCTTTGTCTTGTCTCTGCATCCTCCATCCCCTGCCTCCCAGGCTGACCCCAGAAATTATGCGAGAAATTCAGCTCTCTCTTTGTTCTCCCTCACCTTGCAGACCTTGCCAGGCCACTTACAACACCCAAGGGGGCCAACAATTTATTTCACAAAACAAAGAGCTATCTCTCATGAGATGAATGATGTCTGTCTCCTAGAATGGTAAACTGGCTGCCTTCTGGCCATTCTTTATTTTTATTTTATTATTTTATTTTTTCAGAGGCAGCGTCTCACTCTGTTACCCAGGCTGGAGTGCAGTGGCATGACCATAGCTCACTGCAGCCTCTAACTCCTGGGCTCAAGCGATCCTCCCACCTCAGCCTCCCAAGTAGCTGGGACTACAGGCGTGTGCCACCACACCTGTCTAATTTTGTATTTTTTGTAGAGATAGGGGTCTTGCTATGTTGCCCAAACTACTGATCTCAAACTACTGGGCTCAAGTAATCCCCCCAGGCCTCGGCCTCCCAAAGTGCTGGGATTATAGGCATGAGCCACCACACCCAGCCTGGCCATTCTCTGAAAAGCACCCCTCACATACACTCATGTGCAGGCATGTACATTTACTTTTACATTTGCTTATGTGCACACATGTTCATAATTGCATATACACACTCATGTGCACACGTTCACACTTATACACACTTGGACATGCAGATGGGCTAAAGGCTTTTCACAGTGAGCATCTAGGGGTAGATGGAAATCACCCACTCAGGTTAACCCCACCCCTAGTGCGAGTGTGTGCATGCACGTGTCTGTGCGTACACTGGCTCTCTGCTGCTTTACGCACTGAGCTGTCTTAAGGGAGTCTGCTTCTGAACCCGTGCCTGTCACCTGGGGAAAGGTCTCTCCTCTGCCCAGCAGCTAGAACCGAGCTGGTGAGCCTGAGTTGGCTGGGACTGTGCTGGGGTCTAAAACATGGCTCTGTCACAATGTCACAGAGGCGGCCTCACCCCGGGCAAACAAGCCAGGAATGGGGGGCTGTGGCAGGAATAATGGCCCCCACCAAAGACGTCCATGTCCTAATCCCCAGAACCTGGGAATATGCCAGTACCCATGTGCACAAGGGGCTTTGCAGACATGATTCAGCTGAGGATCTTAAAATGAGCTGAGCAGGCCCAATGTAACCACAGGAGTCATGAGGGAAAGGGAGGCAGGAGTGTCAGAGAAGACAACAGGACAATGGGGGAAGAGGTCAGAGGGCTGGAACACGGGCTTTGAAGATGGAGGAAGAGGCCCCAAGCCAAGGAATACAGCAGCCCCTAAAAGCTGGAAAAGGCCTGGGAAGGCTTCCTGGAGCCTCTGGAAGGAACACAGCCCTGGCTTCCCCTTAATCTTAGCCCTGTAAAGCTCCTTTTAGACTTCTCCAGAACTGCGAGGGACTATATTTGTATTGTTTCAGCCACTAAGTCTGCCGCCATTTGTTTTGGGTTGTTTGTTTGCTTGCTTGCTTGCTTGTTTTGAGACAGAATCTCACTCTGTCGCCCAGGCTGAAGTGCAGTGGCACGATCTCGGCTCACAGCAACATCCACCTCCCGGATTCAAGCCATCCTCCCATGTCAGCCTCCCGAGTAGCTGGGATTACAGGCACGTGCCACCAGGCCCAGCTAATTTTTGTACTTTTAGTAGAGACAGGTTTCACCATTTGGCCAGGCTGGTCTCGAACTCCTGACCTCAGGTTATCCACCCGCCTTGGCCTCCCAAATGCCAGGATTACCAGGTGTGAGTCATCATACCCAGCCTGCTGCCATTTGTTACTGCAACATTAAGAAACTAGCGCAGGTGCCCCGAGGTGCTGCCAGCTCTTGGAGGCCAGAGATCAGGATAGGGTGAGGTCCTGGGAGGTGTTGCCTCCAGCGGGACTCAAGTTCGGGCCTCTCTGGGTCACTGCCCTGCAGCTATGTGGGGAGCTCGCAAAGACTAAGGAGAAAGGTTCTGCCCAGGTTGCCAGAGAGCAGGGGCTTTCCGGGACTGCGTGGTGTCTCCGGGAGTAGGAGGCTCTGGAGAAGGAGTTAGGCCTGATCATGAAGCAGCCCCTCTCCAGAGGCCACTCCTGCAGGAAGAGAAGCTGGAGGCCAGGGACCCGCTTTCAGGAACAGCAGCCATGAGCCCCTGGGTCTGTGGCTGAGGAAGGGGCAAACCCTGCCATCTTACCGTCTGCCTTTGGAAGGGATTCCAGGTTCTTTAGCTGATGATAGCCAAGCCCCCAGCCTCAGAGGAGAGCCAGTCAATCCCAGCTTGTGTTAATTGCCAGACCGGGCAACTCAGATTCAGGTCTGTGCCAGCCATCTCTGGACCCCACGCCAGAGCAACTGTCCAGCAAGCACCAATGAGCCTGTGTAGGGGGCAGCAAGGGACAGGAAGCCCAGACCCATCTGGGATTGCTACAGAAAAGGGGATCCTCTGGGGCCCATGAATCATCCAGCCATGTTCCTGGACCTCCTGAATGGAAAATTCCAGGGCATCTTCAACCTTAGTTCCTCACACGCTTGGATGAGATCCTAAGTGTCGCTCTTGACTTTGTGCTCATAATTCCAGCAGAACCCATGGTTCTCCTGGGCTGTGGCAGTCCAGTATAATCCCAAGAAATGACCTTGGACGAATGTCTTGAGTTCTGTAGTCCTCAGTCTCTTTCTCTGTGAAATGGATCATGTAATAGTTATCAACCTCACAGTGCTGTTGTAAGGATTAGGTGAAATAATGAGTATTAACTTCCTGGAATAAAGCACAAGAAAAGACTTCTTTTTAAAAAATCTTTTAAAGTGCAGGGACCAAATTTCTGGATCACATTCTGGCCCATCACCATCTGATGCCCACCAAGCACTGGCTATCCTAAGAAAGCGAGTACTCTGGGCCATCCAGAATTTTCTGGGTTTTGCAAATTTTCCAACTCCACTTCCCTGTTGATAAAAGTTCTCAAAAATGGGTGGAGAATCCTAGAAATCCCATCTAAGGATTTATCTATGAATGCTAAAGGACAAGAGAGCAAGAGTGGTGTTTATTATGGTGAAAATGGAAAATTCCATGGCCAATAGCAAAGGTATCATTAAATATATAAAATGGGTTTGCTGACTAAAATGTTATGCATTGATATAAAGGTATTTATACATTTTCTGAAAATTATGACAATTTATCTGTATGGAAATAGAAATATGTTCATGATATATTAAAAAACTCATTATTTAAAACTATTGTTAAATAATTATGTATGTAACATATAATACACACATTTTGATGTATATATGTGTGTTTATGTCAGATACACACAAATATCTTAGATTTATGCACACGTATACATATACACATATACATATAATTTATATTTTAAAACATGTATACGTGTATATCTGTGTGTGTGTGTGTATGAATCTATATACACAGAAAATGGAAAAACAATCTGGAATTAAATAGACCAAAAAGTTAGTGATTGAAATGGTTATTACTGATTAGTGGAATTTCAGATGCCTTTTATTTTCTTCTTTATAGCTTTATGCATTGTCTGAAAAACATGCAATATGTATATACTAGTCTTTTTCACAATGTTAAAACATTTTACACACACAGTATTGACGATGTCATAAAATATCATGAAACTACCAATCAACTTAAGACATATGTTACTTTTCTTGAGAGGAAAATTAGTTTAAGTTATTTTTTAAAATATGTGTTCCATGTCTTTGCTATTGCCAACAGCACTGCAATGAACATATGCATGCATGTGTTTTTTTAATAGAATGATTTATACTTCTTTGGGTATATACCCAATAATGGGATTGCTGAGTGAAATGGTATTTGTGTCTTTAGGTCTTTGAGAAATTGCCACACTGTCTTCCACAATGGTTGAACTAATTTACACTCCCACCAACGGTGTATAATCACTAGTCACAATAGCAAAGACATGGAATCAACATAAATGCCTACCAATAATAGACTGGATAAAGAAAATGTGGTACATATACATCATGGAATACTATGCAGCCATAAAAAAGAATAAGATACTGTCCTTTGCAGGGACATGGATGGAGACAGAGGCCATTATCCTTAGCAAACTAACACAGGAACAGAAAACCAAATACTGCATCTTCTCACTTATAAGTGGGAGCTAAATGATGAGAACACATGGACACATAGGGGGGAAATTAAACAAAATGGGGCTTTTCAGACGATGGAGGATGGAAAGAGGGAGAGGATCAGGAAAAATAACTAATGGGTACTAGGCTTAATAACTGGGTGATGAAATAGTCTGTACACCAAACCCCCATGACACAAGTTTACCTGTGTAATAAACCTGCACTTGTACCCCTGAACTTAAAATAAAAGGTTTACAGAAAAGTTTTCTATTATTATTCAAATAATAAGAAATATATAAAAATAAAGTCTCTAGTTCACCTCAATTTTATTGAATTATGAAATTTTATTGAAAAACTTTAAAATGTAATATGAAAAACTGGAAAATAGATACCATATTTTTGGAGGGAAAGGCTTAATATAAAATGTCAATTCTCCCAACAGTAATGTATAAATGTAATGAATTATATTATAGTACCATTATAACTCATTATAATGAGTTACATTATAATACCATCTGATTATAGAACCATTTTTAATTGGATGAAATGATAATAAAGTTCATGTAAAAGAATAATGTCTAAGAATGGCCAAAAAAAATTTAAAGGGAAATATCTTGCCTTGCCTTATAGATATTAAAATATACTATAAAGCCACTAGAATCCAACAACATGGTATTGGCATAGAATTAGTGGATTCACAGAAAGCTTTGGAACAGAATAAAGAACCCAGAAATATGTCCTAGTATGAAAATTTAATACATAATAAATACTTTACCTCATTAAGAAAAAAATTAATAAATAATGCTAGCAAAAAGCAGCTGTTTGATTGTAAGAAAATGAAGTTGGATCCTTCAAACCAACACAAATTTAAACTCCAATGGGTTAATAAGACTTAAATATAAAAACAAAACATAAAACCTTAGAAAAAAATTTAGGTGAATACATGTATAATGCAGTGTGTAGGGGGCACTTTTACCTGTGACAAGAAACCTAGAATCTATAAAGAAATAATCGTTTTTGACTACATAAAATTTAATCTCATCCAGTTAATTTTTATTTCAGATATTGTATTTTTTGGTTCTAGAATTCCCATTTGCTCATTTGTATAGTCTATTTCCAACTGAAGTTTTCTGTTTAATCATTCATTGCTAGTATATTTTTCTTCATGTCCTTGAGCATAGTTATAACAGCTACTTTTAAATTCTTGTCTCTTAATTCTAACATCTAGGTCACATTAAGGTTATTCTCCATTGATTGCCTTTTCTATTAATATGGCTCACATTTTGCCGTTTCTTCATATATCTAGTAGTTTTGGATTGTATCCTGGACACTGTCAATGATAAGTTGTAGAGACTCTGGATTTTATTATGTTCTTCTGAGTGTCGGCTTTTTATTTTAGCAGGCAGTTAACTTGGCTGAACTCAAACTTCAAAGTCTCCCCTCTGGTAGACAGCAGCTGAAATCTCTGTTCAGCTATTTTAGCCACAGTTAGGATTCCAGGAGCCTCCCAGATGAATTCACAGTTCAGAAAACAGCCTGAAGTTTGGGTGGAGAATTCGGAACATATCCTCCATGGAGTTCTCCTTCCCGGAATTTCCTCCTTTACTTTTCAATTTCTGTGGAAGTCCCAGATTCTGCCCTGTGATTCCTTAACAAGTAAGAATGCAGATTTCTATCCAACTTTTAACTGACTTATGTGGTGCTATGTGGGCCCCGCAGGGCAGTGACCCAGGGAGGCCTGAATTTGATGGCAGCCAAGCCTCCGGCCTCAGAGGGGAGCCAGTCATATAAAATATAAAAATAAGAAACACTGTCATTCCCTTCTTAGAAATGTCAGATGTTATAAGTTCTGCCTGGTTTGGGTCACTTTTAGTGCCCCCACCTAGCCTTTTGTCCAGAATTTATAATTGCTATCTGTGGGAGAGATTGTCTTTTACAAGGTACTCTGTCATTATTGGAAGTACAACTCTCTGACTACATACAACTTAAACTTTTTTAGGCCGGGCACGGTGGCTCATGCCTGTAATCCCAGCCCTTTGGGAGACTGAGGCAGGCGGATCACCTGAGGTCAGGAGTTCAAGACCAGCCTGGCCAACATGGTGGAACCCCATCTCTACTAAAAATACAAAAATTAGCTGGGTGTGGTGGGTGCCTGTAATCCCAGCTACTCAGGAGACTGGGCTCAGCAGGAGAATTGTTTGAACCCAGAGGCGGAGGTTGCAGTGAGCCAACATCGCACCACAGCACTGCAGCCTGGGCACCAGAGTGAGACTCTGTCTCAAAAAAGTAAAAAATAAATAAATTTTAAACATTTTTAGATGGCTAAATGTTCCCATAAACAAAGCTAAAAGACAAGCACTGAATTTGGGGAAAACATATTCGCAACGCCTACGACGGAGAAAGAGTTAATTTTTAGCTCTTACAAATTGTTAAGCAAAAGACAAAGCATCCAATAGAAAAATATTCCCAGGATATGAATAGGCTCAGAGAAGAGTAAACCCAAATGGCCAATAAACATATGGCTCAACCTCCTAGTACTCAGGGAAATGCAAATTAAAGTAACAATGAGGTAGCACTTCTCACCCATCATACTGGCAACAATTCAAAAGAATGTTAACACCTACTACTGATGAGAGTGATAGGAAAAGTATATTTTCATACACTGCTGGTTCAAATGAGAACTGATACTGCCTTTTTGGAAAGCAATATGGAACAAATCTATTTTAAAGATCTAAGTATACATAGGCTTCAACCCAACAATCCCACTCATAAGAAATTTGTCCCAGAAATAAACAAAAGCACTCAGATGTAGGAATATATAAAGGTGTTAATGTCACAATATTTGTAGTGGCCAAAGAGCCAGAAAGAATCTGTCAATAGAAAAGGGTTTAAATAATTATACGGTCATGCCATGGAACAAGAAGCAACCATTAAAAAAAATAGATTCAGCCGGGTGCGGTGGCTCATGCCTGTAATCCCAGCACTTCGGGATGCTAAGGTGGGCAGATCACCTGAGGTCAGGAGTTCGAGACCAGCCTGGCTAACATGGTGAAACCCCATTTCTGTTAAAAATACAAAAAATCAGCTGGACATGGTGGTGTGCGCCTGTAATCCCAGCTACTCAGGAGGCTGAGGCAGAAGAATCGCTTGAACCTGGGAGGTGGAGGCTGCAGTGAGCCGAGATCACGCCATTGCACTCCAGCTTGGGCAACAAGAGTGAAACTTTGTCTCAAAAAAAAAGAGAAAGAATAGATTCACTTGGATGGGTTTCCACAATGCATTGTTAGTTGAAAAATTCAAGAAATATATGTAATGTGATCCATTTGGTCAAATAAAGATCAGCAAGCCCTATATGTATACGATGCACAGGCACATGGAAGATATGGGATACACGCCAGGTTATTAACTTTGGTTTGGGGAATATCAGGGAAAGACCAGGGAGATGGAAAAGAGGGTCAGACAAAACAAAAGTGTTTTAAAAGTTTCCGTGAAAACAGCAATGTATGTGATATATTTGTGGACAAACGTGTGTATGAAAGCAGAGAAACAGAAAGGTGTTTGAGGACTGGGCACAGTGGTTCATGCCTGTAATCCCAGCACTTTGGGAGGCCGAGGAGGGTGGATCACCTGAGGTCAGGAGTTCAAGACCAGCCTGGCCAACATGGTGAAACCCTGTCTCTACTAAAAATACAAAAATTAGCCGGGCGTGGTGGCAGGTGCCTGTAATCCCAGCTACTCAGGAGGCTGAGGCAGGGAGAATTGCTTGAACCCAGGAGGTGGAGGTTGCAGTGAGCTGAGATCGTGCCACTGCACTGCAGCCTGGGTGACACAGCAAGACTCCATCTCAAAAAAAACAAAAAAAAGAAAAAGAAAAAAGAAAGGTGTTTGAGCAGGATCAAAATGTCCATGGTGAGGTTTAGGGAATTATTAATTTGTTCTTTATACAATTTTATATACTTCTTTCTTAAAACCTTTTTATTTATGGTAGAGATGAGGCCTTGCTATGTTGCCCAGGTTGGTCTCCAACTCCTGGCCTCAAGTGATCCTCCCACCTTGGCCTCCCAAAAATGGGGAGAGTTTGAAGTTTGAGTTCAGCCAAGTTAACTGCCTGCAAAAATAAAAAGTCGACACTCAGAAGAACATAATAAAATCCAGAGTCTTTACAACTTATCACCTAGGCTGGAATGCAGTGGCATAAACATAGCTCACTGCAGCCTCAAACTCCTGGGTTCAAAGGATCCTGTCTCAGCCTCCCAAATAGCTAGGAATACAGGCAAACATCACCATGCCTGGCTAATTTTTTGTAGAGATGGGGTCTTGCTATGTTGCCCAAGCTGTTCTCAAACTCCTGGCCTCAAATGACACTCTCACCTTGGCCTCCCAATGTGCTGAGATTACAGGTATGAGCCACTGCACCTGGCCTTTAAACACTATTTTTTAAAAAATCTTTTAAGTATGTGTTAACTACATAAATAGAAAAAGTAAAGGTATTTTTATCATGAAGAAAGATTTTTTTTAACTCCAGAAGTATATAGAGTCAAAAGTGAAAACTAAAAGACCAACCCAATTTCCATTCTCCAGAGCTAATCACTTTTAACATTTTGATGAAGGCATGTCCAGATTATATAGATTACATATACATAATACATATATATGCATACCACATACATACACACACACACACACTATATATATATATGTATATATATATATATATATATCCTATTTTTCTTTTTTAATAAAAAGGTCAGAAAAATAATAAAGGGGGTGGGAGGAAACTTTGGGAGGTGATGAATATGTTGATGGCCTTGATGATGATGATTTCACACATATATACTTATCCCTAAACGCATCAAGTTGTATAGATTAAATATGTACAGCTTTTTATATGTCAATCATGTCTCAATAAAGCAATTTTTTTAAAAAAGAAAAAGAGTCAAAAGAAGAAGAAAAGATGAAAGTGTAGCCTTCTGGGAGTTTCAGAACCCGGGTTACAGAGTCTAACCTGCCCCTCCTCCACTGCGTCTCCTCCTACCTCTGTATTCCTGACACAGATGCCTGGGGCACTGTCACAGGAGGTCCTGGGCCCGGGACCTCTATCCTCGTGCATTCTTCTTAAGGAACTGTCTGCTGTAAGCACCAAGTGTCCCTAAAAAAGGCGCCATCTCAGCAGCTGGAATGGTGCAGCACTGGCACAAGCACCCCCAGCTCAGCCAGACGAGGGGACCCCGTCGTCCCTGTGGCTTGAATACTTCCCCATACACCATGGATGGTGCTAGGACTTAATTATGTTCTCCACAAATTCATATGTCGAAATTCTAATTCCCAATAGGACAGTATTTGGAGATGGGGCCTTTGGGAGACAATTAAAGTGATACCAGATATTACTGGATCAGTGCTGAACTTCTTGGGTTGACCGTGGTACTGTGGTTATGTAGGAGAGTGTCCTTGCTCTTAGAAGATACTCTGAAGTATTTTGAAATGAAATGTTGTGATGTCTGCAAATAACTCCCAAATGAGGCTGGGTAGGGGAGAAAACCAATGTTACAAGATTTTAATAGGTTGGTGAAGCTAGGGGATAGTAACTATTCTTTTCTTTCCATTTTTTGGTGAAGTTGAACTTTTTCAAAATAAAAGCTGTGGGAAAGCTGGGTCCATGTCTGGTCACTGGCCAGCTCCCCACTGCTGCTGTGTTGATCCTCCCCTTTCTCCCTCCTGATCCTTCTTCCCCACCCACCAGTCTATTCTCGCAGAGCTACCCAAGAGACTGTCTTAAGACTTGCCATTCCCATCATGACTAATTCTTTCTTTCTTTTTTCTTTTTCTTTTTTTTTTTTTTGGATACAGAGTCTCACTCTGTTGCCCAGGCTGAGTGCAGTGGCATGATCTCGGCTCACTGCAACCTCCACCTCCAGGGTTCAAGCGATTCTCCTGCCTCAGCCTCCCGAGTAGCTGGGATTACAGGTGCGTGTCACCACACCTGGCTAATTTTTGTAGTTTTAGTAGAGATGGGGTTTTACCATGTCAGTGAGGCTTGTCTCGAACTTCTGACCTCTGGTGATCCGCCTGCCTCAGCCTCCCAAAGTGCTGGGATTACAGGTGTAAGCCACCACGCCTGGCCCTCCTAAGGCTTTCTTGACTCCTAAAACAAAATCCAAATTCCCTACTGAGGTCTCTAAGTCCTTCCACGGTCTGGCCCCACTGGCCTGCCATCCTCACCACACTCATTGTACCCCAGCCTCAGGGCCTTTGCACAGGCTGTTCCCTATGTCTGAACCCTCTGCCCCCAGATTTTCATGTGGCTTTCTTTTTCTCATTATTTGCACATCTGCTCAATGCCACCTCCATTGAGAAGCCCTCCCTGACTACTTTTACTTAAATAGCTTCCCCATTCCCACCCAGTCGAACTCTCTCTGTCAACCCAACTTAATTTTCTTCTCAGCACTTGTTTTGTTTCTGTCTCCCCTGCCGGAATGTAACATGCTCCCAAAGTGGAGGCTTTGTCTAGTCAATGATGTTTTCTTAGCACCGAGAACAAAGCCCAGCACATAGTAGGTACACAATTAATACATCTTAAATGAAGATGTAGATAGTCACTGATACAGACACATATAAATGAATGTGCTTACACAAACACACACTGTCACACAGGAAGACACACAACTGCTCAGTGAAGTACACATAGAGAAATAATCACAGACACATCTGTGAACAGCACACAATTATGTAGCTCATATAAACACATAAACACACATTCATACAAGACATCCGGATGGACTCATGCACTAACACATGTTAATCTTTACCTATACATCTACTAATCCACACACATACGAACATTGACGTGCACAGTCACGTATACCCAGACAAAAAAACATGCTCACGCAGCCACACGTGTATGAAGAGTCAGGAGCACAGTCATGAACGGACACCTACACACACACACTCACCCTTGCCTGGCCTGGGACTGATGCCCTTGCTAAGCCTGGCTTGGGTGGGCACCACTGGGCCACTCTGCAACCCTTGGCTGGGAGGACCTCAAACCTCCTGGCAGCACTCCCCTCCCAGGATAGGCGATCTGAGAAGGGGTGGGGGCTGCTAGGCACCTCTAGAATTATGACTGCTCTGAGGCTGCCTTTAGGAGCAGCAATGTCACCGAGGCCATTAGCTGCCTGGGCAGGGCCGTAAAACACGCCTGGCTCAGCACCCTCTCCTCCAGCCACGTCTGTGTCTGTGGTCACCCTGCCTACAGGGCAGTGCCGAATGCCAGAGACAGTGGCCTCTCATGGCCAGGTGCTAATGAGACGAGGTCAGCAGGAAAAAGCTCCCCAGTGACCCCAGGTGGCTAATCACCTGGCCGGTTGGCTGATGACCCTATGGGGTCAGGGCAGGCAGCAGGCAGTGGTTCTCAGTGAGGCAAGGCAAACCGGTCTACGCTCTGCCCAGAGCCAGCTGGAGCCAGCAGGGGCTGGGGCTAGAGAGGGCTATGGCCACCAGGGGAGGGCCTGAGATGACACCTGGCCACCCAGGTGGGCTCTGTCAGTGCCTGGAGCTCCCAAGGCACACTCAAGGCCAGATGCCAGGCAGCAAGCCAACCCTAGAGCCCAGCAGCTGGCATAGCCCAAGCTGCTCCAGGCCCCCTGCCTGATGTGCCGAGGATGCCAGTCTGAGCTCCTGAAGTCTTCTGGGAGCTGGATGTGCCTGTTGCCCCAGCACCCATGCGGGAGACCCTGAGGAACCCTCTGTGGCCATCCTCCCCAGCCCCTGCTCACGGGGAGCCTTTGGGTGACGCCCCCTGCTGGGCGCAGGAGTGGAGGGACAGCTTCCAGAGGGGTCCCTACCATACGTCTAAAAGCCTAGAAGCTGAAGAGAATGCAGTTTGTTCAGGAACTCAGTGACATAGCTGTGAAGAGGGACCAGCGTGATGGAGGGCGGCGGTGGGAGGGGACATGGTGCGTTCAGGGCTTGAGAGAAACCTAGGCTGGCTGGAAGGGGGTGGGGGAGCTAAAGAACAGGTGATGCCCAAACCATGCAGCCCCAAGACAACAATTTGGGGCTTTAGCCTGAGAACACTGGGAGCCACAGATGGGTAAAGGAGTGATGTGATCTGATTTGACACGATGTCCCTGGCCGTCTCCTGCAGCACGTGGCCATTATTCCAATACAGAAGTGCCAAGGTGGACTGGGACAGGAAAAGGGGAGGAGACATCTTACATTGTGTCAGGGACTGTGCACCAGCAACCCATGTTTTGCCAAAAGAATGCTACTTGCAACCGGTGTTAAACCAAGAAGCTGGGTTCCATTCATTCATTCATTCACACATGCATGTGTTCTTGTATCTACCATCATATAGGCCTCACGGAGATAAGAAATAAACCCGATCCTGCCATCCAGGGGTGTACTGTCCAGTAGAGGAGGAGGAAAGGGAAGGGGCAGGAGCTGGAACCAGCATTTATGGAGCGCCTGCTGTATGCCTCACAATCACCCACTGAGGGAGGTACTTCCCAGCCCATTTTATAGACAAGGAAACTGAGACTCGGGGTGAAGCCACCGGTCCACATTCTCACAAAGGGCTCCAGCCCCGGGGGCAGAAAGGTTTCAGAGTGACAGAGAGCAGCCTGAGCTCCTCCAAGGGTAATTTCAATCCTTGTCTTCAGGCCCAGCAAGGTTCTGAAGTTCCCAGAAAGGATGAGACCCTGGGGGATTGTCTGAGGGCCCAGCGCTGCCTCCCCCTCAGCTGTGATTAATGCCTGACAGTCCCTCCACTTGCAGGGAACTCATCAGACTAATATTTCCTGATGTGAACTCCGTGTCGCCCTCGAATGAGAAATCCCAGCCCCTTCACCTTCCGTGCCCCAGATGAATGGGCTCCCATCCCGAGTCCCGTGAATGATGCAGCCCACATCTGCAGAGGGAGCTCGATAAAGACCCTTTATCAGCAGAACCATGGCTCCCCATGGCCAGCCATCGGACCCCAGCTCCCCTGTCACGCTACTCCCCTGGAGCTGACCCTGGACTGCCTGCCAGAGACAGGGAGGCAAGGTCAGTGCCTAGCAGATGGGAAGAAAGGGTTCCGTAAAGGAGGGATAGGCCTTCTCCAGCCCTGCCTCCCATAGCTGGGACTCTTGAGGATCAGAGGGAAGGGGCGGGGTCTGCCAACATTTTGTGGTGAGCCCAAGGAGGGCGTGAGCATGTGGCCAGGCTAGCATCAGATGCCTGCTGAAGGCAACCTAGAACCTCCAAAGTTCTGTGGAGTGGAAATGGAGGGTGTGGAACCAAGTGGTTCTAGGAACAGAAACACCAGTGGTTGGTCTAGTGGTAAGAGAAAATAGAAACGATACCCAGTATCATGTGTTGAGTGCTCGCCATGTGCTAGGCATGGTGCCAAACATCAATATGCATTGTTGCCCCTGATCCTCACAGAGCCTCGTGTGAAAGGAGGTATGATCCCCTTTTACAGGAGAGAAAAGTGAGGCCTAGAGCAGTTAAATGATACTCTGAGTGGAGGTGTCAAGATTCAACCTTAGATTTCCCTAGCTTCCAAGCTGTGCTTTTAGCTATTCATCATGCAGACATTCAACTGCTATTTGTAAAATGCCATCTTTGTGCCTAGCATTGAGCCAAGTGCTGGGACTACACAAGGCAAACATGGTCCCTGTCCTCCTGGAGCTTGCAGTCCTGTGGGGAGCTGACCTCCCACAAGGGGACTGTGGTGCTTCAGTGAGAATGTGGGTGAGGCCTGGGTGCTCAAGGAGAGTCTCGCCAAGGAGAGGGAAGCACCTTATCTTGCCCTTAGCACAGTGCTTCCTAGGGAGAAGCCAGTCCAACCCCTAGTGTGGGTCCTGAGAACAAGTCCTCCTTGAGGTGGCCAAAGGTGGAAAGAATCCAGGGCTGAAAGTCAAAGCACTGAAGGCCAAAGCCAGGAAAAAGAGAGCAGCCATCCTGCCCAGCAGGTGCCCATGGGCTGATGGCAGAAGTGGAGTTGGAATGTGGATGGGACAGAATCAACCAGAAGGAAACCAGGGGTCTCCTGCTCGAAGGGGGCGGCCAGAGCTGTGTGGACCCTGGCTGTGGGGCAGCTTGGGCTGGCCTCCAGATGGAGACGGAGAAGATGGATGTCCACACCCGAAAGGGATCTCCCCGCTGAGGGTGCCCCCCGCCCCGACCACAGGATATACTTGGAGTCAGGTACACAGCAGGTGATCCATCTGTGGGAGGCCCCGAGCCAGAGGCTCAGGGAGCAGGTGTGACTCAGGGGTGAGCTGGCATGCGTGATGAAGGCGGCTCAAGCCCCAGACAAGCAGCGTGGGTTCCAGCTCAAGCTCCAGGCCCTGCAGGAAGAGGGACAAGGGTAAGAGCCAGATCTAAGCAGACCCACAGCCAGAGCGGAGGGTGCTAAGAGTAACATTGAAGGTCACCTGCCGATGGTGCTGTGGCCAAGCGGCCACTCTCCAGTCAGTAAGGGTGGGCCTGGGGCTCCCACTGGGAAAGGCAGGGTAGGCAGAGCCACCCACCCACGCCTGGGGCTGCCAGGAGCTGGAAGTATGGGGTGGGAAGAGCCTAAGCCCTGGCTGCAGAAAAGCTCGTCTCTCCCCTGCATTTTACCTGTAGTTTGGCTCTAGGACCTCATCGTGTGCAGTTTCCTGTATTGTAAAGGATGGACACATCATGCCCTCTGACCTGCTCCCTCCCTGAGCCCCACCTGCGCAAGGCTCCACCCTGTTTCTGAAGCTGCCTTGAACCTGACCCTCAATTCATCCTTGACCCTTACCCTGTCCCTGACCCCATTCCTGAGCCTCACTCCATCCTGAAATTTCTTCCATCTCTGGGCTTCAGCCCCTCCCTGTCTTTTCACCCCTTCCTCAGTCCACTCCAGTTCTAAGCCTCTCTCCTCCCACATCTGGTTACCCCATTTCTGACTCCCGCTCCAACCCTGCCATCCCACACCCTACCCCAGATCCTTCCCCATCCTTCCCGCCCACACTGCCTCTGGAATGGGGTTGGGATTCAGCAAGGCTCTGGGAAGAGAGAGGAAGGTATCTGTTGTTCATATTCCTTATAAATTATTTCAAAGCTGACCGGGCGCGGTGGCTCGTGCCTATAATCCCAGCACTTTGGGAGGCTGAGGCAGGCACTTGAGGTCAGAAGTTCGAGACCAACCTGGTCAACATGGTGAAACCCTGTCTCTATTAAAAATACAAAAATTAGCCGGACCAGGTGGTGGGGCCTGTAATCCCAGCTACTCGGGAGGCTGAGGCGGGAGAATCACTTGAACCTGGGAGTTGGAGATTGCAGTGAGCCAAGATCGTGCCACTGCACTCCAGCCTGGGCGACAGAGTAAGACCCTGTCTCAAAAAATAATAATAATGATTATTTCAAAGCTGAGAGGTTCCTGTTTTCTTTGGGTGGGGGGGGGCAAAAAAAAACAGGTGGGAATTTCAAAATCCACTTTATAAAACAGGTGGGAATTTCAAAATGACCTCATTAAAATGCCAGATATAGTATCAATCCATAGCTTGAGACACCAGAATAGTGGTCCCCCTTGTGCGAGGAGGGAGGATTGAGACTGGAGCAGGACACAGAGGGAGGGGGACTTCTGGGGGCGAGTGATGTGGTTTCTGGAGTTGGATGTTGGAAACACAGGTGTATTCGGTTGGTAAGATTCATCAAGCAATATATTTATTATTTGTGCACTTTTCGGTATCTATGCTATACTTCAATAAAAAGTTTTTCTGTAATGCTCTGTAGCCTGGGCAGATTGGACCCTCAGGGCAACAGAGCTGGCTGCTGGGTCCCTGTAGCAGTGGGGTCATGCCACGCTGGGGGCACGCCACCCTGGGGGCCTTCGGAAAAGCAGAGTCTGGTTCTCTGCTCCCAGGACGGTTTCATCCCAACGGGATGCTGACGAGGAGCCCCCACCCGCCCTCTGCTCAGCCACACACCCCATTGTCCTCTGGGACCTTGCCTTGGTGCCAGCTGCCTTTCCTACCCTAACAGCTGTATTTTTCAGGTACAATATGACAGGCTCAATCTATTCCTGTTATATATTTCCCAGTAAATGGACAAGGTGAAAACAGTGTCAGTTCAAATCACTATCATGACACTTAATTCTGATTTACTGTACCTTTTGCTGCAATCTTGAAAGTGCCTGCATCTGTGGTGAGCTGGATCGCCCAGCCAGGCCCCACGGGGTCGACGTTAAGATCAGCTTCAATAAAAGAATTTAGGGTAAGGCAGCCCCAGGTGGGTGGGGGGCAAGCTGGGGCCCAGAGGACCAGCCAGCGGAGACGCTGAAGCTGCTGCTCTTCCACACCTCCCTCCCTCGACTCTTTGTCCCCAGCCCTGTGTTTGCAGCAGCTGGGAAATTTATGGAGGCTCCATAAACGGGTTTTACAGACAGCTGTTAGAGCGTGCGGAGCAAGGCTTGGCTGTCGGGGGACCCAGTCGCAGGCTTACAGCCAAGACACTTAAATATTATGGCCCCACATATATAAAAAGTGTGCTGCGCACATCCTCAGCTGCCTCCCTCCTCCTGACCCAGGAGCACGGGGTCTGGCCAGAGAATAGCAATGCTCGCAGTTGCTGGCTCGGCAGAGACAGAATGCCCGCTGCAACCCCTTACCGCAGCCCCTGCAACCGCCACCGGGAAACTCTGGCAGGGCTGGGAGCAGAGAGATTCATCCAAACAGCAGTGCCAGCGCGTGCTGGCCCCCGCCTGCCCCTGCTCTCCGGGCCCACTGCGCCAGGCTCAGCTCACCAAGTTCTCTTAGCCTCACGGCCTTGCTCCAGCTGTTTCTACTGCCTTGAAAGCGCTCTTTCTTTCTCCCAATCCCCTAGCCTTTTCTTGGCCAATTCCTACCTACCCTTCCAGAACCCGGCCTAAATGGTGCTTTCTCAAAGGCACGGTCACCACCCTTCAGAGTCAGGTCTCCTCTTAGAAATGCTCATAGCCCCCCGGACTTCTTCATAACATTTATAACAATTGTAATTAAATAATTATTGGTGTCATTATCTGTTTAATATCTGTCTTCCCCACTGGACAATAAACTCCGTGAAAACAGGGACTCTATCTGAATTATCCCTACTGCCTTGTGCAGGGCCTGGCACTCAGTGAATATGTGATGAATGATGGCACGCCTGAATGAGTGAATACGCAGCGATGAATTCCACACAACCCTCAGACAGAACACAGCAAAATGTGCTCAGTTCCTAAGAGCAGGAGAAGGATTCCTCAAAGAGAAGGCACTCTACAAGGGGGAATCCAGACAGGCTTCCAGGAAGAGGCACCATCAGCCCTCATAGTATAAGTAAAGCGCTTTCATTCAGAAGCCCCAACCATGAAGCTTAAAATGTGAGACAGTGAGTGAGTCCTTTAGTCTCGGTGAGCCTCCGCTTCCCATCTTTAAAATGGGACTAATGATGGTTCCTACATCATATGGTTATTGTGAAGGTCAAATGTACTTAGCACAGCACATGTAATAAAAGTTCTTTAAACTATATCACTAGTAAATATAGCTGGAGCTTGGTAATGCCAGGCAATGGGAACAACATATATGAAGGTATTGATGAGGAGTAAAAATCATTCTCTGCTGCCTCGGAAGCCATGCCTTGTATCTCAGAAATTCAGCCTGAGCTATTTGACCAGGGGAGAGTGTCTGACCTGATAAGAGCCAGTGATAGGTGGCTGGTCAGGGACCTATGACCTAAGGCCAATGAGATTTCCTCTCATGGGTGATTGATTGAAGAGACATGAGAAGAATTGGCAGGAAGAGCAGAAACTGTAAGTTCCATGATGAAAATATCATGGCACAACAAAATAGAAATTAAGTAAGTGCAGGGGTCAGAGAGAGCCAGTCCAGCCCATCTCAAGCCTTATGATGGAAGTCTTATTTTTTTCTGTTGGAGGAGGCAGCATAGTAGTGCAATTAAATTCGACTTCTCGCTCACAAGCGTACAAGCTGTGTGACCTTGGACAGAATACTTAACCTCTCTGAGCTTCAATTTCCTTGTTTGTAACATAGGGATGATAAAAGCATTATCTCAGAAAGTTGTATGGATTCAATGAAATAATGTGGTGGACTATATTACCATTCACTGGTATCCTCACCAAGACCAACCAGCCTGGTTTCAAAGATATTGTGATTGCTTAAGACTTGGCACTACTCCAGGGCCTCTAATCTTTTGTGGATAGAAAACAGGCTGAGAGGCCGGGCGTGGTGGCTCATGCCTGTAATCCCAGAACTTTGGGAGGCCGAGGCAGGTGGATCACCTGAGGTCAGGGGTTCGAGACCAGCCTGGCCAACATGGTGAAACCCTGTCTCTACTAAAAATAAAAAATTAGCTGGGCGTGGTGGTGCGTGCCTGTAGTCCCAGCTACTCAGGAGGCTGAGGCAGTAGAATCGCTTGAACCCAGGAGGCAGAGGTTGCAGTGAGCTGAGATTGCGCCACTGCACTCTAGCCTGGGCAACAGAGTGAGACTCCGTCTCAAAAAAAAAGAAAAGAAAACAGGCTGAGAAATATGCCTAACCCGCAAACTGAATATATTCTCCAACATGGAGAAAGGATAGGTGGAGACTATGAAAATTGCCAATATTCAACCATTTTGGTTCACAAAAGCTGTCCCATAGAGTTCAACATTAGAAGAGGAAGGATCCCTCAGGATCCAAGAGCCCTGGAGAATGCAAGACTAGGGCATTCCTCCCGGGAGACAGAATCAGGACCTGATCAAGGAACATTCCCCGTGCCCAGTGAAGGAACCCTTTGAAATGTGGGTCCAGCCTGATTTCAGAATTTCTCCAGTGCTCTGACTGCCATGTGTCTCCCATTCTGGTCCCTTCGAATAGAAGTGTTTAACTGAGATTGCCCTGTTCCATTTCACCACAGCATATTGAGTCTGTGGGTGGGAGGTAGCCGGTCTTTTTGGTTCATAGATCTCTGAACCAAAATGAGCCAGTTATTTCCTCTCCCTAATGAGTTTCAACTTGATCACAAGATCACACAAGATCCTGGACTTTGGGCTTCAGCCTGAACTAGTGGCTGGATGGAACTTTGGATTGCTTGCCTGGAGGTGAACATGTTCTACATGTAGGAGGTAGAGGGAATTGAACATGTGGTGACCAGAAGAACAGGGCCAATCCAGATTTTTTTTGGCCACTAATGCCCTAGCCCATTGAAGTCAGTCTTCGCCACGTAACTCACTTTGACCAACAAAATGTGAGTAGAAGTGACATGTCACTCTAAGCAGAAACTGCTAGAGTCAATTTGTATTTGGCCACATTTTCACATTTTCTTTCCTACTAAAACAACAAACACAACCAGCAATGGTCCAGACAGAGAATGCTCCAGCGGCCTGGATTCTGGAAGAAAAAAAGTGAATTGCCAAACCCTAGCCAACTTGACCTGGACAGTAGCATGAGTGAGAAATAGACACTGTAAGATCCTGGGATTTTGTTACTGCAACATAGCTTGGCTTATCCTGACTGACCCAATCACTCAACACAGAGCCTGGCTCAAAATAGGTGTCATCACGACTTTTTTCCTATCTCTCGAAAGCCAGATAATCATATTAAAATTCCTGGAGACACACATAAAGTATGAGTTTGGTTTGGTAAATAATTAAATGGAACTAGAGTGAAGCCTACATGGAGGGGAGTAGTTAACAATAAAAGTGAGAAACTGAGGCTGGGTATGGTGGCTCATGCTTGTAATCCCAGCACTTTGGGAGGCTGAAGTGCGCTGACTGCTTGAGGCCAGAAGTTCGAGACCAGCTTAGGCAACAAAGTAACACTCTGTCTCTACAAAAAAAAAATATATATATATATATATATTATATATATATATATATATAAATTAGCTAGGAGAGGTGGCATGCACCTATAGTCCCAGGTACTGAGGAGGCTGAGGTGGGAGGATCACTTGAGTCCAGGAATTCAAGGCCACAGTGAGCTATGATCACACCATTGCACTCCAGCCTGGGCAA
Organism: Homo sapiens; assembly: GCF_000001405.40. Taxonomy (NCBI): domain Eukaryota; kingdom Metazoa; phylum Chordata; class Mammalia; order Primates; family Hominidae; genus Homo; species Homo sapiens. The sequence goes on from NC_000009.12 coordinate 126,301,919, forward strand.
CAGAGACAGGCCTCCTCTCTAGAAAATAAAAATAAAGCGAGAAACAGAGGCCAGATTATCAAGGACTTGCAATAGAAGCCATATGTTTGGCTGAACTTATTTTGTAAAGGGTACAAATAAAATCACCTTTACAATTCCAATGTTAATTTCCCTATCAGAAGAAAGAGTATCTTTCTTACCCTCTCACACCAAGTTAAATCTGAGATCCCCAACAGGAGTCAGTTGAGGTTACTGCTATCTCACAGAGAGGAGCAGAAAATCCAATCTGTCCACCAGAGGGAGGGCCTGTGTTCCTGGCTGCTGGCTTCTCTGCCTTTCAGTGTCACAGCTGAAAACAGACCCGCCCAAAACAAGCAGCATAAAAGAAACAATTGATAGACCTCCCCACGCTAAAATGTAACACTTCTAAATGACCTAAATGACCGCAGACACCATAAACAAGCTAAAAACAAGCTATAACCTGGGAGAAAATATTTGCAATTTATATAACAGATAAGGGATTAGCATCCAGAATATATAAAGAATTCTAGCAAATCAATAAGAAAAAGACAAATGGCCCAATAGAACACTCAGCAAATGATAAAAAACAGTCGATTTATAGAAAAGGAAATTCAAATGGCCAATAAACTTGAAGAATGTTCAATTTCACTAGTAATCAAGGAAATAAAACATTAAGTGACTTTGAACTATATTTCACTCATCAGATTGGAAAAAAGAAATTAAAGCATTAAAGCTTGATATGAAATGTTAGTGAGAGTGTGTGGAATTCGGGACTCTTGGATCCTGCTGGTCACAATGGAAATTCGTATCACCACTTTGAAGAACAAGAAATCCACTTGCCAGTATCTCCTCTGGAGATAATGTTTGCACATGTACACAAGGAGACCTCTGTGAGGGTTTTTACTGAAGTACTTTCCATAAGAATAAAAAACTGGAGACAGCCCAAATGTCTATCAACAGGGAATTTGCTCAATAAACCATAGCATGGCCCTACTATGAAGTATTATGCAACCATTTAAAAGAATGGGGTAAATCTATGACATCACCTGGAGAGATATTGTTGGGCAAATAAAGCAAGAGTCAAATACTTAGAGTAGTACCTTTTATGTAGAGACAAAGAGGACGAGAAAAACAGAAACACCCAAAGTAAGTTTTTAAAATTTTATATGAGTATGGATGCATAAAAAATACTTGAAACAATGATTCAAAAGGAAATACGAGTAGCAATCTCTGAGACTTCGGGAAAGGACTTTGTGTGGTGGTGGTGGTGGTGGTGGTGGTTATGGTTGAGAGAGTGGCAGGAAAGAATTAAAAGGGACTTGAGCTTTATCAATATTTTTGTATTTTTTACAGAAGACAAAAAGGAGAAAGTATTTATGAACTGCTTGTATAATTGAAAATTAATTATTCATAAAGAGAAAAACAGGCTGTCTGGCAGCTCGGTGAACCCCCTCCCACTGACAGAAAGACAGTGCAGAGCTAGGAGCACACACATCCCACCACTGATGGGGGACAGTCATTTTTCAGGGCACATGGAGGGAGAAACAGTGGGTTAGTCAGGACAACCTAACTGCTGTAAATAACAACACCAACATCTCAGTGCTTTAACACAAGTTTTTGTCTCACTCACTTCACAAGTTAATGCACAGTTGGGTGGAGGCTCTGTTCCACACAGTCACTTAGGGGCCCAGGCCCCTTCCATGTTATGGTTCTGTCATCTCATGGCGCTTTGCCTTTCAGGCCTAGAAGTAACCATACCTCACATTCTATTTGCCAGAACTGAGTCAAATGGTTTCACCTAACTGCGAAGGAGGCTGGGAAATGTAGTCTAGCTGGGTGCTAGGAAGAGGAAAATGGCTTGATGATCGTATAGCAGTCTCTGCTACACTCAGCCCTGGTGGCTCCAGCTTCTATTTACACAGTTGTTTTAGGACATATCCCAGCCTGGCTTCTCACAATAAAATGGCACAGGGACCTATCACCTATAAGCCATCTAAAAATTCAGGTCTTAAACGTAAACTGCCCAATTCTCCTTGCTTGGCACCCTGCAAGTAAATGCCTTCCTTTCTCCCACTACAAACCTTGGTGTGGATATCTGGTCCTACTGTGCCAGGCAAGGGCACCCCACATTGGTTTGGGAGTCACTCTACTCCCAACAGCCTCTCCCCCAACCTCCCTGCACCAAGCCATTTTCCCCAAGGCACCCTCAAGCTGTCAGTTTAGGAGGGGTTTCCAACTCTGACCATCCTCTAAGCCTAGACCCACCCTCTGTCCCCATCTCACTGTCTTGGTAGTGTAGCAAAAAGGAAATCCTTCCCCAATCCCCACGTCCAAATGAAATGCCCACCCTATTTGTATGCCCCGAAGACTACTTTCTCCAGGAGGAATGTTCACCTTTTGCTACACAGGGCTGGGGAATGCAAATTCCACTCAGAAGCAACAGGAAACTTGGAAAAAGTTCTGAGTAGGGCACTGATGTGACGAAATCCATGCCTCAGGAATTGGTGATGGGGCAGCAGTGAAGGGGTGAACCTGGTTTGGAGGTGATAACAGGGTCCTGCTGTGGTACTTGATGCGAAAGGATCACTTAGGCAAGTCTGGGGCATAGGAAGAAGACGAAGAAACACTCAGCTCTCCTCAAGATGTGTCCTTGTAGCTCCCAGCATCCGGAAATTAGGTCAGCTGAAGGGATGGACTTCCAGACACTGCCCAGTCTCTGACACAGGGCAGAGGAGCTAAGACAGGTGGGAGAAGCGCTTGGCAGAGGAGGGAGCCCTGGGTGAGCCCCCATTTTCTGAGAGGGAGCGGCTGGGCCATGGAACCAGAAGCAGTCCAGGGGAGGGGAAGCTGCATGCCAAGGCTATCTTGAGGGCAGGAATGTGGCCAGGGTGGGCAGGGCCAGGTTCATGAGTAGGTACCTGTGAAGTCATACCCAAGCTCCAGCAGGCCCTGAGCTTGGTTTAATGCTCTGCTGTGGCTGTTTTGAAATTCTTAGCAATTTTATCTTTGAACTGTGTTCTGTAAGTAAAGATAATAGGGGCAATGGAGCATGCTGTGAACAGAGTAGATAACATGCAAAATGCACATCCCTGTTCCCCGTTCTCAGTGGTTTCCATGCCCATGAGCACGGAATTCCAGTGGACCCACAATGAGTGGGAGTCCAATGACTGTCAAAGCAATCAGAAGGCAAGCGTGTTACTTCTGCGGCTAAGTGGGATGCTGAAAGCCCCAAGAGGCCACACTCCCTCTGCAAACCAGAACTTGCTTCAAACAGAAAGGAGGTGTTCTGAGAAACGTGAACTACCAAGCAACCCTAGCATATCCTTTCCTATCCATGATACTTCCCCGCATTAGCCAACCACTTAGCCAAAAACCACGATGGGAGCAAAGGAACAGATAGCACAACCGTCGTTCCTTTTCCTTTCAGACCTTCCGTACTCATCTATAAGCTGGAGGTAGACAGTGTTAGGAGAGTGTGAATATATCTAGAAGTGGAATAAAAGCAGGGAGTGAGTGTTGTGCAGTATTTCTACGTTCTGATGAGGACAAAATGCATATGTCTATGTGAGCTATGAAATACGTGTATTGGTGGCGGGCGCCTGTAATCCCAGCTACTCGGGAGGCCGAGGCGGGAGAATTGCTTGAACACGGGAGTCGGAGGTTGCATTGAGCAGAGATCTTGCCATTGAACTCCAGCCTGGGCAACAAGAGCGAAACTCCATCTCAAAAAAAAAAAAAAAAGAAATATGCGTATAACTTAGGTGATTCTGCACATGAGTTAAATGCTCTAATGTTTGCATTTAAAACTGACTTTGTAAAATACAGAGTAAAACTTGTACTAATAATTTGAAATTATGTGTTTTTTATTTTTACTTAGAGTGACATTACATAGCAAACTGAAACCATTATAAGTCAAGAGAGAGACCACTGAGGAAAGGAGAAAACTTTTTATTTTAATATTTTTTTGGTGGCACTTTTCTCCTGCTTTTTGAACAGGGGACTCATTTTCATTTTGGAACTGGGCCCTGCAAATTATGTTGCCAGCCCCAAGGCATTTTTTTTTTAAATGGAATCTCGCTCTATTACCCAGGCTGGAGTGCAGTGGCACAATTTCGGCTCACTGCAACCTCTGTCTCCCAGGTTCAAGTGATTCTCCTGCCTCAGCCTCCTGAGTAGCTGGGATTACAGGTGCCCACCATCATGCTCAGCTAATTTTTGTATTTTTAGTAGAGATGGGGTATCACCATGTTGGCCAGTCTGGTCTCGAACTGCTAACCTCAAGTGATAAGCCCCCTCAGCCTCCCAAAGTGCTGGGATTACATGGGTAAGCCACCGCGCCCAGGCTGGGAAAGCGTTTCGACTTGCTTTCTTCTTGACTGGGGATTTGAACTCTTCTGTAATCTGGCTCTATCTCTGATTCTGGTAGCAAATTGTCCCATGGTTTAGAGCTAGGCTTGAGCCAGGCTGCCTTGATTCAAGTCCCAGCTCAGCTTTTGCTGGCTGTGTGATCTCAGGCAAGTTACTTGACCTCTCTGGCCTCTATTTTGCCATCTCTTGAATGGGGATTTCGGTAACAGTACCTACTTCCAAGGGTTGTTGAGAAGGCTGGATGAGTGAATACCTGCAAAGTGTTTGCACAGCCCTTGAGATCTCCAAATGGAACTCAGCTGTGTGAGCTATTATCACAGCATTTTCCACAATTCCACTGCCCAGTGGAGGAAGCCCCCAGGTGCCATCTCCTCTTGTATCTTGGTGCCACCAGGAAATTGGGCCAAACTCAGGCTGAGGAAGGGGCTGTGGGAAATGTGGCCCTGGGCTTCATGTCTGCAGGGGTCCATGCTGCCTCCAGGGCTCTGTGCAAGGCTGTGAAGGCGATAGTGGGTCTGGGGTGACACTGGGGGACATTGAGGGTCTCTTGGCCTCCATGTCTGAATTCATTTGCCAGGGCTGCCATGACAAAGGACCGCAGACTGTGGCTTACACAACAGGAATTTATCTCCTCAGAGTTCTGGAGGCTGGAAGTCCAAGTCAAGTTGCCAGCAGGGTTGGTTTTTCCTAAGGCCTCACTCGGCGTGGAGATGGCTGTCTTCTCCCTGTGTCTTCACGTTCTTCCCTCTGTGTGTGTCTGCGTCCAGATCTCCTCTTCTCCTAGGGACACCAGTCCTACTGGATTAGGGACCTCACCCCAGTGACCTCATTTCAACCTTCATTACCTCTTTAAAGGCCCTCCCTCCAAACACAGCACATTCTGAGGTAGTGGGTGGGGGTTAGGACTTCAACACATGAATTTTGAGAAAGACACAGTTTGGCCCACAACAATGTCTGTGAATGCTTGGCCATTCCTGGGCCCCTGTGACTGTGTGATTGCACATCTGTGCTTCTGTGTCAGAGTCTGTGTGTCTGTCTGTCTGTCTGTCTGAGCGTCTGACCATAAAGAACTCTGTCCTTGTGAATTTTTGGAGCTGGGACTCCTGGGTCTCGGCTGCCTTTGCTTATGAGACCTCGACAGGGTTCTGTGTGGACTTGACCATGTCTGTAAGTTGGCCTGCAATCCAGGATGTTATAGGTCAGGGAGACTGGGACCTGTGCGAACAGGATCTGTCCCTGTCTGGGCCCCTGTGAATGTGGGTCCTATCATGCATCTCTCTATGGTCTGAAATCCAGCCATCTCTGAGCATGTGGCTGTAAGGCAGAATTTGAAAGGAGAGGGGAAGGATCATATTAATTTGAGATTTGAAAGGAGACAGAGTGTTTACAAAAGCAGAGGAACAGCGGGTTAAACATCTGTTGACGATGACGGTGAGGACAGCAGCTGAGGCTGGGCCGGCTCCAGTGTGAGCTCTGTGGCATGTTGACATCTTTAAAACTGTCACAAAACCAGATACAGAAGCAAAACAGTGGGACTGAGGGAATCTGCTGATGGGGGCCGGGGCGGGCAGTGCAGGAAGCAGAAGGGTCTGGGAGGGGGACTTCATGAAGAGGCCTCTTTGTCTCGGGACCAGGGAAGCGCACAGCTGACCCCTCCAACACTGACCTCTTTCTCTCTCTCCACCCATTTTCTCTGCAGCTGAAACAAATCTGTGCGCCCCAAGGCCTGGGGCTGTCGGGTGGGCATGGCCCTCCCTGCCAAGACGCCACCCAGACTGTGCTTGGGGCTCTACAGGAAGCTTCTGTGTTCCTCCCTACAAGCCTGCAAGGGGCAGACGGCAATTATTATTCCCATTTAAGAGTTGAGGAGGCTAGGCACAGTAGCTCACACCTGTAATCCCAGCACTTTGGGAGGCCCAGGTGGGAGGATCATTTGAGCCCAGGTGTTCAAGACCAGCCTGGGCAACATGGCAAAACCCCATCTCTACAAAAACACAAAAATTAGCTGGGCTTGGTGGTGCATACCTATAGTCTCAACTACTTGGGAGGCTGAGGCAGGAGGATTCCTTGAGCCCAGGATGTTGAGGCTGCAGTGAACTATGATTGCACCATTGCACTCCAGCCTGGGAGACAGAGAGAGACCCTGTCTCAAAAAAAACAAGGGAAACTAAGACCCAAAGAGACTAGATGACTTGGTCAGGCTGTAGCACCTAGGATTTCAGTGAGGTCTAATTGCTCTAGTCGCCCAGGCTGGAGTGCAATGGCGTGATCTCAGCTCACCGCAACCTCTGCCTCCCGGGTTCAAGCGATTCTCCTGCCTCAGCCTCCCCAGTAGCTGGGATTTCAGGCGCCAGCCACTACGCCCAGCTAATTTTTGTACTTTTTAGTAGAGACGGGGTTTCACCACGTTGGCCAGGCTGGTCTCGAACTCCTGACCTCAGGTGATCCACCCGCCTCGGCCTCCCAAAGTGCTGGGATTACAGGCATAAGCCACCATGCCTGGACTGTAATTTTTGCCTATTAACTCACACTAAGCAGGGCCTGTCTTCCCTGGGTCTCCTGTGAGCGCTGGGTTGTGTCTATAGAGCTGTTCCAAGCTTGCCTCCATGGGGATCCAAGATTTTCCTCTGGTCCCAGGTGAGATTGCTTACTAATTTTGCAGGGTAAATGCCAGTGGCTCCAGACTTTATACTGGGGCATGCTCTAGCCCTGGACTCCCATTATTTTTTCCATTCCTGGCCCAAGAGATTGGCAAGACTATTTCCCTCCTTTGCAGACCAGCAGGCAAAACTTTTCCCTACAAGTTTTGATAGGTAGAGCTGCTGTGCTTGTTTATTTGTAAGCATGGTACTTTCTAATTTCCATGATATCAAGGCTTTGGGCCCCATCTATGAGTTTTGACAAGGAGCATTTTCCAACCCAAGCATCCCAAAGGCCCTTGAACTTTTGGCTTTGACCCGTCATTGATTCACAAATCTTTTGTTTAATTTCCAAAGTTTCCTTTTTCTTCTGATCTTTTGTCAGTTCTAACAGATTTTTAGAGTGGATACTAACTAGAAAGGATAGAGCTAGAGAGGTGTCTAGAGTTGTTATTTTAGTTGAATGTTTAACTAAATTGACAATGCCTGATTATCAGTATGCAGGCCAGTTATGGAGTGGCCAGGTCAAATCCCTGCTCCAGGACTGACTTAGCTGTGCCACTTGGATGCCCCACTCCACTAATGGTCTCAGGCCACTGGCTGCTCATTGGGAGGACAGTGGGAGCCGTGGGCAGAGTTGTTCTGTCCCTCTTCCTCTGTGGCTCCTGGCTGTATGCACATAGCACTGTTCCAGCCCATTGCATTCACAGGGCCCAAGGCTCCCAGCACCCTCCCTCTCCCCAGCAAGCCCCTCAACCTCACATTCTGCTCACTGTCCCAGCTCTGAATTTCCTCTTTCTCTGGTCCCTGGGGCTTCCTTTTTCTTGGCTAGGAACTCAACCATGCATTTATATTTTTTGTTTATATTTTATCGAGTATTGTAATGTATATAGAGCAGGAGGGGGGATTTCCCATATTGGCAGTTATGGCCTGAATGTATCCTCCCCAAATTCACATGTTGAAACCTGATCACCAAGGCGATGATATTAGAACGTGGGGCCTTTGGGAGGTAATTAGGTCACGAGGGCTCCATCCTGTGACTGGGGTTAATGCCCTTATAAAAGAGGCACCAAGGAGCTGCCGTTCCCTTCTGCCATGTAAGCACACAGCAAAGAGCCACCTATGAAGCAGAGACCCCTCACCGGAAACTGAATCTGCTGGCACCTTGATCTTGGACTTCCTGGTCCAAGATCCTGGTCCTAGAACTGTAAGAAATAAATGTCTTTTGTTGTAAATTACGCTGTCTAAGGGATCTTGTTACAGCAGCCTGAATGAACTGAGACATTGGCTCAGTGCACTGCATTAGTTAGAATCCCCAACACAATTAGCTACATGACTTTGAGCAAGATACATAATTTCTCTGAACCTCAGTTTCTTCGTGTATAAAATAAGTAGGTCCTACAATAAGAGTATCTATATAATAGGTTTTGTGGGTTTTCTTAGGCAGAGTCTTGCTCTGTCACCCAGGCTGGATGGAGTATAGTGGCGTGATCTGGGTTCACATGGCTCACTGCAACCTCCGCCTCCCGGACTCAAGCGATTCTCCCACCTCAGCCTTCTGAGTATCTGGGACCACAGCGCCCGCCACTGCCCCTGGCTAAATTTTTTGTATTTTTAGTAGAGACGGAGTTTCACCATGTTGGCCAGGCTGGTCTCGAGCTCCTGACCTCAAGTTATCCACCCACCTTGGCCTCCCAAAGTGCTGGTATTACAGGCATAAGCCACTGCACCTGGCCCCAAAATAGGTTGTTATAAGGCTTGTGTAGACAGGTGTGCCAAGAGTTTAACATACATGGTGTCTGGAACAGGGTAGGTGCCCAATAAGTGATAGGTGCTATTGTCATTCCTGCTCCTGTTTTACATATAAAGGTCTGGGGCTTAGAGAGATTGAGTAGCTTGCCTAAAGTCACACAGCTGGACAGCAGTATAATCCCCAGATGTTTGAGTTTTCCCAGACCAGGAGCCAGACATGGGAGTGAATAGGTCTTCAGAATGACCTGGGCCGCAATCACTGTCTGAATACAACTTCATGAGAAACCCCAACTGGGAACTGCCTAGTAGAACCCAGCCAACTCCCAGATTTGTGAGCAAAGCAAACAATTCCTGTTATTGTAAGCCACTGTTTTAAGAAGGCTGGTCACACAAAACTAGATAACAGGAACCGTGTCCTAATGCTTACAGGGTACAGTTAACTCCTCAGCAGATGCAGGGAAACACAGAGCTGCATCATTTGTTCATTCATCCTGTATTAGGCCATTCTTTCATTGCAATAAAGAAAAACCTGAAGGCTGGGTATGGTGGCTCATGCCTGTAATCCCAGCACTTTGGGAGGCCAAGGCGGGCGGATCACCTGAGGTCAGGAGTTCAAGACCAGCCTGGCCAACATGGTGAAACTCTGTCTCTACAAAAATTAGCCGGGCATGATGGCTGGTGCCTGTAATCCCAGCTACTCGGGAGGCTGAGGCAGGAGAATCGCTTGAACCTGGGAGGCAGAGGTTGCAGTGAGCTGAGATCGCGCCATTGCACTCCAGCCTGGGTGACACAGCGAGACTCCATCTCAAAAAAAAAAAAAAAGAAAGAAAGAAAAAAAAAAGAAACAGAAAAACCTGAGACTGGGTAATTTATAAAGAAAATAGGTTGAATTGGCTCACAGTTCCACAGGCTATACAGAAAGCGTGATGCTGGTATCTGCTTGGCTTCTGGGGAGGCCTCAGGAAATTTACCATCATGGCAGAAGGCAAAAGGGAAGCAGGCATGTCACATGGCCAGAGCAGGAAGAGAGAGAGGGGAGAGGTGCTACACACTTTTAAATGACCAGATCTCATGAGAACTCACTATCATGAGGACAGTACCACAAGGGGATGATACTAAACCATTCATGAGAAATCCATCCCCATGATCCAGTCAGCTCTCACCAGACCCCCACTCCAATGCTGGGGGTTACAATTTGATATGAGATTTGTTGGAGACAGAGATCCAAACCACATCACATCCACTCACTCAACAAACATTTATGAGCTCTTGTGTGCCCTGGGCTCTTTGCTAAGCACTGGGGATTCAAGGGCAAATAAGACAGAAACATTGGAAAGATGGGAAATAAACAAAAACACCAGGTAGTGAGGCATTGAGATTAAAATAAAACTTGGTGAGATAGAATGACAAATGGGGCTTTTCAACTTTTAGATGATCAGGGAAGTTTGCTCTGAGGAGGTGGCATTTAGGTTGAGGTGAATGTTAAGAGGAAATATTATCTGGAAGCAGACTATTCCAGGCAGAATGCAGATGCCACTGGGGGAGTGAGCTTGGTGTGTCTGAGCCTCCTTCAAGGGCCAGTGTGGCTGGAACAGGGTGGATGTGGGAGCCGAGGACAGGAGGGGGTACCTGAGAGGTAGGCAGGGGCCACAACACAGAGTGCTTTGTAGACCACTCAAAAGATTCTAGATTTTCTTCTAAATGCAATGGGAAGGCACCAGTGGGCATTTTTAGTGAGTGGTGTATCAGTCAGAATGGGATAGGCATGGTACAGTAACAAATAAACCCTAGAATCTCTGTGGTTTGCTCTGATAGACATTTATTTCTCTGCTACATCACAGTCTACCAGGTTTCTGGAAGGTTTCTTCTGAATGGTAAGCCAGGAGCCCAGGCTGCCTCCATCCTATGGTTCCATCACCTTGTAGCTTCAAGGTCACTCTGAGGTTATCTACCTGAGGGCAGGTAGAAAGGGAAGAGAGAACGGGGAAGCCCACGAGGTACTTAACTACTGTAGCCTGGGATTAATACACAGCACTTCTGCTCACATCTCCATTGGCCAGAACCAGTCACATGGCCAACCTAACTGCAAGGGAGGTTGGGAAACATGAAGGAGCACACCAATATGCTCAAGGGCCCCAGAAGCCTCTACCACAGATGGCAAGGTACTCTGATTATATTTTAATTGGCATTCTGGTTTCTGTGTGAGAAATTTAAATCATCAGTAGTGGGAGTTTCAGCCACATCAGGCTCTGAAATGACATCTTAACTCCTTCCCCTTTGGGTTTGTCATTTGTGGCCTTATTTGCCGGGTAAATTTTACCTCCTGGAACAAAAAAGCATATGCTGAAAGTTGGTCCTAAAGGGACATTTAGGTCAAAGCTGTAGTAAAGAGTTCAAAGACAAATGTTTAATCAGGAGGCCCTGATTCTCAGACCTTGGGATTTCAGGGACTGGAAAATTCCAAAAACAATTTGGCAAACCAACAAAGAGTTGCCTACAGAGAAGCCAACAAAGAGTTAGTCTGTCTCATAAGTATCTATGCTGTCACCATAATTTCATAAAATAAAGTCCATCTTAAAATTTATCAGTTGGAAGGAAATAATAACACAATGAAGAACATTCCAGCCGGGCACAGTGGCCAATGCCTGTAATCCCAGCACTTTGGGAAGTGGAGGTGCAGGATCACTTGAGCCCAGGAGTTCAAGACCAACCTGGGCAACATAGCAAGACCCCATCCATTAAAAAAAAAAAGAAAAAAGAAAAGGAAAGAAAATAACACACTTTTCATTGAAGAGACATTTGACAAATTTGCACATATCACACACACATGCACATGTACCACACACTCGCCAGATATTCACAGGTACTATACATTAGTTGGCCTTCTGGAATTGCCCATGAGAATCTTTTATCATCATTAAATAAGTGAATCTGTGCGATGACCCACTGTGGAAATATATGGAGTTGCCTGTGTGAGAAGCTGCTTGATGATAAATTACCATCTTTCATTCAAAGAATCACCCTAAAAACTTTCAATTTGGGAGTTATACTTAAAATCAGTTTGTCAGCCAGGCACAGTGGCATGCACCTGTAGTTCCAGCTACTCGGGAGGCTGAGACAGGAGGATCACTTGAGGTCAGGAGTTCCAGGATGCAGTGTGTGATGATTGTGTCTGTGAATAGCCACTGCACTCCAGCCTGGGCAACATAGCAAGATCCTGTCTCTAAAGTAAAAAATAAATGAAATAAAATCATTTTGGCTTCTTTTACTGGGGCATCTTAATATTCACCTCGTGTCCCTCTCAACTGGTAGCCATATAGGCCTCTTGTGTTAATAACTGCTTACCTATTTGTGGTGTCTTTCCTCTTGGTGCCCTCAAAGTGAATTTTGTGCATACCATGTAGCTTCAGTTTTAAGCCAGAGTATTCCAAACATCCACTTACATTCAACATGTCCGGTCATTTTCATGCGTTGTGGTAACACACAGACAGAAATGCAATTCTGTTTCTATCATGCCACATTGTCCCTATTTCTCATTTCCCTACTTGCATGTCCATCTCATTGACAAGCGCTGGTCTGTGAACTCGTGCTTGGAGGCTATAGGGCTGGGCGTGCAACAGGAGCCAAAAGCCAAAGCCAAACACGGTGGTCTAGGAACTGTGATTCTGAGAGTCAAGGGTGGCCACATGGGCAATGGGCAGAAGCCTGGGTGAAGACAAGAAGAGTAGGCACAGGGCTTAGTGCTTAGTGAGAGGCTATGGAGGACCTTGAAGGGTAAGCTAGGAGACCTAGGGATCTGTCAGGACCTGTAGGAGCCGGCCAGACTCCATTCACTTCTGGAGCCTTCCTTCACCAGGTCCCCTTGAGTCCCCATCCCTGCAGTCAGACTGTCTTCCCTGCCATCCCCACACAAGACCTCTTTCTTATATTTTTGTGACCTTTGCCCATGACCTTCCTGCCTGAAGCATCTCCTTCCTGGGCCCCTGCCCCACCACTTCCGCTTGGCCAATGTGTATGTATCCTTCACAAGGAACAGGCCTGTTCTTCCACACAGCTAAAAATAAGTTTGGCGCTCAGTAGAGGCACCTTCTTTACTGTCCTAAGCCTTGAAGCTGACAACTTGGAGGTGAGGCATAAGAGAAAAAGAGGAGGAGAAGATGGCGCCCAGGTTATTGGCTGAGCAACTGGAAAGATGGAGCTCCCGATGGATGGGGTGGGGAAGACCGAGGGAGGAGAAGGTTTGAAAGGGATGACCAGAGCTGAGGTCTAGATGTGGGATGCCCACAAGCTATTCAAATGGACATGTCAGGTAGGCTGTTGGATATACATGTTTGGGGTTCAGGGAAGAGGACCAGGCTAAAGGCATCAATTTGAGAATCACTAGCATAATTGGATTTAAAAGAACTTTTGGATGAGGTTATGTGGGATGTGGCTCCCACTAGCCCTCAGCCTGGGACACTAGATCCTTCCAACTGGGCGTCATCCACCAACCGAGCCTCATGCCTTCCCCTCCCACCTGTGCACCCTTCACACTGGCCCCAGCAAACCTCTCATCCTCCTGCACCCTGCACTTGGGGACAGGTTTCCTGGCTTGTCTGCCTATTGACTGCCCCTCGTTTCTCAAGGACTGGCTCATACCTTCTTTTTCTTTGTAGCTTCTTCCTGGAAGAGTGAATATTTCTATTCTTACTTTTCCCACAGCATTTTGACTGTATGTATTGATACCCTTGGCAAATGACCTCACACTATGTTATAATACCTGTGTTGTGGATAAATATTTTGAAAGAGTGTTTTCTCCTTGGCAATTCCTTCTAGCACCTTAACCTGGTTCTCATCCCTCTTTAAAAGTTACGCTTCAGCCAAGTGTGGTGGCTCACACCTGCAATCCCAGCATTTTGGGAGGCCAAGGTGGGCAGATCACCTGAGGTCAGGAGTTCAAGACCAGCATGGCCAACACGGTGGAACCCTGTCTCTACTAAAAACACAAAAAATTAGCTGGGCATGGTGGTGGGTGCCTGTAATCCCAGCTACTCAGGAGGCTGAGGCAAGAGAATCGCTTGAATCTGGGAGACAGAGGTTGCACTGAGCCGAGATCACACCATTGCACTCCAGCCTGGGCAACAAGAGTGAAACTCCATCTCAAAAAAAAAAAAAAAAAAAAAGAAAAAAAAAAAAAGTTAGGCTTCATATCTCAAGGAAGAAGTGATACAAAACAAAAACAAAAAATAAACAGCAAAACAAAAGGTTAATTTTGTAGCTTTGAGTTTTTACATTTCACTACTAAAAATCTATGGCATCAAGAGAATGAGAAGACAAGCCACAGACTGGTAGAAAATATTTGCAAAAGATATAACTGATAAAGGACTATTATTCAAAATATGTAAAGAGCTCTTAAAAGTCAACAATAAGAAAAAAATGATTTAAAAATGGGCCAAAGACCTTAACAGACACCTCACCAAAGAAGATGACAAAATAAGCACATGGAAATATGCTTCACATCATATGTCAGTAGAGAATTGCAAATTGAAACAACAATGAGATACCTCTATGCAGCTATTGGAATGGCCAAAATTCAGAACACCGACAATAACAAATGCTGACAAGGATGTAGAGCAACAGGAACTCTCATTCATTGCTAGTGGGAATGCAAAATGGTACAGCTACCTTGGAAGACAGTTTAGCAGTTTCTTGCAAAACTAGACCTACTCTTGGCGTACAGTCTAGCAGTCAGGCTCCTTGGTATTTACTCAAAGGAGCTGAAAACATGTCCACACAAAAACCTCCACGTGATGTTTACAGCAGCTTTGTTCATAATTGCCAAAACCTGGAAACAATCAAGAAGCCCTTCAGTCAGTGAATGAATAAACTGTGATACATCCAGTCAATGGAATATTGTTCAGCCCTAAAAAGAAATGAGCTATCAAGCCATGAAAAGACATGAAGGAAACTTAAATGCATATCACTAAGTGAAAGCAGGCAATCTGAAGAGGCTACATACGTATTGTTGCCAGCATTGAATCCATATCTGTACAGGTCTGCAGCAACCTCAATTCTTGCCTCTTCAGAAGAAAGAACTCAACTGAGGGGCATAAGGCAGAAGCAGAGACCGAGGCAAGTTTTAGAACAGGAGTGAAAGTTTATTAGAAAGCTTTAGAACAGGAATAAAAGGCAGTAAAGTACACTTGGAAAAGGACCAAGCAGGCGACTTCAGAGATCAAGTGTGCGGTTTGGCCTTTTGACTTGGGGTTTTATACGTGTGCGTATTTTCAGGGTCTTGCTTCTCTTATCCCCTGATTCTTCCGTTGGGTGGGCTGTCCACATGCACAGTGGCCTGCTAGCGCTTGGGAGGGGAGCATGCGCACTGTGTTTACTGGAGTTGTACTTATGCTCACTCGAGACATTCCTCCCTTACCAGTCTAGCATTCCTAGAGGAAGATCATTTACCAGTTAAACTCCACCATTTTGCCTCTTAATGCTTATGCTTGAGCCCACTCGCCCAACTCCTGAGATCTTATTTGGAAGCTGCTGATCACCAGTTTCAGGTGTTCTCTGACTGTTAGAAGACTACCTTTCCCTAGCAACGGATGTTACCAATTATTATTTTACAGAGACAGTCAACAACCACCTGACCATCACCTGATTGTCACCTGACATTCCTGCTGTATGTGTGTGGGTGGGTGGGGGGGAACACTCTCCTGCCCTGCTCATGCCTGACCAGCTACCCACTGTAACAGTATGATTCCAACTAGATGATATTCTGGAAAAGGCAAAAAGGTGAAGACAGTAAAAAGGTCAGTGGTTGCCAAGGGTCAGGAGGGAGAGAGGAATGAACAGGCAGAACACAGGATTTTTAGGGCAGTGAAACTATTCTGTGTGATACGCTAGTGGTGGACATAAATCATTATACATTTTTTCAAACCCATAGAATGTATACCACAAGAATGAGCCCTAACGTAAACTATGGACTTTGGGTGACGATGCTGTTTTAACATAGGTTCATCTGTTGTAACAAATGTACCACTCTGGTGGTGGATGTTGACAGTGGGGAGGCACAAGGGGGCAGTAGGGTGGCAAGGGTGGCAAACCTCTGTACTTTCTGCTCAACATTACTGCGAACCTCAAACTGCTCTAAAAAATAGAGTCTATTAACAAAAAATAGTTAAGACCAAAAAAAAAAAATGTCATGGCAGAGAAATAGTCTGAAAGACCATATGTTTTTTACTTTTTTTAAAAAAAGAAAGCTTCCTGGAATGGGTGTGAATGTGAGGAAGGCTTGGAAGATAAAGCCAGAGGGTTTGGATACTAATTGTGGGATGGGGTGAGCTTGGGATGGGGCGAGCTGGAGATGGCACAGCCATGCTCCTTGAGTTCCAGAACCAACTGAGGTGGGGTTAGGGGCTAGTAGAGGAGATAAGCAAACAGAATCATAACACAGCTTTGGGCCAATACATGGGTTGATTTTCCCAGGACCACCCATTTTCTTGGCAACCTGTTCTTTCTGCAGGAGCAGCTGTGTTCTTTAATGACCCTGTCCCTCTAAATGGCCTTGATCAGGCCAGAGTGGTCACCTGGTCATAGCTAGGCCCATTGGAATCTTTTCCCAGGATTTTTAAAGTGAATCTTAGACAGCCAATTTTTATTTAGTGGTAGAAGCAATAAGAGGATATAAAACTGTCAGCAGTCTGATTCTGCCATGTGGAAGAAGAAGGTCTGTAATGAGAGAATGAAGCTGAGATAAAGGAAGCTCTGGGTTTCTGGTGTCAGTTCTTCCTGAGTACACCTGCAGCCCTAACCTTCCTGAGGTTTGCCTGGCCCAGGGAAGTGGGCACATAGATGTGATGCGATCCTGCCCTCTGTCCCAGTTTATTGGGTCTGGGGTAGTTCTGACCTTTACTGGGCCTGTCAGATCATCTCTCTGAAAGTCTGGAATTGGAGCTTAGAGATGCCTTGTCACTGTCTGCAGGCCACTGGGACTGATGTGATATAGACTGTGGGCTGAGAACACCATCATGGCAGCAATTGTTAGACTGTGGACAGGGAGGAGAAGAAGAGAAAAGTCGTTGTTAGAAAGGGCAAAAAACAAAGGCAGACACAGGGAAAAGGGGAAACAGGAGGAAACATAGCCCTGGAAGAGGCCTGGAAATGTGCCTGCCGTACGAGACTGCTTCCGTGAGAGAATCCCAGTTTGTTCCATGAATTCTGTTTTATGCCTAACTGGGTTTGAGAGCATTTCTGTTACGGAAAACCAAATGATCACTGAACAACATCTGAATCTCCCTACAGCCTGTGAATATCTTGAGGGCACAACTGACTCTGCTCGTCTCTCTAAATCCAGAAGCTTGGCCTGGACTCCCAGTGAGAGAGTGAAGAAACAACCATTGTCCTGAGAATCAGGGCTCTATCCAACACAATGCGTTTCAGGACTCTGGAAATCCTGCTCCAGAGTTTTGTAGGCAGGTGCAGTGGCTCTCACCTGCAATCCCAGTGCTTTGGGAGGCTGACGGGGTAGGATTGCTTGAGGCCAGGAGCTCAAGACCAGCCTGGGTAACACGGCGAGATCTCTGCCTCTAAAAAAAAAAATCTAAAAATTAGCCAGGAGTTCAAGGCTGCAGTGAGCTAGGATTGCACCGCTGCACTCAGTCTGGGCAGCAGAGTGAGATCCTGTCTCAAAACAAAAACAAACAAAAAACAACAACGAAAACAAAACAAAACAAAAAAACACAAAAAAAGAGTTTTGTAGAGTGAAGTTCCAAGCATCGACTTTAGAGTCTAATACCTCTAACTCCTACTTTCCATGATATAACTTAGGAAAGCCACTTTATCTCTCTGAGCCCCAGTTTTTGTAGTTATAATATGGCAATCATACTCCCTGCTTTACAGGATCAGTGTTGGTTATTGAGTGAAATAGTTTAGGCAGAAGGACCTAGCCCAGTGCCTGACACAGAGGAAATACCCCGTGAATGGCAATGATCATGATTCCTAACAGTTGCAGATAAGGACCGACATTAATTCAAGAATTATTTGTTGAGTGCCTGCTAAGTCCTAGAGTGGTAAATAAAAGAGACAGGGCTCCTCAGGTGCCTGCCCCTGTGAAGCTTACAATCTAAAGAAAGGAAGTCGCTTTTGCTGAATGCTGTCTTTGTACCAGCTCTCTGCGGCACAAAGGCCCTCTCTATTAGGGAAGGTGTTGAAACAATCACAAGTTGGATCCGTTATTCTGTGGGGCCTCAGTGTCATAAAAGCAGGTCTGCATGTGTTTATGGCTTCTTCATTTCAACAGCACTGTTTGTGGGTATCCTCCGTTTATTTCTCACATCCATCCAGTCAAAGTCTTGTGAAAGTGAGCCTGCCACATTTACACACCTGTCCCACAAACATGCTAATCCCACCTGCCTGCTTTCTGCTCCTACCAGCAGGTCAAAAACTGTGCAGATCAGGGAAAAGTTCTGTTTAGCCAGCAAGACTCATAACTGAGGAGATTTTACCCTTACTCTTTCAAGGCAGAATCAATCCATTCTAGTTCCCGCAGATCAATACCAGAAAACAGCCCTAGGAGTAATGATGTATTTATTATCATAATTGAGAGAGCCCTTAAAGAGGGCCAAAAAGGAAGGAAGTGAGTGGTGGGGATCTGAGCTCCAGGAAGCTGCCCGAGTTGGCCCTGGACCTGTGCAGGTAAGGCCTGGTAAGCATGAAGGCCTGCTTTGCACGGCTCTCCACCCTTAACCCATCTCTTTCAGAACAGGTACTATTTGTGGCACTGAACACTTTCTGGGATCTTATCATGTATGAAATGCACTGACATTTTTTCCCCTGATTATAAAGGTCATATAGTTCATTATTAATTTTTTTAAAAACTTAATTGCCTTCTTCCTTGATAATGAAACAGTGATTTTTTTTTTTTTTTTTTTTTTTTTTGTATTGGCCTGGAAATACGGCCAGTCTCAGGAAGTGACTGCCATTGACAAAGCCAATTTCCCATCCTCCCTTGCAGTGAGGAGGGGCAATGTGACCCATTTCTAGCCAATGGTATCTAAGCAGGCCTGGTGGGGAGTTTCTGAGAAAGTTTTTGCTGCCAGGCCATGACATCTGAAGCTGGGGGAGTAATCCTGCACCCATGAGGCAATGACAGAAAAGACATCAAGCTGAAGATGTCAAAGAAGTGTGGATGGACATGTATTCTTAATGGCTTCATTCTTTCTTAACAAGAAGACTGAAGATGATTACTGGCCAGTAAAATAAACACCTACTGTTCAAGCTACTGTTGGTTGAATTTTCTGTTATTTGTATCCATATTCCTAAGTGATGCAAATATGCTAAAATAAAAAATGATAGTCTCTGTGTAAACCATTCCCAAGACGTAGCCACTGTTAAACAGTTAACATTGGGTATATATTTTTTCAAGAATTTTATGCATATATGAATACATATAAATAATCACAAATACATATAAAATTGATGGGCTCATATAATAAATGCATTCTGTTCTAGAACCTCTTTTTTACTTAACAAAATACCATGATATATTTCTATGTCAGTACAGCTTTTTTAAATGACTCAATCTATTGCTAGACATTTAGGCTATGTCCAATATTTTCTCATTATAAGCAATGCTGAAATAATTATCCTTGAACATACATCTGTGTGCACTTGTCTGATTGTTTATTGTGGATAAATTATTAGACATGGACAAAGGGTACACACATATTAAATGTTGACACATCTATCTAGAAAATGTTTATTGAGGGGCTAGTATGTGTGGCACACTTATGCTTAGTGAACAGAACAGATATGTCTCCTGTCTGGGTGGAGCTATTTGTATGCTGGGAAGACTGACAGTTGAACAGGTTAACAAATAGTGGATGGTTCCAAATTGTGATGAGTGATAAGTAGGAAATGAACTAGTGGGGTATGGAAATAAAAGGGACCTACTTAGATAGATGACCCATGAAGGCCTCCAAGAGGGTGACATTTGAGCTGAGAGCTCAAGGATGAGAAGAGCCCAGACCCTATAAGACTGAAAAGAGTGCTGTAGGCAGAGTCACCCAGGGAAGAAAGAGCTTTGATGTTTAAGGATCTACAAGGAAGCCAGTTGGTTAGAATGGCTGAGAGGAGGATGGAGGGGAAGCTGGGTCCATATAGCATGGGACCTTGAAGGCTGTGCTGGAGCATTTAAATCTTATTTTATTTTATGGAAAGTCCCTGGAGGGCTTTAAGCAAGGGAGCACCTGCTGCATTTTTATTATTTATTTATTTTGTTTTATTTATTATTTATTTATTTATTGAGATAGGGTCTCACTCTATTGCCTAAGCTGGAGTACAGTGGCATGATCACAGATCACTGCAGCATCAACCTCCCAGGCCCAAGCAATCCTCCTACCTCAGCTGCCCGAGTAGCTGGAACTACAGGTGTGCCACACCATACAAAGCTAATTTTTGTTATTTTTCATAGAGATGGAGTTTCATCATGCTGCCCAGGCTGGTCTCAAACTCCTAGGCTCAAGCGATCCTCCTATCTTGGCCTCCCAAAATGCAAGGATTACAGGTGTGAGCCACTGCACCCAGCACTTATTATTATTTTTTTATTTTAAAAAAGTATTTATTTATTTTTTTAGAGACAGGGTCTCTCTGCCATCCAGGCTGGAATGCAGTGGTACAATCATAGCTCACTATAGCCTCAAATTCCTGGGCTCAAGTGATCCTCCTGCCTCAGCTTCCCAAGTAACTAGGACTACAGGTTCACACCACCATGTCTGGCTAATTTATTATTTTTTGTGGAGATGGAGTCTCACTATGTTTATTGATCTTGAACTCCTGGCCTCAAGCGATCTTCCTGCTTCAGCATTCTCCAAATGCTGGGATTATAGGCATGAGCCGCCATACCTGGCCTATTATTATTTGTTAATGATTGCTCTGGTTGCTACTTTCCATTGTTTGGGTAGGGCAAAGCCAGGAGACCAGTAAGGAAATTACTAGAGTGGTCTAGGCCAGAAAATATGGTTTGGAGTAGGGTGTATGAAATATACAAATTTGTATGCCTTATTTGTATACCTATATACAAATAGCTCAATAGATTAAAATGGATATTCCTATTATATACAATAGATGTATAATATACAATGGATATACCTATTTTTATAGGAATAGTTATTTAAAAATATACGCATTCTCAGCAAACTAACACAGGAACAGAAAACCAAGCACCACATGTTCTCACTCATAAGTGGGAGTTGAACAATGAGAACACATGGACACAGGGAGGGGAACATCACACACTGGGGCCTGTTGGGGTGTGGGAGGTAAGGGGAGGGAGAGCATTAGGATAAATGACTAACGCAAGCGGAGCTTAAAGCCTAGAGGACGGGTTGATGTGTGCCATGAACCACCATGGCACATGTATACCTGTGTAGCAAGCCTTCATGTTATGCACATGTATCCCAGAACTTAAAGTAAAAAAAAAACTATATCTACATCTATATCTATATCTATACACACAAATAGATCAATGGATAAAAACAAAGCATTTATAAACGGAACTTAATATATGACAAAAGTGTATATTCTTACACTAGTGGCCCATAGTTTCTTCTGAAGTTTTACATTATATTGTAATATTTGTTAGAGCAATATTTTCTCATTATTCTTCCATTTCAAAAATTTCATGGGTATTTCCTCATACTTATTTATCAAGATAAGTTTCTTGTTAGTTTTTTTTTGTTGTTGTTTGTTTGTTTGTTTCTGAGATAAGATCTTGCTCTGTTGCCTAGGCTGGAGTGCAGTGGCGTGATTATAGCCTACTGTAGCCTCAAATTCCTGGGTTCCAGCAATCCTCCCACCACAGCCTCCCAAGTAGCTGGGACCACAGGCACACACCACCATACCTGGCTCATTTAAAAAATCTTTTTAGAGACAGGGTCTCACTATGTTGCCCAGTCTAGTCGCAAACTCCTGGCCCCAAACAATCCTCCCACCTTGGCCTCCCAAAGTACTGGGATTACCAGCATGAGCCAACACACTCACGCCAATCAAGGTAAATTTTAAAATAATTTCATCATGTTCCATCTCACCTCACCCCTCAGATCATAGTGGTTTCTTGATCTGAATTTTACTAAATTTATAAAGTGAGTTGGGGAGACACAGCATCTTTGCACTGTTGAGACTTCCTGCCCAGGGATTTGTTATATTTTTCCGACTATTAAGATCTTCTTTTATGTCCCTCAGTCAGGTTTGTAGTTTTCTTTCCATGGACCTTCACATTTCTTGTTAAGCTTATGCCTAGTATATGCCTTATAGTATTCATTGCTAATGTGAATATGCTTTTTTTCCATCATACTTCCTAAATGGAAATAACTGGTATTTAGTGTTGTATTTGGAGGTCTCTGTAAGTAATACCTCCCTCCCTATTCTAAGTTTGGAACAAACTGGGGCATAGACACAGGAAAGAGACATAAGACAAAAATACTACCTTAATTTTTAATGAAGCTGACTGGAAAAAGTAGCTTTTGCTCTGTAGCTAAGTGGGCTTGCTATATTTCTCCCTGAATTGAGTAGATTTATTTGTGTAGTGGCGGGTGGTGCAGGAGAATAGTATCACTCTGTCCCTGAAACAGGTTCACTTAACCCACAGTGAGAGCGCATGGAAATATTTGCTCTCTGCAGTCAGCCAAATCCAAAAAGAGAACTCAGAAGCATCTATTCTTGTCCACTTTTTCCAAACTCACTCATCTTCCCTTAGAGTGGAGAGAGGCCAGAAGTCTTATTCTAATGGAAGTCCCTCTATATGGAAAAGAAGGCTTCTCCCTTCAATACCATAAGACAGGGTAAGGAAGAAAAAAAAGAATAATAATAATAATAATAATAATAATAATAAGAAGAAGAAGAAGAAGAAGAAGAAGGAAGGAGAAGGCTTCTCCCTTAACATTTAGGAAAACCATTGATTTTGGTGTTTATCTTATAACTGACCACCTTACCAAAGTCTCTATGATTTTTAGTTGATTTTTTTTATTTTTACTTTTTGGGAAACACTTAAATCATAAGCAAATAATGACAATTTTATCTCTTCCCTTCTAATATTTATATTTCTTATTTATTTTTCTTATCTTATTGCATTGGCTTTATTCTATAGCCATTATAGCAGGCATCCTTTTGACTGACTTACATGAGAATACCTTTAGTGTTTCACCATTAAATATGTTTGTTGATGGCTTCTGATAAACTTTGTCATGTTAAAAGTTTAAACTTTCTTCCTATAATAGTTTACTAAGAGTTTTTAGAAATTTATGGGTCATTAGTTTTGAAGTTTATAAAATACTTTTAAAGCATCTATCCCATTGATAATATCCTGTAATTTGTTTTCCTTTAACAATGCAATGCATTTACAAATTCCCTAATGTTGGATTTTTCTTGCGCCTCTGGAATAAATCTTGCTTGATCATGGTGGGTTTTCAGTTGCTTTAATAGTAAACTGGATTCAAATGGCTAAAATTGTATTTAATAGTTTTACGACTATTATATACTTAAATATATAGTGCAGATTCACATATTGAGGATTTATCAGTGAGCTTTAGAAGGTGGTCCTGGCTCAGATGAGTTTGGGAAATGCCAGGTTAAACAAACCAAACAGGTTTCTTTACTCCTGGACTTCACAGAGGCCTTCCTTAATATACGAATACTTATCGTGATTCTCCAAAAGGTACACTATAAACGGCATGCAGCACTTTCTCAAGTTGCCCACAGAAGCCCATTTTCAAAAAATAAATATTAAATTCTCTGGGGACTCGTGTTCTAGGTTAGTCATCTGCAGTTCTTTTTGGTATTGTCTGTTGGATTTTGGTATCAGGGTTATGCTAAACTTGGGAAATGAAATAAAAATTTTTGTTTCTTTTGTTTATTTTTTCCTGTGTAACAGTTTAAGTAACATAGGGATGATCTGTGCCCTGATGGGAGGATAAGGCTTGCTGTAAAGCCATCTGAACCCATGGCATTTCTGAGTAGTGAAGACACTGGGAATGCACACGTGCATGGCTTCCCTACAGGATGTTTCCCCCGACAGCCCATTCTGCTTGGCACCCTTCTCTTTAGGATCAAACAGCTATTATGGAAAAGCCTAGAATGTGTGAAAATGAGACTCAATGCATTAGCAAATCAATGCTGATCACTCCTGCATGGTCCTCAAGTCCTAACGAATGCTCCAGCCTCCTGGCAGGAAACCTTTCAAATCTTGCACACGCTGGCCTCTGCCTGGGGTGCCTGGCTGGGCGGTGTGGGGGGCATGGTTGGTTAAGGCGCAGAGTCCGCCTTTCCTACCAGCCACTCTAGCTGAGGGTCAAGCTCTGGACCCTCCCCCAACCATCCAGCTCCATTTTATCCTTGGCTTATGCCTTCCCCAAGTACTGCAGGGTAGGACTCCTGCTAAAAACTTCTTCTAGATGCTTGCCTGAGGCTGGCCCCATAAACCTGATTCTAGGCTTCTGGGGATAAATCATCTAACTAATATAAGAGAATTGCTAGGCAATTGGGGTTAGTTTGAGACGACTGGCTGAGCTCACCTTAGGTGAGCTGGGGGGTGGGGGAAGATGAGCTGAAGGATTCTAGGGTTCAGTGAAGCCTAGAATGGCTGGGTGGGCGGAGAGTCCTTAGAAGGGTCCAACTTCTAGCCTGAGGGCCTGGGGGCTTCCAGGGATCTGCAGCCGAGCGGAAGACCGGTCTTGCGTACAGCGAGGCCTACGAGAGCTAAGTGGGCTGAGGGTCCCTGGAAAAGACCAGCCTGGGGGCGGGGACCATCGATGCCCCAGGCTCTAGAGGCCGTGGGCTCCCGGGGGCCTGAGGCTGGACTGGGGTCGCCGGCGGGCTCGGGGAGGCCCGGGTGGGCGCACCGGGGCCCTGCCTGCGGCTGACGGGCTGGGTCGAGGGGGAGGCTGGGGAGGCGGGGTGCCGGCCGGGGCGGCGGCGCGGGCTCGGGACGCCAGGGCTCCCTCTCCCTCCTCCCGCCCGAGCCAGCCTCGGGCGCCGGGCGCCTCCCCCGATCCTGAACCAGCGCCAGCGCCGGGAGGCCCGGAGCCCGGCCCGCCGCCGCGGCCCGCGGAGGGAGCCGCCGCCGCCACTGCCGTTGTCGCCGCCGCCGCCAGGCCGCGCCCCGCCCCTCCGCCGCCGCCGCCGCCGCCGCCGCTCTCGGTGAGGCTCGCGCTCGAGCTGCGGCGCCGGCTCCTGCCGCCTGGGCCCCGGGCCCGGCCCCTCCCGCGCCGCCCGGGCGATGAGAAGCTGCTTCTGCGTGAGACGGAGCCGGGACCCGCCGCCGCCGCAGCCACCGCCGCCGCCGCCCCAGCGGGGAACAGTTAAGTGAGGCCCGGGCGCCGCGGAGGCTCGGCGGAGCCGGCCCTGCAGCCGGGAGGGCGGGCGGGCGGGCGCGGGCCCCCGGCCGAGGGGCGGGCGGACGGGAGGAGCCGGGCCGCGCCGAGGCCTGCGGGCTCCGTGCCCGGCCCGCGGCGGGGACAGGCCCGGGCGGCCTTTGCAGAGCCCCGAGCGCGCCGCGGCTGCCGGTGCCCGGGCTCGGCCTGGCGGCGAGAGGCGGGAGAAGCTGGGGGACCCGAGTGCCAGCAGCGCCCCCAAGGCCCGGGCAGGTGAGGGGCGCCGAGAGCCACCTCTGCCCGCGTGAGAGGGAGGCGGCCCACCTGGGCACAGACTGGGAACAGTCAATCGTTTGACCGGCCTGGCCTGGGGTCCTGCTCTCTCTGGTCACGTGGGTGCAGACCAACGTGCACCTGCCCCAGGAGCATCACTGCCTCTGTGACCTGGGCACAGCAGAGAGGACACCTAAACCCTCAGGCACCTGTCTGGAAGGTGACATGCCCAGCCTGGGTACCCGAGACCCAGAGCACCCATCCAGGAACATGGTGGGCACGTCGAGCACCCTACAGTGACTCCAACACCAGCGAGACGGGAGGAGCAGGGGCTGGGACAAGAGCTGAGGCATGGCACCAGGGGACATCACATCCTCAGAGGCAGGCACCAGGGAACGGGGTAGACCCAAGAGCATCTTTTGTCCTCTTTGTTACCAACACACAACTGTTCTAAATCAGCAGCCCTTCTCACCATGAAAGATGAGACTCTTCTGTTCCCTGCCCCTCAACACCTCTTGCACAAGGCACTGAGGAAGACCACAGGAGGGCAAAAGGCAAATGGTGGTTGCCCCTTCCCTGCTTCCTGCCCCCACCCAAGAACCAGAGCCCACTCCGATTGCTGCCACAAAAGCAGACAGCAGACCAGCTCCTCTTAGGGGCCTTTGTCTCTCGTGGTTCCTTCTCAGTATAATCTCATTGTACATTTCTCGACAGCTGGCTGGATCTCATCTCGTTTTAACAGGGCTGGGAAATCTTATCAGCGGCACCAGGAAAGCTTAGAGAGTTAAAAAATAAGCTCTGTGAAGCCTTGACTAACTGAAAAACTCAATGTGCTAGGATGTTTAGTTACAGTAGATGGTGACACCTTTCTTGCTTGTTAGAAATCATGTGGGGTCCTTGGAGATACTGTACCATGCTCAGAATCTTTAAATAGGGCCTCAGAGAGATGAGGCTTCTGCTTGGGACCCGGGCTCCAAGCCCCATGGGAAGCAGTTGACGTGGCGATTACTGGTTCATTTAAACCTAAACTTACCTTCTGTAATCCATATTTTTCATTCCTTCCTTCTAGGCTTTAGGTCACACTCCTAATTTAGGTTCAAGGCATTTTTCTTGCCCTGTCTCCATCCTGCTAGGGACCTTTTACCACTTCCAACTGGAATGTTGTGCCATGGTTATGTGCAGGGAGTTTAGAATTAGCCCTCAGCTTAAGTCTTGGCTTTCCTACTTACTTTGTGCCCTTGGACAAATTATTGAACTTTTCTGAGTTTCAGTTTCCTCATCTGTAGAGTGAAACTAATGATAGTATTCATCTCATGGGATTATGGCGTGATGTAAATGAAATTTTGCAAGAAAAGTCTAGCTCAGTGCCTGCTACATGGCAAGAAGTCAGTAAACGGTAGGGGTCATTATGAGAGGTTTGTTAACGGATGAATGAGAGGAGTAGCTTATTTATTTATTTTTAGAGTTTCTTTCTGTCTGCTTTTTTTTTGGTTTTTGTTTGTTTTTGAGACAGGGTCTCACTGTCACTCAGGCTGGAGTGCAGTGGTACCATCATGGCTCACTGCAGCCTTGAACTCCTGGACTCAAGCGATTCTCCCACCTCAGCCTCCCAAGTATAGGTGCCTGCCACCACGCTCGGCTGTTTTTTTAAATTATTATTATTTTTAGTAGAGTTGGGGTCTTGCTATGTTGCCCAAGCTGGTCTTGAACACCAGAGCTTAAGTAATCCTCCCACCTTGGCCTCCCAAATTCCTGGGATTACAGGCATGAGCCACCACGCCTGGCCTATTATTTAGTCTTCAACGGGACAACCAGGAAGTGATGGTATAGTAGAAAGAACACTGGACTTGGATTTAGGAGCTTGAGTTTGACTCTCAGGCTACCTCCTGGACCCCAGGTGACCCTAGGGGAGTCACAGAACCTTTCTGAATCCCCATTTCTGTAATGTAAAAGTGTCTTAAGAACAAAGCCTACCCCATAAAGCTAATCAGTCAAGAAGAGCTGAAGGAGCTAATGTATGTGACTGCACTTGGCACTGCAGGAGGTGGCGGTCCTCATGAAATTTAAGTGTGCGATTCAGCATCCAGCAGCAGATCATGGTGTTTTTTTCAGGTCCGATGTTTATACAGTTTGTTGCGGGGAGAGCATTAAGAAAAAGAATACAAGAATATCCTGTGTTTGTACATGTTACAGAACCACGCCACCATGTGAGCACACTGCTGGATGCCCTCTCAGGGCCTTGGAAGGGGTAAGGGAGAAGTGTAGTCTCTATCCATTTCATGGAGGATCTTCTCCTGGGGGGATCAGAATCCAAATGGCATAGGCCCCTCTGTCTGAGTTTGCTGGAAGTGCTCCATACTCAAAGGGAGACATCCTTGCCACACTGCAAAATAATGATGGTGCTGGAGTCAAGCATGGGAAAAGTCGAAGGTGCTATTATGATGATGAAGATAACAAATGACTACATGGCTGGATGTGGTTAGGCTGAGCACACTGTGTTGCAGAGCCTCCTTTGCAGGTTGGGTTGTGGAGGGGAGGCCTGGGTTTCTTGAATAGACTCCTTCTCCCCAGGCTGCTCTGGCTCTCACCGAGGCCCACCCTGGCCAGCATTTCCCCAACCCACCCCGCCCCCAACCCCGGCTCTCCTTGGCCTTCTGCTTGCTGGGCTGCCCTAGGGAATCGTGGCTTCCCTGCGCTGTCTGCACTAGTTGCAGTGGGTTTGCCAGAGTCAGGTCTCCTGTCTCCGGCTGCCTGGGAGGCAAAGCCACTGCAGAGTGTGCTTGACATTACCTCCCTTGTTGGGGACATCCTGTGGGCATGCATTTGGTTTACTTGACACGCTTCTGGCGAGATGCAGAGCTTGTCCAGGCAGAAATGTGAGAGCCCTGTGGGCCTGGAGCCCAGGGGTTGCACATAGTAGCTTTGTGGCTCATACTTCCCTTAGGACTGGAGGGCCATCTTGTTGGACCTGTGGCAGGAGTCAACATGAGTTTGTTCTTTCTTTCTTTACACACACACACACACACACATACACACACACTTAAAAAAAACAGATTCTAATCAGCAGAGCAGAATATTCAAAAGAATATCCCCTGATCCTTTAGAAGAGAGAAATAAATGAGTTTGTAATGCACTAAATATGCCTGTGGTGTTGATGAAAATGCAGATTCTAGGACCTCATACTCAGACTTTATTGAGTCAGAATCTCTGGGGAACGGGACCTGGAATCTGCAGTCTTAACAGACACCTTGGGTTATACTTCTTCTTACTGAAATTAGAGACCTACAGTTCTTGATGCTTTCTAAAAAAGTGTTAAATACACGTAACATAAAATTGACCATCCTACTCATCTTTAAGTGCACAGATCGGTGGCATTATGCACATTCACACTGTGGTGCAACTAAGCTCCAGAACTTTTCATCTTGCAAAACCGAAACGCTGTGCTCATAAAACAACTTTGCATTTCCCCCTTTCCTGACCCCTGGCAACCACCATTCTGCTTTGTGTTTCTGTGAGTTTGACTACCCTAGGTAGTCAAACTGTGTGATCCTAGTGGATCATACAGTATTTGTCTTTTTGTGACTGGCTTGTTTAGTTTAGCATACTGTCCTCAAGGTTCATCATGTTGTAGCATATTTCAGAATTTCCTTCCTTTTTAAGGCTGAATAATACTCCATTGAATATGTGGACCATATTTTGTTCATTCATCCATAGATGGATGCTTGGGTTGCTTCTGTCTTTTGGCTATTGTGAATAATGTTGCTCTGAACATGGGTCTACAATTCTCTTTGAGACCCCGATTTAAATTCTTTTGTGTAGATACCCAGAAGTGGAATTGCTGGATCATATGGTAATTCTATTTATAATTTTCTGCGGAACCACCACACTGTTTTCCATAACATAGTGGCTGTGCCATTTTACATTCCCACCAGCAGTGTGCCAGAGTTTCCAATCTCTTCACATGCTTGCGAACAGTTATTTTGTTTGTATGTTTGTTTGTTTTTGGTAGTAGCCATCGTAATGAGTATAAGGTGAGATGTCATTTGGATTTGCATTTCCCTAGTGGCAAGTGATGTTGAGCATCTTTTTGGGTGCTGGTTGGCTATTCGTATATTGTCTTTGGAAAGACTTGTTATTCAAGTCCTTTGCCCATTTTTAAATTAAGGAATTTGTTTTTTTGTTGTTGATTTGTAGGAGTTTTTTATAGATCCACATATTAACTCCTCATCAGATACATGATTTGCAAATATTTCCTCCCATTCCATAGGTTGCCTTTTTACTCTGTTGATTGCCTTTTGCTGCAAATTCTTGATGCTTTCTACACATTATAACCCTGTAGAAACAATATTATTTGCTATTCCGGTTTTATAGGGATGGAAACTCAGGCCCAGTTTAGTTTAACTTGCCTAAGGTTGTACAGTAAGTGTCAGAGCTGGAATTCAAGCTCGGGTCCCTTGGACTCCAAAGGGGGCACCCATCCCATTCCTCTGCTCTGCCTGACTTTCCCCCCTTAGAGCTAATAGCATAAGGAGGCCCCATGGGGGTCTGAAGGAAGGGGCGTTGGTTGGAGAAATGTTCAGTTGCAGGTGGGGAAGTATGAACGGAAGGCCTGGGAATCTCTTCCATTAGACCACTGGGGTGCCCCTTCCTGTAGCTCAACATCATTGCTTAGATCTCAGAAACAGCAGAGAAGTGCAGACAGGTTTTTTAGTTCAGTTTGATTGTGTTTTGTTTATTTGTTTTCTTAAGCATTTTATAAGCTTGTTTCAGAGCCCATCTGCTCCTTGCAGTTCCCCGAGCAGTCCCTGTGTGTTCACACCACGGTGCCTTTGTTGAGGCTGTGTCATCTGCTTGCAAGACTTTCACCACTTCACACACCCCCGTCTTTCAGGGAGGCCAGTTCTTTGCTCACCTTTCCCTGCGTCACCAGGCAGAAGGAAGAGTCCCCTCCTTTGCAGTCCCTTTCTCTTGGGATATTTCCCACAGCCTGTGAGTTCCATGTCTTATTCATTGCTCTATCACCCAGCACTGTGGAGCTTCTCCTTGGCTGTGCACTCTCCAGTCTCAGTCCCAGCCTGAACCAATTAAATGAGAACCTGAGGATAGGGAATGGGAAAGCTGTGCTTCTACAAGCTCTCCGGGGCATTCTTCCTGCAGCCAGCCTGGGCACCCACTGGCCCCTGACAGGCCCACATCCAGCCTGGCTGCACTGAGTTAGATCTAAATCTGGAACTCCCTGGAAGTGCTGCAGTCCCTTCCCCCGTCCTCTGTAAGTGGCTCACCCCTGGGGTCATGGTGTGTGTCCTGTATGGAGGAATCAGTGACCCCAGACCCCGGGCTTTCACTGGAAGGGGTCTGACAGCTCTGCTGTTCCCCCGCCCCTTTATGTGCCCCTGCCCCTTTATGTGGCCCCACCCCTTTATGTGCCCTCTCCCCTTTATGTGCCCTCCTTAATCCAGTGAAACTTGGCAATTTTGAGAGGATAGGAATTTTGTTTGTTTATCCTTCCCCCATTCATTCATAATCCATTTATTGAGCACCCACCATAAGCTGGGCATTGTGGTGGACATAACACACCTTTGAGTAACTTACGGTCTGCTAGGGAAAGCATGTTCTAGCCTTCTGAGAGGAAAGGCTGTGTGTGTATGTGTATGTGTGCACGAGTGCATGTGTGCACATACGTGTGCTAAGACTACGTGCTTGCATGATGTCAGGATTCTGAGTGGTGGCACCTGTCTGACTGGGAAATTGGAGAAAGTTTGAGGGGAATGGAAGATGTGACCCTGGTGTTTTGTTTTGTTTTTTTTTGAGACAGACTCTCACTCTGTCACCCAGGCTAGAGTGCAGTGGTGCAATCTTGGCTCACTGCAACCTCCGCCACCCAGGTTCAAGTGATTCTTCTGCCTCAGCCTCCCGAGTAGGTGGGACTACAGGTGCGTGCCACCATGCCTGGCTAATTTTTGTATTTTTAGTAAAGACAGGATTTCACCATATGGGCCAGGCTGGTCTCGAACTCCTGACCTTGTGATCTGTCCGCCTCGGACTCCCAAGGTGCTGGGATTACAGGCGTGAGCCACTGCGCCTGGCCATGACCCTGGTTTTATTTATTTACTTATTTATTTTTTTGAGATGAGGTCTGGCTCTGTCACCCAGCCTGGAGTGCAGTGGCACCATCTCAGCTCACTGCAACCTCCACCTCCTGGGTTTAAGCGATTCTTGTGCCTCACCCTCTCGAGTAGCTGGGATTACAGGCACCACCACCACACCCAGCTAATTTTTGTATTTTTAGTAGAGATGCGGTTTTGCCATGTTGGCCAGGCTGGTCTCAAACTCCTGACCTCAAGTGATCTGCCCACCTTGGCCTCAGAGTGCTGGGATTACAGGCGTGAGCCACCATGCCCGTGTGTGACCCTGGTTTTAAATGGTGGGGTGGGTATCTGCAGGGGAGGAACCTGGTGCCCTTGGGTGAACTGTCAAGAGGAAGGAGGGGGAGACTGGAGGGCTGATTCTGAGGCTTTTCTCCATGGAAGATTACCTTTAGGTTCATTCCATCCATCCATCCATCCATCCATCCATCCATCCATCCATCCATTCGTTCATCAAATACCTGATGAATACCTGCTCTCTTGTACTTAAATTTTGGACTGTAGACCAGCTGTTTTAGTGTCAGCTGGGAGCTGTTACAAATGCATGTTCTTAGACCAGCTCAGGCCTACTGCATCAGTATCTCAGGGGGTGGGGTTCAGGAATGTCCGTTTTAACGACCTCTTCTGGTGATTTTTGCACATGCTAAAGTTGGATAACTCCCACTCCAGAATGTGGACTTTCCGTCTCATTACTGTAGCCTCAGTGCTTAGCCCAAGTGGCTCCGTAGTCATCTGTGGACTCACTGTTCACGCGCCAGGCCCTCTTAGAGACCGGGAATGTAGGAGGATGCTTCAGGGGGAAGATGGCAAGGTCAGCTGAATTTGAGGTATTCCTGAGCCATGTGGGCAAAGACGCGAGACAGATACCTCTGAGTCTCAGGAGAAAAGCCTGGGTTTGAGGTATTTTGGAAGTCATTAGCATATGGGTAGAATGATTAGATGACCAAATATATGAAAAAAAATTCTCAAGACCCATGTGAAAGTCAGAGAGGGGTGTGGTGGCCTGGCTGGCCTGAAGACAGGTGTTCTGATGATTCTGGCAGGGGCCCCCATTTGCCTGGCACTGAAATTATATTAGTATCTTTACTGTATGAGCACCGTGCCCATCAGGGCAAGCTGTGACTCCTGTCACCAAACACTCAGGAACCATTGCTTTTGGGGCCTCCAGGATGGTTTCATTTGTAGGCATCTGCCTTCTGTTGGGGTCCTTTTTTTCTCCTTCTCTACAGGGGACAATATGGCACCACCCAGCAAAACCTGATGGGAGTGGACATGGACTACCCTCATTTGCAGTAATCATGGGCAAGCAGGTGGTACCCACAGTGTACTGGAGAATGCCCTACCCTCGAGTAATGTTCCCTGGTTTGTGCAGAGTCAGGCCTGTATGGGGCAGGGCTTTGGCCAGGGCTGTGCTGTAGAACTTGATCCTGAATTTATTTTTGGAAAGTGAATCCTGGAACCTACCATTGCACCATAAGGGCTGCAGCAATCTGAACCCTAGTCCTGCCTCATGGGGTTTATGCAAAATCTGTTTGGTAATCAAATGGTTAATAGAAATTTAAGCATAAGGCAGATTGAATACACACGTGCATACACTGGATTCTTCTGTTGGGGGGGAAAGGAAGTGCTCACAATTGTTAGTTCCCGAGCTGGAAAATTCTTTGCGATCTAGGAGAGCTTAGAAAAATATTTGCCTTAGTTGCCCAACAACTTAGCAGCCCTCCTAGCAGCTAGTGACTTGTTGCCACCTGACTATGTCCAGCAGCATTTGTCAGAGTGATTTGACTCTGGCTGGTCACCAGGTAATCTGTCCAAAGTTCAGAAGGTGTCAGGATGCTATCCTGAGGCTCCACAGTGACAGCCTCTCAGTCTGTGCACTGTCCCCCACGGGTGGCCCCAAAGCCAGCTGCCCATTTAACTGGGCACAGCATGGACACTGGCCTCAGCTCTCAGCCTTCTGAGGAGGTAGGTCTCTGCAACTTTCTGTAAGGAGGTGGCTGGGTTTGTGTGTGTGGTGTGCATTGGTGAGGCCTGGCCACAGGTTCCCTCCTTGGGGACAGGCAGTCCCTTGCCTGTCCTTCTGTCCCTTGCTTGCGATTTGCCAGCAGAAAGGTGTCAGTAATCCCGGGGCACCAGAGGTGGGCATGTATTCCTACAGACCATCGCTGCCAATGGGAAACAGGCAAAGACCCTTTCTATGAAGGCCGGAGCAGCAGCTTTTACTGGGGGACAACCCATTTCCAGCAGCTACCTGCTCTTGTGGCGTTTCCTACGGCGAATGAAATGTTTATTCTTCTTCCTTCCTCAGCCCTGTAAGCTGGTATATGTGAGCAGGCAGTTTTTTGTCTTTGGTGCCCTTGACTTTGGATTTCAAGCAAGCTGATCACAAGTTTGCCCTTCTGTAGGGATGTAATTAAGCCACTGGTTTTGTCATTTCAATTACAGTAGCCCAATTTAGCCTGCCCCCCGTTAATACTTTGAAATTACTCTCCTCAAAAGTTGTATGCCAGTCATGCCTTCAGCCCTGAGCAGCAGCGCTGGCTGGCGCCGCTTCTGAGCTGGCCTCACCATGGCAGGAGGCCGAGATGGTGGGAGGCTGGAACGTGGGCCCACTGCCCAGGGCACCTGCTTTGAAGGCAGCGCCCCCTGCCCCCTGCAGTTGTTGCTCCCTGAAAGCACTTTAAACTCCTCGGCCCACACCCCGCTGCTGGAAGAGCCTTGGTGGAGAGAGGTCTGAGCTTTGTTAGTTGGGTTTTGATTTCAGTACAGGAGTTGATAAAACGAGATAAACCCCAGGCTCAGGAGGGCCATGGAAATTAAACAGAGATGATATCAAAGTTCCCCTGAGTTTTCAACTGTGATACAGTAGCTCTGTTTTCTCCCAGACTGGGGCCGGGAGGCACACCTTTGATTCCGAAACAATGTTCAGCATCAGTTAAGCCCAGCACTGCTGACTTTCAGGGATTAAACACACTGTTGTAGTAATTCTTTGATCAGCTACAAGGGAGCAGTGTGCCGTCTGTATGAAGGGTCTTTATAGTTAAAGTTCATTTCTCCGTGAACCCGGGATGACAACCTTGGCTAGGTGCTGCAGTACCGGGAGCTGGGGCCTCCCCAAGCGCTATCTGCAGCACTGCAGGCAGAAGCTGGAAGCAGGCTTGCTCCTGGCTTTGTTGTGTGGTTTGCATGGTGCTCTTTGAGCATGGCATGGTGGAAAAAATCCTTCTAGCTTGGAAAACACTTCACCTTAACCCTCCCCAGCTTTCCCATTCCGTACACTTGTGGGCGCACATACATGTTTGTGTGTGCACGCACACACACACACACACACACACACACTACTATCCTGCCTTGCCGAGGGAGCCTCTCGGGGCAGACAACACTGCCTGAACTGAGGCTCTGCAGCCCCCAGCCTTGGAAATTATCTCACAGAGGCTGTATGCCCGCTTAGGGGAGAGGTCAGAATGGAACCATCTGGACCTGATGACCTGCGAGGTGAAAGTAAGAGGACCTGCTCAAGGTCCAGTCTGAGTCCCTGGCATCCTACCACCTTTATTCCTTACCCAGCATGTATTGAGAATAGACTTAGATTGGCCCAATCCTATAGTTCTGAAAAATTTCAACATTTGTCTTGTCATCCAAAACACTGGGTCAGCTTTGGGGGTTCCCTATAGAGAACTTCCTCGCAGCCACAGCTGGGATGGCACAAGTTTCCCCATTTTGCTTCCCCCTCCTCCTGATTGGCCCTGCAACTTCCAGTTGGTAATGGAGCCCCTCTGAGCTGTCGATCCTGCTCGCACCGTGCCATAGATCAACCTATTCCCTCCTGTGCGGTGCTTGGATCTCCCTCATTAGGCCTAAATTTACCTCCATCCTACACAAACATGGCCTTAGCTCATTTTTATTGTTGTAAATTATTTATGAGGGGAATGTTGAATCTTGAAACTGAGGTGTGAGGAAAATTAATCCCGTGTTACTTTTATCCTTCTGTACTTTTTCCCCCTTGCTTGACTTATTGAGCTGTGGCTAGAGAAAGAAAAGCTTTGGCATTTTAAAATATAATTAGTGTTGAAACTGCTTTCTCAATTGGATGGGATATTGGTGCCTCTCTGCCTAGTACAATAGAAAACAGACCAGACCTAGGGAGGAAGACCAGCCGTCCCATTCCTGGAAGGTGACCCGGCCACCTCCCAGGTTTGATGTGAGCCTCAACTGGGAAGGAGCCTGAGAAAGCTTCTGGAGAGCTGCAAAGCGCTGTCCAAATGCAACAGACCTGTTAGTGTGTTTTGCGGGCAGTTTGGGCTTTGAGATACAGATGGATGCTGGATGAGGAGCTGTTGATACAACCTGGGGTTGTTGCCAGTAGGCCTCCGGATTTGATGTGAGAGGGCCCGCATGAATGGCCTCCTCGAGTCCTTAGCCGCGGGGCCATCCTTCCTGGCTTGAGGCTCCGCGCGGCCTGGGAAATGTGGAGCGCTAGTTAATAAATGGCCTTTTGTTAGGAAGGTCAATTGAAGTGCCGGTAGAGACGCAGTTAAAAGTAATTTGCAGTCAGAAAATATGTAATTCAGGGCAAGCGGCTTTGAGTGATGGCCCCTGCCATGGATATCTTGGGCGTTTCTCATTAAAAGCTGCCTTGGCTGGTGATGGCGCTTCCTGGATGGGTCGACTGCAGCCCGCGCGGCCCGGAGCCATTTGTCCATATTTCACAAAGGCCGCCTCCGTCCGGGGCACAGCAGCTGGGGGGAA
Organism: Homo sapiens; assembly: GCF_000001405.40. Classification (NCBI taxonomy): domain Eukaryota; kingdom Metazoa; phylum Chordata; class Mammalia; order Primates; family Hominidae; genus Homo; species Homo sapiens. Next base: position 126,338,192 of record NC_000009.12, read on the forward strand.
GGAGGGAGAACGGCTGGCGTTGGAGATGCTCTGCGCGCAGCTCTGCAGGGCCCTCTGGCAGGCCAGGCCCGGCTCCTTTGTCTGCCTCAGCCGGGGGCCGCCCGCAGCCATCTTTGAACCTTCTCCTGGGCCGCCACAGGGCATTGTGGGAGCAGCATGGCTTCTTCCAGGGCATGGTGACCCTCCTGCTGTTGAGAGCGGACTCCAGGCAGAGGGCCATTGTCATCATCGTACCGGGGAGGATACTGTGACCAGGGGATGTGGCAATGAATCCACCAGCAAATAAGATACTGCTTATTCATGCTTACCCCCACTTCTCTCTCTCCTCCTTTTTCTTTGTCACTTTCTTTTCTCTCTCTCTGATAGTAGAGGCCATACTATCTTAAAAAAAAAAAAAAACTTACCTCACATGTTCTTTATTAAATTCACAGCGTGATATTTTAGCACTGGCAGAATTCGTACATTCTGTTAATGAGTTGTTAATTGCAAAGCATTCTTGGTAACCAACAGCAGGTACCAATATTTTGCAAACTGCAGCAATGTTATTTTCATGTTACCAATACTACGGGATTTTTCAAGTGCTGAGCCCTTTTGATCAATGCCTGCTCTGGATCTGCAGGTGCAGATATTTAATTCTAAACCTTTACTGGGGACATGCACTAAGTAAATATTCACTCAAATATTTACTTAGTGCCTACTGTGTGCAGGAAGCACTAAGCCCTGTGTTTTATGCAGATAAACCTGCCTGGTAAATGAAACTTGAAAACAGAAAATGATGCAGTGATGCAGTGTGGTACCCCCTGCCCTGGCCGTTTAGAAGCTTATTTTCAGAAGAATTAGGTAAAGCATAACTTTGTTAAGCTTTGTTGTAAACAGAAGAGGAGACTGCAGCTGTGCCAGGCACTTCCTAGCCTTGATCGAGGACTCAGCTCCATTGCATTGACAAGTCTGTTTCCGGAGCTTTTTGTGGGTTCCACTGACTTCATGGGAGACTTGCATACAGCATTTTGATTGTTCCTATTTAGAAGGCTGCAGTCATTTTTAATGGCCTCTGCCTTTTCTGATTCTAGGCTAGAAGCAAGAATATTCCTCCTGCCTGCTTAGTGAGGTAGGGTGTTTGGTTTGTATTAGAAGCAGTAACCAGCCTTGAGAGATCTGGCAGACCTGCAGCCAGTGGAGTTTAATTGTTGCAGAAGGAGGTGGAATTTGACTTGCTCTTTTTCACTGCTTGTCCTTTTAAAAGTACTTAGGTTCATTTACATATGGTGTTGCCTCTTTTATTTGCTTTCTGGTGCACTGCCACTCCAGCTGCCCAGACCCAGTGCTCTCTATATTCTACCTTTCTCCTCTGGTCACATCAAGAGGCAGTCAGCAGCAGAATAATAATTCCATTTTCCCTCCCTTTCTCTCAAAGTGCCCAGCAAGAATTATGATCATTGTTAGTATTTGGCTTTGAGTAAGTGCCCACATGACCCGAGGGTAAAACACAACAAAGGGATCTGCCAGTCCCCTATGGAGTGACGCCTATCACATTTCTGACCAGTTACCTGGACTTGTGTGTCCCAAACCCCACCAGTTTTATGTGCTTTTTTTGAGCGCCTACTGTATACCAGGGACCTCTCCAGGCCTTTCATTTACATCCACTGTCTTTGACTCTCTTGGTCCTCACAGCAGCTCTGCAAGGGTCAGTATCATGACCTCCTTTTATAGCTGAGAAAATGAAGGGTCCAGGAGGTTAAATTGCTTACTCAAAGTCACCAGCTAGTCAGTCATGGAGCCTGGACTCCAACACCATTCCTTCACCTGAGCCCAGAACACTTATTTCTGTGTTTGCAACATTCCTTGCTTCTTTGCAAAGCTCTGCGTGCTGAAGGCCTAACCTTGGCTGTGGGTTTGGAAGTCTAGGCCTCCGTAGGAGAGATTGCAAGGGAGAGAGAGGAAAGGTGTTGTTAAGCTTAGCCGTGTCTGACATGTCTTCAGAGCAGCTACTGGTATCTGTTCAGAAATCAAGCAGCTGGATGGCGGAGTTAAGAATGACGTGCTCTTGGGTTTGAGTCAAGCTCACCTCCTGAGAGTAGAGACAAGCTCTCATCTTAGCTCAGTGTTCAAAGCTAACCTGAGAAGAGTGGGAAACAGAGGTGATTTGAATTCTTGACCTGGGGAAAGGGTCACATAGGGTCAGGACTCATTCAACCAGTACAGGTATGTGAAACTCAGGGTATTTGCCCCAAGATTCTGGTTCTGTTTGAGACTTTATATTATTCACATAAATGCTATGTTTGAATTTTGTGTTTTCTTTTTCCTTTGCTGAACCAGGACCAGTCCACCATGCCTGAAGTCAAAGACCTCTCAGAAGCCTTGCCAGAAACGTCAATGGATCCCATCACGGGAGTCGGGGTGGTGGCTTCTCGGAACCGAGCCCCGACAGGCTATGACGTAGTAAGTCAAGATACTAGTTTGTACATTTTGCTCACTGATTCTACAAGTATTTATCTCCTGTGTCCAAGACCTTCTGGCCCTTGCGTGTAAGATGTGCTTCTTCCCTCTAGGAACTTAATCCAGGGAGGGCGTGGAGAGCATCCTGGTTTGGGAGTCAGAAGACCTGAGCCCATCTGGGCCGTTTCCTGGCCTTGACCACCTCTGTGATGGTCATTTTCACCTTCTGTAAAATTAAGGAGTTAGATTCATTGATTTTCAACTTCTGGTTGTGACATTTCGTGAAAAGGATCCAGAGTCTATGAACGACTCCTGGTGGTTTTCATATATTGTCATGCATGTGTAAATATTGTAAAGGCATTGTCCTACGTCTGTGTAGCTCTTTACAGTTTAAAATGTTTCCTACCCATGAACTCATTTAGCTCTCTTGGGCTTTTGGAAGGCTGGGAGGGCAAGTAGCTGTATCACCTCTTTGCTGATTAGGAGAACCCACGCTCTGAGAAGTCAAGTAACAGAGTCCCAGTCCTTGGATATGGTGAATCATCAGGACCAGACCCCCTCCAAGTCCAGTGCTGTGGCTGACCACACCACCACAGTTTAGTGGAGAACTTTCCTTGCTTTTCAGCAGACATCTGTGCTGGTGTTCAGTAGTCCTGATGATTGGAACTGGTTATGTTGTTGTTTCAGTAGGTAAATTCTGATTCGGGTGGAGCTTGCAAAGTACAGAGGAACGTTAGGAGGGTTTAATTAACAGTGGATATTATCATGTGTTCTGAGATTCTAAGGTGGTCTTATGTTTACTTTCCTCACTTTGTTTGTGACGTTTTGTTCTTATTCACTGAAAATGTGCACCAAGAATGCATAAGAGTGAAAGAACACGAATCTCATTAGCCAACACTGAAAACCTCCCACAGCAATTAGAATAGTCTCTGATGTCCTGCAGTGAGGAGAATGTGATGCCTGGTCCAGCAGAAGAAGCCCTAAGGCAGGGTTTCCCAACTTCAGCACTGTTGACATTTAGGGCAAGACAATCCAATAATTCTTTGCTATATGTTTTCCTGTGCATCGTATGATGTTTAGCAGCATTCCTGGCCTCTCCTTAGTGAATACCAGTAGCACCTGTCCCTCCTCCCCCAGTGGTGACAACCCAAAATGTCTCCAGACGTAGCCAGATGTCTCCAGGAGCAGGGGGTGGCTGGGCAGAATCACCCCCCATTGAGAACTGCAATGGTCAAGGCAGATCTGTACTGAGTCAGCCAGTGCTGGGTCCTGGGTAAGGAAGGAGGAGCCTGTTCAAATGCTACACATCCCTTCTCCAACTGTTTGAAAGCTCATAAACATTTTAAAAGTGAAAAAGTGAAGGAAACTTTTCTGACAAACATTTCAGTCTTAGCTGCTGCTTGACTTCAAAGTGTGGTTTGAATGTATAACTTTCCATAAAATAGAATCATTAGGTATGGCTTTGTGCCACGAAACTCTGGGGGAAGCTAATAAAAATGTTCCTGATTTGAGAAGCCAAAGTGTCTTTTGATGAATTAGGGATGAAGCAGCAAGTCATGAATCAAGGCAGGGACTGGGAGTTCCCGCTGTGGGAGAGGACGGGCTCAGGGGTCGCTCTCCTAGGAGGGCTCTCAGGGAGCTTGAGCCCAAGGCAGGGGTCTCCCCATCTTCCCATGCCCTCTTTTGTTGATCTGTATCTTTAGCATTCCGTTTGTACCTTTAGGGTCATCCTGCTTGCCTGGGTAGTGGGTGGCAGATGGCCTTTGATAGTTTGGTTTTCTGGAAGTCTTGGTAAGTCTGACAGGAGCAGAATCTATCCCTATCATTTTCTCCTAACATCTAGCTCAGGGCAGAAGAGCGCAGTGTCAAATGAGTAAAATTAATAAGCACATTTCATGATTGTGCTGTGCCATGCATTTTAGTGGGAGGTTAGCAGGGCAAGGGGCTTGAGCTCATCCGCCCGGTAATTACCCAGCTCTGCACGGCCGAGGTGGAGACTGCCTGGGCTCCCTCTGAAAGCCCTAACAGGGAGAGAGGTGGGAGTCCCCTCTTGGTACTGGCCTCTGGACTGTGTGCAGATAAGCGTCTCGTTCCCCAGAGGTCTGGCCCCAAGTTCAAGGAAGGCGGGGAGGGCATGGTGAGAAGAGAGACTTCTCATTCCTTTTATCTGGAGTTTCATATTAAGTCAATATCCAAACCAAAGTGCAAGGCGCTCTGTGGTGGCTAGGCTGCAGAGATGCTTAGACAGAACTCCAGCAGATGAGGAAGCCCTGCTGCGGATTGGGCCGAGACCTCTCTCTGTCTGTTGTAGCTGCTGTAGGATTAATTTCTCCCTGCGCACAGAGCCCGTTAAGTACTGCCACCACGCAGCCCTGCGAGTTAGGCACCAGATGGACTGGTGGCCCTGAGTAGCACAACTGCTTTAAAATGAGCTTAGGTCCCATTGCTGCTTGAGGTAAAAGGTGCCAAATGTTCATTTATAAAAATTTAATTCAATAACTTCCCTTCTCTCTGGGTCAGGGGAGCCTTCTTAGGCTAGGGGGCTGGGGATTATTTGCTAAACTTCTCAATTTATTGTTCCGACGTCTGCGGTCCTCTCTGAAAGAGCCTCGCTTTTCTGTTCTGCACCCACACTATCTGGGAGTGACTGGTGCTTCTCTCCCCTTGCAGTCAGAGTTGGGGTGAGTCTCGTGCATCTTTGTGATGCCACGTGCCCGGAGTAGTGACTATATGTCATAGATGACTAGTGTTTGCCAAAGGTAGTGCATGCTGTTTTATCCTGGGTGGATGGTCAGTTTTCGAAGAATTGTAATGCTATAAGAAGCACTTCCGGCTACAGTGCCTGTGTGCAGAATGTAACCTTTGATTTACAAGCCACTCTGGGATGTTGCAGTGTCTAAAGGGCATCAAGCTGGACATTACTGAGAATCATTGTTGGGTGTGTTTCCAGCAATACACATTTTACCTTTCACCCACATTCCTTTGCCTTTCTAAATAAATGCTTATGGCCAAGCATGGTGGCTCATTCCTGTAATCCCTGCACTTTGGGAGGCCGAAGTGGGCAGATCACTTGAGGTCAGGAGTTCAAGACCAGCCTGGCCAACATGGTGAAACCCCATCTCTACTAAAAATACAAAACATTAGCTGGGCGTGGTGGTGCGTGCCTGTAATCCCAGCTACTCGTGAGACTGAGGCAGGACAATCGATTGAACCCAGAAGGCAGAGGTTGCAGTGAGCCGAGACTGCGCCACTGCGCTCCAGCCTGGGCAACAGAGTGAGACTCTGTCTCTAAATAAATAAATTAATTAATAAATAAATGCCTACAACTCAGAGACTGAAGCTGCAACACTATATTTATGAGATGACTCTTTTTCCATAAAGGACATGTCTTCTTTTCCTTGAAAATATACTTTTCTTGGTAAAAAAAAAAAAAAAAAATAGCAACACAGAGAAAGTGAGACGAATCAAACACTCCAGAACTTTTTAATTTTAAATTGTTTATCTATCCACCCCATTTTTTGAGTACCTACTATGTGCCAGCTAGGAGCTGGGGAGACAGCGATGAGCAAAACACACACAGCTCCTGCCTTCATGAAGCACACAGTCTGGAGGGGAAGACAGGCAATGATGGTTGCAAATAAATAAAAGATGAAATTGGGGGTAAGTGCTTTGAAGGGAAGTCCTTATAGATGATTTATCTTTCAGATCTAGCTTTCCAGATAATTCTGACAGCATGAACCCCTTGCATCCTGCTTCGAAAAATCACTGATCATTCCCTTCCTTCCATACCTGGAAGCCTGCTAGGTGTTGGAGCCTTTCGCAGGAGACTGCCTCAAAGGTGCTCACAGTTCTTCAGCGCCAGCTTTCTCCCCTGCTACCACATGGCGCCTTTTTTGTTGGTGACATCTGCGAGGTTGTCCCATGGCTGGGTTCAGCTCCCTGCTCACCTGGCAGCTGCTGCTCTGGCCTTTCTGGCCTGTGTAGGGGTTGGACACCGCTCTCCCTGCGTCTCCCCCTCCTCTGTGACCCTCCATGGTGTCTTAGTCCTTTTGTGCTGCCATGACGCTATCCCTAAGACTGAGTAGTTTATAAAGAGCAGGATTTATTTCTTACAGGTCTGGAGGCTGGGAAGTCTAAGGTGAAGGGCCTGCATCTGGCAAGGGCCTCATTGCTGCATCATCCCATGGCGGAAGTCGGAGGGGCAAGAGAGGGAGAGTGAGCAGGAGGGGGCCACACACATCCTTTAATTGGGAACCCACTCCTGGGATAAGACTGTTAATCTATTCATGAGGACAGAACCCTCAGAACCTAATCACTTCTCACAGGTCCCATCTCTCAACACTGTTGCACTGGGGATAAGGTTTCTAGCACATGAACATTGGGGGCACATTGAAAGCATAGCATATGGCTTCCCATAGAGCAGCTGAGACCAAACTTACTTTTAGTGAGACCTTTCTGGGACTTTGGGGATAATGGGAGTGAGATATTAAAACTCAGAGGATCTTGACAGCTGTGGTGGGGGTCCAGGTCCATGCTCAGACCTCTTCCTAGCCAGCCCTGTGTCTTGCTGTTGGCTGCCTTCATCTTGCCTACCTCAGAAAAGCATTGAGAGCTGCCACACCTTAGCAGCCAGGCTAAACTGCATCCTGGTCTTAGACTAGGAGATATTTTATTCTTTTTTCTCACTCCAATTTAAGACCTCCTCCATTCTCTTCTGGAGAAATCCCACCCAACACACAGGAGTCTTTCTGGCAAAGTAACCCTGAAGTGACAGATCAGCCTCAGGCTCCGTGACTCTTTCTGAAAGTCCAGGTAAGGGATTCCCAGGCGTTAGTGGGCCTCAGTCCCCTGGAGGGCCCTGCATCAGAGTTCCTGCCTGAAGGGTGCTTTGCACCTTCGGGCATATCTAGAAGAGCAAAGGCCTG